>NC_000019.10:27240874-27865874 GCF_000001405.40 Homo sapiens | reverse complement strand
TGTCTCTCTGACCACAGTGCAATCAAACTAGAAATCAGGATTAAGAAACTCACTCAAAACCGCTCAGCTACATGGAAACTGAACAACCTGCTCCTGAATGACTACTGGGTACATAACGAAATGAAGGCAGAAATAAAGATGTTCTTTGAAACCAACGAGAACAAAGACACAACATGCCAGAATCTCTGGGACACATTTAAAGCAGTGTGTAGAGGGTAATTTATAGCACTAAATGCCCACAAGAGAAAGCAGGAAAGATCTAAAATTGACACCCTAACATCACAATTAAAAGAACTAGAGAAGCAAGAGCAAACACATTCAAAAGCTAGCAGAAGGCGAGAAATAACTAAGATCAGAGCAGAACTGAAGGAGATAGAGACACAAAAACCCCTTCAAAAAATCAATGAATCCAGGAGCTGTTTTTTTTTTAAAGATCAACAAAATTGATAGACCGCTAGCAAGACTAATAAAGAAGAAAAGAGAGAAGAATCAAATAGATGCAATAAAAAATGATAAAGGGGATATCACCACTGATACCACAGGAATACAAACTACCATCAGAGAATACTATAAACACCTCTATGCAAATAAACTAGAAAATCGAGAAGAAATGGATAAATTCTTCGACACATACACCCTCCCAAGGCTAAACCAGGAAGAAGTTGAATCTCTGAATAGACCAATAACAGGCTCCAAAATTGAAGAAATAATTAATAGCTTATCAATCAAAAAAAGTCCAGGACCAGACGGATTCACAGCCGAATTCTACCAGAGGTACAAGGAGGAGCTGGTACCATTCCTTCTGAAACTATTCCAATCAATAGAAAAAGAGGGAATCATCCTTAACTCATGCTGTGAGGCCAGCATCATCCTGATACCAAAGCCTGGCAGAGACACAACCAAAAAAGAGAATTTTAGACCAATATCCCTGATGAACATCGATGCAAAAATCCTCAATAAAACACTGGCAAACAGAATCCAGCAGCACATCACAAAGCTTATCCACCATGTTCAAGTGGGCTTCATCCCTGGGATGCAAGGCTGGTTCAACATACGCAAATCAATAAACGTAATCCAGTATATAACAGAACCAAAGATGAAAACCACATGATTATCTCAATAGATGCAGGAAAGGCCTTCAGCAAAATTCAACAGCCCTTCATGCTAAAAACTCTCAATAAAGTAGGTATTGATGGGATGTATCTCAAAATAATAAGAGCTATTTATGACAAACCCACAGCCAATATCATACTGAATGGGCAAAAACTGGAAGCATTCCCTTTGAAAACTGGCACAAGACAGGGATGCCCTCTCTCACCACTCCTATTGAACATAGTGTTGGAAGTTCTGGCCAGGGCAATCAGGCAGGAGAAAGAAATAAAGTGTATTCAATTAGGAAAAGAGGAAGTCAAATTGTCCCTGTTTGCAGATGACATGATTGTATATCTAGAAAACCCCATCGTCTCAGCCGAAAATCTCCTTAAGCTGATAAGCAACTTCAGCAAAGTCTCAGGATACAAAATCAATGTGCAAAAATCACAAGCTTTCCTACACACCAATAACAGACAAACGGAGAGCCAAATCATGAGTGAACTCCCATTCACAATTGCTTCAAAGAGAATAAAATACCTAGGAATCCAACTTACAAGGGATATGAAGGACCTTTTCAAGGAGAACTACAAACCACTGCTTAATAAAATGAAAGAGGACACAAACAAATGGAAGAACATTCCATACTCACGGATAGGAAGAATCAATATTTTGAAAATGGCCATACTGCCCAAGGTAATTTATAGATTCAATGCCATCCCCATCAAGCTACCAATGACTTTCTTCACAGAATTGGAAAAAAACTACTTTAAAGCTCATATGGAACCAAAAAAGAGCCTGCATTACCAAGTCAATCCTAAGCCAAAAGAACAAAGCTGGAGGCATCACGCTACCTGACTTCAAACTATACTACAAGGCTACGGTAACCAAAACAGCATGGTACTGGTACCAAAACAGAGATATAGACCAATGGAACAGAACAGAGGCCTCAGAAATAATACCACACACCTACAACTATCTGAGCTTTGACAAACCTGACAAAAACAAGAAATGGGGAAACAATTCTCTATTTAACAAATGGTGCTGGGAAAACTGGCTAGCCATATGTAGAAAGCTGAAACTGGATCCCTTCCTTACACTTTATACAAAAATTAATTCAAGATGGATTAAAGACTTAAATTTTGGAACTGAAACCATAAAAACCCTAGAAGAAAACCTAGGCAATACCATTCACGACATAGGCATGGGCAAGGACTTCATGTCTAAAACACCAAAAGCAAAGGCAACAAAAGCCAAAATTGACAAATGGGATCTAATTAAACTAAAGAGCTTCTGCACAGCAAAAGAAACTACCATCAGAGTGAACAGGCAACCTACAGAATGGGAGAAAATTTTTGCAATCTACCCATCTGACAAAGGTCTAATATCCAGAATCTACAAAGAACTCAAACAAGTTTACAAGAAAAAAACAAACAACCCCATCAAAAAGTGGGCAAAGGATACGAACAGACACTTCTCAAATGAAGACATTTATGCAGCCAACAGACACATGAAAAAATGCTCATCATCACTGGCCATCAGAGAAATGCAAATCAAAACCACAATGAGATATCATCTCGCACCAGTTAGAATGACAATCATTAAAAAGTCAGGAAGTAACAGGTGCTGGAGAGGATTTAGAGAAATAGGAACACTTTTACACTGCTGGTGGGACTGTAAACTAGTTTAACCATTGTGGAAGACAGTGTGGCGATTCCTCAGGGATCTAGAACTAGAAATACCATTTGACCCAGCCATCCCATTACTGAGTATATACCCAAAGGAATATAAATCATGCTGCTATAAAGACACATGCACACGTATGTTTATTGCAGCACTATTCACAATAGCAAAGACTTGGAACCAACCCAAATGTCCAACAATGATAGACTAGATTAAGAAAATGTGGCACATATACACCATGGAATACTATGTAGCCATAAAAAATGATGACTTCATGTCCTTTGTAGGGACATGGATGAAGCTGGAAACCATAATTCTCAGCAAACTATTGCAAGGACAAAAAACCAAACACCGCATGTTCTCACTCATAGGTGGGAATTGAACAATGAGAACACTTGGACACAGTAAGGGGAACATCACACACCGGGGCCTGTTATGGGGTGGGAGGAGGGGGGAGGGATAGCATTAGGAGATATACCTAATGTAAATGACGAGTTAATGGGTGCAGCATACCAACATGGCACATGTATATATATGTAACAAACCTGCAGGTTGTGCACATGTACCCTAGAACTTAAAGTATAATAAAAAAAAATATATATATATATATATATATATATATATATATATATGAAAAAAGGAAAAAAAAATAAAAAAAGAATACTTGAGGTAAGCCAGGAGCCTTTCCTCTTAGTATGGATGAGGTCAGCCATGCGTCTCTCCCCTTATAATACCTGAGGTTGGCCAGGTATCTCTTTCAATAGAATGAATGAGGTCAACCAGGTGTCTCTCCCCTTAGAATGCTTGAGTTCAGCCAGGTGTCCCTATCCTTAGATGCCTGATGTTGGTCAGGTGTCTATCCACTCAGAATGCCTGAATTTGGACAGGAGACTCTCCCCTCAGAATGCCTGATGTCAGCCAGGAGTTCCTCCCCTTAGAATGATGGAGATCATCTGGCTGTCTCTCCCATTAGAATCCCTGAGTTAGGCCAGGAGTCCTTTCCATTATAATGCCTGAGGTTGGCCAGGTGTCTCTCCCCTTAGAATGCCTGAGGTCATCCAGAAGACTCTCACGTTAGAATGCCTGAGGTCTGCCACATTTCTCCCCCATTAGAATGCCTGAGGTTGGCCAGTAGTCTCAATCTTTTGAATGCCCGAAGTTGGCCAAGAGTCTCTGTTAGAAAACCTGAGGTTGGCCAGTTGTTTCTCTCATTAGAATCCCTGAGGTAGACCAGGTGTCTCTACCCATAGAATGGCTGTGATCGCCTAGGAGACACTCCCTTTAGAATGCCTGAGGTCGGCCAGGTGTCTCATGTTAGAATGCCTGAGGTCGGCCAGGAGTCTCTCCCATTAGAATGACGATGGTCGGACAGGTGCCTACCATTAAGATAAATGAGGTCAGCCTGGTGTCTCTCCCATCAAAATGAATGAGGTCCACCAGGAGACTCTCCCTTTGAATGCCTGAGGTTGGCCAGGTGTCTTTCTCATTAGAATGCCTGTGTTTGGCCAGTGTTTCTCCCCTTAGAATATCTGTGGTCAGACAGGTGTCTGTCCCATCAGAATGAATCAGATTGGCCAGGAGACTCTCCTCTCAGAATGCCTGAGGTCGACAAAGACTCTCTATGGTTAGAATGCCTGTGGTCGACCAGGAGACTCCCCTTAGAATGCCTGAGATAGGGCAGGTGTCTTTCCACTCAGAATACCTGATGTCGGCCAGGGACCCCTCCCCTTACAATGCCTGAGGTCAGCCAGGTGTCTCTTTCACTAGAATGTTTGAGATCGGCCAGGTGTATCTGCCATTACAAAGAATGAAGTTGGCTTGATGTCTCCCCATTAGAAAGCCTGAATTCAACCAGGAGTTTCTCCCATTAGAATGCCTGAGATCGGCCAGGACTCTCCTGTGAGAATGGTTGTGGTAAGCCAGGAATCTCTCCTCTTAGTATGAACAGGTCGGCCAGGTATCTCTCCTCTTAGAATGCCTGAGGTTGGCCAGGTATCTCTTCCAGTAGAATGAATGAGGTTGGCCAGGTGTCTCTCCCATTAGAATGCTTGAGGTCGGCCAGGTGTCTCTTTCTTTAGAAGACCTGAGGTTGGTCAGGTATCTCTCAACTCAGAATGTGTGAGGTCGGACAGGAGATCCTCCTGTTTGAATGTCAGAGATTGGCCAGCTGTCTCTCCCATTAGAATCCTTGAGTTCAGCCAGATGTCTCTCCCATTAGAATGCCTGATGTCAGCCGGGTGTTTCTCCCCTTAGAATGCCTGAGGTCAGCCAGGTCTTTCTCCCCTTAGCATACCGGAGGACAGCCAGGAATCTCTCCCATTTCAATGCCTGAATTCGGCCAGGAGCATGTCTTCTTAGAATGCCTGAGGTCAGCTAGGACTCACTCCCATTAGAATGCCTGAGGTCAGCCAGCTGTTTCTCTCAAGTGCCTGGGATTGGCCAGGAGACTCTCCCCTTAGAATGCCTAAGGTTGGCCAAGTGTCTCTTGTGTTAGAATGTCTGAGGTTGGCCAGGTGTCTCTTTCATTAGAATGCCTGAGGTTTGACAGGAGTTTCACCAGTTAGGATGAATGACGTCAACGTTGTGTCTGCCCTGTTGGAATCCCTGAGGTTGGCCAGTTGTCCCTCGTCAGAATGCCTGAGGTCGGCCAGGAGACACACTCGTTAGAATGCCTGAGGTCGGCCAGGTATCTTTCTCCTTAAAATGCCTGTGGTCGGCCAGGTGGCTCTCCCCTTAGAATGCCTGTGTTCGGCCAGGTGTCTCTACCATTAGAATGAATCAGGTTGGCCAGATGTCTCTCCCCTTAGAATGCCCGAGGTCAGCTAGGTGTCTCTCCCATTAGAATGTCTGAGGTCGGCCAGGAGTCTCTCACTTCAGAATGTCTGAGGTTAGCCAGGAGTCTCTACCATTAGAATGCCTGAGATTTACCAGGAGATTCTCCCCTTAGAATGCCTGATATATGACATGTGTCTCTCCACTCAGAATACCTGAGGTCGGTCAGGAGTCTCTCCCCTTAGAATGCCTGAGCTCGGCCAGGAGTCTCTCCTCTCAGAATGTCTCAGGTCAGCCAGGAGTCTATCGTTAGAATGCCTGAGGTCGGCCAGGAGTCCCTCCCTTTAGAATGCCAGATGTAGGGCAGATGTTTCTCCACTCAGAATTCTTGAGGTCAGCCAGGAGTCCCTTCCCTTAGAATGCCTGAGGTTAGCCAGGTGTCTCTCCCATTACAATGCCTGAGGTCGGCCAGGTGTCTCTTCCCTTAGGATGCCTGAGGTCAGCCAGGATTCTCTCCCATTAGAATGTCTGAAGTCAGCAGGAAGTCTCTCCCAAGACTTCCTGAGGTCGGCCAGTCGTCTCTCCAGTTAGAATGCCTGAGGACAACCAGGAGACTCTCCTTTTAGAATGCCTGAGGTTGACAAGGAGTCTCTTCCATTAGAATGCTTGAGTTCTGCCAGGGGTCTCTTCCCATAGAATGCCTGAGGTTAGCCAGGAGGCTCTCCCCTTAGAATGCCTGCGGTTGCCCAGGTTTCTCTGTTAGAATGCCTGAGGTTGGGCAGGAGTTAATCCCATTAGAATGAATGAGGTCAGCCTGGTGTCTCTTCTATTAGAATTCCTGAGATCGGCCAGGAGTCTCTCCAATCAGAATGCCTGAGTACAGCCAAGAGATCCTCCTCTTGGAATGCCTGAGGTCGACCAGTTGTCTCTCTTGTTAAAATGCCTGAGGTTGGCCAGGTGTCTCTCTCCTTAGAATGTTTGTGGTTGGCCAGGTGTCTCTCCTGTTAGAATGAAGCCGCCAGCTGTCTCTCCCATTAGAATGCCAGAGATCAGCAAGGTGTCTTTCCCATTAGAATGCCCAAATTTGGCCAGGAGTCTCTCCAGGTAAAATGAATGAGGTCAGCCAGGTGTCACTCTCATTAGAATGCCTGAGGTCAGCCAGGAGTGTCTCTTGTGTTATAATGCCTGAGGTAGGCCAGGTGTCTCTTTTGTTAAAATTCCTAAAGTCGGCCACACGTCTTTCTGTTTAGAATAAATGAGGTCGGCCAAATGTCTCTCTCCCAGAATGCCTGAGGTCGGCCAGGTGTCACTCCTGTTAGAATGAATGTGGCTGGCCAGGTTTTTCTCCCTTTAGAATGCCTGAGTTCAGTTAGGTGTCTCCCCTGTTAGAATGCCTGCAGTTGGCCAGGTATCTCTCCCATTAGAATGTCTGTGGTCAGCCATGATGATCTCCCAATGGAATTCTTTTTTTTTCAGAGTAACTTTCTTTTTTTCTCTCCCTCTTTTTTTAAATTATACTTTAAGTTCTAGAGTACATTTGCACAACGTGCAGATTTGTTACATATGTATACATGTGCTTGTATAATTGTGCCGTGTTCGTTTCTTGCACCCATTAACTCACCATTTACATTAGGTATTCCTCCTAATGCTATCCCTCCTCCAACTCCCACTCCACGACAGGACCCAGTGTGTGATGTTCCCTGCCTTGTGTCCAAGTGTTCTCATTGTTAAATTCCCACCTATGAGTGAAAATATGCGGTGTTTGGTTTCCTGTCCTTGTGGTAGTTTGCTCAGAATGATGGTTTCTGGCTTCATCCATGTCCCTACAAAGGACATGAACTCATCATTTTTTTATGGCTGCACAGTATTCCGTGGTGTATATGTGCCTCATTTGCTTAATCTAGTCTATCATTGATGGACATTTGGTTTGGTTCCAAGTCTTTGCTGTTGTGAATAGTGCTGCAATAAACATACATATACATGTGTCTTTATAGTAGCATGATTTATAATCCTTCAGGTATATACCCAGTAATGGGATGGCTGGGTCAAATTGTATTTCTAGTTCTAAATACTTGAGGAATCACCACACTGTCTTCCACATGATTGAACTAGTTTACAGTCCCACTAACAATGTAAAAGTGTTCCTATTTCTCCAAATCCTCTCCAGCACCTGTTGTTTCCTGACTTTTTAATGATTGCCATTCTAACTGGTGTGAGATGGTATCTCATTGTGGTTTTGAGTTGCATTTCTCTGATGGCCAGTGATGATGAGTATTTTCTCATGTGTCTGTTGGTTGCATAAACGTCTTCTTTTGAAAAGTATCTGTTCATATCCTTTGCCCACTTTTTGATGGGGTTGTTTGGTTTTTCTTGTAAATTTGTTTGAGTTCCTTGTATATTCTGGATATTAGCCCTTTATCAGATGAGTAGATTGCAAAAATTTTCTCCCATTCTGTAGGTTGCCTGTTCACTCTCATGGTAGTTTCGTTTGCTGTGCAAAAGCTCTTTAGTTTAATTAGATGCCATGTGTCTATTTTGGCTTTTGTTGCCATTGCTTTTGGTGTTTTAGTCATGAAGTACTTGCCCATGCCTATGTCCTGAATGATATTGCCTAGGTTTTCTTCTAGGGATTTTTATGGTTTTAGGTCTAACATTTAAGTCTTTAATCCATGTAGAATCAATTTTTGTATAAAGTGTAAATAAGGCATCCAGTTTCAGCTTTCTACATATGGCTAGCCAGTTTTCCCAGCACCATTTATTAAATAGGAAATCTTTTCCCCATGTCTTGTTTCTGTCAGGTTTTTAAAGATCAGATGATTGTAGATGTGTGGTGTTATTTCTGAGGCTTCTGTTCTGTTCCATTAGTGTATATCTCTGTTTTGTTATGAGAACCATGCTGTTTTGGTTACTGTAGCCTTTTAGTATAGTTTGAAGTCAGGTAGCGTGATGCCTCCAGCTTTGTTCTTTTGGCTTAGGATTGACTTGGTAATGCAGGCTCTTTTTTTGGTTCCATATGAACTTTAAAGTAGTTTTTTCCAATTCTGTGAAGAAAGTCATTGGTAGCTTGACTGGGGAGGCATTGAATCTATAAATTACCTTGGGTAGTATGGCCATTTTCACAATATTGATTATTCCTATCCATGAGCATGGAATATCCTTCCTTTTGTTTGTGTCCTCTTTCGTTTTATTAAGCAGTGGTTTGTAGTTCTCCTTGAAGAGGTCCTTCACATCCTTTGTAAGTTGGACTCCTAGGTATTTTATTCTCTTTGTAGCAATTGTGAATGGGAGTTCATTCATGATTTGTTTCTCTGTTTGTCTGTTATTGGTGTGTAAGAATGCTTGTGATTTTTGTACATTGATTTTGTATCCTGAGACTTTGCTGAAGTTGCTTATCAGCTTAAGATTTTCGGCTGAGACGATGGGGTTTTCTAAATATACAATCATGTCATCTGCAAACAGGGACAATTGGCTTCCTCTTTTCCTGATGGAATACACTTTATTTCTTTATCTTGCCTGATTGCCCTGGCCAGAACTTCCAACACTATGTTAAATAGGAGTGGTGAGAGAGGGCATCCTTTTCTTGTGACAGTTTTCAAAGGGAATGCTTCCAGTTTTTGCCCATTCAGTATGATATTGGCTGTGGGTTTGTCATAAATAGCTCTTATTTTCAGATATGTTCCATCAATACCTAGTTTATTGGGAGTTTTTAGCATGAAGGGCTGTTGACTTTTGTCAAAACCTTTTTTGCACATATTGAGATAATCATGTGGTTTTTGTCTTCGGTTCTGTTTATGTGACGGATTACGTTTATTGATTTGCATATGTTGAAATAGCCTTGCACCCCAGGGATGAAATCAACTTCATCTTGGTGGATAAGCTTTTTGATGTGCTGCTGGATTTGGTTTGCCAGTATTTTATTGGGGATTTTTGCATCAATGTTCATCAGGGATATTGGTCTAAAATTCTCTTTGTTTGTTGTGTCTCTGCAAGGCTTTGTTATCAGGATGATGCTGGTCTCATAAAATGAGTTAGAGAGGATTCCCTCTTTTTCTATTGATTGGAATAGTTTCAGAAGTGATGGTACCACCTCCTCTTTGTACCTCTGGTAGAATTCAGCTGTGAATCCATCTGGTCCTGGAATTTTTTTGGTTGGTAGGTTATTAATTGTTGCCTCAATTTCAGAGCCTGTTATTAGTCTATTCAGCGATTCAACTTCTTCCTGGTTTAGCCTTGGGAGGGTGTATTTTTCCAGGAATTTATCCATTTCTTCTAGATTTTCTAGTTTATTTGAGTAGAGGTGTTTATAGTGTTCTCTGATGGTAGTTTGTATTTCTGTGGGATCGGTGGTGATATCCCCTTTATCATTTTTTATTGTGTCTATTTGATTCTTCTCTCTTTTCTTCTTTATTTGTCTTGCTAGTGGTCTATCAATTTTGTTGATCTTTTCAAAAAACAGCTTCTGGATTCACTGATTTTTTGAAGGGTTTTTATGTCTCTATCTCCTTCAGTTCTACTCTGATCTTAATTGTTTCTTGCCTTCTGCTAGCTTTTGAATTTGTTTGCTCTGGCCTCTCTGGTTATTTTCATTGTGATGTTAGGGTGTCAATTTTAGATCTTTCCTGCTTTCTCTTCTGGGCATTTAGTGCTATAAATTTCCCTCTACACACTGCCTTAAATGTGTCCCAGAGATTCTGGTATGTTGTGTCTTTGTTCTTATTGGTTTCAAAGAACATCTTTATTTCTGCCTTCATTTCGTTATGTACCCAGTAGTCATCCATGAGCAGGTTGTTCAGTTTCCATGTAGTTGTGCAGTTTTGAGTGAGTTTCTTCATCCTGAGTTCTAATTTGATTGCACTGTGGTCTGAGAGTTTGTTGTGATTTCTGTTATTTTACATTTCCTGAGGAGTGCTTTACTTCCAATTATGTGGTCAGTTTTGGAATAAGTGTGATGTAGTGCTGAGAATGATGTATATTCTGTTGATTTGGGGTGGAGAGTTCTGTAGATTTCTATTAGGTCTGCTTGGTGCAGAGTTGAGTTCAAGTCCTGGATATCCTTGTTAACCTTCTGTCTCCTTGATGTGTCTAATATTGACAGTGGGGTGTTAAACTCTCCCATTATTATTGTGTGGGAGTCTAAGTCTCTTTGTAGGGCTCTAAGGACTTGCTTTATAAATCTGGGTGATCCCGTATTGGGTGCATATATAGTTAGCTCTTCTTGTTGAATTGATCCCTTTACCATTATGTAATGGCCTTGTCTCTTTTGATCT
Organism: Homo sapiens; assembly: GCF_000001405.40. Lineage (NCBI taxonomy): Eukaryota > Metazoa > Chordata > Mammalia > Primates > Hominidae > Homo > Homo sapiens. Next base: position 27,855,063 of record NC_000019.10, on the reverse strand, counting down.
TTGTTGGTTTAAAGTCTGTTTTATCAGAGACTAGGATTGCAACACTTGCTTTTTTTTTGCTTTCCATTTCCTTGGTAGATATTCCTCCATGTGTTTATTTTGAGCCTATGTGTGTCTCTGCCTGTGAGATGGGTCTTCTGAATACAGAACACTGGTGGGTCTTGACTGTTTATCCAATTTGCCTGTCTGTGTCTTTTAATTGAGGCATTTAGTCCATTTACATTTCAGGTTAATATTGTTACATGTGAATTTGATCCTGTCATTATGATGTTAGCTGGCTATTTTGTCCATTAGTTGATGCAGTTTCTTCCTAGCATAGATGGTATTTACAATTTGGCATGTTTTTGCAGTGGCTGGTACCAGTTGATTCTTTCCATGTTTAGTGCTTCCTTCAGGAGCTCTTGTAAGGCAGGCCTGGTGGTGAAAAAATCTCTCAGTATTTGTTTGTCTGTAAAGGATTTTATTTCTCCTTCACTTATGAAGCTTAGTTTGGCTGGATATGAAATTCTGGGTTAAAAATTATTTTCTTTAAGAATGTTGAATATTGGCCCCCACTCTCTTCTGGCTTGTACAGTTTCTGCTGAGAGATCAGCTGTTAGTCTGATGGGCTTCCCTTTGTGGGTAACTCGACATTTCTCTCTGGCTGCCCTTAACATTTTTTCCTTCATTTCAACTTTGGTGAATCTGGCAATTATGTGTCTTGGAGTTACTCTTCTCAAGGAGTATCTTTGTGGCATTTTCTGTGTTTCCTGAATTTGAATGTTGGCCTGTCTTGCTAGGTTGGGGAAGTTCTCCTGGATGATATCCTGAAGAATGTTTTCCAGCTTGGTTCCTTCTCCCTGTCACTTTCAGGTACACCAATCAAACATAGATTTGGTCTTTTCACATAATCCATATTTCTTGGAGGCTTTGTTCATTTCTTTTTACTCTTTTTTTCTCTAAACTTCTCACTTCATTTCATTAGTTTGATCTTCAATCACTGATACCGTTTCTTCCACTTGTTCAAATCGGCTACTGAAGCTTGTGCATGCATCACATAGTTCTTGTGCCATGGTTTTCAGTGCCATCAGGTCATCTAAGGTCTTCTGTACACTGTTTAATCTAGTTAGCCATTCATCTAATCTTTTTTCTAGGTTTGTAGCTTCCTTGCAATAGGTTCAAACATCCTCCTTTAGCTCAGAGAAGTTTGTTATTACTGACATTCTGAAGCCTACTTCTGTCAACTCGTCAAAGTTATTCTCTGTCCAGCTTTGTTCCATTGCTGGCGAGGAGCTGCAATCCTTTGGAGGAGAAGGGGTACTCTGGTTTTTAGAATTTTCAGCTTGTCTGTTCTGGTTTCTCCCCATCTTTGTGGTTTTATCTACCTTTGGTCTTTGATGATGGTGACCAACAGATGGGGTTTTGGTGTAGATGTCGTTTTTGTTGATGTTGATGCTGTTCCTTTCTCTTTGTTAGTTTTCCTTCTAGCAGTCATGTCCCTCAGCTGCAGGTTTGTTGGAGTTTGCTGGAGGTCCACTCCAGAACCTGTTTGCCTGGGTATCACCAGTGGAGGCTGCAGAACAGCAAATATTGCTACCTGATCCTTGCTCTGGAAGCTTCATTCCAGAGGGGCACCCAGCTGTATGAGGTATCACTTGGCCCCTACTGGGTGGTGTCTCCAAGTTAGGCTACATGGGGGTCAGGGACCCACTTGAGGAGGCAGTCTGTCAGTTCTCAGAGCTCAGACGCCATGCTGGGGAACCACTGCTCTCTTCGGAGCTGTCAGACAGTGATGTTTAAGTCTGCAGATGTTTCTGCTGCCTTTTGTTCAGCTATGCCCTGCCCCCAGAGATGGAGTCTACAGAGGCAGGCAGGCCTCACTGACCTGTGGTGGGCTCCACCCAGTTCGAGCTTCTCGGCTGCTTTGTTTACCTACTCAAGCCTCAGCAATGTCGGAAGCCCCTCCCCCAGCCAGGCTTGCTGCCTTGCAGTTCGATCTGGGACTGCTGCACTAGCAGTGAGCAAGGCTCCTTGGGTGTGGGACCTCCTGCGCCAGGCACAGGATGTAATCTCCTGGTGTGTCATTTGCTAAGACTGTTGGAAAAGTACAGTATTTAGGTGGCAGTGTCCTGATTTTCCCGGTATAGTCTGTCATGGCTTCCCTTGGCTAGGAAAGGGAAATCCCCCAGGCCCTTGCATTTCATGGGTGAGGCGATGCCCCAAGCTGCTTTGACTTGCCCTCCGTGGGCTGTACCCACTGTCCAACCAGTACCAATGAGATGAACCAGGTACCTCAGTTGGAAATGCAGAGATCACTTGTCTTCTGTGTCAATCATGCTGGGAGCTGCAGACCGGAGCTCTTCCTATTCATCCATCTTGGAACAGTGTGTCCCCAGTGGAATTCTTGAAGTGGTCCACGTGTCTACTTTATTAGAATGCATGTGGTCGGCCATGAGACTCTCCCCATAGAATGTCTGAGGTCGGCCAGGTGTTTCATGAGAAAGAATGTGGTCAGCCAGGGGTCTCTCTTTTTAGAATGAATAAGTTCGTACAGATGTCTCTCCAATTAAAATGCCTAAGATTGGTCAGGCGTTTCTTCCACTAGAATTCTTAATGTTGGCCAGATTTCTCTCCCCTTATAATTCCTAAGGTCAGCCATGTTTCTCTCCACATAGAATGCCTGAGATTGGCCAGTAGACCCTCTTCTCAGAATGCCTGAGGTTGACCCAGAATCACTCCTTTTAGAATACCTGAGGCTGGCCTGGTGTCTCTCCCATTGGAATGCTTGAGGTCGGCCAGAAGACTATCCTCTTAGAATGCTTGAGGTTGGCCAGGAGTCGCTCCCCACAGAATGCCTGAGGTCAGCCAGTAGTCTCTACTGTTAGAATGCCTGACGTCAACCAGGAGACTCTCCCCTTAGAATTTCTGAGGTAGTCCAGGTATCTCACCACTCAATGCCTGAGGTCAGCCAGGAGACTCTCACTTCAGAATGCCTGAGTTCATCTAGGAAACCCTCCCCTTATAATGGCTGTGGTGGTCCAGGCATCTTTCCCATTAGAATGCCTGAGGTTGGCCAGGTGTCTCTCCCCTTACAATACCTGAGTTAGACCAGGAGTCTCGCCCTTAAAATGACCTCAGACACGGGCCAGTGGCTAAGTATGGCACCCGCGGCTGACAGCTGTTCCACACAGGGTCCAGAGCAAGCTTCCCTCCCCACTGCAGCTCCTGTGAAAGGGCCTGCTGGTCGACCTCAGACAAGGTGAGCCAGTGGCCATGTACGGTGCTGGCAGTCAACATCGTGATGACCCAGAGGCCCGAGGGAGTGAGGAGCAGCTGGTGGGTGAAGGTGGCCGGGTGTGGGACACTCGGGGCCAGGACTTTCAAGACCCTGACCCATCCTGAGCCTGGCTCACCCCTCAAAGGGCATCTCACTTGGTCCAGTGGGCTTCCCTCCCCAGTGCTCTGATGAGAAGACCTGCTGGTCGACCTCGGACACAGCAAGCCAGCGGCTAAGTCAGGCGTGGCTGGCATCTGGTTGACCCGGAGGCCTCAGTGACTGAGGAATGGCCAGTCCATCGATGGTGGCTGGGTGTGGGATGCTCAGGGCCTGGAGCCATACCAGCATGGTCAGGACTCTGACCCGTCCCGAACCCAGCTCCCCGCTGCAGCCCGTGTTGCACTCGGTCCGCCGGGCTTCCCTTCTCACTGCTTACTCCGGGGGAGGGCTTGCTGTTTGACCTCCGACACTGTAAGCTGGCGGCTAAACCAGGCGCTCACGGCTGAACTCTTGTCAACCCGGAGGCCTGAGCGAGCGAGGAGCGCCGGCCAACACAGGTTGGACGGGTGTAGATGGGTTTGCAACGCTCAGGTCCCAGAGTGGTGCTTGCCAGGTCAGGACCATGAATTGCCCAGAGCCCTGCTGACCTCCGTGGCCCACGTCTTGATTGGTTCACTGAGCATCCCTCCTTACAGCTCACTCCGGTGAGAGGGCCTGCTGGTCGACCTCAAACATGGCGAGCCGGAGGCTAAGTCTGGCGTTCGTGGCCGACATCTAGTTGACCCGGAGACCTGACAGAGGAGCGGCCAGCAGGCCGGATGCTGAGGGTGGAGGGTAGTGGGACACTTGGGACCAGAAGTCATACGGGACCTCCCCATCGCTCCCTTCCCCCACCCTGGTAGACCTGGGCAACAGAAAGTGGAGGAAGGGTGCACAAGAGTGGCCCAAGTCCCAGTGTGCCCACACCCTGCCGCAGTGCAGAGGAGATCTGGAACTCAGAAAGCCCCCCCCACCCCGCCCCTGGGCCCACGCGGCCACCCCTGGTAAAGGACTGCCTCAGCTGTCCCCAACATGCTCCCAGAACCCCATCCCAGCCCGAGGATGAGCCCTCCATGGTGTAGGAGGAGGAGGCGGGAACCAGAGTGGCTGGACACCAAGCAGGGGTGCTGCCCTCATTCACCCAAACCACGAAGTCCACTGGTTGAGACCCAGCCAGGGTGAAACTTTCCTACAGAGGGAGGCCTCAGGAGCGAAGGGGGAAAAAAATCACAACTCCAGTTCGGACCGCCCAAGCAGGTGGAAGGCTATAGATGAGAATGCAGTTATTTAGTTTATTGTTGGTTTCATCTTCAGTGGTGGTGGTGATGAAAGAGGCATGACACTAAATTGATTCTTAGGACACTCCCCTCCCTCCTCACCCCACACCCCTTCCCCACACACACCCTCGCCCCTGCACCCCCTGCTCAAGCCCAAGAAAGGAAGAAAAACAGAAAGCAAAGTAAGAGGTCAACCTCCAAGGCGGTGGAGATGGGGGATCTGTTAGGGTAAGCAAGGGGTCCGGGGGGCGGCAGATGTCGTTGCTGAGCTAGCAAAGGTAGGGGACTGACTTTCTAGCCCCACTCCACCCCCTAAACCCCAGGGGAAAACAATACTGGGTAGATATCTGGATTCTGGTGCACACTACCATTATCACTGTTTTCCATGTTGATGTTCATGCCTTTTTGCTTTCTCTTGACAGACTAATCAGCAGGCAGACCAACAAGCTAAAATTTCTACTATTACTGCCGACTCAGACCTGGAAGAAGTAGATTGGGCTGCAATCACACAATGGGTGCATCACCAGTGCGGACACCTAGGCGTACAGGGAACCATGGCTTGGGGAGTGTAAAGAAGGATGTTACCCCAGGATGCAGTTCAGACAATTTTATCCCAATGCACTACATGCCAACAGTTAAAAACCAAGCCAATTCCTCAAAGGGCTATGGGGCACATTCACCGGGGAAAAATGCCAGGACAAATTTGTCAAATGGACTATATTTGTCCCTTGCCACTTTCTAAAGGGTGCCAATATATATGTACTGCTGTAGACACCTACTTAGGGCTCCTAGTAGCCTGTGCTTATGCTAATGCTAACCAAATTAACACTATTAAAACATGAAATATCCTAATTCTATATGATGGTGTGCCCATACAAATTCAAACAGACAATGGCTCCCATTTCAAAGGTGAAGCTGTACAAACCTTTGCAGCCCAAGATGGCATTGAATGGATTTTCCCATATTCCTTACCACCTGCAAGCAGCTGGTTTAACTGAAAGAATGAATGAGTTATTGAACAAACAGTTGAAAGTGTTAGGGCAAGGTAAGTTAGAAAAATGGAAGGATCACCTGTTTGACACATTACAAAATTTAAACAATTGGCGATTAACAACATCTGAAACCCCAGTGAGCCAAATGCTTACCCCACACCTACAAATTGCTAAGTGTGCCAGTGTAGTCCAACCTCTCTCGCTAAAATTCTAGAAAATCCACCCGGAGGCTATACTCCCATGAAAGAGTACAATAGAAGCTACTGGCTTGGACTTACATAGTTTCAAGTCTGGGATAATTCCTGCCCAAAGTACATACATGGTGGCCTCAGGCCTAGGAGTTATAATACCTCGCAAACACTGCAGATGGGTTACATCCTGATCAGGTCTTGCAATGTGGGGTCTTACGGTACATGGGGGCATAACTGACAGTGATTACTGGGGAGAGTTGAAGGTCATTTTATACAATACCACTCCAGATTCTTTTGCTATAAAACTGCAGATGCGGGTTTCTCAATTGTTAGTGACACCTTGTCAACAATTAACCCCTGAGGAAATCTCTGCCCCAAAAGAGGCTACTTATGGAACTGGGGGATTCGGATCCACTGGTACAAGTAGCTTAAATCCTGGAGCCAAAATATGGGTACAGTGTCCATCAGATCCCGTCCCTATGTCTGGTAACCTTGTAGCTATGGGAGCAGAAAATGAAGGCATAGTACAATTTCCTAAAGAGGAAAAACAATATAATGTGCCCCTCCATTTTTCTTATTAAAGAGGATAACCTGTTTGCTAGTAATCAGTACCTGGGTTATCATGTCTGAGCCAAGAATGAGTTCATCAACTGGGTAGCCACCACTGCAACAGAAGCCAACCGCAGTCAATGCTGGCTATGTGTCTAATTGCCAGAGGCCACAGGAAATGGACTACCTTGGAGAATCATCCCTGCCGATGTTTCTGAATGCTATGTCGGCACCAATGAGGCCACAACAACAACACTTGCAATCGAACCCAGACTTTTTTTGGCCAAACCAAGCATTCTGTCTTTGCTCAAGTTGGACAAAAGATTAACTCCACCCTTGCCTTATGTCAGAAGCCTTGGTATTCTGCCCAATATACCTGGAATGGCATATACCTAGAGCCTGCCATGTTGGTGGCTGGACTCCATATAGCCTCCGCTTTGTTTGGAGGCCTTGAATGGCTCCTCCAATGGCACTCTGGCATTTCTCCTTCCAGACAATTGTCAACACATACTCCAAATCAGTGACACTGCTCCTAATGAAACACAATCTCTTTCCTACTTTAATAACACCTTAATACACTATAATTATAGTAAAACCATTGCTGTTCCCTGGAGGGCCCTCTGGGTATGCAGATCCTACAGATGGTGATACCTGCCCCCACACTGGGCAGGAAGATGCATTGGGGGTGGCCATTAATTCCATTCACCATCTGGGATGATATTCCCCTCCCCAGTAATTGAGATGCTTACAAACATTGCTGGTTGTGAATGCGCCAGACTCCCTGGTGGTGGTACCCTATCACAGTATTCTCCCCTGCCGCTGGTACAATCCTGCTTCAGCAACAAATTAAAATATTAAGTTTCCATGTAGAAAAAGCTCTTGAGAGTAGCACTGGATTTATGTTGTTATCGATGAATTTGCTGAGCTGCATACTGTTGTGTTGCAAAATCGAATGACATTAGATATGCTTACTGCAGCCCAAGGAGAGTTTTGCTCCTTACTGCATACTGAATGTTGTGTGTATATCCCTGACAATTCTCACAGTATTACTCTTCTTGCCCAAGACATGCAAAAACAGGTAAAACAGTTGGAATCTAACCAGTAGGACCCCATCAAGGACTGGCTATCCAACTGGCATTGGCATTGGCCATAGTGGGTGTGGTTTTTATTAATTGTGATTTTAATTCTCCTGTGCTTACCCTGTATCTGTAATCTATATCAACTGTGCCTTCCCCATGTATCTGTAAGGGTATTTTCCTACAATTGAGTATCAAATTGAGGCCGAATGTGGAGGAAAACTTAAATATCAAATTTGAACTCAGTTGAACACGGACAGAAACAATGGTCACCACGTCCCGGAAGAGGTTGTGTGATCCCCTTGAGGTGTTCATCCAGCACTGTTGTGGAGAAATCTCTATTTCAATCTATTCCTATACATTAGTTAGTGTAGCTCCAGCTGGGGGCAGTGGCGGGCACCTGTAGTTCCAGCTACTGGAGGGGCCCAGTCAGGAGAATCACTTGAGCCCAGGATGCAGAAGTTGCAGCAAGCCGAGATTGCCCCATTGTGTGTGTGGCAGGCCAGGTCTCACTAACTAAGGCGGGCCTCTGCAACAACCGTTTCAGTACTGACCAAGTGGCTAAGTTAAATATTAAAAGCTGAGAGAACCAGTGCACTCTTGCAAAGGGTGGAATGTCGCAAAAGTCCACCAAGAGTTTTCACTAGGACTTTCCTGGGCCTGCCTTGGAGCATGACAAGATGATGAGGGAATTCTTAACAGGACCATTTAAGATTAAATAAGTTTAATTGGGGGTCTGAAAAAACTCCCTGTTAGGGTCACCCCGACCAGACCCTTCCCCTCCCACAGGCCTCACAATACACTCCCTTGTGCTCTCCACACAGCTACCCCAGGGCAAAAGACAAACCCCTGCCTTCACTGAGCCCTCCAGTATCTGTTTGTCCAGACAGTTATAGGATGCGGTTAACATATCTCTTAACCTCGCATAACAAAGCTGGCAAAAAACATCTCCAGGATGCAGTTGAGACACCTGCATCCCCAACTCAGCTCCTCTACTGGGACCCAGTTCTCCTGCCCCGACTCAGCTCCCCGACCCTGACCTGGTTCTGGCCCTGTAAAACCCTGCTATAGTCTGTAAGTGGGGCTGCCTCCTCTAACTGTGATGGAGCAGCCAAGCAGCTCAATAAAGCTTGCTTGTCTGACTTTGGGTCTCCTCATCCTTTCTCTCAGCTGACCTTACATTTCTGGTGCTGAAACTCAGGAAGGTGGTAGAGTTTGGCCTCCCTTTCTCCCTTTCTCCTTCCCTCCATTCTTCCCCCGGCCGAACTACCCCTTCCAGAACCTGCTAGAGACCCAAGGATCTCATACAGCCTTTCCATCGCTTGGTGAACACATCCGACACCAGGACCACCTCAGGGGTGAGTAAAGGAGACTTTTGCCTTCGGTCTGGAACCCTTGTCTACTCTTTCCTTCCTGAAAGACCTAGCACTGGGCCAAGGGTTTCCTCCTCCCGGCCTCTAGGCCCTTGGTATCTCCCTTTCGGGGATGCCTGAACGGAGGATTATCGCACTTCTCCGACTTGAACCGTGGGACAAGGGATGCCTTCTCCCACCATTCTAGCCAAGTCTCCTGTCTCTACCCCTCCCTTTCTCATTTCACTAAGGGAGCCTCCCAATCCACTCCCTCAAAGACATCCCCCCCCCGCCCCTTGGGTATCTCCTCTGTAACATTAATGCCCTTATCCTCCATTCCAAAATTTGGCCAAAAAAACCTCATCTTTTATTGTAACACTCCCTGGCCAAAATATAAACTAGACAATGGCTCCCAATGGCCTGAAAATGGCACTTTCAATTTCAACATTCTCAGGGACCTAGACAACTTCTGCCATCGCAATGGAAAGTGGTCAGAGATCCCTTATGTTCAGGCTTTTTTTTGCCCTCTGTAGCCGTCCCTCCCTCTGTCAGTCCTGCTCTACTTTCCAAATCCTCCTCGCCTGCTCCAAACCCGACCCATCCTCAAACACCCCCCTCCACCACTCCTAGTGACAATTCCTCCTTCTTTGACCCTGCCAACTTTCCTTCTCTCTGACAACACCATAATCCTCCCCCAAATCATCACAATCCTCCACCATATGCTCCCGCTCCTGCCTTACCTCTTTCCCCTCCTCTCTCCTAACCACCCAACTTCTGATTCTGATTGCTCCCCATCTCCACTTCATACCTGCTCTCGGACTCAGCATGCCCAACAGTCGGCCCCCTTACTTCCCCTCCGAGAGGTGGCTGAGGCTAAAGGATTCGTTCACATCCACATTCCCTTCTCCCTCTCCAACCTTTCCCAAATTAAGAACGGTCTCAGGTCCTTTTCCTCCAATCCTGACACTTACATCAAAAAGTTCAAATACCTCACTCAATCTTATAAACCCACTTGGCATGATCTCTATATTATCCTTTCTTCTACTTTCCTCCCAGAAAAACAAAGAAAAGAGTGCAGCTTGCAGCTCAGGCACATGCTGACGATCTTCATTGGCAAGACCCTCCTAAGCCCATAAAGGCTGCTGCATTTCCCCGGGAAAAATCCTCCTGGGAGTACCAACCCACAGAGCCCGGCTGGCATCTCATAACCACATGATCACTTCCTTATTGCAGGCCTTAACGAAGCTGCCCACAAGGCCGTAAACTTTAAAAAACTCAAAAAAAAAAATCTCCCAAAGGGCCAATGAAAATCTTGCCAAATTTCTTTCCCGCTTTACAGAGGCCCTCCAAAAATACACCAGTGTTGACCCCACCTCCCAGGAAGGAACTATTGTTCTTAATACCCATTTCATCTCTCAGTCTGCTCCTGACATACAGCGCAAGCTCAAAAAGGTAGAAGATGGCCATCAAAACCCTCTACAAGACCTTCTTATCCTGGCCTTCAAGGTTTTCAACAACAGAGATGGGCAAAATAAATTAAATAAAGCCCAACAAGATCAGGCTAAATACCAGCTCCTAGCAGCAGCTATCTACCCAGGCTGCCCAGAGGCTCAAAAGACCCAATAGCAGTGACCCTCCTGGGCCCTGTTTTAAGTGTGGCAAAGAAGGCCATTAGGCCTGAACATGCCCTAACCCACGAATACCAAAAACTCCTTGCCCAGCCTGCCAACAAACCAGTCAATGGAAGTCTGATTGTCCTCTTAACAAGTAGACTAACAGGCCGGTTCCTCAAAGCCCTGGCAAATCAAAGAGTGAAGAGTCACTCACACTCCCACACCTCCTTGGCCTGGCTGCTGGAGACTGACAGAGCCCAGGGCCCCCGGCCCCATCTGCCGTCACTGCATTGGAGCCCAGGGTAACTCTGCTAATAGCAGGTAAACCGATCTCTTTTTTAATCAACAGTGGAGCCACCTAATCGGCTTTACTTGTATTTTTAGGACCCATTTACCCTTCCCAGGTCTCTGTTGTGGGGGTTGATGTACTCTTCTCATGTCCATGCACTACTGAATCCCTTACTTGTTCCCTATTTAATACTGTTTTTTCACACTCCTTCCTTATCATGCCTCATTGCCCCACCCCCATCCTAGGCCGAGACATTTTAGCCAAATTCAAGGCTTCTATCAACTTTTTCTGTCCCCCTCAACCAGAGTCTCTCCTGCTCCTCTCTGCTAGTCCAGCCTCTGATCCCTCCTCCCCAGCACCCGCTAGCCGCCTCCCTCATTAATCCAGTAGTGTGGACACCACCACCCCTTCCATAGCTGCTCACTAGGACCCCATCAAAATCCAGTTAAAACAACCCTCTAAATTTCCCAATGTTCCCCAATTCCCCATTTCCCTAACATACCAAAAGGGCTTACAACCCATCATAAACAAGCTCTGCTCATGCAGTCTTCTTAGACCAACACACTCTCCGTATAACACCCCCATCCTCCCTATTAAAACATCTGATGGCTCATACCACTCATCCAGGACCACCGAGCTATCAATCAGGCTGTCCTCCCTATTCATCCTGTAGTCCCTAACTTCTATACACTTTTCTCTCTTGTCCCCTCCAACACCACCCACTATACAACAATTGACCTGAAAGATGCCTTCTTCACCATTCCCCTACACCCTGATTCCCAAAACCTCTTTGCTTTCACCCAGACTGACCCCAACACTCTCCAGTCACAACAACTCACATGGACTGTCCTCCCTCAAGTCTTCAGGGATAGCCCTCATTTCTTTGGGCAAGCCCTAGCCCAAGACTTCACCTCCTTAAATCTTTCCTCCAGCTGCCTTCTTCAATATGTAGATGACCTCCTCCTCTGTAGCCCCTCCTTAAAAATCTCCCAAACTCATGCTGCCACCCTTCTCAATTTCCTTACTAATAAAGGCCATAGGGTCTCCCCCTCCAAAGCACTGCTTTCCACCCCTATGGTGACCTGCTTAGGACTTCAACTCTCCCCCAGGTCCCAAGCCATGACCCTGGCATCAGCAGCCTTAATAGTCAGCCTATCTCTACCTTCCTAAAAAAGCAAAATCCTTTCTTTCCTAGGGATAACAGGCTTTCTAAAAATATGGATTCCCAACTTTGCCCTCCTAGCTTGCCCCCTTTGTAAAGCAGCCAAAGACCCCTCAACAAACACCTAAACTCCTCACATAACATACTCCCCAACTTCCACAAACTCTAAACCAATCTTATCACTGCACCAGCTCTGTCCTTACCTAGTATATCCCAACCTTTCACTCTCTATACTGCCAAAAACCAAGGAATAGCCCTTGGTGTCTCAGGACAACAAAAACAAAATCCCTCTTCCTTTGCTCCTGTAGCCTACCTCTCTAAACAACTCAGCAACTCAGTCAAAGGGTGGCCAACCTGTCTTAGAGCACTGGCAGCAGCCACAGTTTTAGCTCTAGAAAGCAAGAAACTAACATCAGCCAAAATACCACGGTCTACAGTCCTCATAGTCTACAAGATCTCCTCTCCTCCCAAGCATTAAGCTCTCTTCCTCCTTCCCAGATTCAATTACTCCATGGCCTCTTTATCAAAAATCCCAAATTCTGCCTTGCCAAAAGTGCTCCCCTCAACCCAGCATCCTTACTTCTTGTATCCTCTTCCCTTCCTACTTATTCTTGCACTGACATCCAAGACCACCTGCAGCCACACTTCCCAAACATTTCCTCCAAGACTCTCACCAACCCCAGTGACCAGCTGTTCATAGATGGCTCCTCTTCCAGGCCCACTGGCTCCCCCAAAATTGCTGGATATGCAGTTGTTTCTCTTGACCAAGTAATTAAAGCCAGGCCCTTACCTCCAGGAACCTCCTCCCAAAAAGCAGAACTTATAGCTCTCACCAGAGCCCTAACCCTTCCCAAAGGTAAACAAGTCAACATTTATACAAATTCCAAATATGCCTATCACATCCTTCATTCCCATGCTGCCATCGGCAAAAGAGAAGATTCTGTCTCAGCTAACCTCTCTGGCTGCTAGTAGAAACAAAATGCCCAACCGTGGGGCCATGAAGTTACCATGTGAACCGAGCTGCTCATCACAAACTGGCTGTAAATGGGTGTGCACAACAGCACTTCAGCATAACACAGAAGCTGTGTGGACCTGATCAGGTCTGAACAGACCCTGAAGCACAAGTAAGTTCCATGAGGAAGTGGCCCAAATGCCTATGGTCCCCAGTCAAGAAATGAGCTGAGTTAAGGAACGACATATAATTTTATAGTGTCGTTGCTGCCTCAAAAGTCGAGAGGCATATGTTTCACTGTGGGTTTTTTTCATTTTTTTTTCCTGGAAACTCATTTATTTTTAAAAATCGCAATTTAAGCTAGGCGCGGTGACTCACACCTGTCGTCCCAGCACTTTGTGACACCAAGGTGGGCGGATTGCCTGAGGTCAGGAGTTCAAGACCAGCCTGGCCAGCATGGTGAAATCCCATCTCTACTAAAAATACAAAAATATAGGCATGGTGAAATCCCATCTCTACTAAAAATACAAAAATATAGCTGGGCGTAGTGGTGGGTGCCTGTTATCCCAGCTACTCAGGAGGCTGAGGCAGCAGAATCGCTTGAACCTGGGAGGGGGAGGTTGCAGTGAGCCAAGATGGCACCATTGTACTCTAGTCTGGGCAACAAGAGTGAAACTATCTCAGAAAAAAAAAAATGTTTATTTGGCCAAGGTTGAGGATGCACACCCGTGACACAGCCTCAAGGTACTCTAACGACATGTGGCTAAGGTGGTCACAGCACAGTTTGGTTTTATACATTCTAGGGAGACATGAGACATCAATCAACATATGCAAGATGAACATTGGTTCAATCTGGAATGGTGGGAAAACTCGACCCAAAGGCGGGAAAACTTGAAGCATAGGTGGGAAGACTCAAAGTGGGGAGGGGGCATTGAGGTCATAGGAAATAGGAGACAAATGGTTGCATTCTTTTGAGTTTCTGTTAGCCTTTACAAAAGAGGTAATCAGATATGCATGTATCTCTGTGAGCAGAGGGGAGACTTTTTTTTTTTTGAGATGGAGTCTTGCTCTGTCGCCCAGGCTGGAGTGCAGTGATGCGATCTCTGCACACTGCAGCCTCCACCTCCTGGGTTCCAGAAATTCTCCTGCCTCAGCTTCCTGGGTAGCTGGAATTACAGGAATGCACCACCATGCCTGGCTAATTTTTGTATTTTTAGTAGAAATGGAGTTTCACCATGTTAGCCAGGCTGATCTTGAACTCCAGACCTCAGGTGCTCCACACCCCCTCAGCCTCCCAAAGTGCTAGGATTACAGGTTTGAGCCAATGCGCCCAGAGGGGTGACTTTGTACAGAATGAGAGGCAGGTTGGCCCAAAGCAGTTCCCAGCTTGACTTTTCCCTTTAGCTAGTGATTTGGAAGCCCCAAGATTTATTTTCCTTTCACACCATTTTTAAAACCAAGGAAGAAGAGTCTATGCTTGTTAAAAAAAAAAAAAAAAGGAAAAAGAAACACAAATGATAAAAGAACAATGGGGCCTAGCCAGGGTGGAGGTTCCTTAGGCAACAAGGCAGTGGGTGGAGGGAGGGCGGGAGTGCCACCGAGGTCAGCGTGGGGCCCAAGGGAAACCACAGTTTTCCCTGGCTGTGTGCAGGCAGCCAGGAGTTTTGATGGGATGCCTATGTTTTCAATAACAGTGACCTCTAGGTGACACCAGATGACAACCAAATGAAGGGTCAGCCTGGAATGAGTGGGATCCCTTGTTGAGGGGTGGGCGTGGAAGGGGAAGGGGATGGAGGCATATGGGGTCGCCGGTCTTCTGATCTCTCTTGGATTACATTTCTGAGCCCAGGGCACCCTCCCAGACAGTCCCCACAACTCTTCAACCACAGCCCCTGGGGAAAAGAGTACCATTTCTCAGAAAACAGACACACATGCAGGCACATACGCTCGTGGGAGCGCACCATATGTCTACAAGTTTATATCATGATAGTGAGCTTCCTTTTGCCAAATGTGTTTGTAATGAGTTTCATTAGATAGTATTGTTGAAAATATCAAATTATAGGACTGGGCATAGTGTCTCATGCCTGTAATTCTAGCACTTCTGGAGACCAAGGTGGGAAGATGGCTAGAGGCCAGGAGTTCCAGAGCAACCTGGAAGAGAGAGAGTTTATCACTACTTGAAAAAATTGCTGATCATTGTGGCACAGGCCTATAGTCTCAGCTACTCAGGAAGCTGAGACAAGAGGACTGCTTAAGCCCAGAAGTTCACCATTGCAGTAAGCTGTGCACAGGTGACTAGAGCTTTTTCTGTTCTATGCTGCTTAAATTTTCAATAACGGTCGCTGCTAGGTGACTCCCAATGACAATGAAAGCAAGTATCATTCTGGAATAAATGCGATCCCTGATGGAGGGGTAGGGGAGGAAGGGGGAGGGAATGGAGGCACATGGGGTCACCGGTTTTCTCGTGATTCCCCTTGGACAACGTGGAGGGCATCCTCCCAGACAGTCCCAAAAAAATTCAACTAGAGCCCCTGGGAAAAACAGCCTAATTCTCTGCACATCGGATCATCCAGAACTTTCATTTATCCAGAGAGAAGAGTGCGCCACTGGTGTGTGGCACAGGTTATGGGTAGAGGCAGGAGATACTGCAGACAGATGTTCAGTCTATAGAGTTTCACAGCAAATCCTAGGTTCAATGTCTCACGACCTCAGAGTAGCAATATCTGTCACCATGGAATGAAGTGCATGAAATGCATGCTCTGAACAAAGCATTTCATGGAGCAGATGGCTTGCACACTGTCTCTTGTCCCTAGGCCAGTTGTTTCTTCCAAAGTGCCCATTTCTCAATTGTGTTTCACAGTGTTCACCGTGTTGTGAATGAGTTAGGAATCTTGTTATGTGAATCCTGGAATTTCAATATTTGACATCACCAGATGAACATGAATGCTATCCTAGCCTTGTAGCAATAAAGTACCATTTCTCGGAAAACACACACCCACGCACACACACAAGCATGTATGCACACATGTGCATGCATCATATCCATACAATTTTACACTGTGTTAGTGAGCTTTCTTTCCCTACATGACTTTGTTATAGGTTTCACTAGATAGTATTGTTTAAAATATCAAATTATAGGTGCTGAGTGTGATGGTTTATGCCTGTAATTCCAGCACTTTGCAGGCCAAGCTGGGAGAGTTGCTTGAGGCAAGGAGTTTGAGACCATCATGGAAAACACAGCAAAATTCCATCTCTACCAAAAATACAACAAAATTAGCTGGGCGTTGTGGTGTGCGCCTATAGTCTCAGCTACTTAAGAGGCTGAGGCAGGGTTTGCTTGAGACCAGGAGTTTGAGATCTTATGATCCCCAATCCTGCAACACTGCTGTGGCCCATGAATTGGCTAGATGGTCAGCGACATGTAGGGAACATGATTACACAATTCATGACAAAAAAAATTGGAAAGAATTTTGTGGATAAACCCCTCTCACTGGGTAAGTTACATAAAGATATGTATGTTCCATGTGAATGCCCACCAAGGGATGACCACATCAGAGCAGGATTTTGATAATGACATGGACAGAATGACTTGTTCTGTGGGTATCAGTTATTCTTATTTCCCTGCCACCCTCTTCATCACCCAGTGGGCTTATGAACAAAGTGAACATAGTAGCAGAAATAGAAGCAATGCATGGGATAAGCAGCATCAACTTTGAATCCCAAAGGCCAGTCTGGCTACAGCCAGTTCTGAGTGTTAAATCTGACAGCAGCACATAACAACACTGAGTCCTTGATATGACACCATTTCTAGGGTGATTCGCCAGGTAGCTGGTAGTAGGTTTATTACATTGAATAACTTTCATAATATAAGGGGCAACAGTTTATACTCATTGGAGTAGGCTCTTGCCATGGATATAAATTTGTTTTACCTTCAGGGAATTCTTCTGCCAAAACTACCATCTATGGACTCACGGAATCCCTTATGCATTCTCATGGTATTCCACTCAGCATTGCTCAGACCAAGAAACTCACTTCACAGCCAAAGTGTAGTAATGTGCTCATCTTTATAGAATTCAGTAGACTTACCATGCTTTCCATTATCCTGAAGCAACTGGCTTAGTGGAATGATAAATGACCTTTTGAAATGTTGGTTATGGCACCAAGTAGGTGACAATACTTCTTAACAATGAAGCCAGGTTCTTCAGAAGGTGATATATGCTCTGCATCAGCGTCCAACCTATGGTACCATTTTCCCATAGTCAGGATTTATGAGTCCAAAAATGAAGAGGTGAAAATGGGAGTTATATCACTCATTATTTCCCCTCATGACCTTCTAGAAATATTTTTGGCTCTGCTCCCATGACTGGGCCTAGAGGTGGCCTAGAGGTCTCAGTTCCAGAGGAAGTACTGCTTCCAACAAAAGATTTTAAAAGTTATTAAATTGAACTGAAAGTTAAGAATGCCACTGTGCCACTTTGTGTTTCTCATGCCTCTCAGTCAACAGACTTAGAAGGGAGTTATAGTGTTACCTGGGGTGATAAATCTGGAATACCAAGGGAAAAGTTAGAATACTAATCCACAATGGAATAATGAAAAGTATGTCTGAAATACATAGTATTAGAATGAACTGTAATTAAGGTCAATGGGAAATTACAAGAACCCAATCCAGGAAAAACTAAAAACAGCCAAGAAACATTAGGAATAAAATTTGGGTCACAACTCTGAGTAAAGAACCATAACCAGCTTAGGTGCTTGTTAAATGTAATATGGAGTGGACAGAAGAAAGCTGTTACAAATACAAGCTACAACCAAATGACCAGTGATAGAAATGAGGACTATAACTGC
Organism: Homo sapiens; assembly: GCF_000001405.40. Lineage (NCBI taxonomy): Eukaryota > Metazoa > Chordata > Mammalia > Primates > Hominidae > Homo > Homo sapiens. The sequence goes on along the minus strand of NC_000019.10, from coordinate 27,837,470 downwards.
CATGTGGATGGTCTTCCTATATAGTTAAGACTATGTTCATGTTTCTATAGACATATATTAAGCAAATGTTGTTGTTTTTGCTCTTTTATTATTCTTTGTTATGTAATACAATGTTTATTATGTTTATGTCAGTATTTAAATATTGTTAATTTTATATCATAGTCTTTAATCAGGAAAAATTTAACATGGTCCAAGAGCTTTACCTCATCTTCTGGAAAAGATACTGTTGCACTTTTCGTTGTTCTTGGAATAGATGCTTTATATTTGTTAAAACTATTACCTTGTTTTTGTCGTCATTTGGAAATTAGGTATGATATAAGGGCATATGTATAAGTGTCAAGGTGATGAGTGGTGGACTTATAATAATTAATTTTAGTTGTCAACTTAAGTAAATTAAGGAATACCTGGAGACTGCCAGGCATACATGGTGGTTCATGCCTGTAACCTCAGCATTTGGGAGCCTGAGGAGCAGTTGCTTGAGCCTAGGAGCTCAAGAACAGCAAGATAAGATTCTGTCTCTACAAAACATAAAAGAAAAAGGATGAGCTGAGCATCATGGCCAGTACCTGTTATCTCAGGTACTCAGGAGGCTGAAGTGGGAGAATTGCTTGAGCACAGGGAGTCAAGGCTGTAGTAAGCAATGATTACACCACTGCACTCCAGCCTGGGTGACAGATCAAGACCCTGTCTGAAAAGAAAAACACCTGGAGGACAGTTAAAGTATTATTTTTTGTGTCTCTGAAGGTGTTTACAGAAGATATTAGCATGTGAGTTTCAGTGGACTAAGTGGGAAAGACTCATTCTTAATGTGGGCAGAAATCATACAATTAGTAAAGAGCCAAGACAAAAAAGGAAGAAAGGCTGGGTGTGGTGGCTAATACCTGTAATACCAGCACTTTGGGAGGCCGAGGTGGGTGGATCACCTGAGGTCAGGAGTTCGAGACCAGCCTGGCCAACGTGTTGTAACCCCATCTCTATTAAAAATACAAAAAATTTACCGGGCATGGTGGCAGGCACCTGTAATACTTGCTAATTGGAAGGTCGAAGCAGGAGAATAACTTGAACCCGGGGAGAGGAGGTTGCAGTGAGCCGAGATCACACCACTGTACTCCAGCCTGGGCAACAAGAGTGAAACTCCATCTCAAAAATAAAATTAAAAAAAAATTGAAAAGACAATATAGAAGAATTGCTCTCTCTCTCTCTCTTTCTCTTTCTCTCTCTCCCTCCCTCCCTATTCGGGCACACTCTTCTTTTCCTATCCTTATATATCAGAACTCCAGGACTCCAGGCCTTTTGACTCCAGGACCTACACAAGTGAAATTCCAGGTTCTCATGTCCTCAGCCTTGGACTGAGATCTACACTGTGAGTTGTTTATTCTTTTTTCTTTTGTCTCCTCTGACTCTGTATTTTCAAATAGCCTGTCTTGAGGCTCACTAATTCTTTTTTCTGCTTGATCAATTCTACTATTAAAAGACTCTGATGCATTCTTCAGTTATTGCATTGCATTTGTATCTCCAAAATTTCTCCTTGACTCTTTTTAAAATTATTTTTTTCTGCATGTTAAATATATCTGAGAGAATTCTGAATTCCTTCTCTTTGTTATCTTGAATTTCTTTGTTTCCTTGACACAGCCATTTTGAATTTTCTATCAGGAAAATCACATATTTCTGTTTCTGCAGGATTCGTCCCTGGTTCCTTTTTTAGTTCATTTGGTTAAGTATTATTTTAAATCATTTGTTGATGCCAGTAGATCTTTGTGGGTGTCTCACCATTGAAGATTTTGATATTTGTTATAGTCAACACTCCCTGGGATTGTTTGTAGTCATTGTTCTTGGGAAGGCTTCAGAGATATTTGAAAGGACTTGGGTGTTGTGATCTAAGATTTTTCTACTTTAGGGGACTCCTCAAGCCCGGTAACAATGTGGTTCTTGCAGACTCACAGAGGTACTACCTTGATGGCTTTGAACAAGATTGTCTTGAACAAGATCCAGGAGAATTTTCTGAATTACCAGGCAGAGACTCTTCTTTTCTTCCCTTACTTTCTCCCAAACAAATGGAGTTTCTCTGTGTGTGTGTGTGTGTGTGTGTGTGTGTGTGTGTTCTGAGACACATGAAAGTGCATCTCTGTGGCCATCACAACTATGACTGCATTAGGTCAGACCTGAATCCAGCAGAGTGCTTGGTCTTACCCAAGGCCTGCTGTTACAGCTTCCTGGTTACTCCCTATGTTCACTCAAGACGCTGTGGCTCTACAATCAGCAGGTGAAAAAGGCAGCCAGGCCTGTATTTCCCCCTTCAGTTTGGCAAGGCTCTCCAGGCCCTAGGTAGGTTCAGAGGTGCTATTCAGGAGTCAGGAACGAAAATCAAACACCTCAGAAACCTAGAGTTTTGGTAATTGAGTTTGGGTGGAGAGTCTAGAATAGATCTTTAAAAAGACAAGAGTTTTTATTTTATTTTTTTCTTTTTCTTTTTCTTTCTTTTTTTTTTTTTTTTTTGAGATGGAGTTTCACTCTTTGTTGCCCAGGCTGGAGTGGAATGGTGCAATCTCAGCTCACTGAAACTTCCACCTTCCGTGTTCAAGTGATTCTCCTGCCTCAGCCTCCAGAGTCACTGGGATTACAGGCACCTGACACAATACCTGACTAATTTTTTGCATTTTTAGTAGAGACAGGGTTTCACCATGTTGTCCAGGCTGGTCTCGAACTCCTGACCTCAGGTGATCCACCTGCCTTGGGGTCCCAAAGTTTTGGGATTACAGGCATGAGCCACCAGGACCAGCTGGTAAGAGTTTGTAAATAAAGATTAAAACCTGATGGGAAAAACAATAGCGAAATATACAAAAATATACAAAAAAAATTATGTTCTTGTTAATTTTACTTAATTACTCTACTAAAAATACAAAAAAATTAGCTGGGCGTGGTGGCAGGCACCTGTAGTCACAGCTACTCGGGAGGCTGAGGCAGGAGAATTGCTTGAACCTGGGAGGGGAAGGTTGCAGTGAGCCGAGATCGGGCCACTGCACTCCAGCCTGGGCGACAAAGCGAGACTCTGTCTCAAAAAAAAAAAAAAAAAAAAAAAAGTAGTGCTTTGATTTTACTTGTGAAATGTATTCTTTCCTTCTTCTGGACACTAGTAAATTAAACACTAATACAAAGAGAATACATGTTTTCGTCATGTAATATATATCTGTGTATTATCTTTACATATGCTATATATTATATATATTATGTATAATATATAGATAAATATATATTATATACAGAAACGTAGGCAAAATATGCATTGCACACACACTCACACTCACACATGTGCTATCTGGTCTAAGATGTATCCAACCTGTTATTAGTGATCACTGAATAGTAATGACTGAACTTATTTAAAATATATTAAAAACATAATTAGCAATCTCATTCTTAGTTGAAACACCTAATTTGATAGACATAGAGTTACCAGTGGCTAAGCATGTTTTTTAAGGTAAATGTATATTCTATGTAAATCCCTCCCAAATGTTGATCTCAAAAGCATGTGCAACTTTTGTAAACACTTTTATGCGCTGCATTAAGTTAAAAATGGATGTCAAGTGTTACAATAATTGAATAGTTTTTTTTCTGAATATCAACACCAGGCTTTTACCTGTTTATCAAATGCACAATTGTCACCCCCTCTTTTCCTGGCATTGTTTTAGACCACTGGCAAGGGGCTGCTCAGCTTGCCAAAAGGATAGGATTAAATGATTGGTTTTTGAGATTCCAGTTTACCACTTACCAGCCATGTAGCTTTGGTTATTCATTTATTCTTTCTAAGCAGCCACTCACAATGAGACAACATTTTATCCTTCTATGTAAAATTGGAATAATGAGTCCATTGATCCTTGAGTGTCCCTAAAGATTAAGTCAACTCGCACCTGTAAGCTACTGCTTAACACAGTGCTTGGCACATAATATGTCCTTAAATAGCTGCATATATTTTCTTCTGTAGACAACAGATAGTAAATTATTCCAAAGGCAAAGCTCAGCTGGAACCTATTAACATTTCTGGACACTTCAGACACAAACTATGAAAAATCACAAGTTGTTGAACTTTGTGGAGAGACAGAAAAGTGCCAATCAGAGAAGAAATAGATCAATGAAGTACAGTCCAAACTTTTTTCTCTGCTCCCCACTGCCTGGTGACTCACACTCTCTGCCTATTTTTATCATCAGTCAAAGCAGAAGGATCTGACTTGACTTGCCTAACTCACAGTAGTAATCAGAGAACTTTAAAAAAAGAGCCTTGGGGTTGTACTTAATATCAATTAAATATTTACGTCTATAAATCTAAGAACATCTATTGCCACATAATGCTCATTAAAATCTATACTTACAGAACTCTGCCAGGTGTGATGGCTCACTCCTGTAATCCTAGCACTTTTGGAGGCTGAGGTGAATGGCTCAGTTGAGCTCAGGAGTTCGAGACTAGCTTGGGCTACATGGCAAAACCACATCTCTACAAAAAGTAAAAAAATTACCCGCGTGTGATGGTGCACATCCATAGTTACAGCTATTTGGGAGGATCACTTGAGCCCAGGAGATGAAGTTTGCATTGAGCTGAGATTACACCACTGCACTTCAACCTGGGTGAAAGTGAGACCCTCTCTCAAACATAAAATAAAATAAAATAAAATAAAATAAAATAAAATAAAATAAAATAAAATAAGATAAATAAAATAAAATAAAATAAAATAAAATAAAATAAAATCTATGTTTACAGAACTCTGATTGTTAATATGTCCACCCTACAGTTTGTAATTTATGAGAGTCATGAAGCATGTGTGGAATTAATCCAACTTATTTTTCCCTCTGCTCAGCTTTTTCTATGTAAGCACAGACCGTAGTGTTTAATATTTGTTTGAGGCAAGGGCTAAAGTAGGATAGCACTATCCCCTGGGCAGGAGCATGAGGGCGCAAGGGGCCAGAAGTGATTAGCATGCAGAGGGATTGGGTGGTTGGTAGATTTTTTTCTCTCTTGGTTTGCTATACTAAGGTCTGTGATGCCTTACATTTTAAGAGTACCCAGGATTAAGAACTTTTTACTTTCTACCACTTTGTAATCATTCTTGACCCTACACTTGTCAGCACTTCCACCCACCCTTGTACCTATATCTCCCTGTGCACCCTAGGAGACTACACAGAATGGTAAATTGGATACCTGTATCTAACGGAACTACAAAAGCTTGAGTTTCCCCCTCCAAATCTCCAATCCTATGTAGTTTAATATTTAAAGTTGCTTAAGTTGGCTATAGATGAAGGAAAAAATTTAGGAGTGCAGAGGGAGTGAGAACCTTCATCTGGGTAAAGAAGGGACTAACGGCTGGGCGTGGTGGTTCAGGCCTGTAATCCCAGCACTTTGGGAGGCCAAGGCGGGTGGATCACCCAAGGTCAGGAGTTCGAGACCAGCCTGGACAACATGGTGAAACCCAGACTCTACTAAAAATACAAAAATTAGCTGGGTGTGGTGGCAGGTGCCTGTAATCCCAGCTCTAAGGAGGCTGAGGCAGAAGAATCACTTGAACCTGGCAGGCAGAAGTTGCAGTGAGCTGAGATTGCACCATTGCTCTCCAGCCTGGGTGAAAAGCATGAAACTCCGTCTCAAAAAAAAAAAGGCACTAACAAGACCCATTTAATTTAGCTTTTAGCAGCCTTTAGACTGCTCATAGCTCAACCGCATAAACTTCTAGTGTTTTGGACTCAACCAAGCCTCAACATCAGCTTTAAAGACTGCTTGATCCTTCTAGCAGGAGAAACATGAACATGCAAAGCACTCAGGCTCCTAGTTTTAATCCTCCCACACATCAGCCTCTTTAGCAGACAGCAGAGTGTAGAGCTCTTGTTTCACCTCACTAACCACTTGGCTCAGAGAATTTGCTGTTGGACCTGGGGAGACTTCTCATATTCCCTTGAAAACTCTTCAAGTATTTGTTTCTCTCCCCCTTTTAGAAAGTTGTGTTTATCTCAGCATCATATTTTCATCACCAAAACTAAATAATTGTGAAGAATCGTAGATTCTACCTAATTTGTAAACCAACCTATAAACCTTCTAGTTTCATGGATGCTGGTAAAAGGCATGAGACACTTAAGTATGACAAAAATATTTACTTATTTTCTGCATAACTGAAGGCAAAAGCTTCATATTTGTATTAGTTCTCCCTGTCTATACTCGATTTTTAAAAGGGATTTCAAAAGGCTCAGATGGACATTGCACATGGGAAAGATTTGTGTCACAGCCGAGTAATCTCAAGATAAAGAAACCCTAATCTTTTTAAAGTAGTTCACATGCAAACCTGTCCAATCTTTGCCTCACAGACAAACATTGTCTTTATCATATTGGTTGAGTAATTTATCTGTCATTCACCTGAAGAGAAAAACTACTACTCTTTTTCCAGGCTATTTGTGTACAAAAATCTTTGAAAAATAATCTGGAACAGGACAGATATATGATGTAATAAATAACAAAACAACAAACTCTAAGAGACTTTTGGAGAATTATATTTCAGCAGCATGCATCTGTTCCATTAAATGTTGCACTAAGGAATCCTCTGATGAAAAATATCCATTGAAGATTTTTGACATAAAGACTAACTTTGGTTGTTTTGTGTTGTGGAATTGCTAAAGATTGAAAGATACAGGAAGAAATACAATTACCAGGGACTTTACAGTAATGGAAGTTCTTTGTGTGAAGTAATGTAATTCTGGGTGAGTGAATGACAGCTGAGAGTAAATGAAAATAAAACACAATTTAACATTTTTACATATTTAGAACATGCTGAAATTGGTTAGCTTATTGGAAAAAGTTAAATGACTACCAATGTATACAGCATATTTATTCTGAGTGAATCGCTAATCTAGATTTGAAAGACAAAATAATTATTTTTACTACACGGAAATATAAACTGCATTTCCATATACCAACAAGGAACTATTTGAAAGGAAATTAAGAAAACAATTGTTTGCAACAACATTAAAATAATATAATACTTAGCGATAAATTTAAAAAGGAAGTAAAAACCTGTGCAATGAAGACTACAGGATGGGAATATTTCGGAAATAGACTTAAATAAGTGTCAAGGAATTCCATGTTCATGGACTGGAAGACTTAATAATGTTAAGATGACAATATTACCCAAAGTAGTGTACAAATGTAATCCCAACTTTTTATTTTTTCCAACTTTTTTCTGCGTAAATGGAATAGCCCATTCTAAAATTTATATGGAATTTGAGGGTACTCTGAATGGCCAAAATAATCTTGAAAAGACCAAAGTGAAAGGCTCACAATTTTAAATTTCAGAACACACAAAGCTACTGTAATTAAAACAGTTTGATATTGGTATAAGAACAAGGATAGAGACCAAAGAAATAGAATAGATAACTCAGAAGAAAAAACCTTGCATAAATTATTGGTTGCCTTTTGACAAGGGTGCCTAAACCATTTTGTAAAGAAAGACACTCTGTTCAACAAGTGATTCTCGGAAAACAAGCCCACATTTAAAACAGTAAAGTTGGCCGGGTGTGGTGGCTCACGCTTGTAATCCCAGCACTTTGGGAGGCCAAGGCAGGTGGATCACCTGAGGTCAGGAGTTCAAGATCAGCCTGGCCAACATGGTGAAACCCCATCTCTACTAAAAATACAAAAATTAGCCAGGTGTTGTGGCAGGTGCCTGTAATCCCAGCTACTTGGGAGGCTGAAGCAGGAGAATTGCTTGAACCTGGGAGGTGGAAGTTGCAGCGAGCTGAGATCACACCATTGCACTCCAGCTTGGGTGATGCGAAACTCTGTCTCAAAACAACAAAAAAGTAAAATTGAATCTTTATCACATTCCATGTACAAAAATTAAATAAAAATGGATTCAAGACATGAAAATAATTGATGTTAAAACTTTATTGGTTTCTGATGGTTGTTTTTATTTCTGTAGGGTCAGTACTACTACTGTGAACACCTCTATACACACAAACTAGGAAACTTAGAAGAGATAGATAAATTCCTGGACACACATGCCCTCCCAAGACAGAGCCAGGAAGACATTGATTCCATGAACAGACCAATACCACGCTCTGAAATTGCATCAGTAATAAGTAGCTTGCCAATCAAAAAAAGCCCCGGACCTTATGGATTTGCAGCCAAATTCTACCAAATGTATAAAGAAGAGCTGGTACAATTCCTACAGAAACTATCCCCAAAAATTGAGGAGAGTCTCCTCCCCAACTCATTCCATGAGGCCAGCATCATCTTGACACCAAACCCTGGCAGAGACACAATGAAAATAGAAAACTTTAGGCCAATGTCCTTGATGAAAATTAATGCAAAACCTCTCACCAAAATACTTGCAAACTGAATCCAGCAGCACGTCAAAAAGATAATCCATCATGATAAAGTAGGTTGCCTTCTTAGTATGCAAAACCACAATGACATATCACTTTACGCATATTAGGGTGACTATATAAAAAACAAAACAACAGAAATGAAAAAGAACAAGTATTAGCTAGGATGTGGAGGAAGTGAAACCCTGGTGTATTGCTGGTGAGAATATAAAATGGTTTATTGACTGTGAAAAATAGTTTGGCAGTTTATCAGAAAGTTCTACATAGAATTACCGTATGTTCCAGCAACTCCATTACAGGTGTATCTCCAAAATAATTAAAAGTAGGGACTTAAGCTGCAACCTCTGCCTCCAGGGCTTAAGCAATTCTTGTGCCTCCGTCTCCCGAATAGCTGGGACTATCAGCATGTACCACCATGCCCAGCAAATTTTTGTACTTATAGTAGAGACGGAATTCCTCCATGTTGCCCAGGCTGGTCTCAAACTCCTGAGCTCAAGCGATCTGCCCACCTCAGCCTCCCAAAATTCTGGGATTACAGGTGTGAGCCACCGTGTCTGGCCTCTGTTATTCAATCTAAGAACTGCATGCAGAGATGTGTTCAGGTTTTAAAATTTTATTCACTTATGCACTGATACTTTCACACCAATTTTTATAGAAGCATCATTTATAGTACTAAATGTAAAAACAAACCCAGATATCTTCTAAGAAATAAACAGATACAGAAAATATGGTATATACGTACAATGGAATATTATTTAACCTTAAAATGAGTGCACTGCTCATGAGTGTGGTGGCTTATGCTTATAATCCCCAAACTTTGGGAGGCAAAGATGAGAGAATCTCTTGAGTCTAGGAGTTTGAGACCAGCTTGTGCAACATAGCAAATCCCAGCTCTACAAAAAATACAAAAATTTACTGGACTTGATGGTGTGTCCCTCTAGTCCCATCCACAGGGAGGATCATCTGAGGTAGGAGAATCACCTGAGCCCGGGGAAGTTGAGGCAGCAGCGAGTCAGGATTGCATTGCTGTGCGCTCCAGCCTGGGTGACAAAGAGAGACTCCATCTCAAAAAAAGAATGCTACATGGATGAACATTGAAGATGTTATACTATGTAAAATAAGCCAAATACAAAAGGATAAATATTTAATGTCAAATATGGTGTGTAGGGGAATGTCATGTGGGGCTGGCTCATCCTGAACAGGAAGAGATTGTTGGGAGGTTAGAATCCTGGTGGCTCATCATGTTTACACACCTGGTCATGGCTGGCAAAGTAGGGAGGCAAGTGCTGGTGCAAAGATTGTTCTGAGCCCTGGAGCTGTCGTCTGGTGCTTTCCAAGGCTGAAGTTCTGTGTAGACGTAAGTCTATGCCTAATCTGGGGAGCAGAAGGTTGAGTGGGGTATGAGGAGCAGCAGTGATGGCCAGGAATAGCTCTGAGGCTTCCAGGTCTGTCTACCAGTTACTGTCTTTGCAGAGCTCCACACAGGAGACTGGCAAAAAGGTGTTAGTGGGGTAACCATGTTTACTCTCTTGAAGGCCAGAAGCTTGCTGCTGCCAAAAAGGGCCAGCATTGAAATGAGGTGAGTGGAAGAACAGAGGGTTCTCCAAACCAGCCCAGAGATGGCTGATGAAGGACCCCTGCCCAGACACCACCAAGACAACTCTAAAGGGCTCTGTCTCATATATTAACACATATACATAGATGAACACACACACAAAGATATAGTATAGATGTAGATATTTATTCTATTGCTTCTATTTCTCTGAATAACTCTAATACCATTTGTAATAAGTAAAAGACCGCATAAGTTATCAAAAACATACTAACATACTAACAAAGAAAAGTCTGGAACCAGATGGCTCCACTGATAAATTGTTTTAAACATTAAAAGCTGTAACTACAATTTTTCTCAAATTCTTTAAAAATTGCAATCAATCAGTGCAATATACCAACTCAATAGAATGAATTTTACAAAAAACATGATTATGTCAATTGATAGAGAAAAAATTTGGCATAATCCAAAACTCTTTTATGATAAGAGCACTTAGTAAACTAGATATAGACTAAAACTTCCTCAACATAATAAAAGGCACGTATAAAAAACTCAAAACTACCATTATATGCAGTGATGAAAGATTAAAAGCTTTCCCCCTAAAATCGGGAACAAGGCAAGGATACCTGCATTCCTCACTTCTGATCAACATTGTAATAGAAATCTGGCCAGAATAATTGGGCAACACAAAAACAGAAACACTCCAATTGGAAAAGAAAAAAGCTTATTTCTATATATAGATGTTATAATTTTATACATAAAATTAAAATCCTAATTAATAACAATAGAACTGTTAACACTAATAATCAAATTCTGCAAAGTTGTAGGATCCAAGATCAATACAAACACATTAATGGAATAGAATTAAAAGTCAGGAAATAAACCCATACATGTAATTTTTTGACATGGACTTGGCAAAGCTGCAGGAGCTATTGGAAACCATTTATTTCATGTATTTTAGCCCCATTTTAGAAGATCCTTCCTCATTGGGGAATAGTTAATAGCTTTCCATTCAATGTCAGTGAGCTAGAATATGTAGTTTTCAAAGAAAGCTTCCATTTTAAGATACAAATGAATTTAAGACAAAGTTCAAAAGATATAAATAAACTTTCTTTAGCATCTTAATGAAAAAAGTGTTTGGTGTTTTATTTTGTCCAAATTTGAAATTAAATATTCATTTCAATTTTTCCAATAGGCATTAAAAATAAACAGGCTATTGAAAAAAAATTCTTAGAGCATGTTCAAATTTTAATTTAGCCTTAAACATGTTTACAAAATATGACCTGGGGTTGATCAGCTTTTTCACCTGCAGGGTTAATGGAGCCAGCATCCCCACTTTGTTCACAGAGGTAACGTAGCTCTTCAGCTTGTCTTCAAACACATCCAGTTCATTCCTCATAGAAACAGGTATGAAGAATTCTATGAAAACGAACTGGGGACAAAGAGTGAACATTTTACAGTTCCACCTGTGTCCAGACAGAGATCTCTTTTTAGTTCAGAGGCCAGTCTCTCTCAAGCATTTGAAACTTCTATGTAAATGACTCTTGGCACTGGCTATATTGAGACAAATGGGATATTAAATTCTATGAAGGTAGGAGTCACCCACACTCTGTTCTTCACTCCCACAGTGTACAATACAGTCTCACAAGAGCTTGTAGAACTATTCCAACATGAGTGAGATCAGAGTGAAAAGATTCACTTTGAGTAAGGATTGACTTTGGGATAATTCCAACCCTACCCCACCCTACTGCCAAGTTAATAAAGCTTTCTGTCCCATGTTATGGTAGCCACCTCTGTCATCCTATCACCCTGCCATTGCTCAACCATTTCTGCATCCATCTTTCTCTATCAACTAAATCTTACTTATCTTTGAGAGTGGATCTTACTTGCTATCATCTTCAGGAAGTTTCCCAAAGTAGAATAATTAACTAAACTTTCAGAGCCTTTTCACATTATTCTTTTCTTTCTTATGACAGCAGGCACTTCATACCATGTATTTTCTTATTTTCTTAGACTGTGAGTTTCTCTCATACTAGGACTCTGCTGTCTCAGCTCTCTGTCCTCCCTTCAGCCCTTATCACGGTACTTGGCTATAATAGATGTTCAATAAATATTTGAGAAACACAGTAAATCCATATGAGTGACATATTGTAACAGAAAACTCTTGTCGTTCATAAAAATCTATTCTTCCTTTTGTTAGGCACAGATGAATTACATTTCTTAACCTCCTTTGCCTTAGATGTGGAAATGTGACCAGTTATTGATAATGCTGATGGAGTGAGACAGATGTGAACCACATTAAGTTGAGTCCATTAAATCTTCCCACATGTATTTCTTAAAGTACTTTATTTTAAGGGGACTGAGCACAAAGGGCAACCAAGACTCATGGATGGTGAAGGCAAATAATGAAAAAACTCTGAGTTCCTGAATTACCACTTGCAAAGGAGGTGCTTTTTCAACTTGGTCACTCAATAACACTGTTATGTGTGCTAAAATATGCTGTTAATCTACTGCAAATTACGGGGATGGTATTTGACACTTCAGTATAACCTAAACCATGCACTTAAAAACCTAATCACTGAATTAATTTAAAAGGCATCCTTATAGTACATTTAAGATGACAAATGTTAAGTCGGTCTTGCAATTTTTACCCTTTCATTTTGACCATACTATGTTATGTTAGAGAATTTGAACCACACAAAATAATTTTATTATGGGTTTAATAAACAGATAAAATCAGTCAAATAATCAAATAAAATCAGATTTTATTTATTTGAGAATGTGTTTTCCAGAGCAAACTCATATATGACATTTTAACTCCATTATTTATATTTTATAGAACATAACAAATTCAAGTTAATCTGTTCTAATTTTTAATTCAACTGAATTATTGTTATCATGATCACTATATTTAAATAAAAATTATCTGACTTTTTCACATCATAATTTACAGATTCTGCTTCTATAAATTTTCTATATGGACCATTATATCTACCCAGTCAACTTTCCTGGGTCAAACTGTGGATACCCAAATGTTTTTGAGAATATTTTTCTCTTATGTTAGTTTTTAGTCAATGATACGTTGTATCATGTTCAATTTTAATCATCAGTTTTCTTTTTTGTGCATTATCTTCACAGTAATATGGATCATGGACATTGAAGTATCCTCAGGGTTAAAAATGTTGGAATCCAAGCATTCTACCTCTTTTATTTGTATGGTTTCAATTATGACTCAGCATTTTAGAAAAATGTTAGCTCTATAATCTTCCACCCTCACCCCTTTAAATAAGAACATACTTTTTTAGACACGCAAGGGTCAGGCAGATACAACTACACAGTGGTTGACATCATTTTTGGGAAGGAACTGAAAACTGGTTTTATACTCAAACATCCTGTTGGGAAACTGTCAAATTAAAAAAATTATGACATTTGTTAAAAATTCGGAAGAAAGACTTTAACACTATTGCAGTAGATGTTATGGCCATTGTAATACGGTTCAGAAATCGATCATAACTCTGAACACAGACAACTCAGGATTTATAATCAATAAGCAAATAAATCAGTGGATAAAAAATTACTGAAATAAATTTGATAAAATACCAAAGGAGGAGGAATTTTTTTTTGTAACAGAATTCTGTTTACAGGCAGGCTAAGGACTTAAATATCAGGGAAGGGGAATGAGGATTTTAGTAGATGTAAAAAATATGTGGATTTTTACTAAGCAATCTTAGCAGCATTTCTGAAAATAAGCTTCTCAGACCAGGAGCAGGGCAACAAGCCAAGGTTGACTAAGTCAAGAAGAGAGTTAAGTTAAGCTTAACTAACCTTTGGTCATAAAAAGAGTGCTTGTCAGAACCAAGACTTTTTCCCATCTGATCTGAAAATAAATAAACACCAAAAGAGGCTTTGCTTGGAAAATAAGTGCCACTTCACCTGAGACAAACTCCATTTTCTCCTTGTTATCTTTGAATTTAGTGCAGAAAAAGAGCACTGGTTATTGCCATAGTTTTTATTTTTCTTTCATTCTTAAAGACAGAGATTCAGTTTTATTCAAACAGCAACTTACCATACACAATGGTTATAGTTCCTGACCCCTATTGAAGCTAATAATGACTAGAAAACATTCAAGACAATTGGGTGTAACCAGAAGTATTGACGGGACTTTGGGGAGACTGTTCAGATGAGGCTGACACAGCTGTGTGAGCCACTTTGACCTTGCATCTTTCCTCCTTCTTGATCTTTGAAATGCACATGGTTGCTGGTGTAGGCTGACGGTCCTACAGCCATCTTGGCCCATGAGACAGCCTACAGGATAAAAACCATCTACTGAAATATTGTAGCAGAAAAGGGTGCCAGGATGGCTGACTAGAAGTAATATGGTGTGTGGCTCTCATGGAAAGGAACAAAGGAGGAGAGTAAATACAACACCTTCAGCTGAAACACCCAGGTATTTGCACTGGGAATAATGAAGGAAACAACTCAACCCATGCAGAATGGAGAAGAGCAGGGCATGGCAACTGCCCACCTAGAAGTGACACAGAGCGAAGGGAATCTACCCTGTCCAGGGAAGTGGTGAGTGAATGTGTGACCCTGTGAAACCACACTTCTCCCATGGATCTTTTTATCCCTCAGGTCAGGAGATTTTCTCATGAACCCATTTCACCAGGGCCTTTGGTCTGACACACAGAGCTGCATGGTCTTGCCAGAGAAACTGCTCAGACAAATAGAATCTCAGAAGCTTTACACACTCCGGCTCCAGGATCTCCAGCAAAGGTGACTGCAACTCGGACAAAACAGGAGGTGGGACCACCATAAAAATCCCAGAAAGGAAGCCTAAACCACAGGGATGAACAACATCAGTCTGTGGGCCCCACATCCATGATGCCTCACCCGATAAGACCCACTGGCTTGGAATTCCAGCCAGCCCCCAGTAACAGTGTTTTACCTACCTGGGATGAGACAAAGTTCTGGAGACAGAGGCAGACTGCCATACTTGCTGTTTGGATGACTCAGCCTTTCCAGCCTGTGGGTTTAGGAGAGTCCAAGCAAAACTGATGGCAGATGAAGGGAAGCCCTGGCACAGCACAGTGGCTCTACCAAAATGTGGCCAGACTGCTTGTTTAAGTGGGACCCTGACACATTTCTCATCTCAGGGTGGGGCCTCCTACTCGGGCCTCCAGCCAGCCCCTTCCATATTCTCCAGCAGACAGAATTTTGCTTTCTCCCTGGATGCAGTGTCCAGTGGGAGAAGTGGGCCACCACATTTGCTGTTTGGACAACTCAGCCATTCCAGCCTGTGGGCTTAGGAGACCCCAAACCATACAGGGGGCAGAAGCAATCCCCCAGCACAGCACAGTGGCTCTACCATGATGTGATCAGACTGCTTCTTTAGGTAGGATCCTGATATGCCCCTTATCTCTGAGTGGGACTTCCCAACCAGGGCCTCCAGCCACTTCCACTGATGTTCTCTGGCCAACAGAAGTTTGAAAACTTTCTGGGACAGAGTTCCTAGAGATAGGGGTGGGCCATCAACTTTGCTGTTTCAGCAACTTAGCTTTTTCAGCCTCCAGGCTTTAGAGAGCACAACCTGATGAGGGGCAGAAGTGGTACCCCAGCATAGCATGGCTGCTCTATGAAAGTGGGGCTAGACTGCTTCTTTAAGTGGGTCCCCAATCCTGTTCCCCCTGGATAGGTGAGACCTCCCAAAAGGGGTCTCCAGTCACCTCCTACAGGTGTGTTCAAGCCAGCAACAGGTCTGCACCTCCCCTGAGATGGACCTCCCAGAGAAAGGGGTGGGCTGATTTGTTGTTTCACAGCCTTCACTAATGATACCTCCAGATACTGAAAAATCCTAGATGACTACAGACTGGGGCAGATGCCCAAAGAACTGCAACAGCCCTACACAACATGGCCAAACAGTTGAAAGGAAAACAAACAAAAATCCCATTCAAAGGTCAGCAACCTCAAAGATTAAAGGTAGATAAGCACACAAAAGTGAGAAAGGATCAGCACAAGAATACTAAAAACTCAAAAAGCTAGAGTGCCTTCACTCCTCCAAATGACAACATTACTTCTCCAACAAGGGTTCAGAATAGGGCTGAGGCTGAGATGGCTGAAATAACAGAAGTAGACCCCAGAATGTGGATAAAAATGAACTTCACTGAGCTAAAGGAGCATGTTCTAACTCAATGCAAGAAAACTCAAAATTACAATATAACATTGCAAAAGCTGACAAACAAATTAGCCTGGATAGAGAAGAATCTAAGCAACCTGATAGAGCTGAAAAACACAATACAGTAATTTCATAATGCAATCACAAATATTAATATCAGAATAGACCAAGAACATGGGAGAATCTCAGCTCTTGAAGACTGTCTTTCTGAAATAAGACAGGCAGACAAGAATAGAAAAAAGAGAATCAAAAGGAATGAACAAAACCTGTGAGCAATATGGGATTATCTAAAGAGACCAAATTTATAACTGATTGGTATACCTAAGAGAGCTGGGGAGAATGGAGCCAATTTTTAAAAAATATTTCAGGATATCGTCCATGAGAATATCCCCAGCCTTGCTATACAGGTCAACATTAAAATTCAGAAAATGCAGAGAACTCCAGTAGGATACTCCATGAAAAGATCATGCTCAAAACATATAATTATCAGATTCTCCAAAGTTAAAATGAAAAAAATATTAAGGGCAGCAAGAGAGAAAGGCCAGGTCACCTACAAAGTGAAGCCCATCAGACTAAGAGCAGACCTCTCACTGAAAACTCTACAAGCTAAAAAAGATTGAGGGCCAATATTTAACATTCTTTTTTTTTTAAAAAAAAATTATTATTATTATACTTTAAGTTTTAGGGTACACGTGCACAACATGCAGGTTTGTTACATATGTATACATGTGCCATGTTGGTGTGCTGCACCCATTAACTCGTCATTTAGCGTTAGGTATATCTCCTAATGCTATCCCTCCCCCCACCCACCCATCCCATAACAGGCCCCGGTGTGTGATGTTCCCCTTCCTATGTCCATGTGTTCTCATTGTTCAATTCCCACCTATGAGTGAGAACATGCGGTGTTTGGTTTTTTGTCCTTGCGATAGTTTGCTGAGAATGATGGTTTCCAGTTTCATCCATGTCCCTACAAAGGACATGAACTCATCATTTTTTATGGCTGCATAGTATTCCATGTGTGTATGTGCCACATTTTCTTAATCCAGTCTATTGTTGGACATTTAGGTTGGTTCCAAGTCTTTGCTATTGTGAATAGTGCCGCTATAAACATATGTGTGCATGTGTCTTCATAGCAGCATGATTTATAATCCTTTGGGTATATACCCAGTAATGGGATGGCTGGGTCAAATGATATTTCTAGTTCTAGATCCCTGAGGAATCGCCACACTGACTTCCACAATGGTTGAACTAGTTTACAGTCCCACCAACAGTGTAAAAGTGTTCCTATTTCTCCACATCCTCTCCAGCACCTGTTGTTTCCTGACTTTTTAATGATTGCCATTCTAACTGGTGTGAGATGGTATCTCATTGTGGTTTTGATTTGCATTTGTCTGATGGCCAGGGATGATGAGCATTTTTTCATGTGTGTTTTGGCTGCATAAATGTCTTCTTTTGAGAAGTGTCTGTTCATATCCTTCGTCCACTTTTTGATGGGGTTTTTTTTTTTTTTTTCTTGTAAATTTGTTTGAGCTCATTGTAGATTCTGGATATTAGCCCTTTGTCAGATGAGGAGGTTGCAAAATTTTTTTCCCATTCTGTAGGTTGCCTGTTCACTCTGATGGTAGTTTCTTTTGCTGTGCAGAAGCTCTTTAGTTTAATTAGATCATATTTGTCAATTTTGGCTTTTGTTGCCATTGCTTTTGGTGTTTTAGACATGAAGTCCTTGCCCATGCCTATGTCCTGAATGGTATTGCCTGGGTTTTCTTCTAGGGTTTTTATGATTTTAGGTCTAACATTTAAGTCTTTAATCCATCTTGAATTAATTTTTGTATAAGGTGTAAGGAAGGGATCCAGTTTCAGCTTTCTACATATGGCTAGCCAGTTTTCCAAGCACCATTTATTAAATAGGGAATCCTTTCCCCATTTCTTATTTTTGTCAGGTTTGTGAAAGATCAGATAGTTGTAGATATGTGGCATTATTTCTGAGGGCTCTGTTCTGTTCCATTGGTCTATATCTCTGTTTTGGTACCAGTACTATGCTGTTTTGGTTACTGTAGCCAAATTCAAAAAGATCAAAAATTCAAATAAACACAGTCAGAAATAATAAATTACCACTGACTCCACAGAAATAAAAATAACCATTAAAGAATATTGTAAACAACTCTATGCACATAAGCTAAAAATCTTAGTAGAAATGGATAAATTTCTGAACACATACATCCTCCCAAGACAAACCAGAAAGAAATTCAATCCCTCAAAAGAGAAATAACTGCTCTGAAATTGAGGCAGCAATAAATAGCATACCAACCATTAAAAGCACAGGACCAGAAAAATTAACAGCTGAATGCTCCCCGATATACAAAGAAGAACTGGTACAATTTCTACTAAAACTATTTCAAAAAATTGAAACAGAAGGTATTCTCCCTAACTCTTTCTATGAGACCAGATCATACTGGTACCAAAACATGGCAGACAAAAGAAGAAACTTCAGGCCAATATTCTTGATGAACACTGATGCAAACATTCTCAACAAAATACTGGTAATCCAAATCCAGCAGCACATCAAAAATCTTATCCACCACAATCAAGTAGGCTGTATTCGTGGGATGCAATGTTGTTTCAACCTACACAAATCAATATGTGATTCATCACATAAACAGAACTAAAGACAAAAACGACATGATTATCTCAATAGATGCAGAAAAAGCTTTCAATAAAATTCAACATCCATTCATGTTTAAAACTCCCAATAAATGAGATATTGAGAAAACATACCTCAAAATAGTAAAAGCCATATATGCCAAACCCACAACCAACATCATACTGAAAGAGCAAAGGCTGAAAGCATTTCCCTTTAAAACCAGCACAAGTCAAGGATGCCCTCTCTCACCACTCCTATTTAAGATAGTATTGGAATTTACTGGCAAGAGAAACAAATAAAAGGCATTCAAATCAAAACAGAGGAAGTTAAACTACACTTGATGGCAGATGACATGATCTTATATCCAGAAAACTCCATTGTCTCACCCCCAAAGCTTCTTAAGCTGATAAACATCTTTAGCATAGTCTCAAGATACAAAATCAATATGCAAAAATCACTAGCATTCTTTTTTTTTGAAAAGGAGTCTCGCTCTGTTGCCCAGGCTGGAGTGCAGTGGCATGATCTCGGCTCACTGCAAGCTCCACCTCCCAGGTCCACGCCATTCTCCTGCCTCAGCCTCCCAACTAGCTGGGACTACAGGTGCCCACCACCACGCCCAGCTAATTTTTTGTAATTTTAGTAGAGACAGGGTTTCACCGTGTTAGCCAGGATGGTCTCAATCTCCTGACTTCATGATCCGCACGCCTCGGCCTTCCAAAGAAAAGTCACTAGAATTCTTATACACCAACAATGGTCAATCCAAGAGGAAAATCATGAATGAACGCCCATTCACTATTGCCACAAAAAGAACAAAACACCTAGGAATGCATCTAACAAGGGAAGTGAAAAGTCTGTACAAGGAGAACTATGAACTACTGCTCAAAGAAATCAGGGATGACATAAACAAATAGAAAAACATTTCATGCTTATGGATAGGAAAAATTAATATTGTTAAAATGGCCATGCTCCCCAAAGAAACTTACAGATTTAATACTATTCCCATTAAACTACCACTGACATTTTTCACAAAGCTAGAAAAATTTATTTTAAAATTTATATGAAACCAAAAAAGAGCCTTAATAGTCAAGACAATCCTAAGCAAAAAAGAACAAAGCTGGAGACATCATGCTACCCAACTTCAAACTATGCTACGGGGCTACAGTAACCAAAACAGTATGGTGCTGGTACAAGAACAGACATGTAGACCAATGAAACAGAATAGAGAACCCAGAAATAAGACTGCGCACCTACAACTATCTGATCTTTGACAAACCTGACAAAAACAACCAATGGAAAAAGGGCTCCCTATTCAGTAAATGATGCTGGGTTAACTGGATAGCCATATGCAGAAAATTGAAACTGAACCCCTTCCTCCATCATTGTCAGCAAACTAACACAAGAACAGAAAACCAAACATGGCATGTTCTCACTCATAAGTGTGAGTTGAACAATAAGAACACATGGACACTGGGAGGGAAACAACACACACTGGGGCTAATCAGACAGTAGGGGGTGAGGGGAGGGAGAGCATTAGGGCAAATAGCTAATGCATGTGGGGCTTGAAGCCTGGATGACGAGCTGATAGGTGCAGCAAACCACCATGGCACATGTATACCTATGTAACAAACCTATATGTTCTGCACTTGTATCCCGGAACTTAAACTAAAATTAAAAAAGAAAGAAAGAAATAAACTGAACTCCTTCCTAACACCGTATACAGAAATTAACTCAAGATAGTTTAACAAGTTAAATGTAAAACCCAAAATTATAAAAACTTTGGAAGACAACCTAGGAAATACCATTCAGGACATAGGCACGGGCAAATATTTTATGATGAAGATGCCGAAAGCAATTGGAGCAAAGGAAACATTGACAAATGGGATCTAATTAAACTAAAGATGTTCTGCACAGCAAAATAAACTGATGTTCTGCACAGCAAAATAAACTATCAACAGTGTAAACAGACAACGTATAGAATGGGAGAAAAATTTTGCAAACCATGCATCTGACAAAGATCCAATTTCTAGCATCTATATGGAACTCAAATTTACAAGAAAAATCAAACAACCTTATTGAAACGTGGGCAAAGGACATGAAGAGACACTTCTTAAAAGAAGACATACATGCAGCCAACAAGCATATGAAAAAAAGTTCAACATCACTGATCATTAGAGAAATGCAAATCCAAAAAACAATGAGATACCATTTTATATCAATAAAATGGCTATTATTAAACTGTCAAAAAATAGCAGATGCTGGCAAAGTTGTGGAGAAAAGGAACATTTTTACCCTGTTCATTGGAGTGTAAATGAGTTCAACCATTGTGGAAGACTGTGTGGTGATTCTTCAAAGACCTAAAGAAAAAAATACCCTTTGACTCAGCAACCTTAGTACTGAGTATATACCCAAAGGAATATGTCATTCTGTTATGAAGACATATGCATGCACACATTTATTGCTGCCCTATTCACAATAGCAAAGACATTGAATCAACCCACATGTTCGTCAATAATAGACTGGATGAAGAAAATGTATTACACATACACCATGGAGTACTATGCAGCCACAAAAAGGAACAGGATCATGTCCTTTGTAGGGACATGGATGGATGGAGCTGGAGACCATTTTCCTTAGTAAACTAACACAGGAACAGAAAGCCAGATACCACATGTTCTCACTTATAAGTGGGAGCTAGATGATGAGAACACCCAGACACAGAGAAGGGAACAACACACACTGGGGCCTATCAGGAGTTGGAGGGTGAGAGGAGGGAGAGAAGCAGAAAAAATAACTAGTGGAGAGTAGGCTTAATGACTGGGTGATAAAATAATCTGTACAATCAACCTTCATGACACATATTTACATATGTAACAAACTTGCACATCCTGCACATGTACCCCTAAACTTAAAATAAAAGTTAAAAAAAGAAAAAAATTAGCAAAAAGATAGATTATTTTTGACTGCCTTGATGCACAGATCAGAGTCAACATGCACTGCCCAGCTCTAGGATTCTTATTTATGAGAAAGAAAGCATTTTCTCTCTGGTCTGCACTACTATTATATTGGGTTTTCTTCTATATGTGGGCAAATGTAATCCTAACCAAAGTGCTAGCTTTGCCATGGAATCCTTGTATAATCTTGGATAATACATGTCTCCTTCCTAAGACATTCTCCTATCTGTATAGTGGTGGAAGGCTGTGAAGGGGTGGCCTGCCCTTCCGCACCTGTAGGTGTTTCTTGTCAGGTGGAATGAGAGACTGAGAAAAGAAATAAGAGACAGAGACAAAGTATAGAGAAAGAAAAGTGGGCCCAGGGGACCGGTGCTCAACATAAGGAGGACCTGCACCAGCACTGGTCTCTGAGCTCCCACAGTATTTATTGTTCATTATCTCTACCATCTCAGAGAGGGGCATGTGGCAGGACAATAGGGTAATAGTGAGGAGAGGGTCAGCAGGAAAACATGTGAACAAAGATCTCTGTGTTTAAGGAAAGGTGCTGTGCTTTGATGTGCACGTACACAAACATCTTGATGCATTAAAGAGCAGTACTGCCGCTAGCATGTCTCACCTCCAGCCCTAAGGCTGGTTTTCTCCTATCTCAGGAAATAGAACATACAATCAGGTTTTACACCGAGACATTCCATTGCCCAGGGACAAGCAGGAGACAGATGCCTTCCTCTTATCTCAACTGCAAAGAGGTCTTCCTCTTTTACTAATCCTCCTCAGCACAGACACTTTACGGGTGTCAGGCTGGGGGATGGTCAGGTCTTTCCCTTCCCATGAGGCCATATCTCATGCTATCACATGGGGAGAAAACTTGGACAATACCTGGCTTTCCTAGGCAGAGGTCCCTGTGGCCTTCCGCAGTGTATTGTGTCCCTGGGTACTTAAGATTAGAGAATGGTGATGACTTTTAACAAGCATACTGGCTTCAAGCACTTTTTTTTTATTACTATACTTTAAGTTTTAGGGTACATGTGCACAAGGTGCAGGTTTGTTACATATGTATACATGTGCCATGTTGGTGTGCTGCGCCCATTAACTCATCATTTAGCATTAGGTGTATCTCCTAATGCTATCCCTCACCTCTCCCCCCACCCCACAACAGTCCCCGGTGAGTGATGTTCCCCTTCCTGTGTCCATGTGTTCTCATTGTTCAATTCCCACCTATGAATGAGAACATGCGGTGTTTGGTTTTTCGTCCTTGTGATAGTTTGCTGAGAATGATGGTTTCCAGTTTCACCCATGTCCATACAAAGGACATGAACTCATCAAGCACTTTTTTAACAAAGCACATCCTGCATAGCCCTAAATCCATTAAACCTTGAGTCAACACAGCACATGTCTCTGCAAGCACAGGGTTGGGGCTAGGGTTACAGATTAACAGCATCTCAAGGCAGAAGAATTTCTCTTAGTACAGAACAAAATGGAGTCTCTTATGTCTACTTCTTTCTACATAGACACAGTAACAGTCTGATCTCTCTTTCTTTTCCCCACAGGCTGCAGTGAGGAAGATTTAATTCTGAAGTTCTAGTGTTTTCACATGGCCCACATCCATAGTCCCTTGTACAGTTAATAGCATCCCAGATTCTCTTCGTGGGACTACTCCACCATGAAGGGTCCATCAGTCTATGTGTTCAGTGAGGATGTCACCACCTTCCAGATGCAGAGGACAGGGGAAAAATTGGTATGCTCCATGGGAAGCTGTTGGGGGATGGAGGTGGGGCTCACATGCACCCATTGTCTGTGGGCCTTTAAAGATCCTGTGTGCACGACCCTTCTTGGACAGAAGGTCCAGCTGCCCACTGCAGAACCCATCTACTTCTGCTCGAGTAAGGAAGATCTGGGCACACCCTGATCACAGCCCTGCTACATCCATCCTAGTTGGCAGGCAGCTTGGACCATGTGCATGCTGAGTTGTGGCTTAAGCGCTTTGACATCTAACACCTCACTGGATAATTGGAAAACTGGGATCTGGAGAGAAGCCGAGACTTCTCTCCAGGATATGGAGAGAAGAAACTGGGATATGGAGAGAACATAAAGTGGGCAGAGTCCAGAGAATAAAAGAGCATTCTGACATCCTAGGCCAGGGCTCAACTCTCTCACGGGGTTTGCTTTGGGAATGAATCCCTGAAATCCTGGGGATTCCTGCCAATTTTCTCATCATATGATGCAATCTCACGTCTGCACCATTAGACGCGTACAGGTTTGGGCATAAACACACATGTGCGCACACACACAAAAAAACACACACAGACTTCTCAGGTTAAAGATCAGAAGATGAGTTAATACTGATGGAGTGACAAGAAGAAAGGAAAGAGAGGATCGGGGCAGCTTTGCCATAAGGTAGGGGCACCCCATCTCCTGGTAACATGCCCAAGACCCATAACACGGGGGTGGGAAAAGATAACAGGCCAATGGCTTGGGAACCTCAAGGTTCCCATGGATTTGCCTGGGCTGTGGCCATCCCCAGGATAGCCTTCAGAGGACAAAAACTTGTTTTCTGCATTCATTGCTGTGCATAATTAAAATTAGGAAGAATCCCCCTATACCCAGTATGGAGAGGAATACAGTAGTGAAAACCTTATTTTTTTTTCTCTATAAACTGACATAATTGACCTGGGTGGCCCCTAAATTTCAAAGGCTTAAAGAAGTGAGCTGACCTTGGAAATTGCTCTGTATCCTCTGAAGGTCTTTCAGAGCAGAAAGTGGCCTGGGGGTTTGTGGGACTGAGCACACAGGCTACTGTAGAATGTGGCAGAGCATCAGACCACTGCTCCGAGGCCCAAGGACAAGACCATCCCTGTCAGAGCTTTGGTTTGTTTGTTTGTTTTTTTGAGTGGAGCTAAAGTCATTTTCCAGGCTGGGATGAGGAGGCCTGGGGAGTTAACTGGATACCTCAGAATAGTGGAGGCAAACAGGAAGCACAGAAGGCTTCTGAGGCCCCCCACATTGTCCTGGAGCCTGTAGGGCTCCCTCAGTTGTTCTCTTGTTTCATAGTCTATTTTTCTTTGTTTGTTAAATTGTTTCAGTCAGCTAAAATTTACATAACATAGAGTTCAATGTATTAACCGATTTAAAGTGTAAAATTCAGTGTTTTTCAGTCTATTTACAATGCTACACAACTGTCACCACTATCAAATTCCAAAATAGTTTCATCACCCTTTCACAAAAGAACTCCATATCCATCAAGCAGTCATTTCTTATTCTCCCACCCAATTTCCCTGGTAACGACTAATCCACTTTCTATCTTTAGTTGTCTATTCTAGTCATTTTATAGAAATATGTGAACTTTTTTCTTTGTTTTTTTTCTCATTTAGCATATGTTTTTATTATTTATCCATGTTGTAACACATATCATAGGACTGTATTTATTTTTATGGCTAATATTCCATTGTATAGATAATACCATATTTTCTTTATTTGGTTATTCACCCATAGATATTTGGGTCATACCTACTTTATGGCTATTTATAACAATGCTCCTATAAACATAATACAAAGTTTTTGTGTAGGCATATGCTTTTATTTCTGTTTGGTATATACTCAGGAGTAGAATTGCTGAGCTATATGGTAACTCTATCTTAACCTGTGGAGGACCTGCCAAAATATTTTCCAAAATGGCTGTATTATTTTACCATGCCATCAGCACGGTATGAGGGTTCTAATTTCTCCACATTCTCATCCACATTTATTTCTTTTCTTGAATATACCTATCCTAGTGCGTGTAAACTGACATTTAATTGTGGTTTTGATTTGCATTTTTCTAATGAAAAGAGATGCTAAGCATCTATGTGCTCATTGGTCATTTATATTTTATTCTTATATACTGATGCATTGTTATCATTAATAATTGAAATGTTCACTAGTAGAGTATTTTTCTAAGTTATAATAATAATGTGATTATCATTAATTATTATTATTATCCATTTATACTCAATGGAGTTTCACTGTTGTTGCCCAGGCTCAAGTGCAATGAAGCAATTTCGGCTCACTGCAACCTCTGCCTCCCAGGATCAAGCATTTCTACTGCCTCAGCCTCTCAAGTAGCTTGGGTTAGAGGTGTGCACCACCATGCCCGGCTAATTTTGTATTTGTAGTAGAGATGGGATTTCACCATGTTGGCCAGGCTGGCCTTTAACTCCTGACCTCAGGTGATCCACCTGCCTTGGCCTCCCAAAGTGCTGGGATTATAGTCATGAGCCACTGTGCCCAGCTTTAAGTTATTTATAAATGTTACAAAGGTATACAATAATTTACTCAATAAATGCTGTTGTTTTATTTTATTTTATTAAATTATATAAGCTGATTGTCTTCTTGGAATGCCCTGTATTTCTGAAATAAAATCTTCTCAGTTATTATATATGTACATATTGTATATACATATATATATACTTATATGTAATTTTACATCCAAATGTATCTTATATTGGCTTGGTTTTGAAGTTTTGGAATAATGACAGTGTTAGTCACAAAATTTTTCTATGAATTTTATTTCTTTCTTTCTTATAAAATGTATTTTAAAGAGAGATTTGAAATTAAGTAATAATGCAGGATAGAAAACCAACATACAAAAATTAGTAGCATTTCTATATCCCAATAGAAATCATTCTGAAAAAAAATTTTCTTTACAATACTTACAAATAAGTAGGAATAAACAACTAAATAAGGGAAAGATTTCTATAATGAATCTGTAAAATATAAATTAAAGAAATTAAAGAAGATGAAACAAAATGAAAAGGTATTTTATATTGCATGAAATAAAATAATCAATGTTGTTAAAATGTTCATACTGCCAAATCAATTTACAGATTTAATGCAATCCCATCAAAATACCAATGACATTCTTCACAGAAGTAGAAACAAAATTCTAATATTTATATAAAACCACATAAAAGAATATTCAAAGGCATCTTAAGCAAAAGCAAAACCAAACAAAACTGGAACCACCACACTACTTGGCTTCAAAATAGTCTGTAAAGATATACTAACCAAAACAGCATGGTACTGACATTAAAACAGACATGTAGACCAATAGAACAGAATAGTGAATCCAGAAGAAAATTCATACATTTGTAGTGAACTCATTTTTGACAAAGACACCAATAACATACACTGGATAAATGATGGTCTTTTCTGTAAATGATGCTGGGAAAACTGAATATCCATAGGTAGAAGAATAAGACTAGACCCCTATCTCTCACTCCATACAAAAATCAAATAGAAATGGATTAAATACTTAAATCGAATACGTGAAACTATAAAACTACCACAAAAAAACCTTAGAAAAACACTGCGGGTTATTGATCTGAGCAAAGATTTTTAAATAATGTTTCAAAAGCACAGGGAATGAGAGTAAAATGTACAAATGAGATCACATCATACAAAAAACTTCTGCACAGCAAAGGAAACAATCAATAAAATGAAGAGACAATTCCTAAAATGAGAGAAAATAAGGCTGGGCATGGTGGCTTATGCCTGTAATCCCAGCACTATGCGAGGCCGAGGTAGGTGAATCACCTGAGGTCAGGAGTTTAAGACCAGCCTGGCCAGCATGGAGAAACCCTGTTTCTACTAAAAATACAAAAATTAGCTGGGCGCAGTGACACACGCCTGTAATCCCAGCTACTTGGGAGGCTGAGGCAGGAGAATCGCTTGAATCTGGGAGGCAGAGGTTGCAGTGAGCTGAGATCGTGCCACTGCACACTAGGCTGGGTGATGAGAGAGACTCTGTCTCAAAAAGAAAAAAGAGATAAGAGAGAAAATATGTGCAAGCTACACATCCGACAAGCGATTGATAAGCAGAATACAAAAGAAACAAAAAACTCAATAGAAAATAATTAAATAATCCAGTTTTAAAATGGGCAAAAATCTGAATAGACACTTCTCAAAAATATAAGGGGCATAAACAAAGAAACTAAAAGTTAGAGAAAAATTATATAGAAAAACTGAAAATTTTAGAAAAAATAGACCCAGACTAGTCACATTAAAATATAATTAGCAATGAAAAAAAGAAAATTCTACAGCTTTAAAGTAGAAAACATATAGATTAGAAACAAAAATGGGAGTGAAGTATGACTTTGTTTTTACTTCTTGATTGATTATTACTTAGGTATTATCATTTCATTAAAATCCTCATATTTCTGGGCCTACTTAATTCTATGCTATTTTATTTTTTAATTTTTTAAATTTAATTTATTTAACTTTTGTGGGTACACAGTAGGTGTATATATTTATGGGGATAAATGAGATGTTTTGATACAGGCATGAAATACATAATACTCCCATCATAGAGAATGGGATACACCCTCCCCCACTTAAGCATTTATTTTTTGTCTTACAGTCTAATTATTCTCTCTTAGTTTAAAATGTGCAATTGGCTGGGCATGTGGTGAAAACCCATCTCTACTAAAAATACAAAAAATTAGCTGGGCATGGTGGCAGGTGGCTGCAATCCCAGCCACTCAGGAGGCTGAGGCAGGAGAATTGCTTAAACCTGGGAGGCAAAGGTTGCAGTGAGACAAGACTGCACCATTGCACTCCAGCCTGGGTGACAAGAGCAAGACTCTACCTCAATAAAATAAAATATATAAAATAAAATATAAAATATAAAATAAAATGTACAATTAAATTATTATTGACTATAGTCATCTTGTGCTACCAAATAGTAGGTTATATTTATTCTATTTATTGTACCCATTAACAGTCCCCACCTTTCCGCCAGCCCCTACTATCTTGCTTAACCTCTCAAAGAGGTTAAGAAAACTAACCTCTTCTCTCCACGTCCATGGGTTCAATTGTTTTGATTTTTAGATCCCACAGGTAAGTGAGAACATGCCAAGTTTGTCTTTCTGTGTCTGACTTATTTCACTTAACATACTCTCCACTTTTATCCACATTGTTGCAAAAGACAAAATCTCATTTTTATGGCTGAATACTACTCCATTGTATATATGTGCTACATTTTTTTTAATCCATTCATCTGTTGGTAGACAGTTTGCTTTCAAATCATAGCTATTGTAAACAGTGAAGCAACAAGCTGATTTTCTTTCTTTTGGGTATATACCCAGTACTGGGATTGCTGGGTTGCATGGTAGCTATGGTAGCTCACTTTTAGTTTTTTAAGAAACCTTCAAAATGTTTTTTTTATAGTGGTTGTACTAACTTACATTACCACCAACAGTGCACAAAAGTTCCCTTTTCTCCACATCCTCGTCAGCATTTGTTAATGTCTGTCTTTTGGATATAAGACATTTCAACTGGGGTGAGATAATATCTCACTGTAGTTCTGATTTGCATTTCTCTGAGGTTCAACTTTTATATGCCTGTTTCCCATTTGTATGCTTTCTTTAGAGAAATGCCTCTTCAAATCTTTTGCCAATATTTTAATTGAATTATTAGATGTTTTTCTATAGACTTGTTTGAGCTCTTTCTATATTCTGATTATTAACTTGTCAGTTGAGTGGTTTGCAAGTATTTTCTCCCATTCTGTGGGTTGTCTCTTCTCTTTGTGGATTGTTTCCTTAGCTGTGCAGAAGCTTTTCACCTTGATCTGATTCCATTTGTCTATTTTTGCTTAGGTTGCCTATGGTTGTGGGGTATTACTCAAGAAATTTTTGCCCATACTGATGTCCTGAAAATTTTTCACAACTTTTTTATATATAGTAGTTTTATATAATTTGAGGTCTTATATTCACATGTTTAATTAATTTTGATTTGTTTTTGGATATGGTGGGAGATAGGAATCCAGTTTTATTCTTTTGCATATGGATATCCAGTTTCCCCAGCACCATTTATTGAAGAGACTGTCTTTGCCCCACTGTATGTTCTTGATATCTTTGTCAAAAATGAGTTTTCTGTAAATGTGTGGATTTGTTGCTGGGTTCTCTATCCTTTTTCACTGGTCTATGTGTTTGTTCTTATGCTAGTACCACGCTGTTTTCCTCATTCTGGTGATATGACATATCACATTTATTGATTTGTGTATATTAAACTATGTTTGCATCCCAGGGATACACCCCACTTGGTCATAATGAATAATCTTTTTAATGTATTGTTGAATTCTGTTTGCTAGTATTTTGTTGAGATTTTTGCATCAGTATTTATCAGAGATATTGGCCTGCAGTTTCCTTTTTTTGATGTATCTTTGTCTGGTTTTGATATCAGGGTAAAACTGGCCTCATAGAATGAGTTTGAAAGTATTCCCTCCTCCTTATTTTTCAGAATAGTTTGAATAGGAATTGGTATTACTTCTTGAAATGTTTGGTAAAATTCAGTAATGAAGCCATCAGGTCCTGGGCTGTTCTTTCCTGGAAGAGTTTTTTTATTAAAGCTTCAATCTCATTAATTGTTATTGGTCTGTTTAGGTTTTGGATTTCTTTACTGTTTAATCTTGGTAGGTTGTATGTCTCTAGGAGTTTGTCTATTTTTTTTTTTTTTTTAGATTTTCCAATGTATTGGCATACAGTTGCTTATAGTAGCCACAAACCAATCTTTGAATTTGTGTGTTATCTGTTGTAATATCTCCTTTTTTAACTCGTTTTTTTATTTGAATTAAAAAAAAAATGTTTAGTCTGCTGAAGGTTTGCCAATTTTTAACTTTTCTAAAAGGCCAAATATTTTCATTAATCTTTTGTAGTTTTTGTTTTATTTTTTTCTGCTCTAATCCTATAATCCTATGATTTTTTTCTTCTACTAACTATGTTTTTTTTTTTTTTGACAGAGTCTAGCTCTGTTGCTCTTATTACTGCCATAACAAATTTTAATCCCAGCCTATCTCTCATCTACATGACCACAAACCCCTACACTATGGCCTGAGAGAAAACTGCTCACTAATAACCAAAAAACTGTTTATCCCTTTCAATGTCAGTGGGCTGAAAAAAAACCCCAAAAACCTGTTGATCCCAATACACTATCCTATACAACATATACCATTGCTTTTAACAAAAATTACAAGCCAACACATCCCCTTTTATCTTTATGTGAGATCTTTATTTGTGTTAAAACCAAATTAAGGTCCCAGCGTGGAATTCAGGAGGCTCCGATCCCAAGAGACGCCGGGCACTCCGCCTCCTGCCGGTCATGCCATGCCTGCGTCCTGGAACGCACGGCTGATGCTCCTGCTCCAGGGCAGGCGATCCCGGCAGGCAGCCTGGCTGGCAGCATCAAAATCTACATCACAGGGCCAGGCGCGGTGGTTCAAGCCTGTAATCTCAGCACTTTGGGTGGCCGAGGCGGGCGGATCATCTGAGTCAGGCGTTTGAGACCAGCCTGACCAACATGGGGAAACACCGTCTCTACTAAAAAGACAAAAAAATTAGCCGGGAATGGTGGCACATGCCTGTAATCCCAGCTACTCGGGAGGCTGAGGCAGGAGAATCGCTTGAATCCAGGTTGTAGTGAGCCAAGATCGCGCCACTGCACTCCAGCCTGGGGGACAAGAGCAAAATTCTGTCAAAAAAAAAAAAAAAAAAAAAAGAAAGAAAGAAAGGGGAAGGAAGGAAGGAAGTTGGAAGGAAGGAAGGAAGGAAGGAAAAGAAAAAAAAAATCTGCATCCCGTTCCCCACCGAGTTCGTGAAGATGCAGCTGCAGCTGGACTAGCACTCGCATCCACCGGATACCGGGCATGGGGCCTGCAGGCACACAGTCGCAGCCAAGGCAGCCTGGGCCTGGGCCGCAGCCTCAGCTCCCTGCTCTGCGGCTTCATCCACAAGGCGGCGTCAGGCGTTCCTCAGCAACCAGATGCGGGATGCCCAGGGACTGGTGAACAGCAAGGCGGGCAGCGGTGCGGCCAGTGAGCTAGCGTGGCCGAGGCCGTGGTGGTCCTATGTCCCATGGAGACCATCAAGGTGAAGTTAATCCATGGCCAGACCTCTCCAAATCCAAGTACAGGGGATTCTTCCACAGGGTTAGGAGATTGTGCGGGAACACCGGGACTTACCGGGGCCCCACAGGCCCCGTGCTGAAGCAGGGCTGGAACCAGGCAACTTGTTTCTTTGTCCTGACATCCCTGCGCAGCTGGTACCGAGTGGACAGCCCCAACAAACTCATGAACCCGCTGGTCGCTGGGTTCTTCGGAGCCATTGTGGGAGCGGCCAGTGTCTTCGGAAATGCTCCTCTGCACGAGATCGAGCCCCAGATGCGAGACCTGGAGGTGCACAAATGCAGAACACATGGGACTGTGGCTGCAAATCCTGAGGGAAGGGCACAAGACCTTCTACAAGGGCACTATTGCCTGCCTGGGCCGGGTCTGCCTGCATGTGGCCATAGTGTTTATCATCTATGATGAGGTGAGGAAGCTGCTCAACAAAGTGT
The DNA here is from genome assembly GCF_000001405.40 of Homo sapiens. NCBI lineage: Eukaryota > Metazoa > Chordata > Mammalia > Primates > Hominidae > Homo > Homo sapiens. Next base: position 27,805,437 of record NC_000019.10, on the reverse strand, counting down.
GGAAGACAGAGTAAGCTCAGAGGGGCCGTGAGGGGACCACCCCAGCACCTCCAGAGCACCCGGCCACCCTTGTCTCACATGATTCCAGTGCAGAAATGCCAAAAGGCCCCTTCCCATATCCCTCGAGCTCTGTGGCCTGGTCTGTGCATTGTGGCCATCACATCCATCTGTCCCATTGTGCCATGTCTTCCCTGTGGTCTGTATGTGACACCGTGTCTACCTCTGGTCCCACCATGGCTGGATGTCAACTGGCCTGTGAATCTGTGTCCACTTGTTCATGTGCTTACTGTGAGCCCTGGGCCTGTGTTTCATGCTCTGTGTCATGGGACACTGTGCTCCGCCTCCCAGGGTGCCCGTGTGGCCTGGGATCTTGGCCCTGTAGACCTTGCCTGGTTCCAGTCCAGTGCCTTCCGCCCTGCCCTGGCCTACCACAGCTGCCTCTGGGCCTCATCCTGGTTTCACCACATTCCAGGGGCTGTAGCCCAAATCCCCAACCCCACTCCACCCCCAGGTTCTCCCACCATTGGCCCTAACTGGCCTTCTGGACCTCCCTTTGCCCAGAAGAGGGTGGCACCTGCCACTCTCAGGACCACCCTGCCAAGGCAGAATAAACCAGATCCTGTTGCAAAAATTAATTCATTAAAAGTATGAAGCACAGAAGAAAATGAGGTACCAGGAAAAGGGGTAAGAAGAAATTAGACACTGCATAAACTTGGCATATTGGAAATACCTATATTATTTTTTTGAGATAGTCTCAGTCTGTTGCCCAGGCTGGAGTGCATTGGCGTGATCTCAGCTCACTGCAACCTCCACCTCCCGAGTTCAAGTGATTCTCCTGCCTCAGCCTCCCGAGTAGCTAAGACTACAGGCGCCCACCACGACGCCCATCTAAATTTTTGTATTTTTACTGCAGACAAAGTTTCACCATGTTGGCCAGGCTAGTCTCAAACTCCTGACATCAAGTGATCTGCCTGCCTCGGCCTCCCAAAGTATTGGGATTACAGGCATGAGCCACTGTGCTTGGCCGGATATATATTTTAAATCTTTAAGTCAAAACAAGTGGGGAAAAGAGGATATCGAAATAATTTTGAAACAGCAGGGAACTATAAACTGAACAAGCAAATTTGGAAAAGAGACAAATATAAGTGGAATAATTTAAAAGTAAATAAATTTAATATACAATATGTGAGTTAAATATAAAATTAGACTGAGTTGACGACAGAATTAGTGAACTGGATTAGTGAACTGGAGTTTTCAGCAGAATGAATACAACCATATAAAAAAGAGAAAATAATAGCAATATGAATGTAATTATATGTATAGGAATAATAGAATGACAAGAAATAAAGCACAACTTAGCACATCAGTCTTTGTCATATTAGAAGATGTAGCTTATGTAAGAAAGTGAGCAGTATTTACTGATACTTAGCACATCAGTCTTGGTCACTTTAGAAGAAGCCACAGTGGGGGAAAGCAGGTTACTACTGAGAGACAAACTGAGAACCCATAGGAAGAAACAGGAGTAGAAAATGTAACCTGTGAATTTCTGTTTAGTCTTCACCAACCAGGAGGTGCTGGGGCTGATGGTGATGACCTGGAGCACAGTCAGGAGAAAGGTGATGGAGCTGGAGAGGCTCCTCATCACCCTGTACATGTAGAAAAATGCCTTGCACTTTAAGTTATTCTGCAAATGTAGTTACTTAAACAGGTCTGGAGATGCCAAGAAGACCGCAATGAGGAGCATCACTAAGTGTGCAAGGTCCAGGTGACAGGTGATGTGGTCAGTGGACTTAGGCTTGTGATCCAGAAGGGTTGTGAAGATGTGGAAGAGAAGGAAGGTGTTGGCTGTAAGTCTGATGACAGCTTGGAAGAAAAGGGCATTTTTTATATTACTATAAGTGCAACATGGTAATCTTAATGATGAAGAGGAATCATCTTTTCTATATTTGAAAAACGCAATAAGACTTCTATCATCAATGTTATTTATTGCATAGTCAAAACTATTACCAACCTTATCATTTTTATTTCACCCATTTATCTTGATCAAACCCACCTCATACAAATTTTTAAAAATGCAGCCTGAGCACTATATTATACAACAAATTACTTATACATATATAAAACATCCACACATTTACAATCACATGTAATCACATGTACGGTCCACATTGTCTATACTCATATAATAATATAGTACCTGGGCTCACTCTTCAGAAAGCATTTCTTTATTTTCTGCATTTTTTGTTTAATTATCACCATCCATAGTAATATGCATGTAAAAATAAATCACAGGTGTTTGAACAACTGAACTGAACTTTATGCTAATGGGAAAATAATCCCCAAAAATTTTCTTAGGAAAAAAATATTGCATTGAGTTGACCTAATATCACATCAGTGTGATAAAGTTTCTTTTTTTCTCCCTCTTTCATATTTAAGCGCCCTTCTAATTACGTGAGGCTTCTGCTCATGATAAAGATAATTTATCATGAAGTCAGCTGCTTGTTAACCTTGACACTATCTATATCTTAATTTTCCTTTGTCACATTACCTAAGATATTCACAGATTCTGGAGTTTAGGATATGAACATTGTTGTATGTGGGCAGCAAGCCACCCAGGTGCCGAGGCAAGAGACCAAGGACACAAGCTGTTCCAGTATAATAAAACATAAAACAAGAATAGTTATACCAAATATAGATCTTAGATATGATTATATATGAATATCATTAATCATTAGTTTGTAGCAATTACTCTTTATTCCAGTATTATAATAATCCTCACTCTATAATCATAACCTAGGAAAAAAAAGGCCATACAGAGATAGGAGCTGAGGGGACATAGTGAGGAGTGTGACCAGAAGACAAGAGTGCGAGGCTTCTGTTATGCCCAGACAGGGCCACCAGAGGGCTCCTTGGTCTAGCGGTAACGCCATCGTCTGGGAAGATGCCCGTTGCCAGGCGGACCGTGGTCTAGCGGTAGCCTCAGTGTCAAGGAAAAACACCGGCTACTTAGCAGACCGGGAATGGGAGTCTCCCTTTCCCCGCGGGGTGGGGGCGGTTTAGAGAAGACTCTACTCCTCCACTTCTTGTGGAGCCTAACATTAGTCAGGCTCGCCCACAGTTATCCGGAGGCCTAACCAACTCCCTGTGATGCTGTGCTTCAGTGGTCACGCTCCTAGTCCGCCTTCATGTTCCATCCTGTACACCTGGCTCTGCCTTCTAGATAGCAGTAGCAAAATTAGTGAAAGTACTAAAAGTCTCTAATAAGCAGAAATAATGGCGTAAGCTGTTTCTCTCTGTCTCCTCTCTCTCTCTGCCTTGGCTGCCAGGCAGGGAAGGGGCCCCTGTCCAGTGGACATGTGACCCACGTGGCCTTACCTATGATTGGAGATGGCTAACTCTCCTTATCCTGCCCCTTTGTCTTATATCCAATAAATATCAGTGCAGCCTGGCATTTGGGGCCACTACCAGTCTCCGCGACTTGGTGGTAGTGGTCCCCCAGGCCCAGCTGCCTTTTCTTTTATCTTTGTCTTGTGTCTTTATTTCTACACACTCTCTTGTCTCCACACATGGGGAGAGACCCACCAACCCTGTGGGGCTGGTCCCTACAGTTGTACTAACTGTATCTTTTCAAAACGCTTTGGTTCTCCTCTAGCTTAGTTTTTATATGAGACCCCTTATATTAACTCTCTTTAACGTCTCAGAATGGAAGTGTTAAAAAGTCCTGCTCTCAATTTTCCAGAGAACAAAAAACACATTTTTCAAATTTATGGCATTCATAAAGTTACATTAAAATGCTCACACGGGGATCTTTTTCTTAAGACTTCACTTAATATAAAGATACCCACTCATGTCTTCAAAAATACTTTGCTCTCAAATAATAAAGACAATTTCTCTCATATGTTAATTGAGAGATCTCCGTATGAAAATATTATTATGAAATTGTACTGAATAATTCAGAAATTGTTCTCATGGTATCTTCTTTGGATGCTGGCAGTATTATTTTATTAAATCAATTTAATACTGGATGTAGAACAATTCAGCTGTAAAATGCTGAGAAAAATCTTTTATATTCACTCTATTCCTCCCGTGAGATGTAAGAGTGTTCAACTGTTTTCAACGTCAGTTAAAACTACTCTGGCCCGTAAGCATAAATATGCAAGGCAATACAGATCATGTGACAGTTTGCATTCTTGGCTTGTACTCAGAGAATAATGGCTGAGGTAGAATATTGCTCTAAACCCACCTGATACGTATGAGTTTATAAAGGAGAAAGTGCATATCTGATATGTATGAGTTTATACAGAAGAAACTGCATACCTGATATGTATGAGTTTATAGGGAGAAATTGCAGTATCTTATTTACTTTTTCTTCAAGCACTTAATCTAATAAAGGGACATATTTATTTCAACTTCCAGAACCAAGCAATTGATAGTTCTCAACAATGCACATTTGGGCCCTCAGCTCAGTTAAAATCTGTTGCCATGTGGCACTCAGGAGAAACACCAGGAGAATACTCACGGAAAGGCTCAATGATCTCCACATTAGAAGGTTAACAAACCACTACAAGTAAAGCAATATTTGGATATAAATCACATATATATGTGGAATTATTCATTAACCATGTATCAGAATTATATTATTATTCTGTCTGTATCATAGGTTATGTAACAGAGAGAATAAATAGAAAAAGTAACATAGATTAGAAATTTAGTAATTTTTCACCCTAAAAGACATCCAGCTCATCATTTCTAATTTATGTCCCCAGTCTGTAAATGACTCTCACATACTGAATAAAGAGTCTATCTGCTAGATCATCATGTGGCCTCCTCTGATGAGACTTGGTCATTGGTGCTGAAACTGTACTGGGGAGAACTACAGTTCTTATGGATTGAGGTCAACAAAAAAAGTCCAAGAACATTAAATATGAAATTCAGGTAAGCAAAAGGATGTGTGTGTGTGTGTGTGTGTGTGTATGTATGTAATATATAATAGGTGGGAATAGAAATATTACACGCAAATGTTTATTTTATAGTTATACTAAAAAGTTATTTGTTTTCTATTGGGGAACCTGCCCCGATAATCACGTAGGTTTTTTTCTATTTTTCCTAAGTGTCGGCCAGCTTGAGAAATAAAGGGACAGAGTACAAAAGAGAAATTTTAAAGCTGGGCGTCCGGGGGAGACATCACACGTTGGTAGGATCTGTGATGGCCCACAAACCACAAAAACCAGCAAGTTTTTACTAGAGATTTTCAAAAGAGGAGGGAGTGTGCGACTAGGTGTGGGTGACAGACATCAAGTACTTAACAGGATAATAGAATATCACAAGGCAAGTGGAGGCAGGGCGCAATCACAGGACCACAGGACCGATGCGAAATTAAAATTGCTAATGAAGTTTTGGGCACCATTGTCATTGATAACATCTTATCAGGAGACAGGGTTTTGAGATCAACTGGTCTGACCAAAATTTATTAGGCGGGAATTTCCTCTTCCTAATAAGCCTGGGAGCGCTGTGGGAGACTGGAGTCTATTTCATCTCGGCAGCCTCGACCATAAGAGACAGGCTATGCCCAGGGGGGCCAGTTCAGAGACCTACCCGCAGGCACACATTCTCTTTCTCAGGGATGTTCCATCATGAGAAAGAATTCAGCGATATTTCTCCCATTTGCTTTTGAAAGAAGAGAAATATGGCTCTGTTCTGCCCGGCTCACCAGCAGTCAGAGTTTAAGGCTATCTATCTTGTTTCCTAAACACTGCTGTTATCTTGTTCTTTTTTCAAAGTGCCCAGATTTCATATTGTTTAAACACACACGCTGTATAATTTGTGCAGTTAATGCAATTATTACAGGGTCCTGAGGCAATATACATCCTTCTCAGCTGACAGGATTAAGAGATTAAAGTAAAGACAGGCATAGGAAATCACAAGGATATTGACTGGGGAAGTGATAAGTGTCCATGAAATCTTCACAACTTATGTTTAGAGATTGCAGTAAAGACAGACATAAGAAATTATAAAAGTATTAATTTGGGGAACTAATAAATGTCCATGAAATCTTCACAATCCTTGTTCTTCTGCCATGGCTTCAGCCGGTCCCTCCGTTTGGGGTCCCTGACTTGCCACAACAGTTTTCTTTCTGAATATTAAACTTAACTGTGTGTCGTGTATTTTTATTTGCTGAGTCTGGCAACTCCAAAATAAAGTAGTCATGAGATCTGAAAACCTGGGCATACCCGAGTGAAATAGAACAAAAACCCATGAAGTCACATAGGTCGATCTGAGTGTAAAGAAGAATTCGCTTCTATTGGATACAGCACACACTTATCAATCTAAATGCAAAACTCAGCACTCACTATGAGACGTAGCAACCAGCTTGCCCTTCGGTTGAAGGTAAAGCCCCTGAGCACTCTCAGAAGGCAGATAATACAGATCAAGTTTATCTTCATTATCCTCACTTATATATTGGGGTATTCTTAATACTGTAAGCCACAAAGCATATGCACAATTATGGATGTTAGGGAAAACACCACCATTAATTAAATGGACCAGGAACCAAAGACTGATTATAAAGTCTATGGGCTTGATCAGACATTAGAAAAAGAAGAAAGATTGTCATGAGAGAAAGAAGCTATTTACAAACCTACTGCAAAATACGCATTAGAGAATATGCTATTTTGGGCAATATAATAATTATATATAAGTATATAATATTTAATATTTAGTGTTGCATTATTTTATCAATATTCTGATAGAGTTCTTTACAGTCTGCCTGACATATACTGAAGTATAAATCTATATCAGAAAAATAACACTTTGTTTTATTTTTACTAGATTAATGATAAAAAGTGTCATATTCTCATCAATTTTACCACCAGAGAGGGACCCCATCTCTCCTAAAAATACAAAAAAATTAGCTGGGCGTGGTGGTGGGCGCCTGTAATACCAGCTGCTCAGGAGACTGAGGCGGAAAAATTGCTTGAACCCGGGAGGTGACGGTTGCAGTGAGCTGACATCATGCCACTACACTCCAGCCAGAGCAACAGGGCAAGACTCTGTCAAAAAAATAATTCAAATCCCTCTCATTATACTTTGGTCTCTTGCACTTGGCCCAGCTATATTCTGCTGTTTTGTTCTGTTTTTTTTTTTTTTTTTTTTGCTCCATGCTTCTTAGCCTGGTGGCAGGGGTGAGGGAGTGAGGATATCTCTGATGTTCTGAGGGAGCCTCACACTTAAGCACTGTTAATTGGGGTATGGGGTTACTGACCTTCAAAGAATTTCCTGCCCCTCCTGTGGATGCAATGCCAGGACAAGAGCACATTCCTCTCTCTCCCTTGGTGGTAGAGAGGCTCCTTGTCCATGTTCCTAGCTTCCAGCTGAAGTGGGTCTGCAACAGTGCCCTGTAAATTAACACTTTAGTTTCTTTATGGGAGATGTATCTGTGCAGAGATGTGTGTGTTGGCCTTGTTTTTCCACACTCAGCTGTGGTGAGTTTTTCCCCAGTGTCCACTGGATCAGGTTTGGATGCTCTTTCTCTGCAGATTGGTCCTTGTGTTCTATATGACAGGTGGGAGAGCTCTGTCTCCAGAGCTGTAGCAGTAGATGGGATAGTGGTCTCTCCTTATCAGCACTGTGGGGAAAACATTCTCGGGATTCTACCCTTTCTTCTCTAACAGGCCTTGTAGTGTTCCTAGAAAAAATATACAGAAAAATGTAAACTCTATGTCTGTAGACTCCAGGGTTTCTCATTCTCCTCACCCACTGACACACAGCCACCAGGAACTAGTTCAAATGTTCTGGCTTAATTATACCAGTTCACCAGGGTGCACTTGAAAGCCTGGGGCCAGGCTCCTGCATGCCCTGATGTTGAGTTTGTTGTCTTCCCCATGACCTCAGTTCTCTAAAGGGCTCAGGAGAAATCGACCATGCGTTTGTAGTTTCTCCAGCTTTTTTGTTTGTTTGGTTGGTTAATGTGTAGGAACAACTCTTTTTGTCAGGTCTCTACATCTACAATCTTAACTCAGAAACTAATATTTTTAGATATATTTCTTTCCTGTTATACCTTTAGTGCTCCTCTGCCTATGCTACTTGTTCTTCAGTATTTTTATATTGTATGTCTTTATCTCTCTATTTTAAAACCAGGTTTAATTCCTTCTTAATCTAATTAACAACTTTTCTATTTTCTTTCATTTATTCTCCTACGTGACTTTCTTCTGAGGCATTTAAAGTATTGATGTGTGTTTCGAGTGCAGGAGGTCAGATTATACATTGACATTTGTCCTTGACCACTGCACATATCACTTCAGCCCTGATTACCTGAAGCCAGATCTACTCTTAACATGTATTAATTTTACTATTCAATAAATATTAAGTCATCATGAACTGTATATATTGTTGCAGTTGTAGGCTTTATGGACCTGAATAGACAATAAACTAAATAAAAACCAAATTACATGGCCTCAAGGGGTATAATTTTTGATTAATGTTTTGGTTAATGAAAACATTCTTGTCTTTCTGTGATTTGCAACCTTGAGTGATTGTCTTGAAATAGGAACCACAGTTGAAACTGAAGTAGTTAGGTGTTAGTGAGATTTTGATGGCTAGGAACATCAGGCTTATTTTATAACTGAAAGGGAAATGAGAACACGTCACCAGTTCCATATGATCACAATGCATTTGGAATAATCACCATGGCAACCCATGACTGTTGTATTTTGAGAGAGAAGAATTGGAAATATAATGACCAAGCATAAAGCTGACCCAATCTAACATAGATCTTTGTCTTTAACACATATCTGTAATATTCATGTAGGCAGTGTATAAATAACTTATCAGAATTATCATTTATGTGCAGGTTCTTCTTTAATTTTCAAGGTTTTGTTTCTCCAGTAGTGAGTGTGGTACTGAGCAAAAGGGGCTTGCTATGCAATGCACAATAAATTAACACTTTGACACTGTTTTTATTTTTTATTTTTTAAAAAGCTTTTATTATAAATTTTGTTAGTTTTAAATTTTTTTTAATGTCAATATCATTTGGGTACAAGTGGTTTTTGGTTACATGAATGAATTATATAGTGTTGGATTCTGAGATTTTAGTGCACTTGTCACCTGAGTAGTATATATTGTACTCAACAGGTAGTTTTTTCATCCTTCATCCACCTGCCACCCTCATGTCTGAGTCTCCAAAGTCCATTATGTCACCCCGCATGCCTTTGCATACGCATGGCTTAGCTCCAACTTATAAGTGAGAACATATGGCATTTGATTTTTAATTCCTGAGTTATTTCACTTGGAATAATGGCCTCCAGCTTCATTCAAGTTGCTGCAAAAGACATTATTTCATTCCTGAGGTGCTGACCTCAGGTTTACTGGACACGTCTCAGAGACAGGGCAGGGGATGAGGGCAAGACCCCTCTAAGGCACTCCCCCACACCCTATCACTCCTGCTCTTAAAGGACCCCTGAAGGGCACTGAAGGGGTTGGACTTCTCAGTGCAAGCCAACACCCACACCTCCGAGTACCAACAGCCCCAGAGAACAGCAGGGGTCCTCAATCCTGAGCACCCCTCCAAGGAGGTCAGGAGAACAAGCCTTAAGCCAGAGAGTGAAGAGGATCAGTGTCTCGGACCCAGAGAGGATTCAGGGAAAGGGCACAGGAGGGACCCCAGTCCAGAGCCAGACAGAGTTCAGCTGAATGTGGGAACTCATGCCATGGAGTGGATAGCCCTGGATGACTGAAGAGCCCAGTGCCCAGGGGCGTCTCACCCACTGTGGAGACAGGCCCTTATATTAGGTGGCAATGGGGCCACCTGAGTTCTGGACCATGGCTCAAGCCCAGGCCAAGCAGCCCTGGAGTAAGGGCATGAGGCAGGGGGCCCCAAGCCAAGTTGAACACTGGGGTACCGTCCCTGGAGCAGCCTGGGGTACCCTGACAGCACCCATGCCCCAGTCTGCACACACCCCTTGTTCTGAAATTAACAGCCTGCAGGGGTGTCCTCAGTATCAGAACTAGTGGGCCACACAAAGCCCTGGAGGACTCTACAAACCCAGGTCCATGGGGAGCAGCCCTGTAAGGGCCAGATGGCTGGGTGGAAAAGCTGACCAAGTCTTCCTTCCTTTCAGCCAAATCTGGAAGAAAGGCACCTTGCCTAGAGCAGTGTTCCTGGTACCCAGGCCTCTGTGGGCATCCTTCAGCACAAAGACCCTCTCCAAGGGGGGATGGGCTGGCCCTCCCAGGACCACCAACCCACTTCCAGAAGCCCATGGGTCATCCCCACCTTCACCTGACTGGGCTGTCCCTGACGCTAAGGCCCAGCAGCACGAAGGGGATTCCACACAAATCAGGGCAGTAGGCTGCTCTCTGGCGGCACTGGGGGCTTAGGGTCTGGCCAGCCTGTCCCTGGCTCAGGACACATGCCTGGAAATTAGGGTTTTCTCCTCTGCTCTTAGCATCTCCTGGGTAAACCAATAATTACTCTCCCTCATGTCTCAAAATTCACATCTATCTAAAAGGCGCTAGTGAGGGTGACATTTCCAGGAAGCCATAGCCCATGTCACCCCCTGCAAAGCTGTGACCTTTTCCGCGGGCAGGCCAGGCGGCGGAGTTCTCCCAAAAGCGGATGAACTGGCACTCTGGCTGGAGAAAGCAGAGAGCAGCAGCACAATGGACAGCGTCTGGGACCTCAGGCCGATTCCACAGCAGCTTAGGAAAGCAGGAGGCCCCCTGGGCGGGAGGAGGCTTGATGCTCTGGAGGGAAACGGAACTGAGCAGCGGGAGGTGGGGTGAGCCTGAGACCCGACCGATTTTGGCAAAGGCGAGGCGCACTTTGCAGTATCATACTCTCCTCACTGCCCAGCCCAGACCTGCCCTTCAAGTCCCTCTATGGACTCACTCCCCTTAGCCAGGGGTGGCACAGATTCAGTAGCCAGCATGGGTTTGGAAACAGAGGTCAACACCGCCCTGCCCCTCCCTGCGGGGCTGCGCAACACCCTTGAACCCTGCGCATGCTGAGACTGTAGTCCCATAGCCCTGCGACCAACGGCCGGAAGCAGCTAAGACACTATTACCAGCATGCCCGGCAGGAGGGCACCGCGCTGCCCCCCCCCCTCAAGGGACCAGCATCATCCCCACTCCCGTAGCATACTGGGATTGTAGTCCCGCAGCTCTGCCACCAACAGCCAGAAGCAGTTAAAAAACTGTTCCTCTCAGCATGCCCTGCAAGGCGCGCACCGCTGCTGTACCTCCCTTAACGTATCCGTAACCTCCCTCAACGTATCCGTACCTCCCTCAACGTATCCATACCTCCCTCAAGGTATCCGTACCTTCCTCAAGCTATCCGCACCACCCTCTCTTCCATTTCATGCGAAGATTGTAGTCCCGCAGCCCTGCGACCAGCGGCCGGAAGCAGCTAAGATGCTACTGCTCCCAGCATGCCCCGCGAGGCGCGCACAGCACAGGCCCTCTCTCAAGGTCACCACCTCCACTCCCGTTGTATGCTGGGATTGTAGTCCGGCCGCCCTGTGACTAACGGCTGGAACCGCCTAAGACACCACCCCAGCCAGCATGGCCGGCAGGAGCGCACCGCGCTGTCTCCCTCCAGGGATCCGCACCGCCCTACAATCCTGCTTTGTGCTGAGATTGTAGTCCTGCAGGCGTACAACTAACAAGCTGGGTGCAGATAAGAGACTACAGCTCCCCGCATCCCAAGCAAAGGTCCCTCCTCTACGGAGCCCCTCCACGCGTCCACTGCGGTTCCGCCGTGCCAAGGGGAGCTTGGCTGTTCACGGGCCTCACCTGCTAGCGAGAAGATAGCTTGGCCGGGCGGCTGATCTCACCTTGTAATTCTGACACTGTGTCTCCCGGGCTTGTCGGCTTCATGACTTGTGCCCAAAGTTTGATTTCTCGCAGACCAGGTAAAAGCCAAGAGGCTCTCATAGGCGCCTTGGCAGAGTTGCCATTGGAACGGGCGTCCTCTAGTAGCTGGGATCTCCCCGCCCCTTCCTCCTGAGGGGCCACTCCTTTCTGCCCCACCCTTCTTATTGCCCCACCCTTTGCCACACTCCTTCAGAGATGCGCAGTGCTGCCCCTTTCTATGGGCAGGGCCGAAGGTCCGCGTGTAAAAGTACCCAGTCCCTGGTAACCTGACACTTCCCTTTTAAAAGCCACCTTTTGTCTATCTCTGGCCTGCCACGATTCTTCCTGTGCTCCATAGGAGGACCCATTGGACCCCCGGGCTGGCTGCAGGGCCCACACCTGGGTTAGACCTCGCACAGGGACGCTGCTGCCACTGTAATAAAGCGTGCCTACACGCTTCTGAAACTGGTGTAGGAACAACCTCAGTTCTGTGAAAGGCGGACGCAGCAGGACAGAATCTCCGTGGACATCTGTCTGGAGGAGCAATTTTACTGCGACATTTTAAAGAAACAAATTTAATTGATTTCCAAGGTAAGAAATTAAACCTTGAAAACTAAACTGAAAAGTCATCTGTGTTTGACAAGTCAGACTTTCTCCAAGAAGAAAACTAAGGAGTGCATATTTTCCATTATTATAAATAGTGAAAATGAGAAATCATAGCAACTCCCTGGAAAATCTTGCTCTGCCAGTTTTCTAAATCACAGTAGGGCCTCGATATGGTTTTATTTGTTTTTGTTTTTGTTTTGGAGTGTGTTCACCTTTTGAATATAAGAATTTGCGGTTTTGACCAAGTTTTTAAATTTTCAGCTATTGTTTATTTGTTTTTGTATTATATTTAATTTTTCTGTCTCTCCCTCTCTGTCTCAGACTCAATCATTTCACAGGTCTCTTAGGCCTCTTTTCATTTTCTTTAAACTTGTTTCAGTCTTCAGATTGGATGGTTTATATTGCTGTCTTCTGTTTCTACTCTGTAAACTAAAAGTTCTTTTTATTTTATTATTTTATTGTCTTCTATTTTACTCTTTTTATAATTTCCATGTCTCTGCTGAGACTCTACATGAGTTAATTCATTATGAGAATATTTTCCTTTACCCCCATGAACGTACTTATAATAGCTGCCCTGAAATACTTGTCTGCTGATTACATCATCTCGGACATCTTAGAAATAGCTTCTGCTGCCTGCTTTTTATCTTGTGTATAGTTTGCATGTTACATTTCTTCACACATTTTATGAATTTTAATATTGTGTAATAGAAATTATAAATATTAGTTATAGAGACTAAATTCTGTTGTATTCTTTGGAAGAGCATTGTTATTATTTGAAGAGGGGGTAAATGTGGCTGAATTCAAACAGAATAATTATCTTCCCTACGGTGGGAAAGGTTGAAATTCTCATTCAGTCACACACACGTATGTATGTATTGTATATAGATGAATGTTTCTATGTAACTATATATAATATTTTATCCAGATTGTATCATTGTTATCTGTGAGAGTGTTAGTTTAGCAAGCTACTCCAGTATTACCGGAAGCCAGAACTTCAGTTTTGTTTTCTTACTGGATTTTATGTAAATGAGAGTATCTACTATGGATAGTTTTACACCTACTTTTTCTTTTTTTCTTTTTTAGTTATTTGAGACAGAGTCTCGCTCTGTCACCAGGCTGTACAGTGCCGTGGCCTGTCTCGGCTCACTGCAACCTCCACCTCCTGGGTTCAAGCGATTCTTATGCCTCAGCCTCCCAAGTATCTGGGACTACAGGCATGCGCCACCACGCCCAGCTGATTTTTGTATTTTTAGTAGAGACGGGGTTTCACCATGTTGACCAGGATGGTCTCAATCTCTTGACCTCGTTATCCGGCTGCCTCCTCCTCCCAAAGTGCTGGGATTACAGGCGTGAGCCACCATGCCTGGCCACATCTACTTTTTTAAATGTGTCATTATATTTGTGATATTGTCATGATGTTTTCTACTTATATTTTATTCAAAAATTTTATACTTTAAGTTCTTACCTTTAGGTCTTTGATGCATTTTTATTTGTTTATGGTGTAGGGTAAATGTTCAACTTCATCCTTTTGCTTGTGGATATCCATTTTTTCCCAGCACCAATTGTTATAAAGACAGTCCTTTGCCCATTGAACGGTCTTTGTATCCCCATCAAAAATTATTTGACCATATGCTGCTTTATACTGTTCCAGTGTCCATATGTGTGTCTCTTTGCCAGTACCACACTATTTTGGAACTTTGTATTAAGCTTTGGAATGAATAAGTGTACATTTTGTAACACTGGACTTCTTTTTCAAGATAATTTTGACTCATTGGGGTCCCTTGAGATTCCATATGAAATTTAGGTAGGATTTTTCTATTTCTGCAAAATAGAATTTTTTGCTTTTTTTGTTACTCCCGACGTATTTTATTCTTTTCAGTGCTATTGTAAATGTGCTTGTTTGCTTAGTTTTGTTTTCTAATTATTCATCATTACTGTATAGAAACACAAGTGATATTTGCATGTTAATTTTGTATGCTGCTACTATGCTGAATTTATTAGTTGTAATACTTTTTGTGTGGATCTGTGAAATCTCTAGAGCTTTCCACATAAAATTATATTATCTGTAGGCTAGAGTAATTTTACCTCTACATTTCCAATTTGGATAGTTTGTTTCTTTTTAATTCTTAATTTGACTAGAACTTCCAACACTATGTGGAATAGAAATAGCAAAAGCAGACACCTTTGCCTTGTTCCTGAGCTTAGAGCAGAAGCTTTTTGTCTTTCACCCTGGAGTACATTGTTTGATGTGGTTTTTTAATGTGTGGATTTCACAATGGTAGTATTTTAGTTTTAAAATTCCTACTTTTTTGAGTGTTTTCACCCTGAAAAGATTTTGAATTTCATAAAATACTTTTCTCTGCATCCATGAGGTGATCAATGTTTCTTTTATTTTGTTAATGTGTACACATTGATCAATTTTTATATGTTAAAAAATTCATGTTTTAAGATATCCTTGCATTCTAAGAATAAATTGCACTTGGTCGTGGTGAGATCATCTTTCTTTTTTTTTAAATTTTATTATTATTATACTTTAAGTTATAGGGTACATGTGCACAATGTGCAGGTTAGTTACATATGTATACATGTGCCATGCTGGTGTGCTGCACCCATTAAATTGTCATTTAGCATTAGGTATATCTCCTAAAGCTATCCCTCCCCGCTCCCCCCACCCCACAACAGTCCCCAGAGTGTGATGTTCCCCTTCCTGTGTCCATGTGTTCTCATTGTTCAATTCCCACCTATGAGTGAGAATATGCAGTGTTTGGTTTTTTGTTCTTGCGATAGTTTACTGAGAATGATGATTTCCAATTTCATCCATGTCCCTACAAAGGACATGAACTCATCATTTTTTATGGCTGCATAGTATTCCATGGTGTATATGTGCCACATTTTCTTAATCCAGTCTATCGTTGGACATTTGGGTTGCTTCCAAGTCTTTGCTATTGTGAATAGTGCCGCAATAAACATACGTGTGCATGTGTCTTTATAGCAGCATTATTTATAGTCCTTAGGGTATACACCCAGTAATGGGATGGCTGGGTCAAATGGTATTTCTAGTTCTAGATCCCGGAGGAATCACCACACTGACTTCCACAATGGTTGAACTAGTTTACAGTCCCACCAACAGTGTAAAAGTGTTCCTATTTCTCCACATCCTCTCCAGCACCTGTTGTTTCCTGACTTTTTAATGATTGCCATTCTAACTGGTGTGAGATGGTATCTCATTGTGGTTTTGATTTGCATTTCTCTGATGGCCAGTGATGGTGAGCATTTTTTCATGTGTTTTTTGGCTGCATAAATGTCTTCTTTTGAGAAGTGTCTGTTCATGTCCTTCTCCCACTTTTTGATGGGGTTGTTTGTTTTTTTCTTGTAAATTTGTTTGAGTTCATTGTAGATTCTGGATATTAGCCCTCTGTCAGATGAGTAGGTTGCAAAAATTTTCTCCTATTTTGTAGGTTGCCTGTTCACTCTGATGTAGTTTCTTTTGCTATGCAGAAGCGCTTTAGTTTAATTAGATCCTATTTGTCAATTTTGGCTTTTGTTGCCATTGCTTTTGGTGTTTTAGACATGAAGTCCTTGCCCATGCCTATGTCCTGAATGGTAATGCCTAGGTTTTCTTCTAGGGTTTTTATAGTTTTAGGTCTAGCAGAGCCCTCAGAAATAACACCACATATCTACAATTATCTGATCTTTGATAAACCTGAGAAAAACAAGCAATGGGGAAAGGATTCCCTATTTAATAAATGGTGCTGGGAAAACTGGCTAGCCATACGTAGAAAGCTGAAACTCGATCCCTTCCTTACACCTTATACAAAAATTAATTCAAGATGGTGAGATCATCTTTCTAATATGCTGCTGAATTTTATTTGCTGGAATTTTGTTGAGTTTTGCATCTGTGTTCATAAGGGATAATTAATCTGTAGTTTTCTGTAGTGTCTTTTTCTGGCTTTGATATACGGTAATGCTGAGATTGTGGAATGAGTTTGGAACTGATCTCTCCTTTTCAATTTTTTGGAAGAGTTTGAAAAAGATTTTCAGTCTTTCAAAATGTTTGGTAGAATTAACTACTGAAGCCATCAGGTCAAGGGCTTTTCTTTGTCAGCAGGTTTTTGATTTTTGATTTGATTTCCTTATAAGTTATGGATCAATTCAATTTTTCTATTCTTGGTAATCAAGTCTTGCTAGGTTTTTTATACCTAGAAATTTGTCCATTTCATCTAGATTGTTCATTTTGTTGTCACACAGTTGTTCACAGTACACTCTTTAAAACATTTTATTTCTTAGAATCAGGCAGGCAGATCATGAGATCAGGAAATTGAGACCATTCTGGCCAATATGGTGAAACCCTGTCTCTACTAAAAATACAAAAATCAGCTGGGCATGGTGGTGCATGCTTCTAATCCCAGCTACTTGAGAGGCTGAGGCAGGAGAATCGCTTGAACCTGGGAGGCGGAGGTTGCAGTGAGCTGAGATCGGGCCACTGCACTCCGGCCTGGTGACAGAGCGAGACTCTGTCAAAAAAAAAAAAAAAAAAAGAAGAATTAGTAGTAATGTCCCCATCTCATTTCTCATTCTACTATTTTGAGTATTCTGTAATTTTTTTCATAGTGTAGCTAGAAGTTTGTGAATTTGTCAACATTTTTGAAGAACCAAGAACCAACTTTTGGTTTTGTTGGTTTTCTGTTTTTCTGGTCTCTATTTTCTTTATCTCTACTAAGATCTTCATTATTTTCTTCTTTCTGTTTATTTCGTGCATAGTTCATTCTTTTTCTAATTTGTTAGGTCATAAAGTTAGGTTATTGATTTGAGACCCTTCGTCTTCTTCTTCTTCTTCTTCTTCTTTTTGTTTTGTTTTTTTGACAGAGTCTCACTCTGTTGCCGAGGCTGTAGTGAAGTGGTGCAATCTCAGCTCACTGCAACCTCCACCCGCTGAGTTCAAGCGATTCTCCTGCCTCAGCCTCCTGAGTAGCTTGGATTACAGATGCCCGCTACCATGCCCGGCTAATTTTTGTATTTTTAGTAGAGACAAGGTTTCACCATTTTGGCTAGGCTAGTTTCAAACTCCTGACCTCAGGTGATCCACCTGCCTGGCCTCCCAAAGTGCTGGGATTACAGGCATGAGCCACCACGCCCAGCCAAGGCCCTTCTTTAATGTGTTTATAGCTATAAATTTCTGATCTTCACACTGCTTTTGTGCATCTCATAACTTTTGGTATGTTGTATTTTCATTTTCCATTCTCTGTATTTTTTAATTTCCCTTGAGTTTTTTTCTTTTACTTATTGGTTGTTTAAGAGTATGTTAAATTTTACAACTTTGTGAGTGTTTTAGTTTTCCTTCTGTTATTGACTTGATTTGTGACATAACATACAGTCCATCCTGGAGAATGTCCATGTGTGATCCATGGACATTGAGAATAGTGTGTATTCTTCTGTTGTTGGGTGGAGTATCCTGTATATGTATCTGTTAAATTTAGTTGGTTTGTTGTATTATATAAGCCATTTATTTCTAACTTATCTTCTATCTGGTGATTCTGTT
Organism: Homo sapiens; assembly: GCF_000001405.40. NCBI lineage: Eukaryota > Metazoa > Chordata > Mammalia > Primates > Hominidae > Homo > Homo sapiens. The sequence continues at coordinate 27,787,445 of NC_000019.10, read as the reverse complement.
CATTACAGAGAGTGGAGTATTATCATCTCTATTATTTTAGAACTGTCGACTTCTCCAATTCTGTCGACTTCTCTCTTCAATTCTGTCGATTTGTGCTTCATATATTTTAGTGGTTTATTATTAGGTACATGCATGCTTATAATATTTATATCTTCTTGCTAAAGGGACTTTTGTGAATACACAGTGTCTTTGTATTTTTATGTAAGATTTTTGATTTTAAGTCTATTTTGTCTGATATTAATATAGCCAACCCAAATCTATTTTGCTTACTGTTTGCACGAAATATCTGTTTTCTTCCTTTTACTTTCAGCCTAGTTGTATCTTTGAATCTAATGTGAATCTTGTAAAAACAAGATAGTTAGATCATGTTTTATAGTCTGTTCTGCTGATTTCTGCCTTTTAATTGGATAGTTTAATACATTTACATTTAAAATAATTACTTAAAAGTAGAGAGTTCTGTCCTTTTGCTATTTGTTTTCTGTATATCTTACATCTTCTAGTTTTGTATTTTCTACATTATTTCTTCTTGTTTGGTTGATTTTTTCTGGTGAAACATTTACACTTTTTATTTTCTTTTGTGTATATTCTATGGCTTTTTTGTGATTACGATCATGGGGATGACATTTAACACCTGAGTTTATTTATTTTAATTGCTGCATAGGACTATATTCAGTCACATATTTGTAACTAGTATAATTTTTAAATCCAGTCTACTTTTGATAGTAATCATTGGGATATTTTTTATACTTTATTTTTTTGGTAAGTATCAAGTTTACATAAATATTAAGTGGAAAGCACAGAGTTTCCATGTATCCTCTCCCTGCACCCAGCTTCTCCTCTGTTATTAACACCTTACTTTGGTGTGGCATATTTTTACTGTTAATGAACTAATATAGAAAAGTTATTATTAGCTGAAATCTAAAGTTTGCATTCAAATTCATGGTTTTTTTTATTTTAAAATCTATGGATTTTGACAAATGCATAATGACATGACATGTATCCACCATTACTGCATTATGCAGAATAGTTTTGCTGTCTTAAAATATATGCTGTACCCCACCTATTCATCTCTCCCTTCTTCCCCCCAAACTTGGGGATACCACAGATCTTCTTACTGTCTCCTTGGTTTTGCCTTTTACAGAATGTCATATACTTGGAATCATATAGCATGTAGCCTTTTCAGATTTCCTTCTTTCCCAACCATATGCACTTAAGGTTCCTCATATCTTTTCAAGGCTTGACAGCTCATTTCTTTTTATCAGTGAATAATGTTCGTTGTATAGTTGCACCCCAGTTAGTTTATTCATTTACCTATTGAAGAATATCTTGGTTGGTTTCATGTTTTGGCAATTATGTATAAAACTCTTCTTAATAGTAGGGTGAAGAGTTTTGTGTAGATGAAAGTTTCCACCTCTTTTGGATAAAGGCCACAGAGTGTGATTGCTGGATTGCACTTAAATGTATGTGTAGCTCTGTAAGAAACCGGCAAACTGTCTTCCAAACTGGTCATAGCACTTTGCATATTCACCCGCGATAAATGAGAGTGCTTGTTACTCTATATCCTCACCAGCATTTAGTGTAGTCATTGTTTTGGATTTTAGCCATTCTAATATGTGTGTGGCAGTATGCCATTGTTATTTTCAATTTCCTAATGACATATGATGTTGAGCATATTTTCATATGCTTATTTGCCATGCTTATATGTTCTTTAGTAAGGTATCTGGATCTTTTGCAATTTTATAATTGGGTTGTTCATTTCTTATTCTTGCGTTTTAAGAGTTCTTTATTTCTTGTCGCATATTCTGGATACCAGTCTTTTATCAGTTATGTGTTTTGCAAATATTTTCTTTTATTCTGTGGTTTGCATTTTTATTCTTTTAACAGCATCTTTGGCAGTGCAGAAATGTTATTTTTAAAATAGTTCAACTTAGCAGATTTTCCTTTCATGGATAATATTTTGGGTGTTGTAGAAAGGAGCAAAACCTGAGGTAATTCAGATTCTGATCTTTGTTATTTTCTAAAAGTTTTGTGGGTTTTCCTTTTATATTGAGCTATGATCCATTTTGAGTAATTTCTGTGAAAGTTGTTAGGTCTGGGTTTAGGATTTTTTTTTTCTTTTCTCTTGCATGTGGATGTCTAGTTTTTCCAGTACTGTTTTTTGAAAAATTATTCTCTCTCAATTGAATTGCCTTTGCCATTTCATCAAAAATAAGCTGACTATATTTGTGTGGGTCAATTTCCGACCTTTCTCTTTTGTATCGTTTATCTGTTTCTCTATTATTTTTAACAGTACCATGTTATTTTGATTACTGTAGCTTTATAGTAGTTCTTACAGTTGGGTAGTGTCATTCCAACTGTTCTTTTTGAATATTTTCTGGGCTATTCTGGGTCTTTTGCCTTTTCATATAAACTTTAGGGTCAGTTTGTCAATATCCACAAACTAACTTTGTGGAATTTTGATTGGGACTGCATTGAACATGTAAAGTTGGGAGGTACTGACATTTTAACAAAGTTGAATGTTTCTTGAATGTGAATTTTCTCTCTATTTATTTAGATCTTCTTTGATGTTTTTATTCACAGTTTTGAAGTGAATAAAGTCCTATATTTATATTTATTTTGTTAGATTTGCACTTAAGTATTTTATTGTTATTGGTACTAGCATAAATATCATTGTTTTAAATTTCAGATTCTAATTACACTGCTAATATGTAGGACAATAATTGACATTTACATTTTCTTATAATTTGCAAAGTTGGTATAATTGCTCATTATAATTGGTTATTCTAAGATTTTGTTTTGTGATCCTTTCAGATTTCTCCATAGGCAATTATATCATCTGTGTAAAAAGACAGTTTTATTTCTTCCTTCCTAATCTATGTACCTTTTCTATTCTTGTCATTGTATTACCTGGGGCTTACAGTATAATGTTGTATAGGAATGGTGAGAGGAGACATCTTTGCCTTGCTCCTGATCTTAGCAGGAAGGCATCTAGTGTTTCTACATTTAGTATGAGGTAAGATGTAGGTTTTTTTTAATAAACATTCTTTTGAAATTGAGGAAGTTTTTCCCTATTTTTAGTTTGCAGAGTGGTTTTCTCATGAATAGATTTTGAATTTTGTCAAATAATTTTTCTGATTATATTGATAAGATCATATTATCTTTTTATATCTCTTAATATGATGAACTAATTTCTTTAAAAGACAGAGTCTTGCTATGTTGTCTGCGCTTATCTTGAACTCCTGGCCTTAAGTGATCCTCTTTCCTTGGCCTCCTACTGCACTGGGATTACCGGTATGAGCCACCACACCCAGCCTAATTTATATTCAAATGTTGAACCAGATTTGCATGCCTGTAATAAATCTCACTGGGTTGTAGTGTATAATTCTTTTTATACATTTTTGGATTTGATTTCTTAATATTTGGGTGAGGATTTTTGCATCTTTGTTCACAGAGTAATAGAATAGAATTATAATAAGCACTCTGATAGAAATCAGTTTCGTTCCTGCAACTATCCCTAGAAAAATACAATAGTTGGCAGAAAAGGAAAAAAATAGATGGAATAAATTATAAATTAAGTGGAGAAGAGAAAAATAATCTGCAGAAGTAAATTGTCAACCAGTTTGAAATCAGGTAAAATGTAGATTCATGATTTCTACTCTTTCTGAATAATTGTACAATTCTGTGCAATAGGAGCTTCTGTCAGTGCAAATATGGAGTCACCTATGGAAGAGCTTTGCTCAAACCAGCCCCCTGACAGCCAGTCCCTCAGGCCCAGAAGTCATGAATCGTTCCTCCAATAAGTCATTCAGTTGGCTGGCAGCAAACACTGTTAAGATTCTGGATGGCAGCTGCATTTCATATTAGATTTTAACAGAAACTCATGATGAAAAGTCTTTAAGACCTAAACGTCCAAGTATATTATTGTATAATTTTGAGTATTAGAAAATCAGTAGGATGTTCTTTCAGCATTTCTGAAATAACAGTGCAAAAATAGCTCCAGCTTCATAAGGCCAACCTTTGGTATCTGTGTTCTGCAAAATAGGGTAAGCAAGATGCCACAAAAGCCAGGTTGTATGTGTAATTATCTTCGCTACAACAACAGGACTATCACACTTTAAGCAACCCTGTGGGTCTTTAAAATAAAAAAAAATGTAAGACGTAAAGAAAAACTTTCTTGAGAGAGAACATTTTACAAATCAGAGGAAAATCTTGCAGAACTTTTACATTTTATAACAAATAAATTATATGCTCTATTGTTTTCCTCTGAGTACATCATCAGTACTTCCATAATACTTTTAATGTTTAACTTGAGAAAACCAGTAGCTTAAAAAAACACAAAGGCACAGTAAAAATCCTAGATATGTAGAATTAATATACATATATTTTTAGATGGAGTCTCGCTCTGTCGCCAGGCTGCAATGCAGTGGCGCTCTCTCGGCTCACTGCACCCTCTGCCTCCCAGGATCAAGTGATTCTCCTGCCTCAGCCTCCCAAGTAGCTGGGACTACAGGCGCATGCCACCACACCCAGCTAATTTTGTATTTTTAGTAGAGACAGGGTTTCACCATGTTGGCTAGGAAGGTCTCAATTTTGACCTCATGATCCGCCCACCTCAGCCTCCCAAAGTGCTGGGATTACAGGCATGAGCCACTGTACCCAACCAGAATTAATTTTCATAAGCTGATAAAGAAATAACACACCAGTGTCTTCTCAGGGAAAAGCTTTTAAGCAAAGCAATCATTTCTGGTAGGGATTATAGAAGAGGGAGTTATCATGATGAAATGGTGGAACTAATCCAGGACATTCCAGATTTTGATTATTGACAAAAGAATTTAATCAGTTGCCCAGGAATACTACTTGGAAATCCAACTTGAATTATTATTCTTAGAAACATTTCTGAAACTTTCCCTTTGGAAACAAGTTTTTATCTTAAGATATACCAGACAATAGAAGAAAAAAATGAAACAGCAGGCAGAGGAAGATGAATCTTGCTTAGGCAGGGACTGAGAGGAAATTAGTGCCCGTGGACCACATCTCTGAGTCCACTGTGTGACAGCTTTCTCCAGGACCACATGTGCTCCACTGAACAAGAAGAGTCCACCTTCACCTTATTCCCTGCCAATGTCAAAATTAAAATGAAACAGCCTAATATGAGAATCAGAGTATATAACAAAACTTCCGTTACATTTAAAGCATGCAAAGTATTTAATTGTAAATTCAAACAGTGGAAAAACAAATTTGCTTGCCTCCTGACTAAAACATTATTCTTTTATGAGAACATAGTCTGTGATTGCTAATCTCATCACCAGGGATAACCAGTTTAGCATGGCATAGAACCACCTCTGTGCAGAGGTAAATATGCATTTATTTTTATAAAACAAAGATTATACTCTGTACTTTTATACCACACTTTTAAAATACCTGTTGTTATTGTGATCATTTTATAATTATTTGAAAGAACCTCAATGGCTATACATTAAATCAAAATAACATTTCATAATTTCACAATTTTCCTACTGGACACTGAGTTTGCTTTCATGGAAGTTCATATTTGTATGATAATTTGAGGGAAGTTTCTCTGCCTCACTAGATTAAAAACTTTGTGTTTAATGTTTGTTCACTGTTGTACTCTTATTTCATAGGAGTACCTGAAACATATCAGGTAGACTGCAGCATCTGTTGAATGAAGGAATCTCTCCTTCAAATCTTGGCTAAAATCAGCCTTATCTACAAAAGTTTCTGACCCTCACTTTAATTATAAACCTCTTTCTCTTCTATAATTTGCTTCTCTAGCTGTTTTTTGGGACTCCCTGGCAGGGAAAATACATATAGCAATGCTTTCTACACTATTTAAAACCACCAGAGATCAGGCACACTACCCCTGATGAGGCTTGTGCCACTAGAAAGGAAAGGCAGGTTTGTGAGATTGATCTCTCTCAAAATATTTGTTTTCAATCCCCATATTATCAAATATGCACCCAAAGTGGAAACGAGGACTGGAAAGAATAAATACATCAAAAATATAACCAGACCGTGCATGGCAGGTCATGCCTGTAATCGCAGCAGTTTGGGAGGACAAGGCTGGAGAATTGCTGCCCAGGAGATGTGAGACAACACCTCTAATAATAATTATTATTATAATTAAAGTTAAAAAAGAAACATCTCTCCTCAAAAGATAAGTAGATAGATAGGTATATAGATAGGAGCCAGGCACAGTGGCTCACGCCTGTAATAGCAGCAGTTTGGGTAGTCGAGGCAGGAGGATTGCTTGAGTGCAGGAGTTCGAGATCAGGCTGGGCAACATGGCAGAACCCAGAACCCTGTCTGTACATACATACACATAAAAAATAAAAATAAAATAAACATAACAATAACAAAGAAACAATAACAAACAATAATAGAACAATAAACAACCAAATAAGTGGGAATGAACTAAGGTAAATAGGCAATTAAGATCATAATTGTTGTCTCTCTCTCTCTCTCTGTCCCTTTCTCTCTCTCTCTCTCTCTCGATCTTTGTGTGTCACACTGTCACACCCAGGCTGTAGTGCAGATGTGCAATCATGGCTCACTGCTGATCGCACAAGCTGCACTCCAACCAGGGTGTGACAGAGTGAGAAGACCTAGCCCTCACCCCCCAACAAAAAAATCTAAAACATTAACTTCAGTGTGCAGGAAGGAGTGTAAAAAACTTAAAACAGAGAGAGAGAGCAAAGAACAAAGGAAAAAAGCAGCAACCCCCTCTAAGTATTGTGGAAGCAAACTGAAAATTGTCCGAGTAGTCCCAGCTACTCGGAAGGCTGAGATGGGAAGACCACCCAGGCAAGACCAGGGAGATCGAGGCCACAGTGAATCACGATCACATGTCTCTGTTGGACCTGAGCAGTACTGCCGGTGGTGAGAACCGTCTGGTCGACCTTAGATGTAGCAAGCTAGCAGCTAGGTCCAGTACCCACAGCCGACACCTGTCTCAAAATAAATAAACAAAAAAACACAACAGTAAATATTTAACAATAACAAAGAAATAATAACAAACAATAATAAGACCAATAAATAAGTGGGAGTGAACAAAGGTAAAAGATAATTATCACAATTAAAATCTTCTCTCTTTCTCTCACACTCTGGCTGGAGTGTGACAAAAAGAAAAAATCTGAAAGGTAAACTTCAGCATGCAAAAAGGAGCATAGGAAAATAGAGAAGAACGTAAAACCTAAAACAATAGCAAGTCACTCTAAGTACTGTGGAAACAAACTGAAAGTTGGATTAGAAGAGAAAAAAAAAGAGGAAGTTGAGACCAGCCTGGGCAACATGGCAGAACCTCTAACCCTGTCTTTACACATACTTCCCCATCAAACATTTAAAAATACAAAAATTAGCCTGGTGTAGTGGGACATGCCTGTAGTCCTAGCTGCTCAGGAGGCTGAGGCAGAAGAACCACTTGAACCCATTAGGCAGAGGTTGTGGTGAGCCAAGATCACACCATTGCTCACTCTAGCCTGGCCGATGGAGCAAGACTCTGTCTCAAGACATGAAAATAATAATAATAAAAAAAGTAGAAGTAAAAAATACAAAAGTCAACTGGTGTGGTGGCTTGTGTCTGTAGTCTCAGGTACTGGGGAAAGGGGAGGCATTGGAGGCGTGAGGATTACTCAAGTCCAAAGGGTTGAGGCTGCAGTCATTCTGGGTGACAGAGTGAGACCCTTTCTCCAAACAAACAAACAACATAACAATAACAAAAATATAATAAACAATAATAGAACAATAAACAGCCAAATAAGTGGGAGTAAACAAAGTTAAAGGTAATTAATATCACACTTAAGATCTCTCTCTCTATATATATTTGTCAAACCCAGTATGTAATGTGTCAAAAAAACTCTAAAAGGTTAGCTTCATCGCGCAGGAAGGGGCGTAGGAAAATAGAGTAAAGAACAAAGGAGGAAAACAACAGCAAGTCACTGTAAGTACTGTGAAAATAAACTGAAAGTAGGGCTAGAAAAAAAACAGAGAATGTCCGAGTAGTCTGATGGAATTGGGAGTCTGAGATGAGAAGGCCACCCAGGTGAGACCAGGGAGATTGAGGTCACAATGAATCACGATTGCATCTCTCTGCTGGACCTTAATGGTACTGTAATGGACAAGAGCCATGTAGCTCTTAGATGTGGCAAAGTGAGAGCCTTCTGTTCGTCCTTAGACTTGGCAAGCTGCTGGCTAAGTCCAGTGCTTATGGCCGATATTCGTCTCAAAATAAATAAACAAAAAATACAAGAGTGAATTCTTAACAATAACAAAGAAATAATAACAATATGAAAGATCAATAAATAAGTGGGAATGAAGGTAAAAGGTAATACCACAATTAAGACCTTCTCTCTCTCTCTTTCTTTCTCTCTATTTGTCACACCTAGGCTTGAGTGTGATTAAAAAAAAAAAATTAAAAGGTAAACTTCACCGTGCAGGAAGAAGCATAGGAAAAGAGAGAGAGAAAAGAACAAAGAAAAAAAAGAATAGCAAGTCTCTCCAAGTACTATGGAAACAAACAGAAAGTGGAATTAGGAAAAAAGAGAGGAAGAAGGTCTGAGTAGTCCAAGGGACACGGGAGGCCAGTTGGGAAGACCGCCCGGGCGAGACCAGGAAGATCAAGGCCACAGTGAATCACGATCCCATCCCTCTGCTCAACCTGAATTGTACTGCTGCTGGCGAGAGAGATCTGGTCGACCTTAGACATGGCAAGGCGAGAGGTGAGGTCCATCAGGTCGACCTTAGTCCAACGCTCACAGCCGACATCTCTCTCAAAATAAATAAACAAATCCAACAGTAAATATTTAACAATGACAAAAAAATTAAAGAACAATACATAAACAGGTTGCAGTTAACAAAAGTAAAAAGTAATTAATATCACAATTAAGATCTTCTCCCCTGTCTCTCTGTTTGTCACACCCAGGCTGGAGTGTGTGACAAAATAAAAAATCTAAAAGATCAACTTTATTGTGCAGGAAGGAATGTAGGAAAATAGAGAAAAGAACAAAGAAGAAAAACAAAAGCAAATCACTCTAAGTACTGTTACTGTGGAAACAAACTAAAAGTGGGTTAAAAAAAAAAAAAAACAGAGGCTGGGCGTGGTGGCTCATGCCTGTAATCCCAGCACTTTGGGAGGTCAAGGCAGGCAGATCACGAGGTCAAGAAATCAAGGCCATCCTGGCCAACATGGTGAAATCCCGTCTCTACTAAAAATACAAAAATTAGCTGGGCTTGGTGGCGTATGCCTGTAGTCCTAGCTACTCAGGAGGCTGAGGAAGGAGAATCATTTAAACCCAGGAGGTGGAGGTTGCAGTGAGCCAATATCAGCCACTGCACTCCAGCCTGGCAACAGAGTGAGACTCCATCAAGATCAACAACAACAAGAACAGCAAAAAACAGATGAAGAAGGTCTGAGTAGTCTCAGGTACACGGGGGGCCCCCCAAGATGGGAAGACCACCCGGGTAAAACCTGGGAGTCTGAGTTCTCAGTGAATCGGGAATGCATCCCTCTGCTGGACCTGAATGGTACTGTCACCAGCAAGAGGCATCTGGTCAACCTTAGACGTGGCAAGCTGATGGCTAAGTCCAACACTTGCAGCCGAAATTGGTCTCAAAATAAATAGACAAAAAATCCGATGGTAAATATTGAACAATAACGAAAAATAATAACAATATTAAGGACCAATAAATAAATAAGTGGGAGTGAACAAAGGTAAAAGATAATTATCACAATGAAGATTATCACAATGAAGATTTTCTCCTCTCTCTCTCTTTCTCAATTTGTCATGCCAGGCTAGAGTGTGACAGAAATCTAAAAGATCAACTTCATCGTGCAGGAAGGAGCATAGAAAAATAGAGAAAAGAAGAAAACAGCAAACCATTCTGAGTACCGTGGAAACAAACTAAAAGTGGGCTTAGAAGGAAAACAGAGGAAGAAGGTCTGAGTAGTCCCAGGGACTCCAGAGGCCAAGATGGGAAAGCCACCCAGGCGAGACAGGGGAGATGGAAGCCACAGGGAATCACTATCACATACCTCTGCTGGACCTGAATGGTCCTGGCGCCAGCTAGAGCCATCTGGTCGACCTTAGACATGTCAAGGCAGGAGCCATCTGATCGACCTTAGACTTGGCAAGCTGGTGGCTAAGTCCAGTGCTCACTGCCGACATCTGTCTCAAAATAAACAAAAAGTCCAACAGTGAATATTTAACAATAACAAAAATATAATACCAAACAATATTAAAGACCAATAAATAAGTGGGAGTGAACAAAGGTAAAAGGTAACTAATATCACAATTAAAATATTCTGCTATCTCTCACTCTCTCTCTTCCCCTTTCCATTTGTCACACCCAGGCTGGAATGTGACAAAAAAATATAAAAGGTCAATTTCATCATGCAGGAATGAGTGTAGAAAAAGGGAGAAAAGAACAAAGAAGAAAAACAACAGCAAGTCTCTCTAAAACTTCAGTTAGTTTCACTGTAGAAAAAAAAATTGAAAGTGGGGTTAGGAAAAAAAGGAAGGAGGAGGATAAGTTCAGGTAGCCTGAGGGACTAGGGAAGCCAAGTGGGAAGACCACCTGGGTGACACTGGGAAGATCGAGACCACAGTGAATCATGATCACATCCCTCTGCTGTACCTGAATAGTACTTCCAAAGGCAGGAGCCATCTGGTCATCCTTAGTCATGGCAAGGCGAGAGCCATCTGGTTGACCTTAGATAAGGTGAGAGCCATCTGGTTGACCTTAGACTTGGCAAGCTGGCAGCTAAGTCCAATCCTCTCAGCTGACATCTTGGAGAGAGAGACAGACAGACAGACACAAACAGCGAGACAGGAGAAAATCTTAATTGTGTTATTAATTACTTTTCACCTTTGTTCACTCCAAACAGAAAAAAATCCAACAGTGAATATTTAACAATAACAAAGATATAACTACAAACAATATTAAAGACAAATAAATGGGAGTGAACAAAGGTAACAGGTAATTAATATCACAATTAAATTCTTCTAATCTCTTTCTATCTCTCACTCTCGATTTCTCTCTGTCAACTTCATCAAGCAGGAAGGAGCACAGGAAAATATAAAGAGAAAACAAGAAAAAAATAGAAAGTCACTCTAAGGACTGTGGAAACAAACTGAAAGTAAGGTTAGGAAAAACAAAGGAAGGATGTCGAAATAGTCTGAGGGAATCAGGAGGCCGAGATCATCAGAAGGCCACCCTGTAGAGACCTGGAAGACGCCCAGGGCACAGTGAATCACGATCCGATCCCTCTGCTGGACCTGAATGGTACTGCTGCTGCTGAGAGCCATCCTCTCGACCCTAGACTTACCAAGCTGGTGGCTAAATACAACCCTCGTGGGAAGATCTGTCTCAAAAGAAAAAAATCCAACAGGGAATATTTAACAGTAACAAAGAACTAACCATAACAATATTAAAGACAAATAAATAAGTGGGAGTGAACAAAGGTGAAAGGTCAATTATATCACAATTAAGATCTTCTCTCTCTTTCTCCATTTGTCACAACCAGGCTGGATTGTTCCAAAAAAAAAAAATCTAGAAGGTCAAATTCATCATGCAGGAAGGAGGGTAAGAATATATATAGAGAGAAAAGAACAGAGAAGAAATACAACAGCAACTCACTGTAAGTACTGTAGAAACAAACTGAAAGTTGGGTTAGAAAAAAAAAAAGAAGAAGGTCCAAGTAGTCTGAAGGACTCGGGAGGCCAAGATGGGAAGTCCACCCAGATGACACCGGGGAGATCGAGGCTGCAGAGAATAAGGATCACATCCCTCTGCTGGACCTGAATGGTACTGATGCTGTTGAGAGCCATCTGGTCCTCAGACATGGGAAGGCAAGAGCCATCTGTTCGACCTTAGACATGGCAAGATGAAAGCTAAGTCCAGTGCTCGCTGCCAACACGTTTCTCAAAATAAATAAACAAAAATTTCAACAGTAAATATTCAACAATAACAAAGAAATAATAACAACTTTAAAGACCAATAAGTAAATAAGTGAAAGTGAACAAAGGTAATAGGTGATTAATATCACAATTAAGATCTTCTATCTCTCTACTTCTCTGTTACTCTCTAGCTGTCTCTGTTTGTCAAACCCATGCTAGAGTGTGATTAAAAGAAATATAAAAGTCAACTGCTTCCTGCAGGAAGGAGCATAGGGACATAACGAGAGAAAAGAACAAAGGAAAAAAAAAAAAAACAGCAAGTCACTCTATGTATGTGGAAACAAACTGAAAGTGGGGTTAGAGAAAAAAAAGAAGGTCCGAGTAGTCTGAGGGACTCAAGTGGCTGAGATGGGAACACCAGCCGGGTGAGACTGGAGAGATCAAGGTTACAGTGAATCACAATTACCTCCCTCTGCTGGACCTGAACGGTATTACCGGAGGCAAGAGCCATCTGGTCGACCTTAGACATGGCAAGGCAAAAGTCCTCTGGTTGACCTTGGTCCAATGCTCGTGGCTGACATCTCTCTCAAAATAAGTAAGCAGAAAATCCACCAGTGAATATTTAACAATAAAAAAAGATAACATTGTGTCAATAAATAGGAGTGAACAAAGGTGAAAAGTAATCGATAACACAATTAAGATGTTCTCCTCTCTCTCTCTCTCTCTGTTTGTAACACCCAGACTGGAGTGGGTTCATATTTATCATGCTGGAAGGAGTGTAGAAAAATAGAGGAATGAAGAAGGAAAACAACGCAAGTCATTCTATGTACTGTGGAAACAAACTGACAGTGGGTTTAGAAAAAAACAACAGAGGAAGAAGGTCTGAGTAGTCCCAGGTAATTGGGAAACCGAGAAGGGAAGACCACTCGGGTGAGACCAGGGAGATCGAAGCCACAGTAAATCACGATCACATCCCTCTGCTGGACCTGAACGGTACTGCCGCCTGCAAGAGCCATCTGGTCGACCTTAGACATGACAAGGCGAGAACCATCTGGTCAACCTTAGACATGGCACTCTTGTGGCTAAGTCCAACTCTAGTTGCTGAAATACGTCTCAAAAAAACAAAAACAATCCAACAGTAAATGTTTTACAAAAACAAAAAAATAAACAATATTAAAGAACAATGTATAAATAAGTGGGAGTGAACCAAGGTAAAAGGTAATTAATATCACCATTAAGATCTCCTCTCTTTCTCTTTTTCTCTCCATTTGTGATACCCAGGCTGGAGTGTGACAAAGGAAAATCTAAAAGGTCAACTTCATTTACAGGAAAGAGCATAGGAAAACAGACAAAAGAACAAAGAAGAAAAACAATAGCAAGTCACTCTAAGTACTGTGGAAATAAACTAAATGTCAGGTTAGGAATAGAACAGTGAAAGAAGGTCCCAGTAGTCCCAAGGACTCGGGAGGCTGAGACACGAAGACTGCCCAGGTGAGACTACAGAGACTGAAGTTGCAGTGAATCATCACATCCTGCTACTGGACTTGAACAGTACTGCTGCTGATGAGAGCCATCTGGGCGACCTTCGACATGGCAAGGTGCGAGCCATCTGATCAGCCTTAGACATGGCAAGGCAAGAGCCATCTGGTCAACCTTAGAAGTGACAAGGGACAGCCACCTGGTCGACCTTTGACATGGCAGGATGACAGCCATCTGGTCGACCTTAGAGATGGGAATGCAAGAGGCTTCAGGTCCACCTTCAACATGGTAAGGCTAAAGCCATCTTGTCCAGCTTAGACATGGCAAGGCAAGAGCCATATGGTCCACCTTAGTCATGGGAAGGCAAGAGCCATCTTGTTGACCATAGACATGGTAAGGTGGGAGCCATCAAGTCTGCCTCAGACATAGCAAGGTGAGAACCATCTGGTCAACCTCAGACATGGGAAAGTGAGAGCCATCTGATCTACTTCAGACATGGCAAGGCAAGAGGCATCTTGACCTCAGACATGGCAAGGAAAGAGCCATCCGGTCGACTTTAGAGATGGAAATGCGAAAAGGGTTTGGGTCCACCTTAAGCATGGAAAGGCAAGAGGCATCTGGTCTAGTTTAGGCATGGCAAGGCAAGAGACATATGGTTTACCTTAGTCATGGGAAGGTGAGAGCCATCTGGTCGACCATAGACATGGCAAGGTGGGAACCATCAAGTCCACTTCAGACATGGCAAGGTGAAAGCCATCTTGGTCAACCTTAGACATAGGAAGTTGAGAGCCACATGGTCTACTTAAGGCATGGCAAGGCAACAAGCATCTGGTCAACCTCAAACATGGCAAGGCAAGAGCCATCTGGTCAACATTAGAGATGGTAATGCAAGAGGCTTCAGATCCATCTTAGACATGGTAAGGCAAGAAGCATCTCATCTAGCTTAGACATGGCAAATCAAGAGCCATGTGGTCCACCTTAGTCATGGGAAGGTGAGAGCCATCTCGTTGACCATAGACAGGGCAAGGTGGGAGCCATCAAGTCCACCTCAGACATGGCAAGGCGAGAGCCATCTAGTCTGCCTCAGACATGGCAAGGTGAGAGCCATCTGGTTAACTTTAGACATGGGAAGGAGAGCCAACTGGTTGGCCTCAGACATGGAAAGGCTAGAGCCATCCAGTCGACCTCAGAAATGGGAAAGAGAGAGCCATCTGGACAACCTTAAACATGACAAAATGAGAGCCATCTGGTAGACTTTAGACATAGAATGGCAAGAGCCATCTGGTCAATCGTAGATGTGGCAAGGTGAGAGCCATCTGATTGACCTAGACATGGCAAGGTGAGAGACATCTGGTCGACTGAAGACAAGGAAAAATGAAAGCCATCTGGTTGAGCTTAGACATGGCAAGGCAAGAGTCATCTGGCCGACCTTAGACATGGAAAAAGAAGAGCCATCTGTTTGACCTTAGACATGGCAAGGCAAGATCCATCTGGTCAACCTTAGACATGGCAAGGTGAGAGCCATCTTGTTGAACTCACTCGAAGAGGAGACCCATCTGGTCAACCTCAGACATGGCAAGGTGAGAGCCATCTGATCGACCTTAGACATGGCAAGGTGAGAGCCATCTGGTCGACCTTAGATATGGCAAGGTGAGAATCATCTGGTCAATCTTAAACATGGCAAGGTGAGATCCAACTTGACCTTAGATATGATGAGGTGAGAACCAACTGTTCAATCTTAGACATGGCTAGGCAAGTGCCATCTGGTCCACCTTAGATATGGCAAGGCGAGAGCCATCTGGTCGACCTTAGACATGGCAAGGTGAGAGCTGTCTGTTCATCTTAGACATGACAAGCTGGCAGCTAAATGCGATGCATGCAGTCGACATCCATCTCAAAATAAATGAACCAACAGTAAATATATAACAATAACAAGGAAATAATAGTGAACAACCCTAAAGACCAAATAATTAAGTAGGAGTGTACAATAATAAAAGGTAATTAATGTCGCAATTTAAAAAAACTCCTCTCTCTCTCTGTCTCTCTCTCTATTTGTCACACACAGGGTGAAGTGTAACCAAAAAAAAAAAAAAAATCCAAAGGTCAAACTCAGTTTGCAGGAAGGAGCATAGGAGAATAAAGGATGGAACAAAGAAGAAAAAGAACAGCAAGTTACTCTGAGTATTGTGGAAACAAACTGAAATTAGAGTGAGAGAGAGAGAGAAAAAAAAAGAAGGTCCGAGCAATCTCAGATATATGAGAGGCCAAGATGGGAAGATCACTTGGGTAAGACTGGGAAGATTGAGTCTGCAGTGAGTCACAGTCGCATCATTCTGCTGGATTTGAATGGTACTGCTTCTGGCCCAAGTTGTCTGGGCAACCTTAGACATGGTAAGGCAAGAGCCATCTGATCAACATTAGACATGGCAAGGTGAAAGCCATCTGGTCGACAGGGATTCTAATAGAAGACACTCTGGGCCGATGGCAGACGTCTAATAATAGAGACAAAGGGTGAGCCCGGACATTTTAATGGGAGAGAAGCCTGGATGACCCCAGGTATTCTAATGTTAGAAACACCTACGTGACTCCAGGCCTCCTAATGGTGGAGACTCCCAGCCTACCCCAGGCATTCTCTTGTGAGAGACTTCTGGCTGACCCCAGGCAGTCTATTTATGGAGACACCTGGGAGACCCCAGGCATTCTGGGAGGAACTCCTGGCCAACCGCAGGGAGTCTAATGATAGAAACACCTGAACGACCACAGGAATTCTAATGGAAGAGACCCCTGGCAGGCCCCAGGCAGTCTAATGATAGAGGCACCTGGGTGGCCCCAGGTATTCTAACCAGAGAGACTCCTGGCCAACCCCAGGCAGTCTAATCATAGAGACACCTGGGTGACCCCAGGCATTCTAATGAGAAAGACTCCCGTGTGACAGCAGGCAGTCTAATGATAGAGACACCTGGGTGACCCTAAGCATTCTAATAGGAAAGACTCCTGGCTGACCCCAGGCAGTCTAATGATACAGATACCTGGGTGACCCCAGGCATTCTAATGTGAGAGATGCCCTGCTACATTCAGGAAGTCTAATGATAGAGACAATTTGACGACCCCAGGCATTCAAATGGGAAGGCTCCCAGCCAACCCCAGGCATTCTAATGGCAGAGACTCCCCGCTGACCCTAGGCATTCTAATGATAGAGACACCTGGGCCACCCCAGGTATGGGAGAAACTCTCAGGTAAACTCAAGTATTCTAACAGAGGTACTCCTGGCTGGCCCCAGGCAGTCTAATGATAGAGACAGCTGGGTGACCACGGGTGTTCTAATGGGAGAGACTCCTGGTCAACCCCAGGCAGTCTAATTATTAAAGACACCTGGGCTACCCCAGACATTCTAATGGGAGCAACTCCCGACCAACCCCAGGCAGTCTAATGATAGAGACATGTGGGCCATCACAAGAATTCTAATGGAAGAGGTTCCTGGCTGACCCCAGGAGAGACACCATTCTAATGGGAGAGACTCTGGGCCGTTTCCAGGCTGTCTAATGATAGAGAAACCTGGGCGACTGCAGGCATTTTAATGAGAGCGGCTCCTGTCCGAACACCAGCAGTCTAATGATAGAGACACCTGGGCAACCCCAGACATTCTAATGGGAGAAAATCCTGTGCAATCCCAGGCAGTCTAATTATAAAGACACCTGGGCAACCCCAGGCATTCTAATGGGAGAGACCCCCGGCTGACACCAGGCATTCTTATGGGAATGACTCCTGGCTGAGCCAGGCAGTCTAAAGATAGAGACACCTGGGCATACCAAAGCATTCTAATGGGATAGACTAACGGCTGACCCAAGGTAGTCTAATGATAGAGACACCTGGATGGCCCCAGGCATACTAATGGAAGAGACTCCTGGCTGACACCAAGCATTCTAATGATAGAGACAACTGATCAACCCTAGGCATTGAAATGGAAGAGACTCCTTCTCGAACCCAAGCATTCTAATAATAGAGACAGCTAATCAACTACAGGCATTTTGGAGAAACTCCCGATCAACCACAGACATTCTAATAATAGAGACACCTGGGCGACCACAGGCATTCCAATGGGAGAGACTCCTGGCCAACACCAGGTGGTCTAATTATAGAGACACCTGGGTGACCCCACGCATTCAAATGGGAGAGACTCCTGGCCGACCCCAGGTGGTCTAATTATAAAAAAAAAAAAACCTAGGTGACCCCAGTCATTCTAATGGCAGAGACTATCAGCTGAACCCAGGTATTCTAATGGGAGAGACTCCTGGCTGACCCTAGACTACCTTAGGTAGTCTAGTTATAAACACACCTGGCCAAACCCAGGCATTTTAATGGGGAAGACTACTGGCCAATCCAAAGCATTCTAATGATAGAGACACCTAAGCGACTCCAGGCATTTTAATGGGAAAGACTCCCAGCCGACCTGAGACATTCTAATGGAAGAGAGCCTTGGTTGACCCCAGGCAATCAAAGAATAGTAACACCTGGGCGACTCCAGGCATTCTAATAGGAAAGAGTCCTAGATGACACCAGGAAATCTAATTATAAAAACACCAGGGTGACCCAAGGCATTGTAATGGGAGACACTCCTGGCAGAACCCAACAGTCTAACGATTGAGACACCAGTGCAACTCAAAGCATTGTAATGGAAGAGACTCCCGCAGACACCAGACAGTCTAATAATAAATTCACCTGGACGACCCAAGGCATTCCAATGGGAAAGACTCCCAGCCGACACCAAGTAGTCTAATGATAAAAACACATGAGTGATTCCCGGCATTCTAATGGGAGAAACTACCAGTTGATCACAGGCTGTATCATGATAGAGACACATGCATTTTAATGGGAGACACTTCTGGCTGACCTGGGGCAGTCTAATGATGGAAACACCTGGGCAAAACCAGGTATTATAATGGGAGAGACTGCTGGCTGAAGCCAGGCATTGTAATGATAGAGACACCTGGGCAATCCAGGCATTCTAATGGGACAGACCTTTGGCTGATTCCAGGGTTTCTAATAATAGAGACACCTGGTCGACCCCTGGCTTTCTAATGGGAGAGACTTGTGTGGACCGCCAGGCAGTCTAATGATAGAGACACCTCGGGGACCCCAGGAAATCCAATGGGAGAAACTTCCAGGTGACCCCATTCATTCTAATGATAGAGACACCTGGGCGACCAGATGCATTTTAATGGAAGAGACTCCTGAACGACCTCAGGCATTCTTATGATAGAGACAGTTGGGAGACCCTAGGCATTCTAATAAATCGAACTCCTGGGCGATCACAGGCAGTCTAAGATTAGAGACACCTGGGTGACCACAGACATTCTAATGGGAGAGACTCCTTGCTGACCACAGGCAGTCTAAGGATAGAAACACGTTAGCATTCGCCAAGACACCTTGGCGATCACAGGCATTCTAATGAAAGAGACTCATGGCCGACCCTAGGCAGTCTAATAATAGACATACTTGGGTGACCCCAAAAATTCTAATGTGAGAGACTCCCAGTTGACGTCAGGCAGTTTAATAAATGTGAGAGACTCCCGGCCGACCCCAGGTACTCTAATGATAGAAGAACCTGGGCCACATCTGGCATTCTAATGGAAGAGACTCCTGGCCGACCCCAGGCGGTCTAATGATAAACCTGGGCGGCCCAATGCATTCTAATGGGAAAAACTCTGGTCCAAACCCCAGCATTTTAATGGGAGAGACTCCTGGCTGACCCCAGGTGGTCTAACTAAAGAGACACCTGAGAGAACCCAGGCATTCTAATGGGAAAGACTACCGGCCAACCCCAGGCATTCTAATGATAGAGACACCTTGTTGAGCCCAGTCTTTCTAATGGAAGAGAATCCCATCCAACCCAAGACAGTCTAATAAGACACCTGGGCGACCCCAGGCATTCTAAAGAGACACCTAGGCGACTCCAGGCGATATTATAGCAGAGACTCCCAGCCAACACCAGACAATGAAAGAAACTCCCAGCGGATGCCAGGCAGTCTAATGATAGAGACACCTGGGCAACCCCAGGCATTGTAATGGGAGAGACTCCGGTCCAATCCCAGGCATTCTAATGAGAGAAACACCTGGCTGACCCCAGGCAGTCTAATAATAGAGAACCTGGGTGAACCCAGGAATGCTACTGAAAGAGACTCCCGGCCAATCTCAGGCAGTCTAATGATACAGACCTCTGTGCAACCCCAGGCATTCTAATAATAAAGACTTCCAGCCGAACCCAGACAGTCTAATGATAGAGAGACCTTAACGTCCCCAGACATTCTAACGAGAAGAACTTCTTGCTGACCACAGGCAGTCTAATGATAGAGACACCTGGACAACTCCGGGCATTCTCATGGGAGAGAATCTTGGCCAAACCAAGGCATTCTAATTATAGAGACACCTGGGTAAGCCCAGGCATTCTAATGGGAAAGACTCTTGGCCGAACCCAGGCATTCTAATGAGAGTCTCCTGGTTGACCCAAGGCAGTCTAAGGATAGAAACGCCTGGGCGACTCCAGAAATTCTTATGGGAGAGACTCCTGGTTAATCCCAGGCAGTCTAATGATACAGACACCTGGGCAACACGAGGAATTCTAATTAGAGAGACTCCTGGCCTATCCAGACAGTCTAATAACAAAGACACTTGGACAAACCCAGGTATTCTAACGTGAGAGACTCACGGCCAACCCCAGGCAGTCTAAATATAGAAACACCTGGGAGACCCCTGGCATTTTAATGAAAAAGACTCCGGTCCGACCCCAGTCAGTCTAATTAAAAAGACACCTGAGTGACCCCCGGCATTCTAACAGGAAACACTCCTGGCTGACCCCAGGCTGTCAAATTATGGAGATACATTGTCTACCCCAGGCATTTTGATGGGAGAGAATCCTGGCCAAACTCAAGCATTTTAATGGTAGAGACAACTGGGTGAACCCAGGCATTGTAAGGGGATAGGTTCTTGGCCGACACCAGGCATTCTAATGATAGGAACATCTTGTCAACCCCAGGCTTTCTAATGGGAGAGACTCCCATCCAAACCCAGGGAGTCTAATGATAGAGACACCTGGAAAGCATTCAAATGGAAGAGGTACCAGCTGACCCCAGGCATTCTAATGATAGAGACACCTGAGCGACCAGTGGCATTCTAATGATGGAGACATTTGAGCGACCACAGGCTTTCTAATGGGTGACACTCCTGGCTAAACCCAGTGTGTCTAATGATAGAGACACCTGGGAGACCCCAAACATTCTAATGGGAAGGCTGCCAGCCTAACCCAGGCATTTTAATGACAGAGACACCTGGTCGACCCCAGGCTTTCCAATGGGAGAGACTTTCATACAAACCAGGCAGTCTAATAATAGAGAAACCTGGTTGGTCCCAGACATTACAAAGGGAGAGACTCCTGGCTGACCCCAGACAGTCTAATGATAGAGACATCTGGTGACACCACACATTCAAATGAGAGAGACTCCCCACTGAGCCAAGGCAGTCTAATGATAGAGACACCTGGGCAATCCCAGGTGTTCTAATGGGAGAGACTCCCGACCGACCCCAGGCGTTCTAATGAGAGAGACTTCTAGCTGACCACTGGCAGACTAATGATAAAGACACTGGGGTGAACCTAGCCATTCTAACGGGAGAGACTCCCAGCTGACACCAGGCAGTCTAATGATAGAGACACTTGGGCGACAACAGGCATTCTAATGTGAAAGACTCCTGGCTGACTCAAAGCTGTCTAATTATAGAGACAGCTGCATGAACCCAGGCATTCGAGAGAAAGATACCCCTGGCCGACCCCAGGCAGTCTCATCATATAAAAACCTGGGCAATTCCAGACATTCTAATGGGAGAGACTCTCGGCCAACACAAGGCATTCTAATGGGAGAGATTCCTTGCAGACAGCAAGCAATCTAACAATAGGGACACCTGGGCAACTGAAGGCATTGAAATGAGAGAGACTCCTGGTCAACCCCAGGTAATCTAATGAAAGTAAAAACTGGGCGACCCAAGGCATTCTAACGAAAGATACTTTCAGCCAACACCAGGTGGCCTAGTGACAGAAACACGAGTGACCCCCAGAATTTTAATGGAAGAGACTCCTGGTTGAGCCCAGGCAGTCTAATGATAGAGACACCTGTGCAACCCTATGCATTCTAATAAAAAAGAGTCACCACCGACCCCAGGATTTCTACTGATAGAGACCCCTGGGCAACCCCAGACATTTTAATGGGAGAGATTCCTGGCCGACCCCAGGAAATCTAATAGGAGAAACTGCTGGCCTACCTAAGCAGTATGAGCTTAGAGACACCTGGGCATCCACAGGCATTCCAATGAGAGAGGATTGCGCCAGCCCAAGGTAGTCTAAAAATAGAGACAACTGGGTGACCTCAGGCATTCTAATGAAAGGGACCCCCTGCCAACTCCAGGTAGTCTAATGATAGAAACACCTGGGCGACCCCCGTCATTCTAATGGGAGAGACTCCTGGTCGACCCCAGACGGTCTAATTATAGAAACACCTGGGTGACCCCAGGCATTCTAATGATAGAGACACATGGGCGACTTCAGGCATTCTAATGGAAAAGACACCCTGCTTACCCCAGGCATTCTAATGAAACAGATTCCTGGCTGATATTAGGCAGCCCTATCATAGAGGCATCTAGGCTACCGCAGAAATTCTAATGGGAGAGACTACTAGGCGACTCCAGGCAGTCCAATGATACAGACACTTGGGTGACCCTAGGCATTCTAATGGCAGAGAACCCTGGCTGACCCCAGGCAGTACAATAATAGAGACCCCTGGACAACCCTAGGCATTTCAATGGGAAACACTCCCAGCTGTCCCTGAACATTCTAATGATAGAGGAACCTTGGAGACCTCAGGCATTCTAATGAAAGAGACTCCTGGCTGACCCCAGGCATTCTAATGGGAGAAATTGCTGGCCAACCTCAGGCCACCTAATGATAAAGACACCTGGGCGACCACAGGCATTCTAAAGGGAGAGACTACCGGTCGACCACAGGCTGTCTGATGATAGAGACACCTGCGTGAGCCCAGGCATTCTAATAATAGAGACGCGTTGGTGACCCTCATCATTTTAATAAGAGAGATTCCTGGGTGAACCCAGGCATTGTCTTAAGAGAGACTCCTGACTGAATTCAGGCAGCCTAATTATAGAGACACCTGGGTGAACCGAAGCATTCTAAGGGAAGAGATCCTTGACCAACAGCAGGCAGTCTTATGATAGAGACACCTGGGTGACCACAGGCCTTATTATGGGAGAGACTTTTTGCCGAACTTAGGCAGTCTAGTGATAGAGACAGCTGGGCCACACTAGGCATTCTTATGGCAGAGACCCCTGACCAACCCCAGACATTGTAATTATAGAGCAACATGTTTGACCCCAGGCATTTTAATGGGAGAGACTCTCGGTCAACCCCAGGGATTTTTATGGGAGAGACTACTGGCCAACACAAGGTAGTCTAATGAAAAAGACACCTGGGCAACCCCATGCATTCCAGTGGGAGAGACTCCTGGCCCAACCAAGTTAGTCTAATAGGGACACCTGGGTAACCACAGGAATTCTAATGGGAGAGACCCCTAACCGACCTCAGGCATTCTAATGATAGAAACACCTGGGCAACCACAGGCATTCTAATGGGGGAGACTCCCGGCCAACTTCAGCCATTCTAATGGGAGAGACTCCTGGCCGAACCCAAGCAGTCTAATGATAAAGACACATGGGTGACCACAGGCATTCTAACAGGAAAGACTCCAGGTAGACCCCAGGCTGTCTAAAGATAGAGACACCTGGGCAACCACAGACATTCTAATGGGAGATACTGCCAGCTGACCCCAGTCATTCTAATAAGACAGACACCTGGCTGACCCTGGGCAGTCTAATGATAAAGACATCTGGACGACCCCAGGCATTCTAAAGGGAGAAACTACTGGCCGACTGCAGGCTGTCTAATGATAGAGACAGCTCCTCGAGCTCAGGTATTCATGGGAGAGATTCCCAACTGACATTAGAATGGCAGGCATTCTAATGATAGAGACACCTGGGCGACCACAGGTATTGTAATGGGAGAGGTTCCCCATCGTCCACACTCATTGTAATGATGGAGGCACCTGAACGATCTCAGGTATTGTCATGATAGAGACACCTGTGCGACCCCAGGCACTCAAATGGGAGAGACTCCCAGCAGACACCAGGCAGTCTAATGAGAGAGATTCCTGGCTGAACCCAGGCAGTCAAATGATAAAGACATCTGGGCAAAACCAGGCATTCTAAAGGGAGAGACTCCTGGCTAACCCCAGGCAGTCTAACAGTAGACACCTGGGCGACCTCAGTCATTCTAATGGGAGAGGCTCAGCCCACCCCAGTGATTCTAATGGGAGAGACTTGTCTGATCCCAGGCAGTTTAAGGTTAGAGACTCCTGAGCAACACCCAGGCATTCTAATATGAGAGACTCCCGGCTGACATAAGGAAGTCTAAAGATAGAGACACCTGAGCAACCAGAGGCATTCTAATGGGAGAGACTCTCATGCGATCCCAGGCAGTCTTATGATAGAGACACCTAGGCAATCGCAGGCATTTTAATGGGAGAGACTCCCGGTCATCCAGAGGCATTGTAATGATGGAGACATCTGGAAGATGGCAAGCATTGTAATGATAGGGACACCTGTGTGACCCCAGGCACACAAATGGGAGAAACTCCCAGCCAACACCAGGCATTCTAATAAGAGAGATTCCTGGCTGACCCCAGGTGGTCAAATGATAAAGACACGTAAGCGAAACCAGGCATTCTAATGAGAGAGACTCCTGGCTAACCCCAGGCAGTCTAATAATAGAGACACGTGGGCAACCCCAGTCATTCTAATGGGAGAGACTCCCAGCCACCCTCAGTGATTCTAATGGAAGAGACTCTTGTCTGACCCTAGGCAGGTGAGATTCCTGGGCGACTCCAGGCATTCTAATAAGACAAATTCCCAGCCCAAGCAAGACAGTCTAAGGATACACAGCTGAGCAACATCAGGCATTTTAATGGGAGAGACTCCTGGCTGAATCCAGACAGTCTAATTATACAGACTCCTGGGTGACTGCAGGCATTCTAATGAAAGAGACTCCCAGCTGAACCCAGGCAGTGTGATTATAGAGACACTTAGGTGACCCCAGACATTCTAATGGGAGAGACTCCTGGATGACCCCATTCTAATGATAGAGACACCTGTGCGACCCCAGGCTGTCTAATGATAGAGACAGCTGGGGAACCTGAGGCATTCTTATGGGAGAGGCCCAGGGCCAACCCCAGGTATTCTAATGATAGAGACACTGGGCGACACTAGACATTTTAATGAGAGAGACAACCAACCAGCCCAAGGCAGTCTAGTGATACAAACACCTGGTCGACCCCAGGCATTCTACTGAAAGAAACTCCTGGCCAAACCCTGGCATTCTAATGATAGAGACAAGTGAGCATTTTAGTAATAGAGACACCTGGGCTACAACAGGCATTTTTTTATGTGAGAGACTCCTGGCAACCCCAGGCATTCTAATGGAGAGACTCCTGGCTGACCACAGGCAGTCTAATGATAGAGACACTTGAGTGACCCCAGACATTATAATGGAAGAGACTCCTGGCCGACATCTTGCAGTCTAATTTAAGTGACAACTGAGTGAACACAGGCATTCTAATGGGAGAGACTCCTGGCTGACCAAGGCAGTCTGTGGATAGAGACACCTGGGTGACCCCAGGCATTCTAATGGGAAAGATTTCTAGTTGACCACTGGCAGTCTAATTATAGAGACACATGGGAGACCCCGGGCATTCTAATGAAAGAGACTCCTGGCCAACCCCAGGCAATCTAATGATAGAGGCACCTGGGCGACCCAAGGCATTCTAATGGGAGAGACTCCTGGCCAACCTCAGTGATTGTAATGGAAAAGACTCTTGTCCGCCTTCAGGCTATCTAAGGATAAAAGCTCCTTGGTACCTCCAGGCATTCTAATGAGAGGGACTCCCAGCCAAATCCAGGCAGTCTAATGATAGAGACACTTGGGTGACCCCAGGCATTTTAATAGGAGAGACTCCTGACCTGCCCCAGGCAGTTTAATTTTACACACTTCTGGGAGACCCCAGACATTGTAATGAAAAAGACCCCCGGCCAACCCCAGGCAGTGTGATGATAGAGACAATTGGGCTACTCCAGGCATTCTAATGGGAGAGGCTCCCAGACAACCTTAGGCATTCTAATGATAGAGACACCTCTGTGACTCCAGACAGTCTAATGGGAGTGACTGCAGTCAAACCCACACATTCTAATGGGGGAGACTCCCTGCCAACCTCAGGCAGTTTAATGATAGAGATACCAGGGCGACCCCAGGCATTGTAATGAGAGCGACTGCTTGCTGACCTAAGGCAATGTAATGATAGACACACCTGGGAGACCCCAGGCATTCTAATGGGAGAGATTCCTAGTTGACCACAGTCAGTCTAATTATACAGACAGCAGGGCTACCCCAGGCATTCTAATGGGATAGGCTCCTGGCCCACCCCAGGCAGTCTAATGATAGAGACATATAGGCGACCACAAGCATTCTAATGAAAGAGACTCCTGGCTGACCCCAGGCAGTCTAATGAACAGAAGAAACTCCTGGCCAAACCCAGGCAGTCTAATTATGCAGAGTCCTGGGAGACCCCAGGCATTCTAATGAAAAAGACTCCCAGCCAAACCCAGGCAAAGTGATAGAGAAACTTGGGTGACTGCAGGCTTTCTAATGAGACAGACTCCTGGCTGATCCGAGGCATTCTAATGTTAGAGACACTTGGGCGACCCCAGGCATTATAATATAATGATAGAGACACCTTTGCCACCCCAGGCAGTCTAATGATAGAGATACATTGGCGACCCCAGGGATTCTAATAAGAGAGACTCTTGCTTAAACACAGTGATTCTAATAGAAGAGACTTGTGTCCTACTCGAGGCAGTCTAAGGATAGAGACTCCTGGGTGATCCCAGCATTCTAATGGGAGAGACTCCTGGCAGAACCCAGGGAATCTAATGATAGAGACACCAGGGTGACCCCAGACATTCTAATGGGTGAGATTTTTGGCCGACAATAGGCAGTTCAATTATACAGACTCCTGGGCAATCCCCAGCATTTTAATGGGAGACACTACCCATGGACCCCAGGCAGTCTAATTATAGAGACAATTGAATGACACCACACATTCTAATGGAAGACACTTCCGGATGACCCAGACATCCTAATGATAGAGACACTTGTGCAACCCCAGCCAGCCTAATGATAGAAACACCTGGGCGACTTTAGGCATTCTTACGGGAGAGACCTCCAGCTGACCCCAGTAATTCTGATGATAGAGACCCCTGGTTGACCCCTGTCATTCTGATGGGAGAAACTCCTGGCTGACACAATGTAGTCTAATGGTAGAAACATCTTGGCGACCCCAGGCATTCTAATGGGAGAGACTCCTGACAAAACTTTGGCATTCTAATGATAAAGACAAGTGGGCAACCCCAAGCATTGTAATGGTAAAGACACCTGGGTGATCCCAGGAATTCTAATGTGAGAGACTCCTGGCCAACCCCAGGCATTCTAATAAAGAGACTTCTGTCTGACCACAGGCTGTCTAGTGATAGAGATACCAGGGTTACTCCAGGCATTCTAATGAAAGAGACTCCTGGCGGACCCCAGACAGTCTATTTAAAGTGATAACCTGGGCCACCACAGGCACTCTAATGGAAGAGACTCCTGGCTGACCCCAGGCATTCTAATGGGAGAGAATCCTGGCCGAACCCAGGCAGCCAATGGATAGAGACACCTGAGCAAACCCAGGCATTCTAATGAAAGAGACTCCCGGCCGACCCCAGGCAGTCTAATAATAGAGACACGTGAGTGGACACAGGCATTCTAATAGGAGAGATTCCTGGCTGACCCAAGCAGTCTAATTATAGACACCTGGGTGACTCCAGGCTTTCTAATAGGAGAAACCCCAGGCTGACCCTAAGCAGTCTGATGATAGAGGCTTCTTGGTGACGGCAAGCATTCTAATGTGAGAGACTCTCGGCCAACCCCAGGCATTCTAATGATAGAGACATTTGGGAGCCCCCAGTTATTTTAATGATAGAGACACCTGAGCGACCCTAAGCATTCTAATGGGAGACAACAAGGCTGAAACCAGGCTTTCTAATGGGGAGACACCTGGCTGATCCCCAACAGTCTAATCATAAAAAACACCTGGATGACTCCAGTCATTTTAATGGCAGAGACTCCCGGTCTACCCCAGGTGTTTTAATGGGGAGACTTCTGACCGACCCCAGGCAGTCTAATCATAAAGACAGCTGGGCTAAGCCAGACAGTCTAATGAAAGAGATTGCCAGCCGAACACTGGCTGTTTAATTATAAAGACACTTGGGCAATCCCAGGCGTTCCAATGGAGGAGACTCCCAGCTGACCACAAGCAGTCTAATGGTATTGACACCTGGAAGTCCCAAGACATTCTAATGGAAGAGATTCCCGTCCTACCACAGGCATTCTAATGATAGAGATACCTGGGCCACCCCAGGCATTCTAATGGGAGAGACTCCTGGCTGACAACAGACAGTCTAATGATAGAGAAACTTGGGCGAACCCAGTATTCTGATTGGAGAGATTCTAGGCAGTCTGATAGTGACAACTGGGCAACTACAGGCATTCTAATGGGAGAGGCTAATGGCTGACCACAGGCATTTTAATTGGAGAGAATCCTGACTGACCCAAGGAAATTTAAGGATAGAGACACCCGGGTGATCCCAGACATTCTAACGGGAGAGACTCCTGACCGACACCAGACAGTCTAATTACAGAGACACTTGGGCTATCCCAGGCATTCTACTGAAAGTGACTCCCGTTTGACTCCAGGCAGTCTAATGATAGAAATACCTGGTTGACTTCAGGCATTGTAATGGGAGAGACCCCCATCCAATCCCAGGCAGTCTAATGATAGAGACAGCTGGGCGACCCCAGGCGTTCTAATAGAGTATCGGCTAACCACAGGCAGTCTAATGAGAGAGACAACGTGGAGACCTGATTCATTCTAATCAAAGAGACTCCCAGCGAACCCCAGTCATTCTAGTAAAAGAGACACTTGTCCGACTTCAGGCAGTCTAAGTATAGAGACTGCGGGGCAACCCCACACATTCTAATGGGAGAGAGTCTGGGCCAAACCCAGGCAGTCTAATTATAGGACACGTGAGCGACCAAACTCATTCTAATGGGAGAAACTCCTGGCGGGCCCCATGCCACCTAATGATAGAGACACTTGGACGACCCCAGGCATTCTAATGGGAAAGATTCTTGGCCGACCCCATGCTGCCTAATGATAGAGACATCTGAGTGAACCCAGGCATTCTAATGAGAGATGCTCCTTGCCTATTCCAGGCATTCTAATGACAGAGACACCTGGGCAACCCCAGGCATTGTAATGATACAGACATGTGGGCGATTTCAGGCATTCTAATGAAAGAGACTCCCTGCGGACCCAGGCATTCTAATGAGAGAGACTCTCAGCCGATCTCAGGCAGTCTAATGATAGAGACACTGGAGTGACCAAAAGGATTTTAATAAAAGAGACTACCGGGCAACCACAGGCACAGACAATCTAATAATAGAGACACCTGGGTGACTTTAGACATTTCAGTGGGAGAGACTCCCAGCCGGCCCCGAGCAATCTAATGATAGAGACACCTGGGAAACCTCATGTATTCTAATGGGAGAAACTTTTGGCTGGCCCCAGACATTCTAATGGGAGAGACTGCTGGCCGACCCCAGGCAGTCTAATGATAGAGACACCTTGGCCACCCCCGTATTCTAAAGGGAGAGACTATTGACAGTCCCCAGATTTTTTAATGATACAGACACCTGCGTGAGCCTAAGCATTTTAAAAGGAGAGACTCTTGGTGACCACAGACATTCTAATAATAGAGACACCTTGGCGATTCCAGTCATTCTAATAGGAAAGACTCTCTTCTGAACCCAGGCATTGTCTTGGGAGATAATCCTGGCTGAACCCAGACAGTCTAATTATAAAGACACCTGGGCAAGCCTAGGCATTCTAATGGGAGATACCTCCCCAGTGTCCCCAGGCAGTCTAATGATAGAGACACCTTGACGACCACAGGCATTATTATGAGAGACACACTTTGCCAAACTCAGGCAGTCTAATGCTAGAGACAATTGGGCGACAAGCATTCTAGCGGGAAAAACTCCCGGCTGACCCCAGGCATTGTAATAAAAGAAAAGCCTGAGTGATCCCAGCCATTTTCATGGGAGAGACACTTGTTCGACCCCAGGCATTCTTATGGGAGGGACTACTGGCCAACACCAGACAGTCTAATAAAAAAGACATGTAGATGACCCCATGCATTCTTTTTTTTTCACACTTTAAATACTTTATTTATATAAAAACTCATTTGTTTTTAAAAGCATTAACAAGACAGAAAGAAAAGAGAAAAAGTATGGAGCAGAACACAAGCCCGTTAGCAGTGTTCGGTGGGAAGGTGGGATTTTTGGTTCTCTGGAATTGAATGTTTAGTGTTTTTATAAACAAAAGAGGAAAAAAAAGTTAAAGGTCCCCAAAAGCCCATGGCTATCCTATTACCCATACCCCACTGAGAAGGGAGGGGGCAGGGATAGCATTAGGAGATATACCTAATGCTAAATGACGAGTTAATGGGTGCAGCACACCAACATGGCACATGTATACGTATGTAACAAACCTGCACGTTGTGCACATGTACCCTAAAACTTAAAGTATAATAATAATAAAATTAAATATATATGTGTGTATATATATATATAGCAGTTCTGGAAGACAAAAAAAAAAAAAAAAGAAAAAAAGAAAAAAGAGCACCAGGAAAAGAGCAGAAGAGGGCAAGAGAAATCAAGAGTGGAGCCAGGTCTGGATGGGGCAATTTCACCTGTGCAGTGTGCCCTTAGGGTCACAGAGAGCACAAGGCTCCTTTTTGCCAGAAAAGGTAGATGAAAGTGGGGAGAAATGGGAAGGGAGAAAAGGGTAAATAAGAAATTTTAATGCACCAGTAAAGGGGGTGGTGGGTTGTGCACTTTTCTCCTACCCCATAGCCTCAATATATAAGGGAAGGGGAAGAGAGGGATAAAGAACTCCAGTTACATGGAACAGAGCTTTTAGATTAGATTAAGGGGAGTAGAAGGCAAATAAGGAAAAGGATCAAAAATAATAATAATAATCAACCCGCATAGCAGCTGATTTCTCTAGCCCAACCTGCTAATTAATATATGCTAAAGTGAGAGGGGGCAATACTGGAGGGAGGGAAGGATTGGAGAGACCACTTCCCTGTAACGCCTTCAGAGATGATGGTAAGTTCTGGGCACCTAAGGAGTAAGAGTCACACCACTCACTTCTCTTACCAACCTTACTTTGTGATTCATCAGAATAGGAGTTTTGCAAAATCCCACGCATATGCTGTTGAGCAAAACTTGCTATGGCTGAAATCATGGCTATACCAATCCTCAATGAAGAATCTGAGGTTCTCTAGGTCACTTCTCTTCTTTCTGCTATTTAGGGCCAATAGTAGGTAAGAAAGCAACAAAATGTAATTTGCAAAATTATGAGAAATGAGACTGCAGAGGCAAAGAAAGGCACATGGAAGGGTGGGTGGAAATGCACCCCAGGCCAAAGGCACAAAGAAGAGGCAAAGCCAGGGGCAATCCGCACCTTGTAAGGGTAAAAGGGACAGGAGTTATGTACATCAAGTCCTTTAGTGTGCCAGCCAATCCAGGGCAGAGGCAAGGGACAGGCCTATAAGGATAGGAAAAGGAGAAACAGGGGAGTGAGGAAGCCAGTTTCAGACTTAATTTCTTCATGTACATTCCTACTAGCTCTTCCTAGAGGTCTTCTTCTTTGCAAAAACACATCTTTCTGCTCCTTCTCAACCAAAAGTCTTCCTTGACATTCTCCCCTTTCTACAGCCTCTTGGACATGGCCAGGCCAACTCAACAGACATATCACAGGGCAGGAGAGGTGGGTTAAGGACAGCCTCTGTTTAAGGGGCAGCAGCAATAGCCCAGGCTTGGCATGAGGCTTGCAGAAGAGATGGAGTCTGTAGGTTCTTGATGGTCCCTGCCTTGGAGGTGAGGACAGCAAGGTTTCTTAATCCCAGTTCTAGGAGACCTTCACTTACTCAAGGGTCCTTTGCCAGGTGGCATGTGCCAACGTTGCTAGCCTTCTTTGCTTCAAAAATAGCCATTAGGAATAAGGGAAGAGCTCACACTTTCCCCTCTCTAAAAGAAAATAAAAGCCCCTTCCCCACCAGGAAAACAATCTTGATTAAGAATCATCAGTTTATCAGACTGCTGGACATTGCATATAGAGCATGTAACTTGCAATTCTTCCCACGGCTTCTAGTGAAGATTCCCATTCTGTCCATCCTTCCCTCCACAAAAGGCCAGGAGTTCCAGGGAGAACTGGCAAAAAGAACTAATCTGCAGCAGTTTCTCAAAATATGCAAATAATCGAGTCATGCTTCTTGGGAGAAAATGGAGAGAATGGGGGAGGGGGAGGCATTGAGACAATTAAATTTCACTGGAAGAAGTTGGGAGTTGATGGAAAGAAGGCAGCCATTTAGGGCTGTAAGGGCAGGAGGCAGCCTGGCAGTTGGCACAATAGTCCAGGGAAGAAAAAGGAAAATCATCAGCCAATTTCACCACCAAAAAGTAAAAGTACATATAAGCCCAGATGGAACAGAGATAGTGGTGCTAAATCTTCTGCATCAAGGGTGTTGTTCCTTTCAATGGCTCCATGTAGGCGACCCCATGCATTCTAATAAGAGAGACTCCTGGCTGAACCCAGGCAGTTTGATGATAGAGACACCTGGGTGACAACAGGCATTCTAATGGGGGAGACACTTGGTCAACTTCAGGCATTCTAATGAGGGAGATTCCTGGCCGACCCCAAGCAGTTTAATGATAGAGATACCTGGGAGACCCCAGGCATTCTAACGGGAAAGACTCCAGGCTAACCCCAGGCAGTCTAATGAGAGAGACGCCTGGGTGACTCCAGGCATTTTAATGGGAGAGACTCCCTGCTGACCCCAGGCATTCAAATGGGAGAGGCTCCTGGCTGACCCCAGGCAGTCTAATTGTAAAGAAATCCGGACCACCCCAGGCATTCTAATGAAACAAACTACCAGCCAACCTCAGGCTGTCTAATGATAGAGACACCTTCGCGAGCCCAGGTATTCTAATAGGAGAGACTCCCAGCTGACCCCAGGCATTCTAATGATAGAGACACCTGGGAGATCCCAGTCATTCTAATAGGAAAGACTCCCACTCAACACAAGGCATTCTCTTGAAAGAGACTCCTTGCTGATCGCAGGCAGTCTAATTATTGAGACATATGGGCAATCCCAGGCATTCTAATGGGAGAGACCCCTGGCTGACCACAGGCAGTCTAATGATAGAAACACCTGGGCGACCACAGGCATTCTTGTAAGAGAGATCCGATGCCAAACTTAGTTGGGCAAATCCAGGCATTTTAATGGGAGAGACTGTCAGCCGACCTTAGGCATTCTAATGATAGAAAAACTTGAGCGACCCCAGGCATTTTAAAGGGAGAGACTCTTGGCCGACCTAAGACATTCTAATGGGAGAGACAGCTGACCGGCCCCATGGAGTCTAAAAATAGAGACACCTGGGTAAAAACAGGCATTCTAATGAAAGAGACTACTGGCTGGATCCAGGCAGTCTAGGGAGAAAGAAACCTGGGTGACCCAAGGCATTTCTTTTGAGAGGGACTCCTTCTTGACCTCATGCTGTCTAATTATATAGACACATGGGAGACCCCAGGCATTCTGATGGGAGAGATTCCTGGCTGACCCCAGGCAGTCTAATGATAGAGACACATGGGGAACCCAAGGCATTCTAATGTGAGAGACTTCTGGGTGACCCAGGTAGTCTTATGATCTAGACACCTGTGCAATTCCAGACAATCTAATGGGAGAGACTTTTGGCAAAACCCAGACATTCTATTGAAAAATTCTGCCGGCTGATCCCAGACATTCTAATGAAAGAGACTCCAGGGTGAGCCCAGGCATTCTAATGATAGAGACACCTGGGCAACACCAGGTGTTCTAATGGGAGAGAAACCTGGCCAACCCATGGCATTATAATGGCAGAGACTCCGGGACAATCACAGGGAGTCTAACAATAAAGACACTTGGGCAACCCCAGGCATTTTAATGGGAGAGATTCCTGGCCAACCCCAGTCAGTCTAATGATAGAGTCACCAGGGCAACTGCAGCCATTCTAATGAGAAAGATTCCTGGTCGACTCTAGGCCATTTAATGATAGAGACTTATGGGCGACCTCAGGCATTCTAGTAGTAGAGAGTCCCGGCTGACCCCAGGCATTCTCATGGGAGAGACTCCTGGATGAACCCAAGGATTCCAATGATAGATAAACCTGGTCCAACCGAGGCAGTCAAATGATAAAGACACCTGGGCAATGCCAGGCATTCTAATGGGAGAGACTCCTGGCCTAGCCCAGCCATTCTAATGATAGAGAAAAGTGGGTGACCCCAAGCATTTTAATGATAGAGACACCTTAGTGACCCCAGGCCTTCTAATGTGAGAGACTCCTGGCCAACCCAGGAATTCTAATGAAAGAGACTGCTGGCTGACTCTAGGCATTCTAATGATAGAGACACCTGGGCGATTCCAGGCAATCTAGTGATAGAGACACTTCACAACAGCAGGCATTCTAATGGAGAGAATCCTGGCTGACCCCAGGCAGTCTAATGAGAGACAGCTGGGAGACCCCAGGCATTCTAACAGCAGAGACTCCCAGTCGACCACAGGCATTCAAATGTAAGAGACTCCTGGCTGAAGAAAGCAGTCTAGGGATAGAGACAACTGGGTGTCCACAGGCATTTTAGTGAGAGAGAATTTTGGCCGATGCCAGGCAGTCTAACTATAGAGACACCTGGGTGACCCCAGGCATTCTAATGGGAGAGATTTCCGGCTGACCCCGGGGAGTGTAATGACAGAGACACCTGGGTGACTGCAGGAATTCTAATGGGAGAGACACCCGGCTGACCACAGGCAGTCTATTGATAGAGACTACTGGGCAAACACAGGCATTCTAAAGGAAGATATTCCCCTCTGACCTCAGGCATTTCAATGGGAGAGACTCCGGTCCAACCCCAGGCAGTCTATTGATAAATACACCTGGGTGACCCAAGGCATTCTAATAGAGATTCCTGGCTGACCACAGACAGTCTAATGAGAGAGACAGCTGAGTGACCCAAGACATACTAATGGGAGAGACTCCTGGCCAACCCCTAGCATTCTAATGACAGTGATACCTGGGAGACTGCAGGCATCCTAATGGGAAAGTCTCCTGGCTGACCAAAGGCTGCCTAATTAAAGAGACATCTGGGAGACCAAAGGCATTCTAATAGGAGAGACTTTCAGCCGACCAAAGGCATTGTACTGGGAGAGACTTCTGGCTGAAACAAGCATGCATAGAGACACCTGGGGGACCCCAGGCATAGTAATGGGTGAGATTCCTGGCTGACCCCTGGAAGTCTAATTATAAAAAACCTGGGTGACTTCAGGTATTCTAATGGGAGAGACTTCTCGCTGATCCCAGGCATTCTAATGAGATACCCCTCATCAATTTCCATTACTTTAAGGGTAGAGACTCCTGGGTAATCCCAGGCATTCTAATATGAGAGACTCCCAGCCAACACCAGACAGTCTAATAATAGGGACACCTAAGCAACCCCTGGCATTCTAATGGGAGAGTCTCTCATCCGACCCCAGGCAGTCTTATAATAGAGACACCTGGGCGACCACATGCATTCTAATGGGAGAGACTCCTGGTCCCCCTGAGGCATTGTAATGAAAGGGACACCTGGGCGACCCCAGACACTCAAATGGGAGAGACTCCCAGCTGACACTAGGAATTCTAATGAGAGAGACTCCTGGCCTACCCCACGTGGTCAAATGTTAAAAACAGCTGGGAGCAACAACAGGCATTATAATAGGAGGGACTCCCGGCAAACTCCAGTGAATCTAGCGAGAGAGACTTTTCTCTGACCCCATGCAGTCTAAGGATAAATACTCCTGGATGACTCCAGGCATTTTATTAAGAAAGACTCCTGGCCAAGTCCAGGCAGTCTAAGGATAGAGACATCTGGGTGATCTCAGGCATTCTAATGAGAGAGACTTCTGGCCAACGCCAGGGAGTCTAATTATATAGACTCCTGGGCGACCTTAGGCATTCTAATAGAAGAGACTTGTGGCCAACCCTAGGCAGTGTGATGATAGAGACACCTGGGCAACCCCAGGCATTCTAATAGGAAAGACTCCTGGACAACCCCAGGCATCCTAATGATAGAGACACCTGTGCTACCCCAGGCAGTCTAATGATAGAGACACCTGGCCAACTGAGGCATTTTAATAAAAGACTCCTGCCCGAACCCAGGCAGTCTAATGATAAAGAAACTTGGGTGACCCCAGGCATTCTAATATGCTGGGGTCTGTCCTGCAGACCCTGACTCAACAACGAATAAATAACATACACTGACACAGATCTTATGCTTGTCAGTCCTGCCAAATGTCTGGGCCATTTACGGACTCCAAGGAGAGTCCTGTCAGCCACAGCCCCGACTCATTGGCCCTCCCAGCATTTATTTAGCACACATTCAATGACAGAAGTCCCAAGTAAACACCACTAGAAGGTAATTACTGTTGCTGAGCCACAGAGTAGAGAGCAATCATGCACCCGCGGATGGTCAGAGGTTAGTTTTAGAACCATATGAGTAAACAAGCTATTTAGATAAACTACTCTACATTCCTATGTTAGTTACCCTTGCTATAGTTCAAAGAGGATTAGGCCATCTTCAGCAAAGCTATCTGAAGCTATGCAAACCCCCCTGGCCTTCCAAGAAGGTTTATGTTTTATAATTTTCCCACCTATCCTGACTGAAACCCTGCATCTCCCCCTTTTCTGTTTTCTGCATTAGGTCTTTTTGATTGGAGAATGCAGATGTATGCAGCAACAGGTTTGTAAGGCATGGCAGCCATTGCTTTTATTCCGGCTTTGCATCCTAGAATTAGCAAATCACATAATGTAATCATGATTATAATTAGCAACATTATTTTCCAGTCAAAGAGTGACCCATAGTGTTACTTGGCATCTCAGTTCACTCTATGCCATCAATGAGGAACCCCACCGGGAGAATGTTAATTTCTTTTAGCCAAGCAGTCTCACTGTTAGAAGCTCTGAAGGGGGTGTTTGTTAAGTAACAGGGCATAAAAAAGGGTGGATTTCAGAGATGAGCTTAATAGAGTGTAGCAAGTACTGGTTGCAGGCAGAGTGAGAGAATTAAAAAGGAATAAATTATTTGGCTTAGCCTTATGCCTCTTCAGCATAATGTCTGGGGCCTGCATCATCCATGGAAGCTGCATCGTCTGGGGCTGCAGGTCCTGTAGGGTCTTTTTTAGACTGGCTCGGGTTTTTTCTTCTTTCCATCATTTGATGAGGACGTAGTCTCCAGGCTCGTGCTAGTGTACTGGAAATTCTAGGGGTGGTGCCTGTGCTAAGAGACCTTTTATAATCTTTGTTAAAGAGCAGGTTAGTGCTTTAAGAAAAACCTGTTGTGCTTTATTTTGAAGTCTGGTTTACAAAAAAACTGGACGATACCTTTTTTAACTTTAGCCAATATGTTTCTGTCTGATCTCAGAAGCTAAGCCAGGCAATTTTCTCCATTTCTGGTACTGGGTTGTGTCCTAGCCACACCATGGTATGGTTTAATGCATTGTGCTGGAATCCAAAGAGGACCTGAGGGTGTGGAAAAACAAGCATACCCTCTTCCCCACGTTAACAATTCATTTGGACCATACCATTCGTTTCTGTTTACATCTTCCCATAAAACTGCAGGTTTTATGTCTTCTGAGGTTATTGCAAAGTGCTTTTCTGCAGCTGATTGAACTTTGTCATCTAAATTTTAAAACTTAAGAGTAAATAAGACTTGTGCCAATAACATTACAAGAACTTTACCCATACTCCCTCTTTTCTGTTTTTTGAGCATATTTTTAATGATGGAGTGGGCACGTTCTACTATGGCTTGTCCATATATGGGATGCGTGTGGAATATTGGATATTCCATGTGTGACAAAATTGTTGAAATTGTGAGCTGGCATA
This sequence comes from Homo sapiens, assembly GCF_000001405.40. Taxonomy (NCBI): domain Eukaryota; kingdom Metazoa; phylum Chordata; class Mammalia; order Primates; family Hominidae; genus Homo; species Homo sapiens. The sequence continues at coordinate 27,749,777 of NC_000019.10, read as the reverse complement.
AGCTGGACCATTATCAGTTTTAATTTTGGTGGGCAGTCCCATAAATGCAAAAGTTAAAATATGTTTAATGACATATCGAGTTGACTTTCCAGGCAGAGCATGTGCACTAATTAAGTGAGTGTTGGGGTTCTAGTCCTCAAAAGTTAATACCTGTGGAAGGAGGGGATGTGCTTGTGAGCTGACAATCCAGGCATTGCAGGATAATTTGTTTAGCCAGTCTCTGGGTAAGTTGAAATTGTTTAGATAAATTTCTCCAATTTTGGTGGAAAAATTGATGCGATTTGGTGGCTTGGTCAAGCAGTGATGTCATGACTTCTGGATCAACTTGTTAATTTTCTTTTTCTTTTTTTTTTTTTTTTGAGACAGAGTCTTGCTCTGTCACCCACGCTGGAGTGCAGTGGCACTATCCCAGCTCACTGCAAGCCCCACCTCCCGGGTTCATGCCATTCTCCTGCCTCAGCCTCCCGAGTAGCTGGGACTACAGGCATCCGCCACCGTGCCCAGCTAATTTTTTTTGTATTATTATTATTATTTTTTTCTTAGTAGAGATGGGGTTTCACCATGGTCTCGATCTCCTGACCTCGTGATCCGCCTGCTTCGGCCTCCCAAAGTGCTGGGATTACAGGCGTGATTCACCACGCCTGGCCAACTTGTTCATTTTCATAAGTCAATGGGCCAGGAAGAGAGCTGTGGGCTCCAATGCATGTGATAAAAATAGGATGTGTACTTAGATCTAGTAATTGCTGAAGTTGAAGAAAAAGAGCACACAGGATGGGCTCAAGATTGGATTTAATTAAGGCTGTTTTAAGGTTCTGCAATAAATAAACAAAGTAAGCTGAGTCACTCACTATATTGATAGGCTGAGTGGAAAAAGTTTCCAAGACCAGTATCAGGGCCCCATTTCAGCTCTCTGAGTGCTAGTAAGCCCAGATTGAGTGACTGAATGATGTGGTCTCCACCAGACTGTCACTTTTCCATGTTTACAGGAACCATCAGTAAATAGTGTTAAAGCATTAGGTATGGGGGAGTAAACTATTTTTGTGGGCAAGATTACTGGCATATGAGATAAGAAATGAAGAAGTTTATTAGCAGGAAGTTCATGCTCTATTTGTCCTGTGTAATCAGAGAAAGCTATTTGCAGATATATTGATAAGCGCAATACTGCTTCAAATTGCTTTTTACTTAAAGGAATCCTGATGATATCAGGATCATAACCTAGCAGCTGATTGCATCGTTTGCAGCCTGAATAGATGACTTTAGTAATGAACTGAATATAGGGAGATAGCGTTTTAGTCCCGGTATGTGAGCAAAAAACCCATTCTAGGAAGTGTGGCCTGGGGGCTATTTGCCCTATTAACCCTGTAGGGGAGTGTTTGGTGGGAAAGATAAACAATTTAATTGAATAAGGTGAATCAATGCGATTTAGCTGCCTCTGAGAGGTGGCTTGCTCTATTTCCTCGATTTCCCTTTCTGCTGCAGGGGTTAAATATCTGGGAGAATCCAGGGCTGGATTGCCCTTTAAGATAGAAAACAGGTTGTATAGCTTATCAGTAGGAATTCCCGAAGTGGGTTGAAGCCATTTAATATCTCTCAGTAATTTTTGATAATCATTTAAGGTATGTAAGTTGCTGGTATTTAATTTAAACTTCTGAGGTTTTACTCACCAGGCAGTTAGTATGTACCCAACATATTTCCAAGGAGAAGAAATCTGTACTTTCCCAGGTGCAATGATTAGACCTCTTAGCTGTGTATTCTTTATGACAGAGGAATATAAATTTAAAATATTGGCTCCTTTGGAGCTTCTAGTAGAATATCATCCACAAAATGAATATTTGTGCAATCAGGAAATTCTTTTCTACTTGGGAGCAAAGCTTGATTTACATGATACTGACACGTGGTGGGACTGTTTAGCATTCCTTGAGGAAGGATTTTCCAATGAAATCAACAAGCTGACTTTTCGTTATTGATAGCTGGTATTGTAAACGCAATTTTTTCTCTGTCCTGCTAGGGGAATCATATAAAAGAATGTCTTATGTCAATAACAATTATAGGCAATCTTGAGGAATTGCCCTGGGCGAAAGGAGCCCCTGCTGAAGGGGTCCCACAGGTTGCAAATTGGCATTAATAGCACGTAGGTCATGAAAAAGTTACCATTTCCCAGACTTTTGGGGAATGATGAAAATGGGTGAATTCTAAGGGCTGCTAGATAATTCAACATGCCCAGCTTTCAATTGCTCTCCAACTAATTCATGGGCCCTCTGTAATTTCTCTCATTCAGAGGTTACAGTTTTATTTTAATTAGATGTGGAGAGAGTCACGCTAGGGGCAAGCAAGAGATAACAGTGGCTATTATCAGAAAGAGGTCTTTTAAATTCTTAAATTTTACTTAAATCTTAGCAGAGAATTATAATTTGGGACGTCTCTGTATACAATAAACACATGAAATTTTGTCGTGGGCCGCCTGCGGAGCTGTAGAGCTGAGCGGGCAGGTCCGGGGGCAGCGGCTGCGATGTGCTTGCTCAGGCCCTGCCGCTTCTTGTCTGCACCGCTTCTTTCTGCGTGTGCCGCTCCCTCCTCCCGCCACCGGGTGGCTGCTGCAGGTTGGGTGAGCCTTCCCGCGCACACCTTCTGCCCCTCAGTAGCAGGCCGCTCTGGTGCACTGGACCTGGCTTTTCGTCAACACAGCTGCTACGCAGGCCAAGTTTTGGGGAGCATTTGCTGGCAGTGTTTGCTTTCTATTTACTGCATGCTTGACCGCAGCACTCTGGCCTCTAATGCTTTTTCTTAACCCTTTAGGTACCTGATTGCCTTGCTGACCTTGCATTACCAGGCAGGCTAAAAGCTCCCCTTCTAATGCCGCTTGATTAGACAGGGTCTCATAGGTGTAGCGTGTCTCCTGTCCTTTTTCCTATCTCTTGGAGGAGGTGGCTCAGGAAAAACCCCGTTTCCTTTTTGTTATTCTGGCCCGGTGATATATCCGGGCTGAAGGAAAAGGAGGTGGTAACGCAGGTTACGGTTCCTCCTTCCCCTTTTTAGGCTCTTCTGTGTATAATGGAGCCTGGTCCAGCCTAATTACAGCCCATAGCGCTAGAGGTGTTACTGGGACTCATTGCCCTTGTGCATAATGCTGTTTAAGATTTCTCCCCACTTGTTCCGAGAGCTTTATGTCTAGCGTGCCTTTTTCTGGGAACCATAGGCTTTGGCTTATAACAGTTTGCATTAGGTCATTTAATTGAGCCTGCAAAACTGAGGCTCCACTAGCCTTAAGCAGCTGTTTCAACACTTTTATGTACTGTTTCTGTTGAGCTGATAACTGTTGTCTCATGATGAAACCTCAGCCTGAACAATCTCCCCTGAACTTGGAGATCCTGAGTGGGCACCAATGACTTACTGATTGCTCGCTGATGACAAGGTTCCTTTTTCACCTTCGTTTTCAGGGTGTCCATCGCGCTTCCTTCACTGCCTTGATCATGTCGGGGTCACCACCTGCGGGGGTTTGTCCTGCAGACCCTGACTCAACGACGGATGAATAATGTACACTGACACAGATCTTATGCTTGTCAGTCCTGCTGAGCATCCAGGCCACTTACAGACTCCAAGAAGAGTCCTGTCAGCCACGGCTCTGACTTGTTGGCCCTCCCGGCATTTATTTAGCACACATTTAATGACAGAAGTCTCAGGTAAACACCACTAGAAGGTAATTATTGTTGCTGAACCCCCGAGTAGAGAGCAATCATGCACCAGTGGATGATCAGAGGTTAGTTTTAGGACCACATAAGTAAACAAGCTATTTAGGTTAACTACTCTATGTTCCTATATTAATTACCCTTGCTATAGTTCAAAGAGGATTAGGCCACCTTCAGACAAAGTATTTGAAGCTATACAAAACCCCCTGGCCTTCCAAGAATGTTTGTGTTTTATAGTTTTCCCCAGCATCTTGACTGAACCCCTACACTAATGGGAGAGGCTCTGGGACAAACCCTGGCATTCTGTTGGTAGAAACAACTGGGCAAACCCAAGCATTTTAATGATAGAGACAACTGGGCGACCACAGGCATTCTAATGTGAGAGACTCCTGGCCAACCCCAGGCATTCTAATGGAGAGACTCCTGGCTGACCACAGGCAGTCTAATGATAGAGAAACCTGGGCAACCCAGGCATTCTAATGGGAGAGACTCCTGGGTGACCCCAGGCAGTCTAATAAAGTGAAACATGGGCTTAACTAAACATTCTAATGGGAGAGACTCCCAGCCGACTAAAGGCATTCTAACGGGAGAGACTCCTTGCCGACCCAAGCAGTCTATGGATAGAGACATCTTGGCAACCCCAGGCATTCAAATGGGAGAGATTCCAGGCCAACCCCAGCAGTCTAATAATAGAGCCACACGAGTGACAGCAGGCATTCTAATGGGAGAGACTCCTGGCTGAATCCAGGCAGTCTAATGATAGAGGCACCTGGGCAACCCCAGGCATTCTAATGAAAGAGACTCCTGGCTGAACATTCTAGTGGGAGAGACTCCTGGCCAACCCCAGGCAGTCTCAGAGAAACTTGGGCGACTCCAGGCATTCTAATGGGAAAGACTCCAGGCCAACCCCGGCAGTCTAATGATAGAGACACCTGGACAACCCCAGGTATTCTAATGGGAGAGACTCCCAGCCGACCCCAGGCATTCAAATGGGAGAGACTCCTGGCCAACCCCAGGCAGTCTAATGGTAAAGACATCCAGATGATCCCAGGCATTCTAATAGGAGAAACTACCAGCCAACCAGAGGCCGTCTAATGATAGAGACACCTCGGTGAGACCAGACATTCTAATGTGAGAGTCTTCTAGCTGACCCCAGGCATTCTAATAATAGTGACACCTGGGAGAACACAGCCTTCCTATTGGGAGAGACTCCAACTCAACCCCAGGCATTCTCTTGGGAGAGACTTCTTGCTGATTGCAAGCAGTCTAATTATTGAGACACATGGGCAACCCCAGGCATTCTAATGGGAGAGAACCCTGGCTGACTGCAGGCAATCTAATGATGGAGACACTGGGAGGCCACAGGCATTCTTATTGGAAACACCCGTGGTTGAGCCCAGGCATTCTAATGATAGAGACACCTGGGGGACTCCACGCATTTTAAAAGGAGAAACTCCCAGGTTACCCAACACATTCTATTGGGAGGGACCCCTGATGAACCCCAGGCATTTTAAAGGGAGAGACCCTGGCTGACCCAAGACATTCTAATGGGAGATACCCCTGATGGAACCTAGGCAGTCTAAGAGTAGAGACATCTGGGCAACAACAGACATTCTAATGAAAGAGACTCCTGGCTGAATCTAGGCAGTCTAAGGATAAAGAAACCTGGGGTAGCCATGGGTTTTTTTTTTTTTTTTGAGACTCATGGCTGACCCCAGGCAGGCTGTCTAATTATAGAGACACATGGGAGACCTCAGCCATTCTAATGGGAGACACTCCCAGCTGACCCCAGGCAGTCTAATGATAGAGACACCTGGGCGACCCAAGGCATTCTAATGTGAGAAACTTCCAGTCGACCAGGTAGTCTGGTGATATAGACACCTGGGTGATTCCAGACAATCTAATGGGATAAACTTTTGGCAAAACCCAGACATTCTAATGGGAAAGATTGCCGGCGGATCCCAGATATTCTAATGGAAAAGCCTCCTGGCCGAACTCAGGCAGTCTAATGATAGAGACACCTAAGTGACCCCAGGCATTCTAATGGGAGAGACTCCCATCTGACCTCAGGCAGTCTTATGATTGAGACACCTGGGCAACCACAGGCATTCTAATGGGAGAGACTCTCAGTCATCCCGAGGCATTTTAATAATAGAGACACCTGGGCGACCTGAGGCATTTTAATGATAGAAACACCTGTGCGACCCCAGGCACTCAAATGAGAAAGACTCCCAGCTGACACCAGGCATTCTAATAAGGGAGACTTTTGGCCGACCCCAGGTGGTCAAATATTAAAGACAGTTGGGCAAACCCAAGCATTCTAATGAAGAGAATATTATCTAACCCCAGGCAGTCTAATGATAGAGACACCTGGGCAACACCAGGCATTATAATGGGAGAGACTCCCAACCAACCCAAGGCAGTCTAATGATAGAGACACCTTGGTGACCGGTGACCGCAGGCATTCTAATGGGAGCGACTGCTTGCCAACCCCATGCAGTCTAATTAAAGTGACAAGTTGGTGACCCCATGCATTTTAATGGAAGAGACTACTACTGGTCGTCCCAAGGTATTGTAATGACAGAGACACCTGGGTGACCCCAGGCATTTCAATGATAGAGACTCCTGTGGACCCCAGGCACTCAGATGGGAGTTATTCTTGGCTGACACCAGGCATTCTAATGAGAGAGACCCCCAGCCGACCACAGGCATCCTAAAGATAGAGACACCTGGGTGACACCAGGCATTTTAATGGAAGAGACTCCCAAACAACCCCAGACAGTATAATGACAGACTCACCTAGGCAGCCCCAGGCATTCTAATAGGAGAGACTCGAGGCCAAACCTTGGCATTCAAATGATAGAGACAAGTGGGTGGCTCCAATCATTTTCAGGATAAAGACACCTGAGTGACCATAGGAATTCTAATGTGAGAGGCTCCTGGCCAACCTCTGGCATTCTAATGGAGAGACAACTGGCTAAGCATAGGCAGTCTAATGATAGAGATACCTGGGTGATCCCAGGCATTCTAATGGGAGAGACCCCTGGCCGACCCCAGTCAGTCTAATTAAATAGACACCTGGGTGACCCCAGGCATTAAAATAAGAGAGACTCCTACCCAATCTCAGACATTCTAATGGGGGAGACTTCTGGCAGTTTATTGATAGAGACACCTGGGCGACCTCAGGCATTCTAATAAGAGAGATTCCTGGCCGACCCCAGACGGTCTATGCATAGGGACACCTGGGCGATTCCAGGCATTATAATGGGAGAGTCTTACGGTTGACCCCAGGCAGTCTATGGATAGAGACAACTGGGCGATTGCAGGCATTCTAATGCAAGAGACTCTCTGCCAACCCGAGGCATTCTAATGATAGAGAAACCTGGGAGACCCCAGGCATTGTAATTATTTAGGCACCAGTGAGACCCCAGGCATTCTAATGGGAGAGAATTTTGGTTGACATCAGACATTCTAATGAGAGACTCCTGTCTGATGCCAGGCAGTCTAACAATAGAGACACGTGGGCAACCCAGGTATTCTAATGGGAGAGACTTCCAGTCATCCCTAGACAGTCTAATGATAGAGAAACTGGGAGACCCAGACATTTTAATGGGAGAGACTCCTGGCCAACCCAAGCAGTCTATGGATAGAGACTTGGGTGACAACAGGCATTCTAATGAGAGAGATTTCTGGCCCACCCCAGGCATTCTAATGATAGAGACAAGTGGGCAACCCCAAGCATTTCAATGATAGAGACACCTGGGCAACCACAGGTATTCTAATGTTACAGACTCAGGGCTAACCTCAGACATTCTAATGGAGAGATTCCTGGCTAAGCACAGGCAGTCTAATGATAGACATACCTGGACTACCACAGGCATTTTAATAGGAGAGACTCCTGGCCGACTAAACGCAGTCTAATTAAAGTGACAAATGGGCAACTCCTGGCATTCTAATGGGAGAGACTCCTGGCCAACTGCATGCAGTTTTATTAAAAAGACACCTGGGCGACCCCAGGCATTCAAATAAGAGAGAATCCTAGCTGACCCAAGGCATTCTAATGGGAGACACTCCTGGCTGACCCAAGCAGTCTGTTGATAGAGACACCTGGGTGACTGGAGGCATTCTAATGGGAGAGATTCCTGGCTGACCTCACACAGTCTAATTATAGAGAAACTTGGGTGACCCCAGGCATTCTAATGGGAGAGACTAATGGCCGCAGTGGCTGGCATGAAATTAACCAACCCTGGGTTTAGTATAGCTTAAACTTTCATTTATTGCTAGGCTGACCCCAGGCAGTCTAATGATAGAGACAAATAGGCAACCGCAGGCATTTCAGTGAAAGAGACTCCTGGATGACCACAGACAGTCTAATGATAGAGGCATCTGGGTGACCCTAGGCATTGTAATGAGAAAGACGCCTGGACGACCTCAGGCAGTATAATTAAAGACCCCTGGGTGCCACCAGGCATTCTAATAGGAGAGTCTTTCGGCTGACCGAAAGCATTCTATTGGGAGTGACTCCTGTTTGACTCCAAGCAGTCTATGCATACAGACCACCTAAGCGACCCCAGGCATTCTAATGAAATACATACCTGGCCGAACCCAGACAGTCTAATTATAGAGACACTTTGGCGACCCCAGGCATTCTAATGAAAGAGACTTTCATCTGACATCTGAAAGTCTAAGGATAGAGACTCCTGGGCGACCCCAGGCATTCTAATGGGAGAGAGCCCTGGTCGAACCCAGGAAGCTCAATTATACAGACTCCTGGGCGACCACAAGCATTCTAATAGGAGAGACTCTCAGCCCACCCCAGGCAGTCTAAAAATAGAGGTACTTGGGCCACCCAAGTCATTCTAATGGAGGAGACTCCCCAACGACCCCAGGCAATCTAATGTTAGAGACACTAATGAAAGATACTCCCAGACAACACCAGTCAGTGTGATGAAAGAGACACTTGGGTGACCCCAGGTGTTCTTATGGGAAAGACTCTCAGACCACCGCAGGCATTCTAGTGATAGGGATACCTGTGCAACCCCAGGCAGTCTAATGATAGAGACACCTGGGAAACCCCAGGCAGTCTAAATAAGAGACACCTAAGCGACCCCACGCTTTCTAATAAAAGAGACTCCCAGGCGACCCAAGGCATTTTAATCAGACTCCTGGCCAAACCCTGACAATCTAATGATGGGGACAAGTGGGCCACCCCAATCATTTTAATGATAGAGACACCTGAGTGACCCCAGACATTCTAATGTGAGAGACTCCTGGCAAGCTCCAGCGATTCTAATGGGAGAAACTCTTGTCTGGCTTCAGGCAGTCTAAGGATAGGGAAATTTGGGTGACTGTAGGCATTCTAATATGAGACTCCCAGCCGAACCCAGGCAGTCTAATAATAGAGACACTTGGGGGACCTCAGGAATTTTAATGGGAGAAACTTTTGGCTGACCACATGCAGTCTAATGATAGAAAACCCTGGGTGGCCCCAGGCATTCTAATGTGAGAGACTTTTGGCCAACCACAGGCAGTCTAATTGAAGTGAAAGGTGGGTGGCCCCAGGCATGCTAATGGGAGAGACTCCTGGCTGAACCCAGGGAGTCCATTGATAGGGACCTCTGGGTGACCACACACACTCTAATAATAACGACTCTTGGACGACCCCAGGCAGTCTAATTAAAATGACCACTGGGTGACCTGAGGCATTCTAGTAGGAGAGACTTAGCCGGCCCAAGGCATTCTAATGGAAGTGACTCGTGGCCTACACCAGGCAATCTATGCATAGAGACACCTAAGGGACCCCAGGCATTCTAATGGGATAGATTCCTGGCCAGCCCTAGGAAATCTAATAATAGAGACACCTGGGCGATTGCAGGCATTCTAATGCGGGAGACTCTTGGCAGACATGAGGCTTTCTAATGATAGGGACACATGGGCAACCCAGGCATTGCAATGATAGAGACACCTGTGAGAACCCAGGCACTCTAATGGGAGAAACTTTCCGTTGACACCAGGCATTCGATTGAGAGAGACTCCTGTCTGACACCAGGCAGTCTAATGAGAGAGAAACCTGGGAGAGACTCTTGGCTGACCCAAGCAGTCTATGGGTAGAGACACATGGGTGACCCCAAGCACTCTAATGGGGAAGATTTCTAGCTGACTCCAGGCAGTCTAATGATAGAAACACCTGGGCAACCCCAGGCATTCTAATAAGAGATACTCCTGTGTGACCCCAGGCAGTATTATGATAGAGACACCTGGTGACCGAAGGCATTCTAATAAGAGAGACTACCGATCGTCCCGAGGTATTGTAATTATAGAGACACCTGGGTGACCCCAGGCATTGTAATGATAGAGACATCTGTGTGACCCCAGGTATTCAAATGGGAGAGACTCTTGACTGACACCAGGCATTCTAATGAGAGAGACTCCAGGAAGATCCAGGCAGTCTAATGATAAATATACCTGGGCGAACCCAGCCATTCTAATTGGAGAGACTTCTGGCTACCTCAGTCATTCTAAGGTGAGAGACTATTATTCGACTTCAGGCAGTCTAGGGATAGACTCCTGGTCCAATCCAGGCATTCTAATGTGAGATACTCCTGGCAGTACCTAGGCAGTCTAATGATAGAGACACTTGGTCTACCCCAGGCATTTTAATGGGAGAGACTCCTTCCTGACCCCAGTCAGTCTAATTATACAGACTCCTGGGACACCCCAGGCATTCTAATGAAAGAGACTCCCAACCAACCCCAGGCAGTGTGATGATAAAGACACTTGGGCTACTCTAGGCATTCTAATGAGAGAGACTCCCAAAAGACTTTAGGCATTCTAATAATAGAGACACCTCTGTGACCCCAGGCAGTCTAATGATAGAGAGAACTGGGCAACCACAGTCATTCTTATGGGAGAGACCTCCAGCCAACCACAGGCATTCTAATGATAGAGGCACCTGGATGAAACTAGGTATTTTAATGGGAGAGACACCCAAGCCAACACCAGACAGAATAATGATAGAGACACCTGGGCGACCTCAGGCATTCTAATGGGAGACACTCCAGGCTGAACCCTGGCATGCTAATGATAGGGGCACGTGGGTGGCCCCAAGCATTTTAATAATAGAGACACTTGGGTGACCACGGGCATTCTAATGTGAGAGACTCCTGGCTAAACTCAGGCATTCTAATGGAGAGACACCTGGCTGACCACAGGCAGTCTAATGATAGAGACACCTCGGTGACCACAGGCATTCTAATAAAAGAGACTCCTGGCCAACCCCAGACAGTCTAATTAAAGTGCAACCTGGGCGACCTCAGGCATTGTAATGGAAGAGATTCCTAAGTGACCTCAGGCAGTCGAATTAAAAAGACAGGTGAATGACCCCAGGCATTCAAATAAAAGAGACTCCTAGCTGACACCAGACTTTCTAATGGGAGAGACTCGTGGCTGACCCATGCAGTCTGTTGATGAGACACCTGGGTGACCACAGGCATTCTAATGGGAGAGATTCCTGGTGGACCCCACACAGTCTAATTATAGAGAAACCTGGGTGACCCCAGGCATTCTAATGGGAGAGACTACTGGCCGACCCCAGGCAGTCTAATTTTAGAGAAACATGGGCAATCACAGGCATCCCAATGAAAGAGAAACCTGGATGGCCCCAAGCAATCTAATTATAGAGGTACCTGGGTGACCCCAGGCATTTTAATGGAAGAGACTCCAGGCCAACCCCAGGCAGTCTATTGATAGGGACAACTGGGCGACCAGAGGCATTGTAATGAGAAGGAGTCCTGGACGACCCCAGGCAGTCTAATTAAAAAGACCCCTGGGTGCCCCCAAGCATTCTAATAGGAGAGACTTTCAGGTGACAGAAGGCATTCTAATGGGAGTGAATCCTGGCCAACTCCAGGCAGTCTACGCATAGAGACACCTAAACGACCCCAGGCATTCTAATGGGAAAGATTCCTGGCCTAACCCAGATAGTCTAATTATAGAGACACCTGGGCAACCCCATTAATTCTAATGAGAGACTTTCGTCCGACCCCTGGCAATCTAGAAATAGAGACTCCTTAGTGATCCCAGGCATTCTAATGAGACAGACTCCTGGTCAAACTCAGGCAGTTCAATTATATAGACTCCTGGGTGACCCCACACATTCTAATGGGAGAGACTCTAAGCTGACCCTAGGCAGTCTAATGATAGAGACACTTGGGTGACCATGGGCATTCTATTGGTTGAGACTCCCTGACGATCCTAGGCATTCTAATCTTAGGGACACCTGTGCAAAACCAGGCAGTCTAATGTTAGAGAGACCTGGGTGACCCCAGCCATTCTTACAGGAGAGACCCCCAGCCAACCCCAGGAATTCTAATGATAGAGACACATTGGCGACCCCAGTCATTCTAATGGGAGAGACTCCCGGATGACACAAGGCAGTCTAATGATAGAAACACCTGGGCAAACCTAGGCATTCTAATGGGAGAGACTTCCCACAGAATCTTGGTGTTCTAATGATAGAGACAACTGGGCAACCTCAAGTATTTTAATGGTAGACACACCTGGGCAACCCCAGGCACTCTAATGTGAAAGACTTTTGGTCATTACCAGGCATTCTGATGGAGAGACTCCTGGGAGACCACAGGCTGTCTAATGATAGAGACACTGGACAACCACAGAAATTCAAATGGAGGAGACTTCTGGCCTACCCCAGGCTGTCTAATAATAGAGACACCTGAGCAACCCCAGACATTTTAATGGGAGACACTTTCATCTGACCCCAGGCAGTATTACAATAGAGACACCTGGAGACCACAGGCATTCTAATGGGATAGAATACTGGTCGTCTCAAGTCATTGTAATGAGAAAGAAACCTGGATGCCCCAGGCATTGTCATGATAGAGACATTTATGCTACTCTAAGCACTCAAATGGGAGAGAATCTTGGCTGACACCAGGCATTCTAATGAGGTAGATATTAGGATGATCCCAGGCAGTCTAATGATAGAGACACCTGGGCAAACTCAGGCCTTCTAATGGGAGAGACTCCTGGCTACCCAAGGCAGTCTAATGATAGAGACACCTGGGCGACCCCAAATATTCTAATGAAAGAGATTCCCAGTTGACACCAGATACTATGATGTTAGAGACACTTGGGTGACCCCAGGCATTCTAATGGGAAAGAATCTTGGACCACCCCAGGCATTCTAATGATAGAGATACCTGTGCAACTCCAGGCAGTCTAATGATAGAGACACCTGGGCAACCAAGGCAGTCAAGATAAGGGACAACTAAGTGACCCCAGGCAAACCTAGGCATTCTAATCAGAGAGACTCCTGGCTGAACCCCAGCATTCTAATGATGAAGACAAGTGGGCCACCCCAATCATTGTAATGATAGAGACATCTGGGCAATGCAAAGGATTCTAATGTGAGAGACTCCTGGTGAACCCCAGTGATTCTAATGGGAGAGACTCTTGTCAAACTTCAGGCAGTCTAAGGATAGAGAAACCTGGGTAACTCCAGGCATTCTAATAAGAGAGACTCCATAACGAACCCAGGCAGTTTAATGATAGAGACACTTAGGGGACCCCAGGCATTTTAATGGGAGACTTTTGGCTGACCACAGGCAGTCTAATGATAGAGACAGCTGGCGATCCCAGGCATTCTAATGTGAAAGAAGTTTGGCCGGCCATAGGCAGTCTAATGAAAGTGAAACTTGGGCTACCACAGGCATTCTAATGAGAGAGACTCCTAGCTGACCTAAGGCAATCTGATAAGAGACACCTGGGCAATCAAAGGTATTCTAATAATAGAGACTCCCATCCAACCCAAGGCATTTTAATGGGAGAGACTTCTGACGGACCCAAGCAGTCTATTGATAGAGACACCTGGGAGACCCCAGACATTTTAATGGGAGAGACTCCCAGCCAATACCAGGCAGTCTAATGAAACAAACACCTGGGTGACCGAAGGTGTTCTAATGGGAGAGACTCTCAGCCAACCCCAAAAATCTAATGATTGAGATACCTGTGCGACCCCAGGCATTCTAGTGGGAGAGACCCATGTCTAATTTCAGGCAGTCTATTGATAGAGACAAATGGGCGACCACATGCATTCTAATGGGAGACACTTCTGCTCAACTCCAGGCATTTTAATAGGAGAGGCTCCTGGCCAACCCAAAGCTTGCTAATAACAGAGACACCTGCTTGACCCCAGGCATTCTAATGTGAGAGACTTTTGGCAAACTGCAGGCAGTTTATTGATAGAGACACCTTGACGAGCACAGGCATTCTAATGGAAGAGACCCCTGGCTGACCCCAGGCAGTCTAATTAAAGAGACACCTGGGTGTCTTCAGGCGTTCTAAAAGGGGAGACTCCCAGCAGAACCCAGGCATTCTACTGGGAGAGACTTCTGGCTGAAAGAGGCAGTCTATGCATAGAGACACCTGGGAAACTCCAGGCATTCTAATGGGAGAGATTCCTGGCTGACCCCAGGTAATCTAATTATAGAGACACCTGAGAGACCTCAGGCATTCTAATGGTAGAGACTCCCTGCTGACTCCAGGAAGTCTGATGACGGAGACATTTGGGCGACTGCAGGCATTCTAATGACAGACACTCCCGGCCGACCCCAGGCAGTCTAATGATAGAGACAACTGGGTGAACACAGACATTCTAATGAGAGAAACTCCTGGTCAACTTGAGGCTTTTTAATGATAGAGACACCTGAGTGGCCCCAGGCATTGTAATGATATAGACACCTCCACGACACCAGGCACTCAAATAAGAGAGACTCCTGGCCAGCACCAGGCATTCTGATGAAAGAGACACCTGGCCAAACCCAGGCAGTCTAATGATAGAAACACCTGGGTGAACCCAGGCATTCTAATGGGAGAATTTCCCATTTAACCCGAAGCAGTCTAATGATGGAGACATCTAGGCAGCTTCAGGCATTCTGATAGGAGAGGGTCCTGGCCAAACCCAGTGATTCTTATGGGAGAGAATCTTGTCTGACCCCAGGCAGTCTAAAGATAGAGACTCCTTCATGACCACAGGCATTCTAATGGGAGAGACGTTCTGCCAAACCCAGGCAGTCTAATGATAGAGACACCTGGGTGACCCCAAGCATTCCAAAGGAAAAGGCTCCTGGCCAACCCCAGGCAGTCTAATTATACAGATTTTTGGGTGACTCCAGGCATTCTAATGAGAGAGACTCCTGGCCAACCCCAGGCAGTCTAATGATAAAGACAGTTGGGCTACCCCAAACTTTCTAATAGAAGAGACTCCTGCATGACCCCAGGCATTCTAGTGATAGAGACAGCTGAGCGAACCCAGGCATTCTAACTGGAGAGAATCCAGACCAACTCCAGGCAGTCTAATGATAGAGACACCTGGGCCACCCAAACATTCTGATGAAAGAGACTACTGGCCGACTTCAGATAGTCTAATGATAGAGCCACCCGGGTGATCATAGGCATTCTAATGGGAGAGACTCCTGGCCAACCCCAAGCATTTTAATGATAAAGACATTTGGGCAACCACAGGCATTCTAATGGGAGAGAATTTTGGCTGAACTCAGGAATTCTAATGATAAAGACATCTTGGCAACCCTAGGCAGCCTAATGATAAAGACACCTCAGCGACCCCAGGTATTTTTATTAGAGAGGCCCCCCAATCCTGGCATTCTAATGATAAAGACACCTGAACGACCCAAGGCATTTTAATGGGAGAGATTCCTGGCTGACCCCTGGCAATCAAATGATAGAGACTCCTGAGTGACCTCAGGCAGTCTAATGATAGAGATATCTGGCTGTCCACAGGTATTTTTATGGGAGAGACCCCAGTCAGCCCCAGGCATTTTAGTGATAGTGAAACTTGAACAACCCCAGGCATTCTAATGGGAGAGGCTCCCGGCTGACCCCAGGCATTCTAATGATAGAGTCACCTAAGTGACCTCAGGCATTCTAACTTTAGATATTCCCAGCAAACCTCATGCATTCTGATGGGAGAGATTCCTGGCTGGCCCCAGGCCATCTAATGATACAGACGCTTGGGCAATTCCAAGCATTCTAATTAAAGAGACTCCTGGCTGACAACAAGCAGTCTAATTAAAGAGATACCAGGGTGGCCCCAGGCATTCTAATAGCGGAGAACCCCAGCTGACACCAGAGATTCTAATCAGAAAGACTTCCAGCTGAAATCAGGCAGCCTATATAGACACCTTGGTGACCCAAGGTATTCTAATGGGAGAGACTCCTGGCCAACCACAGGCAGTCTAATGATAGAAACACCTGGAAGAGCACAGGAATTTTAATGGGAGAGAGTTTTGGCTGACCCCAGGCAGTCTTACGATTGAAATACCTGGGAGACTCCAGGCATTCTAATTTTAGAGACTCCTGGCAAACCCCAGGCATTCTAAAAAGAGACTCCTAGTAACCACAAACAGTCTAGTGATAGAGACACCTGGGAAACCATAGGAATTCTAATGGGAGAGATTCTTGGCCCAACCCCAGCATTCTAATGATGAAGAAAAGTGGGTGAGGCAAAGCATTTTAATAATAGAGACACCTAGGTGACCCCAGGCCTTCTAATTCAAGAAACTATTGGCCAACACCAAGCATTCTAATAGAGAGACTGCTGGTGAACACAGGTGTCCTATGAATAGAGACACCTGGATGATCCCAAGCATTCTGATGAAAGAGACTCTTGGCCGACAACAGGCAATCTAATTATACAGACTCCTGAGCAACAGCAGGCATTCTAATGGGAGAGACTCCTGACTGACCCCAGACAGTCTAATGATAGAAACATCTGGGTGACATTTCTGAGTCTTTTGAAACCTATAGTAAAAAACTGAATATCCCACTATAAAAACAAGAAACAAGCTCTCTGATTAAATGCTTTGTAAATTGTGGGTTCACCTCACAGAGTTAGAACTCTATTTTCATTCAAAGGGTTAGAAACACTTTTTTTGTAGAATCTATGAAGGGGCATTTCTGAGTCCATTGAGGCCTCTAGTGAAAAACTGAATATCCCATGATAAAAACAACAAACAAGCTATCTGTGAAAGTGGTTTGCAATGTGAACATTCATCTCACAGAGCTAAATCAATCTTTTGATTCAACAGGCTGGAAACACTCTTTTTGTAGAACATACAAATGGACATTTCTAAGCACATTGAGGCCTATAATGAAAAATCAAATATCCCACAATGAAAACTAGAAGGAAGCTATCTGTGATAATGCTTTGTGGTGTATGGATTCATCTCACTGACTGAAACCTGAGTTTTGATTCACCAGGTAAGAAACACTTTTTTTTTTAATAGAATCTACAAAGGGACATTTCTGAGCAAATTGAGGCTAAGAGTAAAAAATCAAATATCACACGATAAAAACTAGTAACAAGCTATCTGTGAAAATGCTTTTCAATGTTTGAATTCATTTCACAGAGTTAAACCTTTGTTTTGATTGAACAGGTTGGAGACACTCTTTTTATAGGATCTACCAAGAGACATTTCTGACCTCATTGAGGCCAATAGTAAAAAATCAAATGTCTCATGATAAAAAGTAAAAAGATGCTATCTGTGAAAATGCTTTCTGGAGTGGAGATTTATCTCAGTGAATTGAATCTGTGTTTTGATTCACCAGGTTGGAAACCTTCTTTTTGTAAAACCTACAGTGGGACATTTCTGAGCTCATTGAGGCTTGTAGTGAAAAACTGAGTTTCCTGCAATAAAAACCGAAAACAGGTTATCTGTGAAAGTGATTTGTGATGTGCAAATTCATCTCATGAAAATAAACCTCTGCTTTGATTGAATAAATGGGAAGAACTTTTTTGTAGAAATTTCTGAGCTCCTTTAGGTCTATAGCAAAAAAATCTAATATCCTGCAAACAAAACTAGAAACAAGCTACATGTGAAGGTGCTTTCTGATGTGTGAATTCATCTCACCAAATGAAACTCGTGTTTTGATTTAGTAGGTTGAAAACAATCTTTTTGAAGAATATACGAAGGGACATTACTGAGCTTATTGAGGCTTATATTGAAAAACTGAATATCCCACAAAATAAACTAGAAACAAGTGATCTGTGAAAATAGTTGGCCATGTGTAAATTTATCTCACACAGTTAAACCCTTTTTTTGACTCAACAAATTAGAACTCTTTTTGTAGAATCTATGAAGGGACATTTCTGAGCTCATTGAGGCCTATCGTGAAAAACTGAATATCCCATGATGAAAACTAGAAAGAAGCTATCTGTGAAAATATTTAGCAATGTGTTCTTTCATCTCACAGAGTTAAATCTTTTTTTTTTTTTATTCACCATATTGGAAATACTCTTTTTGTAGAATCTACAAAGAAACATTTCTGAGCCCATTGAAGCCTATAGTAAAAAAACAAATATTCTGCAGTTGAAACTAGAAACAATCTCTTTGAAAATGCCTTGTGATGTGTGGATGCATCTCATTAAAAGGAGCCTGTGTTTTGGTTCACCAGATTGGAAACACTTTTTTGTAGAATATACGATGGGATGTATCTGAGCCCATTGAGGCCTATAGTAAAAAATGGAATATCTTGCAATAAAAAACTAGAAACGAGCTATCTTTGAATATGCTTTCTGATGTGTGGATTCATCTCACAGAGTTAAACCTTATTTTTGACTCACCAAGATGGAAATACTTTTTTTTGTAGAATCTATGATAAGACATTTCTGAGTCTATTGATGTGTATAGTGCCAAACAGAATATCCCACAATAAAAACTAGAAACAAGCTATCTGGGAAAATGCCTTGTGATGTTTTCATTCATCTTAGAGAGTTAAACCATTGTTGTAATTAAACAGGTTGGAAACACTCTCTTTGTAGAAACTACGAATTGACATTTCTGAGCCCTTTGAGGCCTACAGTGAAAAACAGAATATCCAGTGATTAAAACTAAAAACTTTCTGTCTGTGAAAATGCTTTGTGATGTGTGGAAGCATCTCATAGAGTTAAACCTTTGTTTTGGTTCAACAGGTTGGAAACACTTTTTTAGTAGAATCTATGAGAAAATCTTTGTGAACCCAATGAGGACTCTGTGTGTGTGTTTGTGTGTGGGGGGGGTGGGGGGGCAGGAAACAACGAGGATTTCATGATGGAAACTGGAAAGAACCATCTGTGAAAATGGTTTGTGATGTGTGGATTCACCTCACAGAATTAAACCTTTGGTTTGATAGAACAGATTGAAAACACTGTTTTTGTACAATCTAAAAAGAGACATTTCTGAGCCCATTGAAGCCTGACGTGAAAAACCAAGGGTCTCACAATAAAAACGAATTACAAGCTATCTGTGAAAATGCTTAGCAATGTCCGGATTCATCTCACTGAATAGACCCTGTGTTTTGATTCACCAGGTTGGAAACTCTTTCTGCAGAATCTGCAAAGAAATATTTCTGAGCCCATTGAGGCCTACAGTGGAAAACTGAATATTCTGTGATAAAACTAGAAACACCCTATCTGTGAAAATGCTTTGTGATGTGTGGATTTTTCTCATCGAATGGAACCTCTGTTTTGACTCACAAGGGTGAAACACTATTTTAGTAGAATCTAGGAAGAAACATATCTGAGCCCATTTATGCCTACAGTGAGAAACTGAATACCCTGCAATAAAAAGTAGACAGAAGCTATTTGTAAAAATGCTTTGTGATGTGTGGATTCAGTGTTAAACTTTTATTTTGATTCCACAGTTTTGACACCCTATTTGTAGAATATATGAATGAACATTTCTCAGCCCATTGAGGCCTATCATGTGAAACCAAATATTTTATAATAAAAACTGGAAACAAGTGATCTGTTAAAATGTTTTTTAGTGTGTGAATTTGTTTCACAAAGATAAATCTTTGCATGGATTCAACAGGTTGGAAACATTATTGTAGAACCTATGAAGGGATGTTTTTAGCCTATTAAGGACTATATATATAAAAAAAACTAGAAACAAGCTGTCTGTGAAAATGCTTTGTGATGTGTGGATTCATCTCACAGAGTTCCACCTTTGTTTTTATTCAACAGGTTAAAAACGCTCTTTTTGTAGAACCTACAAAAAGACATTTCTGAGCCCATTGAGGCCTACAGTGAAAAACCAAGAATCCCATAATACAATCTAGAAAACAAGCTATCTAGGAAACTGTTTTGGATGTGTGGATTCATTTAACAGAATGGAAATAGTGTTTTGATTCACCATGTTTGAAACACTCTTTTTGTGGAATGCACGAAGAACATTCTTTGTGGAAGAACATTGATGCCTATAGTGATTAACCAAATATCACGTGATGCAAACTAGAAACAAGCTATCTGTGAAAATGCCTTGCAGCGTATGGATTCATGTCACAGAGTTACACCTATGTTTTGATTCAACAGGTTGGAAACAATCTTTTTGTAGAATCTACAAAGGAATATTTCTGAGCCAATTGAGTTCTAGAGTGAAAAACAGAATATCCTGTGATAAAAACTATAAATAAGCTCTCTGTGAAATTGCTTTGAGACTGTGGATGCATCTTTCAGAGTTATGCCCTTGCTTATATTCAACAGGTTGGAAACACTTTTCTTGTAGAATCTATGAAGGGATATTTCTGAACCTATTGAGGCCTATGGTGAAAAATTGAATATTCTGCGATATAAACCAGAAACAAGCTCTCTGTGAAAATGCTTTTCCATGTGTGCATCCATCTTACAGAGTTAAACGTTTGTTTAGATTCAACAGGTTGGAAATACTCTTTTTGTAGAATCTATGAAGGGATATTTCTGAACTTTTTGAGGCCTATTGGCAAAATCCGAATATTACGTGATAAAAACTAGAAACAAGGTATCAGTGAAAATGCTTTGTGATGTGTGGGTTTATCTCACCAAATAAAACCTGTGTCTTGATTCACCAGGTTGGACACACTTTTTTTTCTATAACCTACATAGGGCGATTTCTGAGCCTATTGAGGTCTATAGCAAAGCAACAACAACAAATATCCTGTCTTATAATCTAGAAAGAAGTTATCTCTGAAAATACTTTATGATGTGTGAATTCATCTCACAAAGTTAAACCTTTGTTTTGATTCAACTGATTGGAAACACTCTTTTTGTAAAATCTATGAAGGGAAATTTCTGAGCCCATTTAGGCCTATAGTGAGAAACAGAATATCCCACTGTAATAAGTAGAAACAAGCTATCTGTGAAAATCATTTATGGTGGCTGGATTCATCTCACCAAATGAAACCTGTGCTTTGATTCACCAGTTTGGAAACACTATTTTTATAGAATCTATGCAGGAATATTTCTGATCCCATTGAGGCATATGCTGAAAATTCGAATATCCCATGATAAAAACTACAAACAAGCTATCTATGAAAATGTTTTGTCATGTGTGGATTCATCTCACAGAGTTAAACCTTTGTTTTGATTCATCTGTTTGAAAACACGCTTTTTTGTAGAATCTAAGAATCAACATTTCTGAGTGCATTGAAGCCTATAGTGAAAAACAAAATATCTGATGATAAAAACTAGAAACAAGCTATCTGTGAAAATGCTTTGTGATATGTGGATTCATCTCAAAGAATTAAACTTTATTTTGATTCAACAGGCTGGAAACACTGTTTTCGTAGAACCTACAAAAAGACATTGGGGAGCCCACTGAGTCTTACAGTGATAAACCAAGGATCCTGTGATAAAACTAGAAACAAGCTATCTGTGAAAATGCTTTGCAGTTGGTGAATTTCTTTCATAGTTAAACCTTTTTTTATTCAATACGTTGGAAACACCATTTTTTAGTGTCTCTAAAGGGACTTTTTCAGCCCTTTGAAACCTATAGTGAAAAACCAAATATCTTGCAATAAAAACAAATAAACAAAAAAGAACTACTTATGAAAATGCCTTGTGATGTGTGGATTCATCTCACAGAGTTAAACCATTGTTGTGATTCAACAGGTTGGAAACATGCTTTTTGTAGAATCTACGAGTTGACATTTCTGAGCCCTCTCTGGGTTATGGTGAAAACGAAATATCCCATGATAAAAACTAGAAACAACCTATCTGTGAAAATGCTTTGCAATGTGTGGATTCATTTCACAGAATTAAACCATTGTTTTGATTTAACAGGTTGGAAACACTCTTTTTGTAGAATGTATGAAGAGATATTTCTGAGGCCTGTTGTGAAAAACTGAGGTTTCCACAAGAAAAACTGGAAACAAGTTATCTGAGAAAATGCTTTATGATGGGTGAATTCATCTCACAAAATTAAACCTTCGTTTTGATTCAAAAGGTTGGAATAACTTTTCTTTTCTTCTTCTTCTTCTTTTTTTTTTTTTTTTTTTGGACAGGGTCTTGCTCTGTCACCCAGGCTGAAATGCAATGGCACAATCTCGGCTCACTGGTTCAAGCAATTCTCCTGCGTCAGCCTCACAAGTAGCTGAGAATACAGGTGCCAGCCACCACAACTGGCAGTTTTTTTGTATTTTTATAAAAGATGGGGTTTCAGCATGTTAACCAGGATGGTCTCGATTTGCTGACCTCCTGATCTGCCTGCCTTGGCCTCCCAAAGTGTTGGTATTACAGGTGGAATCACTTTTTTTGTAGAATCTGTGCAGGCACATTTCTGAGGCCTACAGTGAAAAATTGTAGGCCTCATTGAGGCCTACAGTGAAAAATTGAATATCCCTCAATAAAAATTACAAACAAGCTATCTGTGGAAATGCTTTGTGATGTCTGGATTCATCTCACAGAGTGAAACCTTTCTTTTGATTCATTAGGTTGAAAGCACACTTTTTGTAAAAATTACAAAGGAACATTTCTGGGCCTATTTAGGCCTGTGGTGAAAAATCAGAAAACTAGTGATAAAATCTAGAAACAGGCTTGTGTGAAAATGCTTTGGGTTGTGTGCATTTATCTCACAGAGTTAAACATTTATTTTGATTTAACAAGTTGGAAACACTCTTTTTGTAGAATCTATGAGGGGACATAATTGAGCTTATTGAGGCCTATAGTAAAAATTTGAGGATTCTGCTATAAAAACTAGAAACAAGCTATCTGTAAAAATGCTTTGCTGTGTGTGTATTCCTATCACAAAGTTACAGCTTTGTTTTGATTCAACAGGTTGCAAACACTCTTTTTGCAGAATCTATGAAGGAACATTTCTGAACCAATTTTGGCCTATAGTGGAAAACTGAACATTCTGTGATATAAACTAGAGAAAAGATATCTGTGAAAATGCTTTGCAATGTGTGGATTCATCTCACTGGATGGAACCTATGCTTTGATTTAGTAGGTTGGAAATACTCATTTTGTAGAATCTACAAAGGATATTTCTGAGCCCCTTTGAGCCTGTAGTGAAAAATCAAGGATCCCATGAAGAAAAACAGAAAAACACTATCTGTCAAAATGCTTATTGGTGTGTGGATTCTTCTTACCAAATGGAACCTGTGTTTTGATTCACCAGGTTGGAAACACTTTTTTGTAGAGTCTATGAAGGGACATTTCTCAGCCCATTGAGGCCTATAGTGATGAACAAAATATCCCATAATAGAAGCTAGAAAAAAGCTATTTCCAAAAATGCTTTGCAATGTGTGGATTTATCTTACAGAATTAAACCTTTATTTTGATTTGACAGTCTGCAAACACTTTTTTTTGTAGAAAGTACAGAGGGACATTTCTGAGACCATCAAGAACTATAGTAAAAAAATCAAACAACCTGCCTTAATATTTAGAAACAAGCTATCTGTTAAAATGCTTTAGAATATTTTCATTCATGTCACAGATTTCAACCTTTTTTTTGATTCAACAAGATAAAAACACTCTTTTAGTTGAATCTACAAAAAGATATTTCAAAGTCCGTTGAGGCCTATAGTGAAAAACTGAATATCCCATGATAAAAACTAGAAGTGAGCCCTGTGTGAAAATGCTTTGTGATGTGTGGATTCATCTCACAGAGTTAAACTTATATTTTTATTCAACACCTTGGAAACACTCTTTTTGTAGCATCTATGAAGGGACATTCTGAGGCCATTGAGGCCTATAGTGAAAAGCAGAATATCCTTCCTTAAAATCTAGAAACAATCTATCTGTGAAGATGATTTATGATGTGAGCATTTATCTCACAGATTTAAAACTATGTTTTAATTCAACAGGTAGGAAAAAGTCTTTTTGTAGAATCTATGAAAGGACACTTCTGAGCCCACGGAGACCTATAGTGAAAAACTGAATATCCAGCATTAAAAACTAGAAACAAGCTATATGTAAAAATGTTTTGTGATGTGTGGATTCATCTCTCCCAATGGAACCTGTGTTTTGATTCTCCAGGTTGGAAACACTTTTTGTGAAATCTATGAAGCGACATTTCTGAGCCCATTGAGGCATATTGTAAAATTTGAATATTCCACGATAAGAACTAGAAACAAGCTATCTCTGAAAATCCTTTTCAATGTGTGGCTTCTCCTCACAGAGTTAAATCTTTGTTTCAATTCAACACCTTGAAAACACTTTTTTGGTAGAATCTACGAAGGGACATTTCTGACCCATTGAGGCCTACAGTAAAAAATGTAGGGACATTTCTGAGCCCATTGAAGCCTATAGTTAAAAAACTAATTTCTGGTGATAAAATCTAGAAACAAGCCATCTGTGAAAATGCTTTGTGATGTATGGATTTATCTCAAAAAGTTAAAACTATGTTTTTAACCAACAGGTTGAAATCACTCTTTTTGTAGAATCTATGAAAAGACGTTTCTGAGCCCACTGAGGCCTGTAGAGAAAAACTGTATATCCTGCAATAAAAGCTAGAAGAAAAGCTCTCCGTGTAAATGGTTCCCGATGTGTGGGTTAATCTCACAGAGTTAAACATTTGTTTTTATTTAACAGGTTAGAAACGTTCTTTTTGTAGAATCTACGAAGGAATATTTCTGAGCCCATTGAGGCCTATAGCAAGAAGCCATATATCCGTCAATAAAAACTGGAAACAAGCTATCTGTGAACATTTTTTGTGATGTATGCATTTATCTCACCAAATGGAACCTGTGTTTTGATTCACCAGTTTGGAAACACTCTTTTGTGGAATGCATGAAGGGACATTTCTTAGCCAATTGAGGTGTATAGTGATATACCAAATATCCCGGGATAGAAACTAGAAACAAGTTATCTGCAAAAATGCTCTGTGATGTGTGGATTTATCTCACAGAGATGAAGCTTTGTTTTGATTCAACATGTTGGAAACACTTTTTTTGTAGAATCTACAAAGGGACATTTCTGAGACCATTAAAAACTACAGTAAAAAAAGGTATAATGCACCTTAAAATCTAGAAACAAAGCTATCTGTGAAAATGCTTTGCAATATGTGGATTCATGTCACAGATTTAAACCTTTGTTTTGATTGAACAAATTGGAAACACTGTTTTAGTAGATTATATAAAGGGACATTTCAAAGCCCATTGAAGCCTATAGTGAAAAATCAAAAATCCCGTGAGCAAAAATAGAAACAACCTCTGTGGGAAAATGCTGTGTGATACGTTCATTCATCTCACAGGGATAACCTTTGTTTTTATTCAACACCTTGGAAACATTCTTTTTGTAGAGTCTATGAAAAAAATTTCTGAGCCAATTGAAGTCTGTAGTGAAAAAGCTAATATCCCATTTTAAAATATAAAACAAACTATGAAAATGAGTTTTGATGTGTGGATTCATCGAGAGTTAGACCTTTGTTCTAAATCAACAGGTTAAGAACACTCTTTTTGTAGAATCTATGAAAAAACATTTCTGAGCCCGTTGAGGCCTATTGCGAAGTGAATCTCTTGCAATAAAAAGCAGAAACCAGCTCTCTGTGAAATAATTTTGTGATGTACAAATTTATCTTGCAGAGTTAAAACTTTGTTTTAATTCAACAAGTTGAAACCTTCTTTTTGTAGAATCTGCAAAGAGACATTTCTGAGCCCATTGAGGCCAATAGCAAAAAAATGAATATCCCACAATAAAAACTAGAAACAAAACAGCTGTGTAAATGCTTTGCAATATGTGGATTCGTCTCACTGAGTTAAACCTATGTTTTGATTCAACAAGTTAAAAAACTTGTTTTTGTAGTATCTTCGAAGGGACAATTCTGAGCCTATGGAGATTATAGCAAAAAACTGAATATCCTGCAATAAAAACTAGAAACAAGATATCCGTGGAAATGCTTTGAGATGTGTAGATTTATTTCACAGAATTAAACCTTTGTTTTGATTTAACAGGTTGGAACCACTCTATTTTAAGAATCTATGAAGAAATATCTTTGTCCCTATTGTACACTATAGTGGACAACTGAATACTTCATGACAAAAACTAGAAACAAGCTAGCTGTGAAAATGCTTTGCAATGGGTGAATTCATCTCACTCAGTTAAACCTTCGTTTTGATTCAACAAGGGTGAAACACTCTTTTGGTAGAATCTACAAAGAAACATTTATGAGCCCCTTGAGGACTATAGTGAAAAAATGAATCTCCTGCATTAATATCTAGAAACAATCTATTTGTGAAAATGCTGTGTGATGCATGGATCCATCTCACAGATTTCAAACTTTATTTTGATTCAACAGGCTGGAAACACTCTTGTTATAGAAGCTACGAAGGGTCATTTCTGAACCCATTGAGGCCAATAGTGAAAAACTAAATATCCTGCAATAAACCTAGAAAAAATCTATCTGCGAAAATACTTTGTGTAGTGTGGATGAGTGTCTCAGGGTTAAACATTTGTTTTTATTCACCAGGTTCGAAACACTCTTTTTGTTGAACAGACAAAGGGACATTTCTTAGCCCAGTTAGGCCTATAAAGGTAAACCGAATATCCCGTGATACATAGTAGAAACAAGCTATCTGCAAAAATGCTTTGTGAATTGTAGATTCATCTCACAGAATTAAGCCTTTGTTTTAATTCAACAGGTTAAAAACACTATTTTTGTAGACTCTACGAAGAAACATTTCTGAAACCATTGAAACCTATGGGGGAAAAAAACCCCCGAAATTCCTGTGATAAGAAATGGAAAGCAGCTATCTGTGAAAATGCTTTGTAATGTGTGGATTCTTCTCACAGAGTTAAACCTTTGTTCTGATTCAACATTGTTCAGAACACTCTTTTTGTAGAATCTACAGAGATACTTTTTAGCATTTTGAGGCCTCTAGTGAAAAACCGAATGTCCTGCAATAGAAACTGGAAACAACCTTCTGTGAAAATGCTTTGTGATTCGTCTATTCATCTCAAAGAATGAAACTTGTGCTTTGATTCAACAGGTTGGAAAACCCTTTTTGTAGAATCTACGTAGGAACATTTCTGAGCCCATTGAGGCCTCTAGTGAAAAAACTGAATATCCCAGAATTAAAACTATAAACAAGCTATCTGTGAAGAAGCTTTGTAATATGTGCATTCATCTAACAGATATAAGCGTGTATTTTGATTTGCCTGGTTGGGAACACTCTTTTTGTACAGTCTATAAAGAAACATTTCTGAGTGCATTGAGTCATATGTTGAAAAATCGAATATCTCGTGATAAAAACTAGGCAGGAGGTATCTGTGAAAATGCTTTGAGATGTGTGGGTATTGGCCTCACAGAGTTAAACTTTTGTTTTGATTCAACAGTTTGGAAACATACTTTGTAGAATCTACAATGACATATTTCTGAGCCCATTGAGGCCTGTAGTGAAAAACCGAATATCCCATGATAAAAACTCAAAACAAGCGATATGTGAAAATGCTTTGTGACGTGTGGTTCATCTCATAGAGTTAAACCTGGTTTTGATCCACTACATTGGAAACACTCTTATTGTAGAATCTACAAAAAAAAATTTCTGAGACCATTGAGGTCTCTAGTGAAAAACTGAATATCCCATGATAAAAACTAGATACAAGCTATCTGTGAAAATGCTTTGCAATGTGTGGATTTGTCTCACAAAGTTAAACCTGTGTTTGATTCAACGGGTTGGAAACACTTTTTTTGTAGAATCTATGAAGAAACATTTCTGAGACCATTGAAGCCTATAGTAAAAAATTGAATATCCTGTGATATAAATGAGAAACAAGTTATCTACGAAAATGTATATTAATCTCACTGAATGCAACCTGTGTTTTACTTCACCAGGTTAAAGATGCTCTGTTGGTAAAATCTGTGAAGGGACATTTCTGAGCACATTGAGGCCTATAGTGAAAAAACGAATATCCTGCTATAAAAACTAGAAACAAGCTATGTGTGAAAATGCTTTGCAATGTGTGGATTCACCTCACAGATTTAAACCTTTGTTTTGTTTCAACAGGTTGGAAACACTCTTTTTGTAGTTGAACGAAGGGACATTTTTGAGTCCCTTGAGGCCTATAGTAATGAACAGAATATCCTGCAATAAAAATTAGAAAGAAGTTATCTGGGAAAATGCTTTGTGTTGTGTGGACTTATCTCACAGTGTCAAACTATTGTTTCCATGCAACACTATAAATGCACACTTTTTGTAGAATCTATGAGGGGACATTTCTGAGCCCATTGAGGCCTATAAAGAAAAACCAAACTTCCCATGTTAAAAGCTAGAAACAAGCTATTTGCGAAAATGCTTTATGGTATGTGGATTCATCTCATTGAATGAAACCTGTGTTTTGATTCACCACGTTTGAAACACTCTTTTGATAGAATCCACGAAGGGACATTTCACTGTATGAGGCATATAGTGAAAAACCAAATATCTCATGATGAAAACTAGAAAGAAGCTATTTGTGAAAATGCTTTCTGATGTTTAGATTCATGTCAAAGAGTTACACCATTTTTTTGATTCAACAGGTTTGAAACACTTTTTTTTAGAATCTATGAGGGACATTTCTGAACAAATTGAGGAGTGTAGTGAAAAACCGAATATCCCACTGTAAAAACTACAAACATTCTGTCTGTGAACATACTCCCAACTGACCCTGGGTATTCTAATATGAGAGACTCCTGGCTGACCCCAGGCAGTCTAAGGATAGAGACTCCTGGCAGACTGCAGGCATTCTAATGACAGAGACACCTGTGCAACTCCAGGCATCTTAATGAAAGAGACTTTATGCCGACCTTAGGCATTCTTGTGATAGGGGCAACTGTGCGTCTTAAGACATTTTTATGAGAGAGACTCCAGGCTGACCCCAGGCATTCTAAGGAGAGAGACTTCTTGCAGAATTCAGATACTGTAACGATAGAGACACTGGGGCAACCTCCAACATTCTAATGAGAGGGACTTCTGGTCTACCACGGGCACTTCAATGATAAAGACAGTTTTTCGACCCCTAGCATTTTAATAGGAGAGACTGCCAGCCAAAACCAGGCATTCAAACTGGAGAGACACCCAGCCAACCACAGGCAGTCTAATGTTAGAGACGCCTGGATGATCACAGGCATTATAATGGGAGAAACTGAATGCCAAACGCAGGCAGTCTAATGTTGGAGATACCCAGCCAACCCCAGGCATTTTAATACAAAAGACTCCTGGTCGACCCCAGGCATTCCAATGATAGAGACACTGTGGCGACCCAAGGTAATCTACTGGGAGAGACTCCCTGCCAACCCCAGTGATTCTAATGGGAGAGACTGCTGGCTGACACCAGGCAGTCTGATAGAAACCCCTGGGCAACCCCAGGCATTCTAATGAAAGTGATTCCTGGCTGAACTTAGGCAGGCTAATAACAGAGACATCTGGGTGACCCCAGGCATTCTAATGGTACAGGCTCCCGGGAAATTCCAGGCATTCTAATGGGAGAGACTCTTGGCCGACTACAGGCAGTTTAAGGATAGAAACACCTGGGCGACCACAGGCATTTTAATGGAAAGACTCCATGCTGACCCAAGGCAGCCTAATTACAGAAACACCGGGTGACCCCAGGTATTCTAATGGAAGAGACTCCCGGTGGACCCCAGGCAGTCTAATGATAGAGACACCTGGGCAACCACAGGCATTCTAATGGGAGAGACTCCCAGCAGAGCCCAGGCAATCAAATGATACACCTGGGCGACCCCAAATATTCTAATAGAAGAGACTCCTAGCCAACCCCAGGCATTCTAGTAAGAGACTTCTAGCCGACAAAAGGCAGTCTTAGGTTAGAGACACCTAGGCAACCTCAGGCATTCTAATGGGAGAGATTCATTGCTGACCCCTGTTAGTCTAACGATAGAGTCACCTGGGGAACCTCAGTCATTCTAATGAGATAGACTCCTGCCGAACCCAAGCAGTCTAATTATAAAGACATTTCGGTGACCCAAGGCATTCTAAGGAAAGAGACTCCTGGTGGATCCCAGGCAGTCTAATAATAAAGACACCTGAGCAACCCCAGGCATTCTAACGGAAGAGACTCCCAGCTGACCCCAGGCAGTCTAATGATAGAACTCCTGGGCAAACCCAGGCATTCTAATGGGAGAAACTTCTGGCCAAACCTAGGCAGTATAATTATATATGCCAAATCGACCCCAGGCATTTTAAGGGGAGTGACTCCCAGCCGACTCCAGGCCGTCTAATGATAGAGACACCTGGGTGACCCTAGGCATTCTAATGGGAGGGACTCACCGCCGACCCTGGGCATTCTAATGGGAGAGACTCGTGGCCTACCCCAGGCAGTCTAATGATAGAGACACCTGAAAAACCCCAGGAATTCTAGTGGGAGAGACACCCGACCAACTGCAGGAAATCTAATGATAGAGACAACTGGGTGACTGCAGGCATTTTAATGGAAGAGACTCTCAGATGACTTGACGTTTTAATGATAGAGACACCTGGGCATCCCGAGGCATTCTAATAGGAGAGACTTCCAGCCAAACCCAGGCATTCTTTTGAAAGAGATGTCTGGCTGACCCCAGGCAGTCTGATTATAGAGACACCTGGGTGACCTCAGGAATTTTAATTGGAGAGATTCCCGGCTGATCACAGGCAGTCTAATGATAAAGTCATCTATGTGACTTAAGACATTCTAATGGGAGAGACTCCAGACCGACATCAGACATTCTAATAATAGAGACACCTCTGTGACTCCAGGCATTCTAACGGGAGAGACTCTGGGCCGACACCAGGCATTCTAATAAAAAAGACTCCTGGCTGACCATAGACTCTCTAATGATAGAGACATCTGAACGACCCTTGGCATTCTAATAATAGAGACTCCCGGCTGACCTCAGGGACCCTAATGGTAGAGACACCTAGCTGATGCAGGCAGTCTTATGATAGAGACACTTCGATGACCGGAGACGTTCTAATAAGAGAGATTCCTGGTTGAACCCAGGCATTCAAATGATAGACACCTTATCGAGGACAGGCATTTTAATGGGAGAGACTCCCGCCAAACCGCAGGCAGTTTAATAAAGAAATAGGGATGAATACAGGTATTCTAATGAGAGACACTCCTGGCTGACTTCAGGCAGTCTAACAATAGAGACACCTGGGAGAGCCCAGGTATTCTAATGGGAGAGATTGCTGGCTGAACACAGGCAGTCAAACTGTAGAGGAATCTAAGCCACCCAAGGCATTTTAATAGGAGAGCCTACCAGCTGACCCCAGGCAGTCTAATGATAGAGACACCTGGGCGAACCCAGGCATACTAATGGGAGAAACTCCCAGATAACTCAAGGCATTTTAATAAGAGACAATCTTGGCGGACCCCAGGCAGTCTAATGTTCACAACTGGGCAACCACAGGCATCCTAATGGGAGAGACTACAGGACAAGCCCAGGCATGCAAATAATAGATACACGTATGCGACCCCAAGCATTCTAATGAGAGAGAATTCCAACTGACACCAGATATTCTAATGGGAGAGACTCCTGCCTGACCCCAGGCAGTCTAATAATACAGACACCTGGATGACCTCAGGCATTCTAATTAGAGAGACTTCTGTACAAACCCAGGCAATCCATGCATAGAGACACCTAGGTGACCCCAGCCATTCTAATGGGGGAGATTCCCAACTGACCACAGGCAGTCTAATGGTAGAGGCACTTGGGTGACCCCAGGCATCCTAATAGTGGAGACTTCCAAAGGACCCCAGCCAATCTAATGTTAGAGACACCTGGGTGACACCAGGCATTCTTATGGGAGATACCCTCCACTGACCCCAGGAATTCTAATAATAGTGACACCTGGGATACCACAGGCATTCTAATGGGAGAGACTGCTGGCTGACACCAGGCATTCTCATAATAGAGACACCTGGGGGACTCCACTCCAGGCATTCTAATGGGGGAAACTCTCAGATGACCCCAAGCAATCTAATGTTAGAGAGAGCTGTGCAACCACAAACAGTCTAATGTTAGAGACACGTGGGTGACCCCAGTCACTCCAATGGGAGAGACTCACAGATGACAGAAAGCATTCTAATGGGAGATACTCGTGGTCAACCCCAGGCAGTCTAATGCTAGAGACACTGATTGAGCCCAGTGATTGTAATGGGAGAGACTAATGGTCGAACACAGGCAGTCTAATAGTAGAGACACTTAGGTGATCCTAGACATTCTAATGGAAAAGACTATCATCTGACCCCAGGCATTCTAATAATACAGAAACCTGGGTGACCTAAGGCATTCTAATGGGAGAGACTTCCATCTGAACCCTGGCATTCTAATGGGAAAGACACCAAGCCAGCCCAGGCAGTCTAATGATAGAGACATCTGTGTAACCACAGGCAATCTAATGAAAGAGACTCCCGGCCAATCGCAGGCAGTATAATGACAGAGAAATCTGAACGACTGCAAGTATTTTAATGGGAGACACTTCTGGCTGACCCCAGGCAGTCTAATAATAGAGACACCTGATGGACCCCAAGCATTCTAATAGAAGAGACTTCGAGCTGACCCCAGGCTGTCTAATTATAAAGACATCTGGGCTACCTTGGTAATTCTAATGGGTAAGACTCCTGGCCAACCACAGGCAATTCTAATGGAAGAGACTCCTGACTGACACCAGGCAGTCTAATAATAGAGAAACCTGGGCAATCCCAGACATTCTTATGGGAGAGACTGCTGGCTGAACCCAGCAGTCTAATGATAGAGACACATGAGCAAACCCAAACATTCTAATGGGAGAGATTCCCAGCCAATTCCATGCATTCTAATGAAAGATCTCCTGGCCAACCCCATGCAGTCTTAAAATAGACACCTGGGCGACACCAGGCAGTCGAATAAGAGAGACTCCTGGCTGACACCAAGCAGTCTAATGGCAGAGACACCTGGGCCACCCCAGGCATTCTAAAAAAAAAGAATCCCAACTGACATGAAGCAGTCTAATGATAGACAACTGGGCACCACAGGCATTCTAATGGGAGAGACTCCCAGTCGATTCCAGACATTCTAATTTGAGAGAATTTGGGAGATGCCAGGCATTCTCATTGGAGATATCAGCGACCGACCTGCACCAGACTAATGATGAAAATGCATCCACGAACCCAGGCATTCTAATGGGAGGGGCTCTGGGAGACCTCATGCAGTCTAATGAAAAAGACACCTGGATGACCTTAGACGTTCTAATGGGAGAGACTCTGGTCCAACCCTAGACTGCCTAAGGTTAGAGACACCTGGTCAACCCCAGACATTCCAATGAAAGAGACTCCTGGCCCAATTCAGGCAGTCTAATGATAGAGACACCAATGTCACACTAAGCATTTTAATGTGAGAGACTCCTGGCTGAGACCAGGAAGTCTAATTATAGAGACACCTGGGCAACCCCAGGCATTCTAACGGGAGAGACTTCAGGCTGACCCCAGGCAGTCTAATGATAGAGAAACCTGGGCGACTCCAGGCATAATAATGGGAGAGACTGCTGGCTGACCCAAGGCAGTATAATGATAGAGACCCCTGGGCATGCTATCTGTGAAAATGCTTTAGGATGTGTGGATTAGTCTCACCAAATGGAACCTGTGTATTGATTCACCAGGTTGAAAACACTCTTGCTGTAGAATCTATAAAGGGATATTTCTAAGACAATGTAGGCCTATAGTGACAGACCGTATATTTTGCAATAAAAAATAGAAACAAGCTATCTGTGAAAATGCTTCATGAAATGTGGATTTATTTCAATGAGTTAAAACTTTGTTTTGATTCAATAGGCTGGAAAGCCTCGTTTTGTAGTATCTACGAAAAGAAATTTCTGAGCTCATTGAGACTGGTAGTGAAAAATCTAATATCCTGTGATAAAAAGTATAAAAACGCTATGTGTGAAAATGCTTTGCCATATGTGAGTTCATCTCCAACAGTTAAAACTTTGTTTTGATTCAACAGGTTGGAAACACTTTTACTGTATTATCTATGAAGAAACGTTTTTGAGGCCATTAAGTCCTACACTGAAAAACTGAATATACTGCATTAAACATTCTAAAGAAGCTAACTGTGAAAATGCTTTGCAATGTGTGTATTTATCTCACAGAGTTAAACCATTGTTTTGATTCATCAGTTTGGAAACAGTTTCTTTGTAGAATCTATGAAGGGACCTTTCAGAGGCCATTGAGGCCTATAATAAAGAAACAAATATCCCACAATAAAACAAGAAACATATAGAAACAAGCTGTATGTGAAAATGCTTTGTGATATCTGGATTCTTCTCACTGAATCAAACCTGGGTTTTGAGTCACCAGGTTGGAAACACTTTTTTTGTAAAATCTAGGAAGGGAAATTTCTGAGCCCATTGAGGCACATAGTGAAAAACCGAGGATCCTGTGATAAAAACTAGAAAAACGCAATATGTGAAGTTGCTTTGTGATGTGTGGATTCGTCTCCCCGAATGGAATCTCTGTTTTGATTCACCAGGTTGGAAACAATGTTTTTGTAGAATGTACAATGAGACATTTCTGAGTCCATTTAGGCCTATACTGAGAAACCCAATATCCTGCTATAAGAAGTAGAAAAATGCTATCTGTAAAAATGCTTTGTGATGCATGGATTCATCTCACAGAGTTAAAGCTTTGTTTGGATTCAACAGGTGAAAAACCCTTTTTTACAGAATCTACAAAAAACATCTCTGATCCCATTGAAGTTTATAGTGAAAAACAGAATATCCTGTGATAAAAAGTAGAAACAAGCTATCCGTTGAAATGCTTTGCAAGGTCTGAATTCATCTGACAGAGTTAAACCTCTCTTTTAATTCATCAATTTGGAAACACGCTTTTCTTAGAATCTATGAAGAAACATTTCTGACCCAATTGAAACCTATACTGAAAAATAGAATATCCCAAAATAAAACCAGAGAAAAGTTATCTCTGAAAATGGATTGTAATATGTGGATTCATCTAACAGAGTTAAACCTTTGTTTTGATTCAACAGGTTGGAAACACTCTTGTTGTAGAATCTATGAAGGGAGATTTCTGGGAGCATTGATGCTTATAATAAAATACAGAGTATCCCGCAATGAAAAGTACAAACAACCTATCTGTGCAAATGCTTTGCCATGTGGGAATTCCTCTTACAAAGTTACACATTTGTTTTGATTCAATAGGTTGAAACACTCTTTTTGTAGCATCTACTAAGGAACATTTCAGAGCTCACTGAGGCCTATAATGAAAAACTGAATATTCCATGTTAAAAAGTAGAAACAAGCTATAAGTTAAAATGCTTTGGGTTTTCTGGATTTACATCACAGATTTAAACTTTTGTTTTGATTCATCACCTTGGAAACTTGCTTTTTGTAGAATCTATGAAGGAACATTTCTGAGCTCATTGAGGCCTATAGTGAAAAACGGAATATCCAGTGATAAAAACCAGAAGCAAGCTATCTGTGGAAATGCTTTGTGATGTTTGGATTCATCTCACAGAGTTAAATCTTTGTTTTAATTAAACGGGTTGGAAACACTCTTTTTGTAGAATCAATGAAAAGACATTTCTGAGCCCACTCAGGCCTATGTTGAAAAATCGAATATCCCACAATAAAAACTAGAAACAAGGCAAGTATAAAAATGCTTTGTGGTGTCTGGATTCATCTTAGAAAGTTAAACCTTTGCTTTAATTAAATAGGTTGGAAACACTGTTGTTGTAGAATCTACGAAGGGACATTTCTGAGGCCTTCGACTCCTATTGTTACACACTGAATAGCCCATGATAAAAACTAGAAACAAGCTTGCTCTGAAAGTGCTTTGTAATGCGTGGACTTATCTCACTGAATGAAACCCTTTGTTTGATTCACTAGGTTAAAAACACTGTTGTTGTAGAATCTATGAAGGGACATTTATGAGTCAATTGAGACCTACAGTAAGAAACCAAATATTTCGTGATAAAAATTAGAAGCAAGCTATTTGAAAAAATGCTTTGCAATGTGTACATTCATCTCACCAAATATAACTTGTGTTTTGAATCACCTGATTGGAAATACTCTTTTTGTAAAATCTCCAAAGGGACATTTCTGAGCCCATTGAGGCCTATAATATAAAACAGACTATCTTGTGATAAAAACTAGAAAGAAGCTATCTGTGAAAAATGCTTGTGATATGTTGATTCATCTCAGAGTTAAATTATTATTTTGATTGAACAGCTTGGAAACACTCTCCTTGTAGAATCTAGAAATTGTAATTTCTGAGCTCATTGAGACCTATAGTGAAAAACCAAATATCCCGCAATAAAAACCAGAAACAAGGCATCTATGAAAATTCTTTGTGATATGTGCATTCATCTCACAGTGCAAAACTTTTTCTTTGATTCAACAGGTTGGAAACTCTGTTTTTGTAAAATTAATGAAGGCACATTTCTGAGCCCTTTGAAACCTATAGTGAAAAACTGAATATCCCACCTTAAAAATGAGAAACACGCTATTAGTAAAAATGTTTTGCAATGTGTGGATTCATGTTGTGGGAAGTCAGGGACCCCAAATGGAGGGACTGGCTGAAGCCATGGCAGAAGAATGTGGATTGTGAAGATTTCATGGACATTTATTAGTTCACCAAATTAATACTTTTATAATTTCTTATGCGTGTCTTTACTGCAATCTCTAAACATAAATTGTGAAGATTTCATGGACGCTTATCATTTCCCCAATCAATACCCTTGTGATTTCCTATGCCTGTCTTTACTTTAATCTCTTAGTCCTGTCAGCTGAGGCAGATGTATGTTGCCTCAGGACAATGTGATAATTGTGTTACCTGCACAAACTGTAGAGCATGTGTGTTTGAACAAATATGAAATCTGGGCACCTTGAAAAAAGAACACGATAAGAGCAATTGTTCAGAGAATAAGAGAGATAACCTTAAACTCTGACTGCTGGTGAGCCAGATGGAACAGAGCCATATTTCTCTTCTTTCAAAAGCAAATAGGAGAAATATTGCTGAATTCTTTTTCTCAGCAAGGAACATCCCTGGGAAAGAGAATATGCACCCAGGGGTATAAGTCTATAGATGGCCCCCCTGTGCGTGCCCCTCTTTTATGGTCTGTAGACTACAGGGGTGAAATAGACCCCAGTCTCCCATAGTGCTCCCAGGCTTATTGGGAAGAGGAAATTCCTGTCTAATAAATTTTAGTCAGACCGGTTGCTCTCAAAACCCTTTCTCCTAATAAGATGTTATCAATGACAATGGTGCCCAAAACTTCATTAGCAATTTTAATTTCACCACGGTCCTGTGGTCCTGTGATCTCGCCCTGCCTCCATTTGCCTTGTGATATTCTATTACCTTGTGAAGTACTTGATGTTCGTGACCCACACCTATTCGTATACTCCCTCTCCTTTTGAAACGCCTTAATAAAACCTTGCTGGTTTTACAGCTTGTGGGGCATCATGGAACCTACCAATACGTGATGTCTACCCCGGACGCCCAGCTTTAAAATTTCTCTCTTTTGTACTCTGTCACTTTATTTCTCAAACTGGCCAATGCTTAGGGAATATAGGAAAGAACATACGTGACTATTGGGGCAGGTTCCCCAATATCTAGCACACACATTGTCTTTCTTTTTTCCTAAGTGCATGAGGGAACCCGATTCCCTTTGGTAGGTGTGGTGAAACGTCATCGGCTTGGTCCACAGATACACTTGTTAGAATCCCTGATGAGTGATGAGTAGTCTATGTATGGTCTGGGTTAACTATGGGTCATGCAGAGTCTAAGCATCATACTTATATCTGCTATATTAAACTCCTGTTAAAACAGGGCAGTGTCCGAGTAACCATGGAAAATATGGTCACTCTATTCAGGGCAGTGGTTCTGTCCTTGGTTTCCTGAAAAAGGAACCATAGATGTAAAAGTGTGGGATTGTGTTGGTACAGCATTCTGGTAGCTGGTCTCAGCAGGGTATTATGTTCCTGTCACTGTTTGGGGTGGTTGGTACCTGCTGTCTTAGTGGTGTGTGGATCTCGTGACCCCCTGCAGTTGCCACAGTTTTCTGCCTTTTCCTCAGATCCTCCACCTTTCCCTCAGCCTTCCTCTCCCACAGGGCCCCCATCTGATCAGACTCTCCCTTTGGCTACTCCTCCCCCACCTAATGATGCTGAAAATTCTATGTCTAACTATGGTGACTTTGGTTTAAAGTTACCCCCTACTTATCTTCTTTTCACGAATTTCATGAAGAGCCAGTACTTGAAACTCCCACGGCTGCAAAGCACACAGCCCAGTACCACAGGTATGCTAATTCTTCTCTCTTCAAATCTCTGAAGTCAGCTAATGGCTCCAGGACCAAACTACAATTTACCTATCATTCTCCAGGCCCTCCCACCATACACTTCAGCCCCTCACCCTCCTGTCGTTTCGTTTCCTCAACCAGTCACTTTACCATCCACTCAGATTGCTTCTCTATACCCTTCTTCACACTTGAACAACAGTAATCACCAGTATACTTCTGCTCGTTCTGCTCCCCCAATGCCTCTTTCTCACATTCTCATCCTGGTCCGACCCTCTCACCCTCAGTTTCCCTTAACTGCACATGCTTTTCCTGTCACTTCCATGCCGACTCCATCTCAGATGCCTACTCTTGAAACTTCAATGCAATGCTTATTATGCCAAAACAAAGAAATAAGTGGATTAGATGAATGGACTTCTCTGGTTGTGCTAGATCCACCTAACTTCCAAGGGTTACAAATGCATCTTTATGTACCTCTTAATCTTACCTTTTTAAAAGAATTTAAGGATGCTTGTACTCAGTATGGTCCTACTTCTCCTTACGTTAAGATAGTTTTACAAACTTTTTGTACTGAGGTCACTTTACTTCCTTTAGATTGGGACCTTTTGGCAAAAGCTGTTCTAACCCCATGTCAGCATTTACAATTCTGTACCTGGTGGTCAGAGGAGGCCTGTTTGCAGGCTCAGCTAAATATGAGTAATGGCATTCTAATTACTCAGGCTCAGCTCACAGGCTCCGATAATTTCTCTGATGCTTATGCCCAATTAAACTTTGATGCCTTTACCACAGAACAAGTAACAAAGGTGTGTATGAGAGCTTGGAATAAATTACGCACTCCAGGCCAAGCTCCTGTTTCTTTTACCATAGTTAAACAAGGTCACTCTGAATTATTCCCTGATTTTTTAGCTAAATTACAAGATGCTGTTGAAAAAATCTGTCTCTGATGAAGCACGCTCAAGGCATTCTCCTTCGTATATTAGCTTTTGAAAATGCAATCCCTGAATGTAAATTGGCCATGCGTTCTGTCCAACAACAAAATTTACCTGATCACGTGTTGCCTGCATATATTAAAGTTTGTGAAGGCATTGGATCAGACACCCACAAAGCTATTCTGTGGGCACGGGCCATGAAGGACACCAACCAAACTGGTCCCATTAATTCTTCTCTTGGAGCCTGCTATAATTGTGGCCAACTTGGTCATATTTGAAAAAATTGCACTGTTAAAAACTTACAAGAGGCCAAGCCAGTTCAACAAACATGGCCAAATGTTGCTCCTACTGTTTGCCCACGTTGTCGCAAAGGTAAACTTTGGGCAAATATTTGCCACTCTAAGTATGATATAGATGGAAACCCCCTACCACAGTGACAGGGAAATAGGGAGTGGGGCTAGTCCCAGGTCCCAGCATCAAACGGGACACTTCCAACTAAGACCAACATTGTGTTTCCACTTCAGGCAGTCCCAATGCAACCCCTAGCACAAACAAATCTACCTACAGCAAAACCAAATGGGTCCCAGCTTCTTCTGTCTCACTACAATGCTTGTCAACCTCCACAGTAGGAGGTGGGATGGTTGATATCTGTAGTACTATTCCTCTGAAT
The DNA here is from genome assembly GCF_000001405.40 of Homo sapiens. Classification (NCBI taxonomy): domain Eukaryota; kingdom Metazoa; phylum Chordata; class Mammalia; order Primates; family Hominidae; genus Homo; species Homo sapiens. The sequence goes on along the minus strand of NC_000019.10, from coordinate 27,709,954 downwards.
TTACTTCTTGATTCTTTGCCCTTGATTGTCCCCACGGGGGTCACTGGCCCTTTATCTCAAGGTTCGGTGGGCCGGGTGTTAGGTAGAGCATCCACCTCTGCTAAGGGAGTCACCATTCAAACTGGTCTCATTAAATCTGATTCCGTTGACGAGATTAAATTAATTGTGTCTGCCAAGGTTCCTGTTTCCATTCTGGCTGGTGAGTCAATTGCTCAATTGCTTTTACTACCTAATATCATTTTAAACAAAAGAGATAAGACACATGGCCCTGGGATGGGCTCTGGCAGTGAAAAGGCCGCTTATTGGATTAATGTAATTGCTAAACAACAGCCCACCTGCACCATACACATTGAAGGAAGAAAGTTTGAGGGCTTAGTAGATACTGGTGGTGATGTTTCTCTTATTTCCTCTAGTTTATGGCCTTCCTCTTGGCTTAAACATCCCACTAACATGGGACTAGTAGGTGTTGGAAAGGCCAAGGAAGTTTATGAGAGCACATTTATTTTGCCTTGCACTGGCCCTGATGGTCAAAAGGGTAAAATTCAGCCCTATATCATGCCAATTCCCATTGATCTTTGGGGTAGAGATTTACTGGCACAATGGCGGGCTGAAATTAATATTCCACGTAACTCTTATAATGCTCCCAGTCAGCATATGATGGAAAATATGGGGTTTGTTCCTGGACTCGGTCTCAGACCACAGCACGAGGGGATTAGTAAACCCCTCCCAGTTACTATAAAAGAAAACAGGGCTGGTTTAGGTTATCCTTTTTAGTGGCAGCTGCTGCCACGCCTCCTGATCCTATTCCTTTGCAATGGAAATCTGACACACCTGTTTGGGTTCAGCAGTGGCCGCTTTCTAAAGAAAAACTGGGAGATTTAAATCAATTGGTTTCTGAGCAGTTGCAACTTGGAAATGTGGAACCTTCTCTTTCCCCTTGGAATTCTCCTGTGTTTCTAGTAAAAAAGAAATCAGGCAAATGGCGGATGGTAACTGATTTAAGGGCCATTAACACTGTAATTAAACCTATGGGGGCCGTCCAACCTGGCTTGCCTGCCCCTGCTCTAATACCTAAAAATTGGCCTCTCATAGTTATTGATCTTAAAGATTGCTTTTTTTCATATTGCTTTACATAAATCGGATTGTGAAAAATTTGCTTTTACTGTACCATCTATCAATAATCAGGAGCCTGCAGCTCATAATTGTTGGAAAGTACTTCTTCAGGGAATGCTAAATAGCCCTACAATCTGCCAGCTTTATGTTGGACAAGAGCTTTCACCAGTTCAAGCCCAATTTCCTGAGGTGTATATTCTTCATTATATTGATGACATTTTAATTGCTGCCCCCAATGATAAAGAATTAATTGACTGTTACCACATTTTAAGCCACTGTGTTACAGAGGCTAGATTACACGTCGCTCAGGATAAAATTCAACAGATCACTCCTGTTCAATATTTAGGAATGGTGATCGATAAACAATGTATTCAACCTCAAAAATTTCAAATTAGGAGAGATTCTTTAAACACTTTAAATGACTTTCAAAACCTTTTGGGTAACGTAAATTATTTAAAACCTACTTTAGGCATTCCAACTTATGCGCTGTGTAACTTGTTCTCTATGCTGTGGGGAGATTCCGATCTCCACAGCCCCGGGACTTTGACCCCTGAGGCTTTACTAGAACTGGAATTCATAGAGGAAAGAATTCAGACCTCCCAGTTATCTAGAGTACAGCCGTTTCAGCCTTTTCAGTTTCTGTTTTTTGCTTCATCACACTCCCCTACTGGACTAATAGTTCAACATAATGATTTAATGGAGTGGCGTTTCCTTCCTCATTCTATGTCCAAAACTTTGTTTATGTAGACCAAATAGCCATATTAATTGGGCAGGCTCAGTGTAGAATACTTCAAATTTCTAGATTTGATCCAAATGTAATTGTACTTCCTTTAAATTGGCTTGAAGTTCAATCTGCCTTTCAACATTCTGTACTGTGGCAAATTCACTTGGCTGATTTTATTGGCGTTATTGACAATCATTATTCAAAAAACAAATTGTTTGATTTTTATATAAATGACGTCTTGGGTGGTTCCTCAATTAACCAAAGATCAACCCATTCCTGAGGCCATTACAGTGTTCACTGATGGCTCCAGTAATGGCAATGCTGGTTACATAGGTCCTACAGACAAACTTATTTCTACCTCTTATGCTTCTGCTCAAAAGGTGGAGTTAATTGCTGTGATTACTGCCTTACAGGATTTCCTCAAACCTTTAAATATTGTCTCAGATTCTGCTTATGTTGTACATGCCACTAAAAATATAGAAACTGCTGCTATCAAACACATTGATAATTCTGAATTGGCTTCTTTATTTTCAAGGTTACAACAGGTGGTTCACCAACGTAGACACCCTTTCTATATTACACATATTGGGTCTCATACCACTTTACCAGGACCCATGTCTGCTGGTAACCATAAAGTCAACTGTTTGGTCTCTTTTACAACCCAAGAAGCTCAGGAGTTCCATAATCTCACTCATGTCAATGCCGCTGGATTAAAAGATAAATTTGCTCTTACCTGGAAACAGGCTAAGTTTATTGTTCACGGCTGCTCTCAGTGCCAGGTCTTCGTACTTCCAAATCAGGAACCTTGTGTTAATCCTAGAGGCCTAACTCCTAATGCTTTATGGAAAATGGATGTGACTCATGTTAGCTCCTTTGGCATACTGTCATATGTGCATGTCTCTGCAGATACCTTCTCAGGTTTTATCTGGGCTACTTGCCAAACAGGGGAAGGCAGGGCCTATGTTAAAAAAAATCTGTATTCTTGCTTTGCAGTTATGGGGCTTCCATATCAAATAAAGACACAATGTCCCTGGATATGTTAGTAAGGCTTTTGATTCATTTATGCAACAGTGGGGAATTTCCCATATTACTGGAATCCCTTACAATCCTCAGGGACAGGCTGTGGTGGAACGGGCCAATCACACTTTAAAAACCCAATTGTCCAAACAGTCTGAACAACCTAAACATGATTTAACTACTCCCCACTCCCAATTACATTTGGCATTGTTTACTTTAATTTTTTTAAATGTTTCTAAAGATAATACTCTAACTGCAGCTGAACGCCATTATACAGGCAAAAAATTTTCCTTAAACGAAGGCAAACCAGTGTTATGGAAAAACTCCCAAGCCAATACCTGGGAATCTGGCACAATTATAACGTAGGGAAGAGGATATGCCTGGTTTCACCAGGAGATCATCAATCCCCTGTCTGGGAACCCACCAGAAGATTCAAGCTTCGGGTGAACACTGACAATGAAAACCACAGAGAAAAGACGTCTGTGTCAGAGACTACCTTCAGAAGTGGTAAGATCTGTGCCAACTGCTCAGAAAAAGGCACACCAAATCACAATGGATTTAAATCAATCCTCCCTGATGGCAATGGAGACCCATCTAACTAATCCCACTTCTCCTGATTACCTTTCTTTTTCTCCTTACAAACCTAAAAATCTCACCATTTCTATTAGCCTGAAAATAACATCCCTCTGTTCTTCTCTTCCTCCTTCAGCCTTCAATCTCATTTACACTAGGTTTTATTTAATGATTCTCCTCCTTATACTTTCTGTCTCACCAGTTTCCTCTCACACTGATTTACCTGCTACACATAATTATTCTTATTGGGCTTATGTGCCTCTTCCTCCACTTATTCGACCTCTCACCAGGGTAGATGCTCCTGCACAAATCTACACTAACGATAGTGTGTGACTGCCTGGAGCCACAGATGACCGTTGCCCTGCTCAACCAGGAGAAGAAGGCACTGCATTTAATGTTACCATGGGTTGTAAATACCCGTCTCTGTGCCTCAGACATGCACCTGGTTGCATCCATCTGGAAACTCAAGTCTAGGCTGCTTATCTTCCGGAAAGATCAACTACAGATAAAACAGGACATTTGGTCTCTGGCCTCTCTCTTTCTCCTTTAAAACAAATGAAAGGAAGAATAATGGGAGATACCCCATACTTTCAATATAAACCTGCAGGAAAATCGTGCCCTAAAAATTTTGAGGGCCCATCTAAAACTTTAATTTGGGAAGATTGTGTTAACTCACATGCAGTAATATTAAAAAATGACTCATATGGTTTAATAATAGGCTGGGCACCAAAGGGCTATTTAAAAAACAATTGCTCCTCTGGTGGAAGGGAATGCCTGGAGGCTACTTATTTTTTTTCTTATTGGGAGAACAAGAATCATCATTCTACTTTGCATAGGAGGATCAGCTTATGCTTTCCCTTAAAATGGGAAGATAAAGGCATTATCCCCCACCCAGGCCTCGTATGATACTCCCCATTCTGAGCCTGAACACCCAGAACTTTGGAAATTGGCTATTGCCATGTCTGGACTGCAAGTATGGGAAAGGAAAACTCTTCTGACTGTTTTTCCCACTACTGTCCCACTCTCTCCTTATCAACGTAGAACGAGACATTCTGCTTTACTTACCTCCAACCTGACTATTCCCATACAGAGTTGTGTTAAGCCCCCTTACATGCTGTTAGTAGGAAATATCAAAATTTGGACGAATAATCAAACTGTCCAATGCATTAATTGTCATCTATACCTTTGTATTAACTCCCATTTTGACTCCAAGAGAAGCATAATATTGGTTCGATCTTAAGAAGGAATCTGGATTCCAGTAACTTTACCTAGACCTTGGGAATCCTCCCCCTCAATACATTTAATTAATGAAGTGCGACAGCGAATTCTAAAAAGGTCCAAGAGATTTGTTTTCACTTTGATCACTGTTATCATGGGCCTAATTACAGTCACTGCAATGACCACCACTGCCGGAATGGCATTACACCAATCCATTCAAACGGCTTATTTTGTTAATGATTGGCAAGCCAATTCCACCCAAATGTGGAATTCTTAACAAGGCATTGATCAAAAATTGGCAAATCAAATTAATGATTTAAAACAGTCTGTTATTTGGCTTGGAGATTGGGTAGTGAGTTTCGAACATTGCATGCAAATGCAGTGCCAGTGGAATACTTTGGATTTCTGCATCACCCCATATTCCTATAATGAGACTGATCATTCATGGGAAACGGTCAAAGGACACCTTCTAGGTAGGGAAGATAATTTATCATTGGACACAACTAAATTAAAGAAACAAATTTTTGAATCCTCTCAAGCTCACTTATCCATTCTGCCTGGAGCTGAGGTGTTAGATCAGGTGGCAGAAAATCTTTATGGATTAAAGCCCACAACTTGGATTAAGTTTATTGGGGGCTCCACTGTAGTAAATTTTGGAATTATGTTTCTCTGTTTAATCGGCTTGTTTTTAGTGTGCCAGACCAGTCAAAGAATCCTGCATCAAAATTGAGAGAACGAACAAGCCTTCATCACCATGGCACATTTATATAAAAAGAAAGGGAGAGATGTTGTGGGAAGTCAGGGACCCCAAATGGAGGAACCAGCTGAAGCCATGGCTGAAGAATGTGGATTGTGAAGATTTCATGGACATTTATTATTTCACCTAATTAATACTTTTAAAATTTCTTATGCCTGTCTTTACTGCAATCTCTAAACATAAATTGTGAAGATTTCATGGACACTTATCATTTCCCCAATCAATACCCTTGTGATTTCCTATGCCTGTCTTTACTTTAATCTCTTAATCCTGTCAGCTGAGGAAGATGTATGTTGCCTCAGAACAATGTGATAATTGCGTTAACTGCACAAATTGTAGAGCATGTGTGTTTGAACAAATATGAAATCTGGGCACCTTGAAAAAAGAACAGGATAACAGCAATTGTTCAGAGAATAAGAGAGATAACCTTAAAATCTGACCACTGGTGAGCCAGGTGGAACAGAGCCACATTTCTCTTCTTTCAAAAGCAAATGGGAGAAATATTGCTGAATTCTTTTTCTCAGCAAAGAACATCCCTGGGAAAGAGAATACATGCCTGGTGGTATAGGTCTATAGACGGACCCCCAGGAATGCCTGTCTTTTATGGTCTGTAGACTGCAGGGGTGAAATAGACCCAGTCTCCCATAGCACTCCCAGGCTTATTAGGAAGAGGAAATTCCTGCCTAATAAATTTTAGTCAGAACGGTTGCTCTCAAAACCTGTCTCCTGACAAGATCTTATCAATGACAGTGGTGCCAGAAACTTCATCAGCAATTTTAATTTCACCCTGGTCCTGTGGTCCTGTGATCTCACCCTGCCTTTATTTGCCTTGTAATATTCTATTACCTTGTGAAGTACTTGGTGTCTGTGACCCACACCTATTCATATACTCCCTCCCGTTTTGAAACTCCCTAACAAAAATTTGCTGGTTTTACGGCTTGTGGGGCATCCTGGAACCTACCCACATGTGTTGTCTCCCCTGGATGCCCAGGTTTAAAGTTTCTCTCTTTTGTACTTTGTCCCTTTATTTCTCAAGCTGGCTGAAGCTTAGGGAAAATAGAAAAGAACCTATGTGCCTATCAGGGCAGGTTCCCCAATAGATTCACCTCACAGAGTTAAAGCTTCATTTTGATTGAATAGGTTGGGAACATCTGCAGAACCTATGAAGAGACATTTCTGAGTCTATTGGGGCCTACAGTAAAAAAAAAACAAAAAACAAAAAACCCTGGATACAAACTAGAAACAATCTATCTGTGAAAATGATTTGTGATATGTGGATTCATCTCACTGAATTGAGTCTATGTAATGATTCACCAGGTAGGAAACCCTCTTCTTGTAGAATCTAAGAACGTACATTTTTGAACTCTTTGAAGCCTATATTGAAAAACCGAATATTTTGTGATAACAACTAGAAACAAGCTCTCTGTTAAAATCTTTTGTGATATATGGATTAATCTTACTGAATGGAACCAGTGTTTTGAGTCACCAGATTGGAAACACTGTTTTTGTAGAATCTATGAAGTGACATTTCTGAGCCCACTGGGACCTATAGTGAAAAACTGAATATCCCACCTTAAAAACGAGAAACAAGCTATCTGTTGAAAATGGCTTTGTAGTGTGTGAATTTATTGTACTTAATAAAAGTTGTGTTTTGATTCAGCAGGTTGTAAACACTCCTTTTGTAGTATCTACGAAGGGATATTTATGACATTATTGTGGCCCATTGTGAAAAACTGACTATCCTGCAATTTTTTATGAGAAATAAGCTCTCTGTGAAAATGCATTACAATATGTGAATTCATCTCACCTAATGGAACCTGCTTTTTAACTCACCAAATGGGAAACTTTATTTTTGTAGGATCTACAAAGGAACATTTCTGAGCCCATTGAAGCCAATAGTGAAAAACTGAATATCCCATGATTAAAAACTAGAAACAACCTCTCTGTAAAAATGCTTTGTGATGTGTGGATTCATCTTCTGTAATGTAACCTGCGTTTTGATTGACCAGGTTGGAAATACCCTTTTTTTTAGAATATGTGAAGGGACATTTTAGCACACATTGAGGCTGATAGTCAAAAACCAAATATCCCATGATAAACACTAGACACAAGCTCTCTGTGAAAATGCTTCTCAATGTGTGGATTCATCCCAAGAGTTAAAAACACTCTTTTTTTTTTTTTTTTTTTTTTTTTTTTTTTACAATTTACAACAATACATTATGAGCCACTTGAGGCCTACAGTGAAAAACAGAATATCACAAGATAAAAAATAGAAACAAGCCATCTGTAAAAATAATTTATGATGTGTGGATTTATCTCACGAAATGGAAACTTTCTTTTGATTTAAGAGGCTGGAAACACTCTTATTCTAGAATCTATGAAGGGACATTTCTGAGCCCATTGGGGCCTATAGTGAAAAAACAAATATCCTGCCATAAAAATTTGAAACAAGAAATCTGTGAAAATGCTTTGTGATATATAGATTTATCTCACTGAATAGAACCTGCATTTTGACTTACCAGTTTGGGAACACTCTATTTGTAGAATCTACGAAGGCATTGTTCAAAATTAGGCCTGAGTTCCATGAGGCCTATAGTGAAAAACCGAATGTCCCAAGGCAAAAACTGTAAACAGGCTACCTGTGAAGATCTTCAGTTTAGTCGGTGATTCATCTCATTGACTAAACCATGTGTTTTTATTCACCAGGTTGGGAACACTGTGTTTGTAGAATCTACAAAGGAAAATTTCTGAGCCTCTTGAGGCCTATAGTGAGAAATGATATATCATGCGATAAGAACTAAAAACAAGCTATCTGTGAAGATGCTTTGTGACAAGTGGATTCATCTCACAGAGTTAAACCTTTCTTTTGATTCAACAGGTTAAAAAACCTTTCTTTTTCTTTTGTAGAATCTATGCAGGGACATTTTTGTGCTCATTGAGGCCTACTGTGAAAAACCAAACATCAGGGGTGGAGCCAAAAAAGCCAAATAGGAACAGCTCCAGTCTACAGCTCCCAGCATGAGCCACACAGAAGATGGATGATTTCTGCATTTCCAACTGAGGTACCAGGTTCATCTCACTGGGGAGTGTTGGAAAGTGGGTTCAGGACAGTGGGTGCAGGACACCGAGCATGAGCCAAAAGAGGGTGAGGCATCACCTCACCTGGGAAGCACAAGGGGTCAGGGAATTCACTTTCCTAGTCAAAGAAAGTGGTGACAGATGGCACCTGGAAAATCAGGTCACTCCCACCATAATACTGCACTTTTCCAATGGTCTTAGCAAATGGCACACCAGGAGATTATATCCCTTGCATGGCTTGGAGGGTTCTACACCCATGGAGCCTTGCTTATTGCTAGCACAGCAGTATAAGATCAAACTGCAAGGTGGCAGAGAGGCTTGGGGAGGGGCACCCACCATTGCCGAGGCTTGAATAGGTAAACAAAGTGGCTAGGAAGCTCGAACTTGGTGGAGCCCACCACAGCTCAAGGAGGCCTGCCTGCCTCTGTAGACTCCACCTCCGGGGGCAGGACATAGCCAAACAAAAGGCAACAGAAACCTTTGCAGATTTAATTGTCCCTGTCTGACAGCTTTGAAGAGAGTAGTGGTTCTCCCAGCACGCAGCTGGAGATCTGAGAATGGAGAGATTGCCTCCTCAAGTGGGTCCCTGAACCCCAAGTAGCATAACTGGGAAGCACCCCCCAGTAGGGGCAGACTGACACCTCACAAGGCCGGGTACTCCTCTGAGACAAAACTTCCAGAGGAACAATCAGGCATCAACATTTGCTGTTCACCAATATCCGCTGTTCTGCAGCCTTTGCTGCTGATACCTAGGCAAATAGGGTCTGGAGTGGACCTCCAGCAAACTCCAACAGACCTGCAGCTGAGGGTCCTGACTGTTAGAAGGAAAACTAACAAACAGAAAGGACATCCACACAAAAACCCCATCTGTACGTCACCATCATTGAAGACCAAAGGTAGAAAAAACCACAAAAATGGGGAATAAAACAGAAAAGAAAAACTGGAAACTCTAAAAATTAGAGTGCCTCTCCTCCTCCAAAGGAATGCAGCTCCTCACCAGCAATGAAACAAAGCTGGATGGAGAATGACTTTGACGACTTGAGAGAAGAAGGCTTCAGATGATCAAACTATTCTGAGCTAAAAGAGAAAGTTCGAACCCATGGCAAAGAAGTTAAAAACCTTGAAAAAAAGTTAGATGAATAGCTAACTAGAATAGCCAATGCAGAGAAGTCCTTAAAGGACTTGATGGAGCTGAAAACCAAGGCACGAGAAATACATGATGAATGCACAAGCCTCAGTAACCAATTCGATCAACTGGAAGAAAGGGTATCAGTGATGGAAGATCAAATGAATGAAATGAAGTGAGAAGAGAAGCTTATAGAAAAAAGAATAAAAAGAAATGAACAAAGCCTTCAAGAAATATGGGACTATGTAAAAACCCCAAATCTACATCGGATTGTTGTATCCGAAAGTGACAGGGAGAATGGAACCAAGTTGGAAAACACTCTGCGGGATAATATCCAGGAGAATTTCCCCAATCTAGCAAGGCAGGCCAACATTCAAATTCAGGAAATAACAGAGAATGCTACAAAGATACTCCTCGAGAAGAGCAACTCCAAGACACATAATTGTCAGATTCGCCAAATTTCAAATGAAGGAAAAAATGTTAAGGATAGCCAGAGAGAAAGGTCGGGTTACCCACAAAGGGAAGCCCATCGGACAAACAGCAGATATGTCAGTAGAAACTCTACAAGCCGGAAGAGAGTGGGGGCCAATATTCAACATTCTTAAAGAACAGAATTTTCAACGCAGAATTTCATATACAGTCAAACTAAGCTTCATAAGTGAAGGAGAAATAAAATGCTTTACAGACAAGCAAATGCTGAGAGATTTCGTCACCACCAGGCCTTCCCTAAAAGAGCTCCTGAAGGAAGCACTAAACATGGAAAGGAACAACTGATACCAGCCACTGCAAAAACAGGCCAAATTGTAAAGACCATTGAGGCTAGGAAGAAACTGCATCACCTAATGAGCAAAATAGCCAGCTAACATCATAATGACAGGATCAAACTCACACGTAACAATATTAACCTTAAATGCAAATGGGCTAAATGCTCCAATTAAAAGACACAGACTGGCAAATTGGATAAAAGGTCAGGAGCTATCAGTATGCTGTATTCAGGAAACACATCTCACATACAGAGACACACATAGGCTTAAAATAAAGGGATGGAGGAAGATCTACCAAGAAAATGGAAAACATAAAAAGGCAGGAATTGCAATCCTAGTCTCTGATAAAACAGAATTTAAACCAACAAAGATCAAAAGAGACAAAGAAGGCCATTATATAATGGTAAAGGGATCAATTCAACAAGAAGAGCTAACTATCCTAAATATATATGCACCCAATACAGGAGCACCCAGATTCATAAAGCAAGTCCTTAGAGACCTACAAAGAGACTTAGACTCCCACACAGTAATAATGGGAGACTTTAACACCCCACTGTCAACATTAGACAGATCAACGAGACAGAAAGTTAGCAAGGATATCCAGGAACTGAACTCAGCTCTGCACCAAGTGGACCTAATAGATATCTACAGAACTCTCCACCCCAAATCAACAGAATATAAATTCTTTTCAGCACCACACCACACTTATTCCAAAATTGACCACATAGTTGGAAGTAAAGCACTCTTCCGCAAATGTAAAAGGACAGAAATTATAACAAAATGTCTCTCAGACCACAGTGCAATCAAACTAGAACGCAGGATTAAGAAACTCACTGAAAACCGCTCAATGACATGGAAACTGAACAACCTGCTCCTGAGTGACTACTGGGTACATAACGAAATGGAGGCAGAAATAAAGATGTTCTTTGAAACCAAGGAGAACAAAGACACAACATACCAGAATCTCTGGGACGCATTCAAAGCAGTGTGTAGAGGGAAATTTATAGCACTAAACGCCCACAAGAGAAAGTAGGAAAGATCTAAAATTGACACCCTAACATCACAATTAAAAGAACTAGAGAAGCAAGAGCAAACACATTCAAAATCTAGCAGAAGGCAAGAACAACTAAGATCAGAGTAGAGCTGAAGGAAATAGACACGCAAAAAACCCTTCAAAAAATCAATGAATCCAGGAGCTGGTTTTTTTAAAAGATCAACAAAATTGATAGACCACTAGCAAGACTAATAAAGAAGAAAAGAGAGAGGAATCAAATAGACTCAATAAAAAATGATAAAGGGGATATCACCACCGATCCCATAGAAATACAAACTACCATCAGAGAATACTATAAACACCTCTACACAAATAAACTAGACAATATAGAAGAAATGGATAAATTCCTCGACACATACACCTCCCAAGACTAAACCAGGAAGAAGTTGAATCTTTGAATAGACTAATAACAGGCTCTGAAATTGAGGCAATAATTAATAGCTTGCCAAGCAAAAAAAGTCAAGGACCACATGGATTCATAGCTGAATTCTACCAGAGGAAAAAGGAGGAGCTGGTACCATTCCTTCTGAAACTACTCCAATCAATAGAAAAAGAGGGAGTCCTCCCTAACTCATTTTATGAGGCCAGCATCATCCTGTTACCAAAGCCTGGCAGAGACACAACAAAAAAAAAGAGAATTTTAGAACAATATCCCTGATGAACATTGATATAAAAATCCTCAATAAATACTGGCAAACCGAATCCAGCAGCACATCAAAAAGCTTATCCACCATGATCAAGTGGGCTTCATCCCAGGGATGCAACGCTGGTTCAACATAGGCAAATCAATAAACGTAATCCAGCATATAAACAGAACCAATGACAAAACCATATGATTATCTCAATAGATGCAGAAAAAGCCTTCGACAAAATTCAACAGCCCTTCATGCTAAAAACTCTCAATAAAGTAGGTATTGATGGGATGTACCTCAAAATAATAAGAGCTATCTATGACAAACCCACAGCCAATATCATATTGAATGTGCGAAAACTGGAAGCATTCCCTTTGAAAACTGGCACAAGACAGGGATGTCCTCTCTCACCACTCCTATTCAACATAGTGTTGGAAGTTCTGGCCAGGGCAATCAGGCAGGAGAAAGAAAGTGTATTCAATTAGGAAAAGAGGAAGTCAAATTTTCCCTGTTTGCCAATGAGATGATTGTATATCTAGAAAACCCCATTGTCTCAACCCAAAATCTCCTTAAGCTGATAGGCAACTTCAGAAAAGTCTCAGGATACAAAATAAATGTGCAAAAATCAGAAGCATTCTTATACACCAGTAACAGACAAACGGAGAGCCAAATCATGAGTGAACTCCCATTCACAATTGCTTCAAAGAGAATAAAATACCTAGGAATCCAACTTACAAGGGATATGAAGGACTTCTTCAATGAGAACTACAAACCAATGCTCAATGAAATAAAAGAGGACACAAACAAATGGAAGAATATTCCATGCTCATGGATAGGAAAAATCAATATCGTGAAAATGGCCATACTGCCCAAGGTAATTTATAGATTCAATGCCATCCCCATCAAGCTACCAATGACTTTCTTCAAAGAATTGGAAAAAACTACTTTAAAGTTCATATGGAACCAAAAAAGAGCCCACATCGCCAAGTCAATCCTAAGCCAAAAGAACAAAGCTGGAGGCATCACGCTACCCGACTTCAAACTATACTACAAGGCTACAGTAACCAAAACAGCATAGTACTGGTATCAAAACAGAGATTTAGACCAATAGAACAGAACAGAGCCCTCAGAAATAATGCTGCACATCTACAACCATCTGATCTTTGACAAACCTGACAAAAACAAGAAATGGGGAAAGGATTCCCTATTTAATAAATGGTGCTTGAAAAACTGGCTAGCCATATGTAGAAAGCTGAAATGAGATCCCTTCCTTACACTTTATACAAAAATTAACTCAAGATGGATTAAAGACTTACATGTTAGACCTAAAACCATAAAAACCCAGGAAGAAAACCTAAGCAATACCATTCAGGACATAGGCATAGGCGAGGACTTCATGTCTAAAACACCAAAAGCAATGGAAACAAAAGCCAAAATTGACAAATAAGATCTAATTAAACTAAAGAGCTTCTGCACAGCACAAGAAACTACCATCAGAGTGAACAGACAAACTACAAAATGGGAGAAAATTTTTACAATCTACTCATCTGACAAAGGGCTAATATCCAGAATCTTCAATGAACTCAAACAAATTTACAAGAAAAAAACAAACAACCCCATCAACAAGTGGGCAAAGGATATGAACAGACGCTTCTCAAAAGAAGACATTTATGCAGCCAAAACACACATGAAAAAACACTCATCATCACTTGCCATCAGAGAAATGCAAATCAAAACCACAATGAGATACCATCTCACACCAGTTAGAATGGCAATCATTAAAAATTCAGGAAACCATAGGTGCTGGAGAGGATGTGGAGAAAGACAAACACTTTTACACTGTTGGTGGGACTGTAAACCAGTCCAACCCTTGTGGAAGTCAGTGTGGTGATTCCTCAGGGATGTAGAGCTAGAAATACCATTTGACCCAGCCATCCCATTACTGGGTATATACCTGAAGGATTATAAATCATGCTGCTATAAAGACACTTGCATAGGTATGTTTATTGCAGCACTATTCACAATAGCAAAGACTTGCAACCAAGCCAAATGTCCAACAATGATAGACCGGATTAAGAAAACGTGGCACATATACACCATGGAATACTATACAGCCATAAAAAATGATGAGTTCATGTCCTTTGTAGGGACATGGATGAAGCTGGAAGCCATCATTCTCAGCAAACTATCGCAAGGACAAAAAACCAAACACTGTATGTTCTCACTCATAGGTGGGAATTGAACAATGAGAACAGATGGACACAGGAGGGGGAGCATCACACACCGGGGCCTGTTGTGGGGTAGGGGGAGGGGGGAGGGATAGCATTAGGAGATATACCTAATGTTAAATGACGAGTTAATGGGTGCAGCACACCAACATGGCACATGTATACATATGTAACTAACCTGCACATTGTGCACATGTACCCTAAAACTTAAAGTATAATAAAAAATAGAAAAAAGAAAAACCAAATATCTTGTAATAATAACCAGAGCTATCTGTGAAAATTCTTTCTAATGTGTGGATTAATCTAGACGAATCTAACCTGTTGATTCACCATGTTGGAAACACTCTTTTTGTAGAGTTTACAAAAGGGACATTTCTGAGCCCATTGAGGCCTGTAGTGAAAAAATGAATATCCCTCAATAAAAACTCGAAACAAGCTATTTGTGAAAATACTGGTTGATTTCAAGCATTATAATGGGAGAGACTCCTCACCAACCCCAGGCAGTCAAAGGATAGTCATCTGGGTTACCCCATGCATTCTAATGGGAGACATTCCTAGCCGACCCCAGCCAGTCTAATGATAGAGACACCTGCGTCACTCCAGGCATTCTAATGAGACAGACTCCTGGCTGATACCAGGCATTCCAATGGTGAAGACACCTGGGCAACACCAGGCATTGTTATGGGAGACACTCCAGGTTCACTCTAGTCACTCTAAACAGATAGACTTCTAGCCAAATTCAGGCAATTTAATGATAGAGACACCTGGGCTACCCCATGCATTCTAATGTAAGGCTGACCACAAGGCAGTCTAATAATAGAGACACATGGGCAGCCCCAGGTCTTCTCATTGGAGAGACTCCCGGATGACTCCAAGTAGTCTAATGATAGAGACATCTGGGAGACACAAGGCATTTTAAAAGGAGAGATTCCATGCTGACTCCAGGCATTGGGGGTGACTTCTGAGCAACCCCAAGCAGTCTAATGTTGGAGACACCAGAGCGACCCCAGGCATTCAATCCAGAGAGACTCCATTGACCACAGGCAGTCTAATGATAGATACACTTGGGCAAACCCACACATTCTAATGAAAGAGGTTCTTGGTCAACCCCAGGCATTCTAATGATAGAGACATTTGGGACACCACAGGCACTCTAATGGGAGAGACTCCCAGCCAACCCTAGGCATTCTAATGGTAGAGAATTCCATCTTACCCCAGGCATTCTAATGGGAGAGGCTTCCAACTGACACCAGACAGTCTAATGATAGAGTCATTTTGGCGAACCCAGACCTTCCAGTGGAAGAGACTTCCGGCCAATTTCAGGCAGTCTAATGTTACAGACAACAGGGCAACCCCAGGCATTCTAATGAGAGAGACTACCCACCAAACCAAGTCAGTCTAAGGAGAGAGTCACCTTGGTGATGCAAGGAACACTAATGAAGGAGAATTTAGGCCAATCTCTGGCATTATAATGATAGGGAAACCTGGGTGATCCCAGGCATTCTAGTGACAGAGAAAACTGGGCTACCTCAGTCATTCTAATAGGAGATATTTCCATCTGACATCAGGCATTCTAATGGAAGAAACTCCTGGCCAACCCAGGTAGACTAAAGATAACAACACCTGGTCGACCCCAGGCATTCTAATGGGAGAGACTCCCAGCTGATCCCAGGCAGTCTAATGATAGAGACACTTTGGAGACCTCAGACATTTTAATGGGAGAGACTCCTGGTCAAACCCCAGCAGTCTAATGATAAAGACATTTTGGTGACCCCAGGCATTCTAAGGAAAAAGACTCCCAGCAGATCCCAGGAATTTTAATGGAAGACTTGAGGTCGATCACAGGCAGTCTTAGAAAGAAGACACCTGGGAGACCACAGGTATTCTAATGGGAGAGACTCCTGGCTGACCCCCAGCAGTCTAATTATAGAGACACCTGGGCTACCCCAGACATTCTAACAAAAGAGATTCCTTGGCGACCCCAGGCAATGTGATGATACAGACACCTGAATGACCCCAGGCATTCTAATGGGAGATACTCCCAGCTGAACTTAGACAGACTAATGATAGAGACACCTGGCCAACCACAGGCATTTTATTAGGAGAGACTCCTGGACGAGCTTAGGCAGCCTAATTGTAGAGACATGGGGGCAATCTGAAACATTGAAATGGAAAAGACTCCCGGCGGACCCAAGGCAGTCTAGTGATAGAGACACCTGGGTGATCCCATGCATTCTAATGGGAGAGATTTACAGCTGACTGCAGTCAGTCTAATGATGGAGACACCTAGGCAACCCTAGGCATTCTAATGGGAGAGACTCCTGGACAACCCCAGGCATTCTAATGATAGAGACACCTCGGCAACCCCAGGCGTTGTAATGGGCAAAACTTTCAGCCAACCCCAGGTATTCTCTTGGGAGAGACTCTTTGCTGACCTCAAGCAGTCTAATTATAGAGACACCTGCATGACCCCAGGCATTCTAATGTTAAAGACTCTCAGACGATGCCAGGAATTCTAATGGGAGAGACTCTTGGCTTACCTCAAGCAGTCTAAGGTAAAGACACCTGAGTGACCATAACCATTCTAATGGGAAAGACTCCTGGCTGAGCCCAGCCAGTTTAATTATAGAGACACTTGGTGTGAATCCTAATGGGAGAGATTCCCAGCTGACCCCAGGTGGTGTAATGAAAGAGATAACTGGGCAACCCCAGGCAGTTTAATTATACAGACACTTGGTGTGAATCCTAATGGGAGAGATTCCCAGCTGACCCCAGGTAGTGTAATGAAAGAGATACCTGGGCAACCCCAATCATTCTAATGAGAGAGACCCCTTCCAAACTTAGGTTGTTTAATGATAGAGGTGCATGAGCAATATTATCCCAGGTATAATAATGGGAAATTATTATCCCAGGTATAATAATGGGAAAACGTGCCGGCTGACCTCAGGCAGTCTAATGATAGAGAAACCTGGGCAAACAGAAATTCTAATAGAAAAGATTGCCAGCAGACCTCAGGGATTCTAATGATAGAGACACCTGATTGACCACAGAGATTATAATGGGAGAGACTCCCACCCAATCCCAGGCAGTCTAGTGATAGAGTCACCTGGGTGACCCAGGCATTTTCATGGGAGAGACTTCTGGCCAATTCTAGGCATTCTAATGGTAGAGTCACCTGGGCAACACCAGACATTCTAATGGAAGAGAGTTCTGGCCAAACAGTCTAATTATAAAGAAACGTGGGCAACCACAGGCATTCTTGTGTGTGAGATTCCTGGTTGACCCCAGGAAGTCTAATGATAGAGAAACCAGGCATACTTCTGGGAAAGACTTTCACCTCACACAAGGCATTGTAATGAGAGAGCTTCCTGGCTGACCCCAGGAAGTCTAACGAAAGAGATATCTTGGTGATCTCAGGCATTTTAATGGAAGAAACTCCTGGCTGATGCCAGGAAGGCTAATAAGAGAGACACATGGGTGACTCCAGGCATTCGAATGGGAGAGACTTTCGGCTGACCCCAGGCATTCTAATGATAGAGACAGCTGAGCAACCACAGGCTTTCTCCCGTCCAACCCCAGGCATTCTAATTGGACAGACCCCTGGCAGACACCAGACAGTTTAAGGATAAGGACACTTGGGCAACAGCAAGCATTCTAACTGGAGAGACTCCTGGGTGACCCAAGGCAGTCTAATTATGAAGACATCTGAATGACCCCAGGCATTCTAATGGGAGAGACTCCCAGCCAACCCCAGGCTGTCTAGTGATAAAGACACCTGGGCGACCTCATGCATTGTAATGGGAAAGACTACTGACTGAACCCAAGCAGTCTAACAATAGAGACACCTGGGAGACCCCAAACATTCTAATGCAAGGGATTTTTGGTGCAACCTAGGCACTCTAACGGGAAATGACTGGCTGATGACAGGTAGTATAATGATACAGACACCTGGGTAAAAACAGGCATTCGAATGGGAGACACTTCTGACCGATCCCAAGTAGTCTAATTATAGAGACACCTGGGCAATCCCAGGCATTCGAACGGGAAAGGCACCTGGCCAACCATGGGCAGTCTAATAGTAGAGACACCTGAGGGACCTGAGGCATTCTAATGGGAGATACACCTGGCCAACCATGGGCAGTCTAATAATAGAGACACCTGGGCAACCTGAGGCATTCTAATGGGAGAAACTTTCACCAAACTCAGGCAATCTAATGATAGAGACAGCTGGGCTGCCTCAGGGATTCTAATGGGAGAGACTCCTGGCCGATCCCAGGCAGTCTAATGAAAGAGACAACTGGGCAAACTCAGGCATTCTAATGAGAGAAACCTCACACTGAGCCCAGACAGTCTAACTATAAAGACACCAGGGTGACCCCAGGCATTCTAATGTAAGCGACTCCAAGCTGACCCCAGGCAAGTCTAATGATAGAGACACCTGGGCGACCCCAGACATTCTAATGGGAGAGACTCATGGCCAACCCCAGGCATTCTAATGAAAGAGACTCCTGGTTGACCCAAGGCAACCTAATAATAGCGACACCAAATCGACCCCACACATTCTAATGGGAGAGACACCCAGCCAACCACAGGCAGTCTAATGATAGAGACACCTGGGCAACCACAGGCATTTGAATGGGTGAAACTCCAGAACTACCCCAGGTATTTTAATAATACAGACACCTGGCATTCTAATAAGAGAGATTTCTAGAGAACCCCAGGCATTCTCTTGAAAGAGTCTCTTGGCTGACCCGAAGCAGTCAAATTATAGAGACATCTGGGTGACACGGGCATTTTAATTGGAGAGGCTCCATGCCAACTCCAGGTATTCTAATAATAGAGAAATCTGTGAGATGCCAGGCATTCTAATGAAAAATACTTTTGGCAGACCCCAGGTTTTCTAATGGGAGAGACTCCCAGCTGACCCCAGGCCTTCTAATAATATTGACATGGGGCAACACTTTGCATTTTATTGGGAAAGACTCCTGGCTGACCACAGGCATTCTAATGCTAAAGATACCTAAGCATCCCCAGGCATTATAATGGGAGAGACTCCCAGCGATTCTAGGCATTGTAATGGGAGGGACTCCTAGCTGACTCCAGAAGTTGAATGATGGAGACACCTGGGCGACCAAAGGCATTCTAATGGCAGGGATTTTCTGCCGACCCCAGGCAGTCTAATAATAGAGACACCTGGGTGATCAAAAACATTTTAATCTGAGAGACTCCCGGCAGACCCCAGGCAGTCTAGTTGGAAAGACTCCTGGCCAACCCCAGGCAGTCCAATGATAAAGACAACTGAGCTGCCTTAGGCATTTTAATGGGAGAGGCTCCCGGCTGACACCAGGAGTCTAATGATAAAGACATCTGGGCAAAAGTGGGCATTCCAATGAAAGAGATTCCTGGCCGTCCCCAGGCAGTCTAATGATAGAAACACCTACCTGGTCGACTGAAAGACATGTAATGGGAGAGGCTCAAGGAAGACCCCAGGCTTTCTAATTATAGAGGCAACTAGCCAACCCCAGGCATTCTACTGGAAGAGACTCCTGAGCAACACAGGCATTCTAATGCAAGAGACTTCCAGTTGACAACACACATTCTAATGGGAGACTATTGGGTGACTGCAGGCAGTCTAAAAATAGAGACTACTTGGCAACCACAGGTATTCTAATGGAAAAGACTACTTGCTGACTACTGGCAGTCTAATTATAGAGACACCTGTACGACCCCAGGCATTCAAATGAAAGAGACATCTGGGGGACCACAGGCAGTCTAATCGTAGAGCCACTTGGGCAATCCCAGGCATTCCAATGAGAGGCACTCTTAGCCAAACCCAGGCAGTCTAATGATGGAGACAACTGGCTGACCCCAGGCATTCTATTAAGAGAGATTTCCAGCCGAACACAGGAATTCTAATGATAGAGACACTTGATCAAACACAGGTATTTTAATGGGAGAGACTCTCACCCAACTGCAGGCAGTCTAATGATAAAAACATTTTGTTAAGCCTAGGCATTCTAATGGGAGAGATACTTGGCTGACCCCAGGCACTCTAATGATAGAGAAACCAGGGCCACCCCAGACATTCTAATGAGAGAGACCCCTGGCCCACCCCAGCATGTCTAATGAAAGAAACACCTGGGTGATCCCAGGAATTCTAATGAAATAGACGTGTTATAAAAACTAGAAAAAAAGCTAACTGAGAAAATGCTTTGTGATATGTAGATTCATATCACAGAGTTAAACCTCTGTTTTGATTCAACAGGACACACTAGTTTTGTAGAACCTACAAATGGACATTTTGGAACCTATTGAGGCCTATAGTAAAAAAACAAATATCTTATGATAAAAACTACAAACAAACTATCTGTGAAAATGGTTTGAGATGTGTAGATTTATCTGACAAAGTTAAACTTCCTTGTTCATTTAACATTATGGAAACACTTTTTTTGTAGAATCTACAAGGTTACATTTCTAAACTCATTAAGACCTATACTGAAAAATGGAATATCCCATGACAAAAACTAGAAACAAGCAATCTGTGAAAATTTTTTGCCATGTGTGGATTCATCTCACAGAGTAGAACCTCTATTTTGATTCAAAAGATTGGTAATATACTTTTTATAAAATCTATAAAGGGATTTCTGAGCCCATTGAGGTGCATAGTGAAAAACAGAGTATGCCACGATAAAAACTAAAAACAGCCTCTCAGTTAAAATGCTTTGAGATGTGAGGATTCATCTCACAGGTTTAAACCTTTGTTTTTATTCAACTGATTGGAAACACTCAATTTTGTATAATTGAGAAGGGACATCACTGAGCCCATATAGTGAAAAACCTAATATCCTGTGATAAAAAGAAGGAAAAAAATCTGGGAATATGCTTTGTGATGTGTGGATTTATCTCACAGAATGGAAACTGTGTTTTGACTCACCAAGTTAGAAACACTCTTTTTGTAAAATCTACAAAGGGACATTTCTGAGCCCATTGAGGACTACAGTAAAAAATTGAACATTGCCCTATAAAAACTAGAAACAAGCTATCTGTGAAAATGCTTTGTGATGTGTGGATTAACCTCACAGTGTTAAACCTCTGTTTTGATTCAACAGATGGGAAACACTTTTTTATAGAATCTACAAAGAGACATTTCTGAGCCCATTAAGGCCTGTAATAAAAAAATCCTGCGATAAAAACTAGAAACAAGTTTTATATGAAAATACTTTGCTATTTGTGGATTCATCTCACCAAATCAAACCTGTGTTTTGACTCAAAAAGTTAGAAACACTCTTTTTGTAGAATCTATGAAGGGACATTTCTGAGCCCAATGAGGTCTATAGTGAAAACCTGAATATCCCACAATAAAAACAAGAAACAAGCTACCTGTGAAAATACTTTCCAATGTCTGGATTTATCTCACAGAAGTAAACCTTTCTTTTCAATCATCAGGTTGGAAACAGGATTTTTGTAGAATCTACAAAAAACCATTTCTGAGCCTGTTGAGGCCTATAGTAAAATAACAAATATTCTGCAATAAAAACTAGAAACAAGCTATCTGTGATGTGATCTGAGCTATTTGTGATGTGTGGATTCATCTTACAGGGTTAAAGCTTTGTTTTGATTCAACAGGTTGAAAACACTTTTTTGTAGAATCTACAAAGGGATGTATCTGAGCCCATTGAGGACTATATTAAAAAATTGAATATCTCACGATATAAACTAAAAAGAAGCTATCTATGAAAATGCATTGCTAAGTGTGGATTCATCTCATAGAGATAAAACTTTGTTTTGATATAACAGATTGGAAACACTTATTTTGTAGAATCTACGAAGTGACATTTTTGAGCCCATTGAGGCCTATAGTAATAAACTGAATATCCTGTGATAAAAAATAGAAAGAAGCATCTGTTAACATGCTTTGCAACCTGTGGATACATCTCACAGAGTTAAACTTTTATTTTGATTCAACAGTTTGAAACAGGCTTTTTGTAGAATCTACAAAGGAACATTTCTGATGCTATCTAGGCTTATAGCAAAAAAATGAATATCCCTTGATAAAAACTAGAAGCAAACTATGTGAAAATGCTTTGTGATGTGTTGATTCATCTCATAGAGTTAAACCTTGGTTTTGATTCAACAGTTAGAAATACACTTCTTTCAGAATCTATGAAGGAACTTTTCCGAGCCAATTAAGCCCTATAGTAAAAAACCAAATATTCCACGATAAATACTAGAAACGAGCTATCAGAGAAGATGCTCGGTAATTTGAGGATTTATATTACAGTGTTAAATTTTTGTTTGCATTAAGCTGGTTGGAAACACTCTTTTAGTAAAATCTACAGAGGGACATTTCTGCAGTTCTTCAGGCCTATAGTAAGCAGCTGAATATCCTGCTCTGAAAAGTAGAAACAGGCTATCTGTGAAAATGCTTTGTGATATGTGGACTCTTCTCACTGAGTGGCACCTGAGTTGTGATACACCAGACTGGAAACACTCTTTTTCTAGAACCTATAAAGGGACATGTCTGAGGCCACTGAAGCCTATAGTGAAAAACTGAGTATTCCATGATAAAAACTAGAAACAAGCCATCTGTGAAAATGCATTGTGTTATTTGGATTCACCTCACCAAATTAAAGATGAGTTTTGATTTAGTGTGGAAAACACTCTTTTTGTAGAATCTATGAAAGGATATTTCTGAGCCCATTGAGGATCTATAGTAAAAAAATCTATTATCCTGTGATAAACACTAGAAGTAAGCTATCTGTGAAAATGCTTTGCCTTGTGTGGATTCATCTTACAGAGGTAAGCCATTGTTTTAATTCAACAGATTGAAAACGTTCTTTTTGTAGAATCTACAAAAAGACATTTCTGAGCTTATTCATGTTTATAGAGAATAACCAAATATTTTGTGATAAAAACTAGAAACTAGGTATACGTGAAAATGCTTTGCAATGTGTGGATTTATCTCACAGAGTGAAACCTTTATTTTCATTCAAGAGGTTGGAAACACTCCTTTTGTAGAATCTAGAAAGGGACATTTCTGAGACCATTGAGGCCTTTAGTGAAAAACAAAATATCCCATGTTAAAAACAAGAAAGAAGCTATCTGTGAAAATGCTTTGTAATGTATTAATTCATTTGACTAAATAAAACCTGTGTTTTGATTCACTAGGTTTGAAACACTTTTATTTACAATCTATGAAGAAACATTTTTGAGCCCTTTGAGGTCTATAGTGAAAAAGTGAATATTCTGTGACACAAACTAAAAACAAGCTCTCTGTGAAAATGCTTTGCAATGTGTGGATTTATCTCACAGAGTTAAACTTTTTTTTTATTCAACAGGTTGAAAACACTCTATATAGAATCTACAAAGAGACATTTCTGAGTCTATTGAGGCCTATAGTGAAAATTCAAATATTTAAACTAAAAACAAGTTATCAATTAAAACGCTTTGTGATGTGTGGATTCATCACACAGAGTTAAACCTTGGTTTTGATTAAGCAAGTTGGAAACATTCTTTTTTAGAATCTAGAAGAGACATTACTGAGTGCATGAAGGCCTATAGTGAAGATCTGAATATCCCACGATAAAAAGTAGAAACAAGTTATCTGCGAATATGTTTTGTGATGTGTGGATTTATCCCACTGAATGAAACCTGCGTTTTGATTCAAGTTGGATAGACTCTTTTTGTAGGATCAATGAAGAGTCATTTCTGAGCCCATTGAGGCTTACTGTGAAAACTCGAATATTGCACTATAGAAACTAGAAACAAGCTTTCTGTGAAAATACTTTGAAAGCTGTGAATTTGTCTCACCGAATCAAACCTGTGTTTTGGTTCAACAAGTTGGAAACACTCTTATTGTAGAATCTACAAAGGGATATTTATGAGACCATTGAGGCCTATAGTGAAAAATGAAATATCCCATTATAAAACTAGAAACAAGCTATCTGAGAAAATGCTTTTTAACATCTGGATTTGTCTCACTGAGTTAAAGCCTTGTTCTAATTCGTTAGACTGAAATCACTTTTTTGTAAAATCTACAAAGGAACATTTCTAAGCTTATTGAGGGCTATAGTGAAAAAATGAATATTCCACGAAAAGAACTAGGAACAAGCTATCTGTGAAATGCTTTGCGATGCATGGTTTTATCTCACAGAGTTAAATCTTTGTTTTGACTTAACAGGTTGGAAATCCTTTCTTTGTAGAATCTACAAAGGGATGTTTCCGAGACCATTGAGGCCTGTAGTAAAAAATCAAATATCTCATGATATAAACTAAAAAGAATCTATCAATGAAAATGCATTGCAAGGTGTAGATTTATCTCATAGAGTAAAATTTTAATTTTGATTCAACAGGTGGTAAACACTCTTTTTTTTTTTTTTTTTTTTTTTTTTTTAGAATCTATGAAGGGACATCATTTCTGAGCCCATTGAGACTTGTAGTGAAAAACCAAGCATCCCCTGATAAATAGGTAGTAGAAACAAACTACCTATGAAAATGCTTTTTGATTTGTGGATTTATCTCACAGTGTTAAATTTTTGATTTGATTCAACTGGTTGAAAACATTCTTTATGTAGAATCTATGAAGAGACGTTTTTGAGCTTATCGAGATGTAAGGTGAGAAACTGAATATCCCGCTATGCAAAGTACAAACAAGCTCTCTGTGAAAATGCTTTGTTATATGGGGATTCTTCTCACTGAATGGATCTTGTGTTGTGATTCACTGGGTTGGAAACACTTTTTTTTAGAATCTATGAAGGGACATTTCCGAGGCCATCGAGGCCTATAGTGAACAACAGAATATTCTGTGATAAAAACTAGAAACAACCTACCTGTGAAAACGATTTGTGATCTTTGGATTCATCTCACCACATGGAACCTGTGTTTTGATTCAGCTGGTTGGAAAAACTCTTTTTGTGGAATCTACCAAAGGATATTTCTAAGCCCGTTGAGGCCTATATTAAATTGATTATCTCATGGTAAGAACTAGAAACAAGCTATCTGTGAAAATGCTTTGCATTAGGTGGATTCATCTCATGAAGTTAAACCTTTGTTTTATTCAACAGGTTGAAAGCATTCTTTTTGTAGAATCTATGAAAAGACATTTCTGAGCTTATTCTGGTTTATAGAGTAAAACCGAATATCCTGAAATAAAAACTGGAAACTAGGTATGTATGAAAATGCTTTGTGATGGGTGGAGTTATCTCAGAGTAAAATCTTTGTTTTGATTCAACAGGTTGGAAATACTCTTAGTGTAGAATATATGAAGGGACAATTTCAAAGACCATTAAGGCCTATAGTGAAAAAACAAATATACTGCAATATAAACTAGAAACAAGCTATACGTGAAAATGTTTTGTGATGAGTGGATTTATCTCACAGAGTTAAACCTATGTTTTGATTCAACAAATTGAAAATACTCTTTTTATAGAACTACAAAGAGAAATTTCTGAGCCTTTGAAACCTATACTGAAAAACTGAATATTCCACCATGAAACTAGAAAGAAACTATACATGAAAATGCTTCGTGAAGGGTGGATATTTCTCACAGAGTTAAACCTTTATTTTGATTCAACAGGTTAAAACCAGGTTCTTTGTAAAATCTATGAAGGAACATTTCTTAGCCCATTGAGGCCTAGTGTGAAAACCCAAATATCACACAACTAAAACTAGAAAGAAGCTATTTATAAAAATACTTTGTGGTATACGGATTTATCTCACAGAATGAAACCTTTGTTTTGATTCAAAATGTTGGAATCATATTCCTTGTAAAATCTATGAAAAAACACTTCTTAACTTATTGTAGCCTAGAGTGAAAAACTGGATAACCCATAATAACTAGAAACAAGCTATCTGTGACAATGCTCTGTGATGTGTGGATTCATCTCACATAGTTAAACTTTTGCTTTTATCAACAGATTGGAAACACTCTTTTTGTAGAAACTACAAAAAGACATTTCTGAGCCCATGGTGCATACAGTGAAAAAATAAAAAATTGTATGATAAAAGCTAGAAACATGGTATGTGTAAACATGCTTTGCCATGTGAGGTTTCATGTCAGAGAGTTCAACATTTGTTTTGATTCAACAGGTTGAAAACACAATTTTTGAAGTATCTATGATGGGACATATCGAAGCCCGTTGAGACTTAGTGAAAAACAGAATATCCCCTGACAAAAATTAGAAACAAGCTTTCTGTGAAAATGTTTTTTGATGTCTGTATTTATCTCACTGAATGAAAAATGCATTTTGATTCAAGATGCTGGAAACACTATTTTTGTAGAATCTATGAAGGGATATTTCTGAACTCATTGAAGTCTACAGTGACAAACCGACTATCCAATGATAAAAACTAGAAATACGCTGTGAAAAAGTTTTATGATGTGTGGATTCTTCTCACTGAATTAAACCTGCATTGTAAATCATCAGGACTGAAACCTTCTATTTGTAGAATCTATGAAGGAACATTTATGAGCCCATCGAGGCCTGTATTGAAAAACAAAGGATCCTGTGGTAAAAACTAGAAACAACCTAAATATGGAAATGCTTTGAGAAATGTGATTCATCTCACAGAGATGAATCTTTGTATTGATTCATCAGGTTGGAAACTCTCTTTTTGTGGAAAATAAAAGGTCTAAAAAGAGACATATCTGAGCCCATTGTGGCCTACAGTGAAAAACTGAATTTCTTGAACAAACGCTGGAAACCAGCTATGTGTGAAAATGCTTTGTGATGTGTGGGTTTATCTCACAAAGTTAAACCATTGTTTTGATTCAACATGTTGGAAACACTCTCTCTGTAGAATCTATGAAAAAACATTTCTGAGCTCATTGAGAAGTATAGTGAAAAACCACATATCCTGAAATAGAAACTAGAAACAAGATACGTGTGGAATGTTTGTGATGTGTGGATTCATCTCACCAAATGGAACCTGTATTTTGATTCACCCAGTTGGAAACACACTTTTTGTAGAATCTACGAAGGGACATTTCAGAGCCCATTGAGGCCTATTGTGAAAAATCAATTATCCCATGGTAAAAACTTGAAACAACCTATCTGTGAAAATACTTTGTGATGTATAGATTCATCTCACAAAGTTAAACCATTGTTTTTATTCAACACATTGGAAACACTATTTTTTAGAATCTACAAATAGAAATTTCTTAGCTTTTTGAGACCTATAGTAAGAAACTAATATCCCACAATAAAAACTAGAGACAAGCTGTATGTGAAAATGTTTTGTGATGTGTGCATTCATCTAACTGAATGGCACCTGTGTTTTGATTCACAAGGTTGGAAACACTTTTTGTAGAATCTACAGAGGTACATTTCTGAGCCCATTGAGGCCTACTGTGAAAAACCAAATATTCTGTGATAAAAATTAGAAACAAGCTATCTTTGAAAATGCTTTGGTATATGTGGATTTATCTCACAGCATTTAACCTATGTTTTGATTCAACAGGTTGGAACGACTTTTTTAGCAGAATCTATGACAGTACGTTTCTTTGTCCTTTTAAACCTATCATGAAAAACCAAATTTCCTGTGATAAAAACCAGAAACAGGGTTTCTGTGAAAATGCTTTGTGATGTGTGGATTCATCTCACAGACGTTAACCTTTGTTTTGTTTCAACAGGTTCAAAACACTCTTCCTGTAAAATCTACTTAGGGACAGTCCTGAGCCCATTGAGGTCTTTAGTAAAAAACGGAATATCCCATGATAAAAACTAGAAACAAACTATCTGGGAAAATGTTTGTGATGTGTGGTTTCATATCACAGAGTAAAACCTTTGTTTTGATTTAAAACGTTGAAATCACTCTTTTTGTAGTATCTAGAAATGGATATTTCTGAACCCGTTGATGCTTATAGTAAAAAATTAAATTTTCTACAATATAAACTAGAAACAAACTATCCGTGAAAACGTTTTGTAATATGTTAATTCAGCTCTCAAAATTAAACTTTTGTTTTTATTCAACACCTTGGAAAAGCTTTTTTTTTTGTAGAATTTACAAAGGGACGTTTCTGAGCTCATTAAGGCTTATAGTGAATAACAAAATATCCCACCTAAAATTTAGAAACAAGATATCTGTGAAAATAATTTCCGATGTGTAGATTTAATGCACAGAGTTAAAACTGTTTTAATTCCACAGATTGGAAACTTTTTTTGTAGAATCTACGAAGGGACATTTCTGAGCCCATTGAAACCTATTGTGAAAAAGCTAATATCCCGTGATAAAAACTAGAAAGCAGCTATCTGTGAAAACGTTTTGCAATGTGTGGATTCATATCAAAGGCTTAAAACTTTGTTTTAATTCAACAGGTTGGAAACTTTTTTTGTAGAATCTATGAAGAAACATTTCTGAGCTCACTGAGGCATATTTGGAAAAATGGGTATCTCACAATACAAACTGGAAACAAGCTATCTGTGGAAACGTTTTATGATGTGTGGATTCATGTCACAGAGTTAATCCTTTGTTTTGATTCAACAGTTTGAAAACACTTTTTTTGTAGAATATACAAAAAGACATTTCTGAGCCCTTTGAATCCTATAGTAAAGAAACAAATATCTCACGATAAAAACTAAAAAGAAATTTTCTGTGAAAATGCTTTGTGATGTGTGGATTCATCTCATAGAGTTAAACCTATGTTTTCATTCAACACATTGTAAACACTCTTTTTGTAGAACCTATGAAAAGACATTTCTGAGCCCATTGCAGCCTTTAGTGAAAAACCAAATTTCCCACGATGAAAATTAGAAACAAGCTACACGTGAAAATGCTTTGTAATGTGTGGATTCATCTCACCGAATGGAACCTGTGTTTTGATTCAATGGGCTAAAAGCACTGCTTTGTAGAATCTGTGAAGGGACATTTCTGAGCACATTGAGGTCTATTGTGAGAAACTGAATATTCCTCAAGAAAAACTAGAAACAATCTATCTGTGAAAATACTCCAGGCCAATCCAGGCATTCTAATGGGAGAGACCTTTGGCCCACCTCAGGCAGTCTAAGGATAGAGACACTTGGGTGACTTCAGGCATTCTAATGGGAGAGACTCCTGGCTGAGCCCAGGCATTGTAATGATAGAGACACCTCCGCAACTCCAGACATTCTAACACGAGAGACTCCCGGTCGACCCCAGGCTTTATTGTGATAGAGACACCTGGGCGACCCCAGGCATCATTATTGGAGAGACTCCAGGCCGACCTCAGGCATTTTTTTTTTTTGAGACAGAGTCTCATTTTGTCACAGAAGCTAAAATAGAGTGACACAATCTCAACTCACTGCAACTTCCATTTTCTGGGTTCAAGTGATTCTTTTGCCTCAGCCCCCCAAGTAGCTGGGATTAATGATGTGTGCCACTGCATCCAACTAATTTTTGTATTTTTAGTAGAGACAGGGTTTCACCATGTTAGCCAGGCTGCTCTTGATCTCCTGACGTCAGGTGATCCACTGCCCTCGGCCTCCCAAAGTGCTTGGATTACAACCCCAGGAATTCTAAGGAGAGAGACTTCCTGCTGAACAAAGGCACTCTAATGATAGCGACACCTGATGGACCACAGGCATTCTAATGGGAGAGACTCCTGGTTGACCCCAGGCAGTCTAATGATAGAGACACCTGGGCGACCTCAGGCATTTTAATGGGAGAGACTCCTGGCACACTCTAGGCATTCTAATGGGAGAGACTCCTTATCGACTCCAGGTATTCTAATGATGGAGACACCTTGGCGACCCCAGGCCTTAAAATGGTAGAGACTTCCAGCCAACCCGAGGCATTCTAATGATAGAGACACCTGAGCCACCACAGGTAATTTAATGGGAGAGAATCCCAAGTGACCCCAGGCATTCTAATGGGAGAGACTCCTGGCTGACAGTAGTCTTACAGAGACACCTTTGGGAGCCCAAGCATTCTAATATGAGAGATTCCTCACCGACCCCAGGGAGGCTAATGACAGAGACACCTGGGAGACCCGAGGCATTCTAATGTGAGAGACACCAAGCGGGCCCAAGGCAGTCTAATTATAGAGACACATTAACGTCTCTATAATGGGAGAGACTCTCGGCCGAGACCAGCAGGCTAGTGACAGAGACAACTGGGCAACCCAAGGCAATCTAAACAAACAGACTCCTGGCTGGGCGCAGTGGCCCATGCCTGTAATCTCAGCACTTTTGGAGGCTGAGAGGGGTGGATCACGAGTGCAAGAGATTGATACCATCCTGGCCAACATGGTGAAAACCTGTCTCTACTAGAAATACAAAAATTAGCTGGGTGTGGTGGCCTGTGCCTGTAGTCCCAGCTACTCGGGAGAGTGAACCCTGGAGGTGGAGTTTGCAGTGAGCCGAGATCATGCCATTGCATTCCAGACTGAAGACAGTGAGACTCCATAAAAGCAAAAATAAAAACAAACAAAACCTCCTGGCTGACTTCAGGCATTCTAATGGGAGAGATTCCTGGCCGACCTCGGGCTGTCTAATAATGGAGACACCTAGTTGACTTCAGGCATTTTAATAGGGAAAGTCCCTGACCAACCACAGGTGGTCAAATTATAGAGACACCTGAACGATCACAGTCATTCTAATGAAAGAGACTTTAGGCTGACCCAAGGCATTCTAACAGGAGAGACTCCTTGCCTACCCAGGCAGTCTAATTATAGAGACACATGGGTGACCCCAGGAATTCTAATGGGAGAGATTCCTGGCTGAACCCAGGCATTCTAATGATAGAGACACCAGGGTGACTCCAGGCATTTTAATGGGAGATTCTCCTGGCCAATTTTGAGCATTCTAAAGGGAAGCATTTTAATGTGAGAGACTCCTGACTGAACCCAGGCAGTCTAAGGATAGAGACAGTTGCGTGACTTTAGGCATTCTAATGGAAGACACTGTGGGGGAAAGAAAGAGAGATCAGACTGTTACTGTGTCTATGTAGAAAGAAGAAGGCGTAAGAAACTCCATTTTGTTCTGTACTAAGAAAAATTCTTCTTTCTTGAGATGCTGTTAATCTGTAACCCTAGCCCCAACCATGTGCTCACAGAAACATGTGCTGTGTTGACTCAAGGTTTAATGGATTTAGGGCTGTGCAGGATGTGCTTTGTTAAAAATGTGTTTGCAGGAAGTATGCTTGGTAAAAGTCATCGCCATTCTCCAGTCTCGAGCACCCAGGGACAAAATTGAGCAGTTTAATTGTAGAGACATCTGGGCAACTCAGGCATTTTAATAAAGGAGACTCCCAGCTTGCCCCCGGCAGTCTAATGATGAAGACACCTTGTTGACCCCAGGCATTCTAATGGGAGAGACCCAGCTGACCCCAGGCAGTCTAAAAATAGAGACACTCAGGTAACACCAGGCATTTTAATGGGAAAGACATCTGGCCGACAACAGGCAGGCTAATTTTAGAGACTCTTGGGTTGCCCCAGACATTCTAATAAGAGAGACTCTCAGCTGAACCATGGCAGTCTAATGATAGAGACACCTGGGCGACCCAGACGTCTTAATAGGATAGAATCCCAGACGACTCCAGGCATTCTAACAATAGATACATTTTGGCGAATCCATACATTCTAATATGAGAGATTCCCGGCAGACACAAGGCATCCTCTCAGGAGAGAATCCTGCCTGATCCCAGGCAGTCTAATTATAGAGACAACTGGGTGACCCCAGGCATTCTAATGGGAAAGACTCCTGGCCAACCCCAGGTGGTTTAATGATAGAGACACTTGGGCAACCCCACATTCTAATGGAAGAGACTCCTGATCCACCCCAGCATTCTAATGAGAGATAACTTTTGCCTACTGCAGGCACTCTCAGGTTAGAGTCACCTGGGCAAACAAGCATTCTACTGGCAGAGACTCCTCGATGACCAAATACACTCTAATTATAAAGACACCTGGGTGACCCCAGGCATTCTACTGGGAGACAGTCCTGGCCTACCTCAGGCAGTCTAATAATAGAGACTCCTGGGCGACCCCAGGCATTCTAACGGGAGAAACTCCCACTGACTTCTGCCAGTTTAATTATAGAGACACATGGGAGACCCAAGGCATTTTAATGGAAAGAATTCCAGCTGACACCAGATAGTTCAATAATAGAGACACATGGGTGATCCCAAGCATTCTAATGGGAGAGACTGGTGGCCAAACCCGGACAGTCTAATGATAGAGACACCTGGGCGACTCCAGACATTTTAATGGGAAAGACTCCTGGCTGAACACAGGCAGTCTAAAAATAGATACTTGGGCAACTTCAGACATTCTAATAGGAGAGATTCCCGGCTGATGCCAGGCCATCTAATGATAGAGACACCTGGATGAACCCAGGAATTCTAAAGAGAGAGACTTTCCAGCCGATTCCATAAAGTCTAATGATAGGGACACCAGGGCAACCCCGCATTCTAATAGGAGAGACTCCTGACCCACTTTGGGCATTCTAATGGAAGAGACCCTGGCTGACTGCAGGCAGTCTAAGGTTAGAGTCACCCGGGGGACCACAGACATTCTAATGGTAGAGACTCTTGGCTGACCAAAGTCATTCTAATTATAGAGAAACCTGGGCGACTGCAGGCATTGTATTGGGAGACATTCCCAGCTGAACCGAGGGAGTCTAAAAATAGCGACATCTGGGTGACCCAGGCATGCTAATGTAAGATACACATGGCCGGTTTTAGCCAGACTAATAATAGAGAAACCTGGCCAACCACAGACATTTTAAGGGGAGAGACTCCATGCCAACCATAGGCATTCTAATGATAGAGACACCTGGACGACATAAGGCATTTTGATAAGAGAAACTTCCAATGGACACTAGGCAATCTCATGAGAGACACTCCTGGCTGACACCAGGCACTTTAAAGATAGAGACACCTGGGCCGCTCCAGGCATTCTCTTAGAGACTCCTGGATGATCCCAGGCAGTCTAATTATAGAGACGCCTGGGCGAACCCAGGCGTTTTAATTGGAGATAATTTCGGCTGACCCAAGGCAGTCTAATGATAAAGACACCTACAGGAACTCAGGCATTCTAAGAAGACTCCCTGTCAACCACAGGCTTTCTACTGTGGAGACTCCCAGCCTACCCCAGGCAGTCAAAAAATAGAGACAGTCGGGCAACACCAGGCATTTTAATGGGAAAGGCACCTAGCTGACACCATGTCGTCTAATTATAGAGGCACTTGGGTGACCCCAAGCACTCTAATAAGACAGACTTTTGGCTGACTCCTGGCAGTCTAATGATGATAGAGGCACCTGGGTGACCCCAGGTATCTTAATAGGAGAGAATTCTGGCCAAACCCAGGCATTCTAATAATAGAGACATCTTGGCAAACCCAGGCATTCTAATATGAGAGACTCTCGGCTGACCCAAGGCACTCTTTTGGGAGAGACTCCTGGCTGACCCCAGGCAGTCTAATTATAGAGACACCTGGGTGACCCCAGGCATTCTAATGGAAGAGATTCCCAGCCAACCCCAGGCAGTTTAATGATAGAGATACCTGGGCGACCCCACATTCTAATGAAAGAGACTACTGACCCACCCTAGGCATTCTAATGAGACAGACTTTTGGCCAACTCCAGGCACTCTCAAGTGAGAGTCACCTGGGTAAACACAGGTATTATAATGGCAGAGAGTCCTTGCTGATGAAATGCACTCTAATTATAAAGACACCTGGGTAACCTCAGGCATTCTATTAGGAGACAGTCCTGGCCTACCCCAGGAAGTCTAATAATAGAGAATCCTTGGTGATGCCAGGCATTCTAACGGGAGGAACTCTTGCCAACTTCTGTCAGTCTAATTATAAAGACACATGGACGACCTGAGACATTTTAATGATACAGATTTCTGGTCAACACCAGGCAGTCTAATGAAGAGACACCTGAGCGACCCCAAGCATTTTAATGGGAGAGACTTGCAGCTGAACCCAGGCAGTCTAATAATAGAAACACCTGGGTGACCCCAGGCTTTTTACTGGGCAAGACTCCCAGCCGACCCCAGACATTCTAATGATAGATACACGTTATCGACCCCAGGCATTCTAATGTGAGAGACATTTGGCTGACCCCAGGCATTTTAATGAGAAAGATACCTGAGCCACCCGAGGAATTCTAATCAGAAAGACTCCTGGCAGACATGAGGTATTCTAATGATAGAAATACCTGGGCGACCTCAGGCATTCTAATAATGGAGATCCTAGGAGACCCCATGCATTTTAATTGGAGAGACTCCTGGCTGATCACAGGCAGTCTAATGATAGAGGTACCTGGGTGACCACAAGCATTGTAATGGGAGAGACTCACGGCTGACCCCAGACATTCTACTGATAGAGACTTATGGACAACTGCAGGCATTCTAATGGGAGAGACTGCTGACTGACCCCAGGCAGTCTAATGGCAGAGGCAACTGGGTGAAAGAACATACTAATAAGAGATTCCTGACCCACAGCAGGCACTCTAATCAGAGACACCCCCTGGCCGACCACAGGCAGTCAAAGGATAAAGTCTCCTGGGCGACCACTGGCATTCTAATGGCAGAGACCCCTGGTGGACTCCAGGATGTCTAATGTTAGAGAAAACTGAACAGCCTTAGGAAATCTAATGGGAGAGACACCTGGTCAACCCCACACAGTCTACTGATAAAGGCACCTGGGCGGCCCAAGGCATTCTAATGGGAGAGACTCCCACAGGAACCAGGCATTCTAATTATAGAGACACATGGGCGAACCCAGGCATTCTAAGGGGAGAGACTCCTTGCAGACCCCAGGCAGTCTAAGGATAGAAACAAGTGTCCGAATTCAGGCAGTCTAAGGGTAGAGACACCCGGCGACACCAGGTATTCTCATGGGAGAGACTCCTGGCTTACGCCAGGCAGCCTAATGATAAAGACACTTTGGCGACCCCGGGAATTTTAATGGGAGGAACTCCCAGCCAACCCAAGGCAGTCTAATGAAAGAGACAATTTTGATATCCCGGGCATTCTAACGGGAGCAAATCCTGGCCAAACGCAGGCAGTCTAATGATAGAGGCACCTGGGTGATGCCAGGCATTCTAATGAGAGAGACTCACGGCCGAATCCAGGCAGTCTAATGATAGAGACAACTGGGCCACCCTAGGCATTCTAATGAAAAAGACTCCTGGCTGACCTGAAACATTCCAATGGGAGAGACTCCTGGCCAACCCCAGACAGTCTAATGATGGAGACAACAGGGCGATTCCAGGTGTTCCAACAAAAGAGACTGCCTGCCGACTGCAGGCAGCTTAATGATAGAGACACCTAGGTGACCCCAGGCATTCTAATAAAAGAGACTCCCCACCGATTCCAGGCATTCTAATCATAGAAACACCTGGGTGACAGCAGGCATTCTAATGGGAGATACTCCCAGCCAAACCCCAGGCATTCTAGTGAAGCCTTCATCTGACCCCAGGCAGTCTAATGATAGAGACACCTTGGTGACATCAGGCATTCTAATGGGGGAGACACCCTGCTGACCCCACGCAGTCTAATGATAGAGATACTGGGGCGACCCCAGACATTGTAATGAGAGAGACTTCTTGCCAACCCAAGGCTGTCTAATGATAGACACACCTGGGTGACCCCAGGCATTCTAATGGGAGAGACTCCCGCCCAACCACAGGCAATCCAATGATAGAGACACAAGGGTGTCCCTGCATTCTAATGGAAGAGACTCCAGACCTACCCCACACATTTTGATTGAAGAGACTCCTGGTTTATGTAGGCAGTCAAAGGTTAGGTTCTCCTGGGCGACCACAGGCATTCTAATGGCAGAGACTTCTGCCAGACCAATGGCATTCTAATTATAGAAACACCTAAGTGACCCAAGGCATTCTAGTGGGAGAGGCTCCTGGCCAACACCAGGCAGTCAAATGATAGAGACACCTGGGCGAATCCAGCCATTTTAACAGGAGTGACTTTCGGCCAACCTCAGTCAGTCTAATGATAAAGACAACTGGGCGATCCCAGGCATTCTAATGGGAGATACTCCTGGCCAACCCCAGGCAATAAAATTATAGAGACATCTGGGCAACGTGATGCATCCTAATAGGGGAGACTCTCAGCCAAACTCAGGCATTCTAATTGGGGAGATTCGTGGCCAACCCCAGGCATTGTAAAAAATAAAGGCACCTTGGTGATCACAGCCATTCTAATGAAAGAGACTACCGGGCGACCCCAGGCATTCTCTTGGGAGAGACCCTTGGCTGACTCTAGGCAGTATAATTATAGAGACACCTGGGTGACCTCAAACATTCTAAGTGGAGAGATACCAGGCAAATCCCAGAAAGTGTAATCATAGAGACACCTTGGCAACCCCAGGCATTCTAATGGAAGAAACTCCAATAGACTCCAGGAATTTTAATGGGAGAGACTCATGGCCGACCCCAGGCAGTCCAAGGTTAGAGGCAACAGGGCAACCCCAGGCATTCTAATGGGAGAGATTCATGGCCTGCACCAGGCAGTCTAATGATAGACAAACTTCAGTGACCTCAGGCTTTATAATACAAGAGAATTCTGGCAGACTGCAGGCAGTCTAATGATAGAGACAGCTGAGCGACTGTAGGCATTCTAATGTGACAAAATCCCAGTCTACCCTAGGCATTCAAATGATAGAGACACCTGAGCGACCACAGGCATTCTAATGGGAGAGACTCTAGGCCTACTCCAGACATTCTACTAAGAGAGACTTTCTGCCGACTCCAGGCAGCCTAATTATAGAGAGCCCTAGGCGGCCCCAGGCATTCTAGTGAGAGAGACTCCTGTCAGATGCCAGGCAGTCTAATAATAGAGACACCAGGGCAACCCCTCGTTCTAATGGACGAGACTGCTGATCCACCCCAGGCATTCTAATAATAGAGACTTTTGGTGAACCGCAGGAACTCTCAGGTTAGAGTCACCTGACCGACCACAGGCATTTTAATGGCAGAGACTCCTCGCCGACAAAATGCACTCTATAGAGACATCAGGGCCACCCCAGGCATTTTGATGAGAGACACTCCTAGTTGACCCCAGGCAGTCTAATGAAAAAGACTCCTAGGCGACCCCAGACATTCTAATGGGAGAGACTCCCACTGCTTTCAGGCCATCTAATTATAGAGACACATGGGCAACATAAGGCATTTTAATGGAACAGACTCTTAGCCAACACCAGGCAGTCTAATGTTAGAGGCACCTGGGTGACCACAAGCATTCTAATGGGAGAGACTGGCAACCAAATCCAGGTAATGTAATGATAGAAACACCTGGGTGATCCCAGGCTTTGCACATGGAGGACTCTGGGCCGACCACAGGCAGTCAAATAATAGAGACACCTGGTGGACCCCAGGCATTTTAATGGGAGAGACTTCTGGCCAGCCCCAGGCATTCTAATGATGGATACCCTGGGAGACCCCACACATTTTAACTGGAGAGACTCCCAGCTGATTGCAGGTAGTATAAAGATGGAGACACTTGGGCAACCACAGGCATTATAATGGAAGAGACTCTTGGCTGACCTCAGGGAGTCTTATGATAGAGACATCTGGGTGACCTAGGCATTCTGATGGGAGAGACTCCTGGCTAACCCCAGACAGTCTAATAATAGAGACACCTGAGTAACCTCAGGCATTCTACAGGGAGAGACTCCCGGCTGATGCCAGGCTTTCTAATAATAGAGACACCTCAACAACCACAGGCACTGTAGTCTTATGATAACGACATCTAGGCAACCCCAGACATTCTCATGGGAAAGACTCCTGGCTGACCCCAGGTATACTAATGATAGAGACACCTGGGCCACCCCAAGCATTCTAATGGGAGAGACTCTGCGTCAACCTCATGCAGTCTTATAATACAGACACCTGGGCGACTTCAGGCATTCTAATGTGTGAGACTTTTTGTCACTTCCAGGCATTCTAATAATAAGGACATCTGGGAGACCTTAGGGATTCTGATGGGAGAGACTCCCGGTTGACACCAGGCAGTCTAATAATAAAAATATCAGGGCAACCCCACATTCAAATGGGAAAGACTTGGATCCAGCCTAGGCATTCTAATGGGAGAGACTCCTGGCCAACGGCAGGCTGTCTAAAGTTAGAGTCATCTGAACAACCACAGGCATTCTAATGGCAGAGACTCCTGTCCCTCCAAAGACATTCTAATGATAGAGACACCAGGGCAACCAAAGGCATTCTAATGTGAGAGACTCCTGGCCAAACGCAGACATTCTAATGGCAGAGAATCCTGGATGACCCCAGGTAGTATAATGATAGAGACATATGGGCAATGCCAGACATTTTAATTGGAGAAACTCCTGGCCAATTCTGTCTAATAAAGGAAAAACCTGGGTGATCCCAGGCATTCTAATGAATGAGACTCCTGGCAGACAGCAGGCATTCTAATGATAGAGACAACTGGGGGACCCAGGCATTTTAATGATAGAGACAACTGCACGACCCCACACATTATTACAAGAGAGTGCCCCAGCCGACCCCAGGCAGTCTAATGATAGAGGCACCTGGGCAACCACAGGCATTCTAATAGGAGACAATCCCTGCTGACCCCAGGCATTCTAATGGGAGATACTCTTGACTGTCTCCAGGAAGTCTAATGATAGTGACACCTATGTGATTGCAGCCATTGTTTTGTTTTTTTCTTTGTCTTTTCGTTTTTTTGATTCTGGCTCTGTCACCAGGCTGGAGTGCAGTGGCATGATCTCAGCTCATTGCAACCTCTGCCTCCCAGGTTCAAGTGATTCTCTTACCTCAGCCTCCCTAGTAGCTGGGACTACAGGCATGCACCACAACACCCAGGTAATTTTTGTATTTTTAGTAGAGATGGGGTTTCACCATGTTGGCCAGGATGGTCTCCATCTCTTGACCTCGGGATCCTCCTGGCTTGGTCTCCAAAAGTGCTGGGATTACAGGCATGAGTCACCATATCCAGCCAACTGCAGTCATTCTTATGGGGCAAACACTTGGCTGAACCCAGGTTTTCTAAAGATACAAACCCATGGGCAACACCAAGCATTCTAATGGAATAGGCACCTGGCTGACTCCAGGCATTCTAATAATAGAGACACCTGGGCGAACTCAGACGTTTTAATGGGAGAGACTTCTGGCTGATCACAGGTATTCTGATAATAGAGAAAACTGGGCAACCCCTGGCATTCTAATGAAAGAGACAACCACTGAACCCAGGCAGTCTAATGACAGAGACACTCGGGAGATCCCAGGTGTACTAATGGGAGAGACTCCCAGCTGACCACAGGCAGTCTAATAATAGAGTCACCTGGGCAACATCAGACGTTCTAATTAAAGAGACAACTGGCCAACCCCTGGCAGTCTACTGATAGAGACACCAGGGCAACACTATGCATTCTAATGGGAGAGATTTCTGGCCAAGCACAAGTAGTCTAATTCTGGAGACACCTGGGTGACCCCAGACATTTTAATGGAAGAGACTCCTGGCCGAATTCAGGCCGTCTAATAATCGGGACACCTATCAACTACAGGCATTTTAATGGAAGAAACTCATTGCGGAACCCAGGCATTCTAAAGGGAGAGACTACTGGCTGAACCCAGGCAGTCTAATGATAAAGACATCTTGGTGACACCAGGCATTCTAATGAGAGAGGTTCCTGGTTGAACCCAGGCTGTCTAATGGTAGAGACACCAGGGCGACCCCAGGCATTTTAATCGGAAAGACTCCAAGGCAACCACAGGCATTATAATAGAGACACCCAGGTGATCTCAAACACTCTAATAAGTGAGACTTCCATCTGACCTCAGGCATTTTAATGAAAGAGGCTCCACTCAACCACAGGCATTCTAATGAGAGAGACTCTCAGCAAACCCCAGGCATGCTAATGTGAGAGACACCCAGCCAAACACATGCATTCTAATTGGAGAGACTCCTGGGCAACCCTAGACAATCTAATGATAGAAACACCTGTGCAACCCCAGACATTCTAATGGGAGAGACCCCTCCCTGGTTGGCCCCAGGCAGTCTAATGATAGAGACACCTGGGCAACATTTCTGGGTTCTTTGAGGCCTATGGTTAAAAAAGCTAACTGTGAAAATGCTTTGTGATGTGTGGAATAATCTCACAGAGACAAAACTTTTTTTTTTAATTTAAAAGGTTAACACTCTTTTTGAAGAATCTATGAAAAAACATTTCTGAGTGCATGGAGGCCAATAGTGAAAAACAAAATTTCTTGTGCTAATAACTAGAAACAAGCAATCTGTGAAAATGCTTTGCCATGTGTGAATTAGAGTTAAACCTTCGTTTTGATTCACAGGTGGGAAAGACTCTTCTGTAGACTCTATGAGGGGTCATTACTCAGGTCATGGAGGCCTACAGTAAAAAATAAAATCTCCTGTGATAAAAACTAGAGACAAGTTATCAGTGAATATGATTTGAGATACGTAGATTCAACTCACGGAGGGGAACGTGTGTTTTAATTCACCAGATTGGAAATACTGTTCTTGTAGGATCTATGAAGGCACATTTCTGAACCCATTGAGTCCTTTAGTAAAAAACTGAATATCCCCTGATAAAAACTAGAAACAAGCTATCTGTAAAAATGCTTTGCCATGTATGGATTCATCTAAAAGTCTTAAACCATTGTTTTGATTCACCTGGTTGGAAACACTCTTTTTGTAGAATCTACAAAGGGACATTTCTGAGCTCATTGAGGCCCATAGGATTTTGTGTTTTGATTCATGAGGTTGGAAACACTTTGCAATCAAATCCACAAAAAAAAATTTCTGAGCAAATTCAGGCCTATAGTGAAAAAATGAATATGAATATTTCATGATTAAAAACCAGTAATGAGCTATTAGTGAAAATTATTTGGGATATGTGGATTCATCTAAAAGACTTAAACCATTGTTTTGATTCACCTGGTTGGAAATGCTCTTTTTGTAGAATCTATGAAGGAATATTTCTGAGCCCATTGAGGCCCATAGTGAAAAACAGAATACCTGCGATAAAAACTAGAAATAAGCTACCTGTGAAAATGCTTTACGATGTGTGAAATCATCTCACAGAGTCAAACCTTTTTTTGATTCAAAAAGTTGGAAACACTTTTTTGTGGATTCTACTAAGGGACAATCCTGAGCCCGTGGAGGGCTATAGTGAAAAACCAAATATCCCATGATATAAACTAGAAACAAGCTATCTGTGAAAAGGATTTGTGTGTAGATTCATTTCACAGAGTTAAACCTTCGTTTTGATTCAACAAGTTAGAAACACTTTTTGTAGAACCCATGAAGGGACATTATTGAGGTCATAAATGCCTATAGTAAAAAACAAAATATTTTGTGATAAAAACTAGAAACAAAATATCTGTGAATATGCTTTCAGACGTGTGGATTCATCTCAATGAATAAAACCTGTGTTTTGACTTATCTGGTTGGAAACACTCTTTTTGTAGAATCTACAAAGGGACAATTTCTTACCGCATTGAGGACTATAGGAAAAAAATCAAATATTCTGCTACACAATCTCTAAACAAGCTATCTGTGAAAATGCTTGGTGACGTGTGGATTAATCTCACAGAGTTAAACCTCTTTCTTGATTCAACCAGTTGGAACCACGATGAAAACTAAAAACAAGGTATCTGGGAAAATACTTTCTGATGTGCATTCATCTCACCGAATGGAACTCATGTTTTGATTCACCAGGCTTGAAACACTCTTTTTGTAGAATCTACAAAGGGACATTTCTAAGCACATTGAAGCCTATTAAAAAACCCAAATGTCCTGCAATAAAAACTAGAAACAAGATATCTGCCAAACTGCTTTGTGATGTGCAAGTTCATCACACCGAATGGAACCGGTGTTTTAATTCAACAGATTAGAAGCACTCTTTTTGTAGACTCTATGAAGAAACATTTCTGAGCCCATTTTGGCCTATAGTGAAAAACTGAATGTCTTGTGATAAACACTAGAAACAAGCCCTCTGTGAAAATGCTTTCTGAAGTGTGGATTTATTTCAAGGAATGGAACTTGTATTTTTATTCATCAGGTTGGAAACATGCTTCCTGTGGAATGTAAGAGAAAATATTTCTGAGCCAATTGAGGCCAATATTGAAAAACTGAATTTCTTATGATAAAAAGTGGAAACAAGCTATCTGTGAAAATGAATTCTGATGCATCAATTAATCTCACAGACTTAAACCTTTCTTTTAATTCAACAGTTTGGAAACATTCTTCCTATAGAATCCATGAGGAAATATTTCTGAACCCATTGAGGCCTATACAGAAAAACTGAATATCCCATGATAAAAACTAGAAACAAGCTGTCTGTGAAAATGCTTTTCCATATATATATTATTCTCACAGATTTAAGCCACTTTTGGATTCACTAGGTTGGAAACACTCTTCTTGTAGAATCTATGAAGGGACATTTCTGAACCCATGAAGGCCTATAGTGAAAACCTGAATACCCATGGCAAAAACTAAAAATATACTACCTCTGAATATGCTTTGTGGTGTGCATATTCATCTCACAGAGCTTAAGCTCTTTTTTGATTCAACATGTTGGCTACACTTTTTTTTGTAGAATATAGGAAGGGACATTTCTGAGCCCACTAAGGACAAGAGTGAAAATCTTAATACTCCATATGGAAAACTAGGAAGAAACTCTCTCTGTGAAAATGTTTCATGATGTGAGCATTCATCTCACAGATTGGCTCCTGTGTTTTGAATAACGACATTGGAACCAGTTTTTTATAGAAAACACAAAGGAGAATTTCTAAGAAGATTGAGGCCAAGAGTAAAAAACTGAATATCACACAATAAAAAAGAGAAACAAGCTATTTGTAAAAATGCTTTGTGATGCATGGATTTATCTAAAAGAGTTAAACCATGGTTTTGATTCACCAGATTGGAAACACTTTTTTTGTAGGATCAATGAAGGGACATTTTTGAGACCATTGATGCCAGTACTGAAAAACAGAATATTTTGCAATGAAAACTAGAAACAAATTATTGGTGAAAATACTTTCTGATGTGTAGATTCATGTCACTGAATGGAACCTGTGTTTTGATTCATCAGGCTGGAAACACTTTTATTGTACACTCTATAAAGGGACATTTCTGAGCGCAATGAGGCCTACAGGAAAATCCAAATATCCTGTGATGAAAAGTGGGAACAAGCTATCTGCAAAAATACTTTTTGATGTGTGCATTTACCTCACCAAGTCACACTGTTATTTTTATTCACCAGATTGGAAACCCTTTTTTTGTAGAATTCACGAAGGGATATTTCTGAGTCCTTTGAGGCCTACAGTGAAAAACTGAATATTCCTCATTAAAAATTAGAAACAAGCTAACTGTAAAAATGTTTTGCCATGTGCAGATCCATCTCACAGTGTTGAACCTTTGTTTTAATTCAACAGTTAGTAAACACTTTTTCTGTAGAATCTGTGAAAAAATATTTCTGAGTCTATTGAGGCCTACAATATAAAACCGAATATGCCATGATAAAAACTAGAAACAAGATATCTGTGAAAATGTTTTGTGATGTGTAAATGCATCTCACCAAATGGAACCTGAGTTTGGATTTACCAAATTAGAAGTCCTCTTCTTGTAGAATCTACAAAGGGACATTTCTGAGTTCGTTGAGGCCTATTGTGAAAAACCAAATATCCCCGGATAAAAACTAGAAACAAGCTACGTGTGAAAACCCTTTCTGATTTGTAGATTCATCTCACAGAGTTAAACCTTCGCTTTGATTCAAGGGGTTAAAAACACTCTTTCTCTGGAAACAACAAAGTGACATTCCTTAACCCACTGAGGCCTGTAGTGAGAAACTGAATATCACAAAATAGAAACTAGGAAGAAGCTATCTGTGAAAATGCTTTGTGATGTGTAAATTCATCTCACAGCGTTAAACCTTTGTTTTAATTCAA
The DNA here is from genome assembly GCF_000001405.40 of Homo sapiens. Lineage (NCBI taxonomy): Eukaryota > Metazoa > Chordata > Mammalia > Primates > Hominidae > Homo > Homo sapiens. Next base: position 27,665,781 of record NC_000019.10, on the reverse strand, counting down.
CCTGTTAAAAATACTCTTATTGTCGAAACTAGGCGGGGACATTTCTCAGCTGATTGAGGTCTATTGTGATAAATCAAATATCCCATGATAGAAACTAGAAACAAAATATCCATGAAAACGCTTATTGATGTGTGGATTTATTTCACAGAGTTAAACTTTTTTTTCAACAGGTTGGAAGCCCTCTTTATAGAAGCTACAAAGGGACATTTCTGAGCCCATTGATGCCAATAGTAAAAAACTGAAAGTCTTGTGATAAAAACAAGAAATAAGCTATTTGTGAAAATGCTATGCAAAGTTGGGATTCATCTCACAGAGTTAAACCTTTGTGTTTACTGAAAACCTTGAAAATACTCTTTTTGTAGAATTTACAAAGGGACATTTCTGAACCCATTGAAGCTTAGAGTGAAAAACAGAATATCCCGAGATGAAAACTGTTATTAAACTATCTGTGAAAATGTTTTGCAATATGTGGATTCATCTCAGGAAGATAAATGTTTGTTTTGGTTCAAAATGTTGGAAACACTTCTTTGGTAGAATCTAAAATGGGACATTTCTGAACACTTTAAAGTATATAGTGAAAGACAAAATATTTTGTGATGAAAACCAAAAATAAGCTATGTGTGAAAATGCTTTGTGATGTATGAATTCATCTCACTGAATGAGACCTGTGTTTTGATTCACCAGGTTGGAAACACTCTTTTTGTAGAATCTATGAAGAGACATTTCTGAGCCCATTGAGGCTTATAGTGAAAAACCGAATATCTGATAAAAAAAAAAAAAAACTAGAAACAAGCTATCTGTGAAAATGATTTGTTATGTGTAGATTCATCTCATCGAGTGGAAACTGTATTTTGATTCACCAGGTCGTTAACACTATTTCTGTGGAAATGAAGAAGAAACATTTCTTAGCCCATAAAGGCATGTAGTGAAAAACTGAATTTCCCATGATAAAAACCAGTAACAAGCTACCTGTAAAATGCTTTGAAATGTGTGGATTTATGTCACAGATTTAAAACTTTTTTCATTCAACAGGCTGCAAAAACTCTTTTTGCAGAATCTATGAAAAAAAAACATTTCTAAGCCCATTTAGGCCTACAGTTAAAAAAAAAAGTCCGCAAATAAAAACTACAAACAACCTGTCTGTGAAAATATTTTGCAATGTGTGGATTTATCTCACAGACTTAAACCTGTGTTTTGATTCAACAGGTTGGAAAAACTCTTTTTGTACAATCTACAAAAGGACATTTCTGAGCCCATTGAGGCTTTTAGTGAAAAACCAAATATCCCATGATAAAAACTAGGAGAAAGATATCTATGAAAATGCTTCATGATATATAGATCCATTTCACAAAGTTAAACCTTTGTTTTAGTTCACTAGGTTGGAAACTGTTTTTTGTAGAATCTACAAAGGAAGATTTATGAGCCCACTGAGGCTTATTGTGAAAAACCAAATATCCTGAGATAAAAGCTAGAAACAAGCTATCTGTAATAATGCTTTACAATATGTGGATTTATCTCACATAGTTAAAACTTTGTTTTAATTCAACAGGTAGGAAACACTCCTTTTATAGAATCTCTGAGAAAACCTTTCTGAGCTGATTAAGGCCTAGAGGGAATATCTGGTGATAAAAAATAGAAACAAGCTATCTGTGAAAAGGCTTTGTGATGTGTGGATTCATCTCACATCATCAAAACTTTGTTTTGATTCTACAGGTTTGAAACACTGTTTTTGTAGAAACTATGAACGGACATTTCAGAGCCCATTGAGGCCTATAGTGAAAAACCAAATATCCTGTGATTAAAAACTAGAAAGAAGCTATCTGTGAAACTGCTTTGTGATGTGTGGATTCATCTCACAGAGTGAAACCTTTCTTTGAATTCAGCAGGTTGGAAACCCTCTTTTTGTAGAATCTCTGAAGGGGTATTTCTGAGCCTATTGAGGTCTGTGGTGTAAAACTGAATACACTCTGAGAAATACTAGAAACAAGCTATCTGTGAAAGTGCTTTGTGATGTGTGGATTCATCTCACCCAAGGAAACATGTGTTTGAATCACCAGGTTGGAAAAACTTTTTTTTTACTATACGAAGGGAGATTTCTGAGCCCATTGAGGCCTATAGTAAAAACACGAATATTTTGTGATAAAAGCTAGAAACATGCTGTGAAAATGCTTTTCAATATGTGGATTCATCTCACACAGTTAAACTTTTGTTTTGATTCAAAAGGTTGGAAACATTCTCTTTGTAGAATCTATGAAGGGACATTTCTCAGTCCATTGAGTCAAATAGTGAAGAACCGAATATTTTGCAATAAAAATTTGAAAGAAACTATCTTTGAAAATGCTTTGCCATGTGTGGATTCATGTCACAGGGCTAAAACTTTGTTTTGATTCAAAAGTTTGTAATCACTCTTTTTGTGGAAACTATGAAGGAACATGGAAACAAGCTATCAGGAAAAACACTTTGCAAAGTGTGGATTCATATCACCCAATGGAACCTCTGTTTTGATACACCTGGTTGGAAACACTTTTTTTGTACAATCTATGAAGGAATATTTTTGAGCATATTGAAGCCAATAATAAAAAACCAAATATCATGTGATAAAAACTTAAAGCAAGCTGTCTGTGAAAGTGCTTTTTAATATGGGCATTTGCCTAACAAATTTAAACCTGTGTTTTGATTCAACAGGTTTTAAATACTCTTATTGTAGAATCTAGAAAGGTACATTTCTGAGCCCACTGAGGCCTATATTGAAAAACCATATATCCCGCAACAAATACTTGAAGCAAGCTGTCTGTGAAAATGTTTTTGATATGTGTATTTATCTCACAAAGATAAAGCTTTGTTTTGAGGCACCAGGTTGGAAACACTCTTTTTTTTTTTTTTTTTTTTTTGATCTACGAATGTATATCTTTGAGCCCAGTGAGGCTGATATTGAAAAATCAAATATCCCAAGGTAGAAACCACAAACAAGCTATCAAGCTATCTGCAAAAATCCTTAGTCATGTGTGGATTCATCTTACAAATTAGAACATGTGTTTTAATTCACCAGGTTAAAACACTCTTTTTGTGGAATCTACGAAGGGAAATTTCTTTTTTTTTTTTTGATCTATTAATGGATATTTTTGAGCCCGGTGAGGCTGATATTGAAAAACCAAATATCCCAAGGTAGAAACCAGAAACAAGCCATCTTCAAAAATCCTTAGTCATGTGTGGATTCATCTCACCAATTATAACCTGTGTTTTAATTCACCAAGTTAAAAACATTCTTTTTGTGGAATCTATGAAGGCAAATTTCTGAACCCATTGAGGCCTATACTGAAAGACAAATGAAACTAGGAACTACCTATCCCACAATGAAACTAGGAACTAGCTATCTGTGAAAATGCTTTTCGATGTGTGGATTCATTTCACAGGATTAAACCTTTGTTATAATTCAAAAGGTTGAAAATGCTTTTTTAGTAAAATCTACTAAGGGACAGCTGGGAGTAGATTTTAGTGAAATCTACTAAGGGAAATTTTTGAGGCCTTAGAGACCTGTTGTTAAACAGCCCATTGAGCCCTACAGTAAAAAAAGAAATATTTCATGATAAAAGTATAAACAAGCTATCTATGAGAATGCTTTGTGATATATAGATTTATCTAACTTATTTAAACCTATGTTTTGATTGGCCACTTTGGAAACACTCTTTTTGTAGAATCTGCAAAGGGACATTTCTGAGCCCATTGAGACCCATTGTGGAAAACCAAATATCCTGGGATAAAAACTATAAAAAAATCTATCTTTGAAAAAGCTTTTGACATGCAGATTCATCTCAAAGTGTTAAACCTTTGCTTTGATTCAACAGGTTGAAGACAATCTTTTTGTAGACTCAACGAGGAAACATTTCTGAGCCCATTGAGTCCTATAGTGAATAAACAAACATTTCACCATAAAAATTTGAAACAAGATATCTGTGAAAATGCTTTATGATCTGTGAATTTATCTCATGAACAGAACCTGTGTTTTGATTCACGAGTTGGAAACAATCGTTTTGTAGAATCTATGAAGGTACATTTCTGAGCCCAGCAAATCCTATAGTAAAAAGCCAAATATCCCAAGGTAAAAACTAGAAACAAGCTATGTGTGAAAATCCTTAATGATTTGTGGATTCATCTCACTGAAACAACCGGTGTTTTGATTCACCAGGTTGGTAACACTCTTTTTGTAGAATTTGCAAAGGGACAGTTTTGAGCCCACTGAGGCCTATAGTGAAAAACCAGATATCCTGCAATAAAAATTTAAAACAAACTATCTTTGAAAATACTTTGGGATGTGTGGATTTATCTCACAGAGTTCAATCTTTGTTTTGATTCTTCAGCTTGTAAATGCTGTTTTTGCACAATCTATGAGGAGACATTTCTTAGCCTAATGAGGTCTATAGAGAAAAATCGAATATTCTGTGGTAAAATGTAGAAACAAACTATCTGTGAAAATGGTTTGTGATATGTGGATACAGCTCATGGTATTACATCTGTGTTTTGATTCACCAGGTTTCAAACAATCTTTTGTAGAATCTACAATGGGACATTTCCGAGGTTATTGAGGCCTATGGTGAAAGACAAAATATCTAGTGATAAGAAAGAAAAACAGGCTATCTGTGAGGATGTTTTGTGATGTGTGGAGTCATATCTAGAGATAAGAATGAAAAACAGGCTATCTGTCATGATGTTTTGAAGATATGTGGAGTCATCTCACAGACTTCAACTTTTGTTTTGATTCAACAGGTTGGAAACACCCTTTTTTAAGAATCTGTTAATCAACATTTCTTTCCCATTGAGGACTACAGTGAAAAACCGAATATTTCATGATAGTAACTAGAAAAAGTTATCTGTGAAAATGCTAAGTTATGGATTCATATCAAAGAATGTAACCTATTTTTCAATTCACCAGGTTGAAAACACTTTTTTTGTAGAATCTACAAAGGGATATTTGTGAGCCAATTGAGGCCTATAGTGAAAAACAGAATATCAAACAATAAAAACTAGAAACAAGCTATCTGTGAAAATACTCCTGGCTGACTTCAGGCATTCTAATTAAAGAGACTCCTGGCAGACCCTGGGCAGTCTAAGAATAGAAATGCCTTGGCAACTCCAGGCATTCTTTTTTTTTTTTTTTTTTTTTTTTTTTTTTTGAGATGGAGCCTTGCTCTGTCACCCAGACTGGAGTGCAGTGGTGTGATCTTGGCTCACTGCAAGCTCTGCTTCCTGGGAACCCCAGGCATTCTAACGGGAGAGACTCCCAGCTGATCACAGGCATTTTAATGATAGAGACACCTGGGTGACCCAAGGCATCATTATGGCAGAGACCAGGCATTCTAAATAGAAAGATTTCTAAATAGGCTGACCCCAGGCATTCTAAATAGAAAGATTTCTTGCCGAATGCAGGCACTCTAATGATACAGACACATGGCTGACTCCAGTAATTCTAATATGGAGACTCCTGTCTGACCGCAGGCAGACTAATGATAGAGACACATGGGCAGCTTCAGGCATATTCATAGGAGAGACTCCTAGCCAACCCCAAGTGGCCTAATGACAGAGACACCTGGGAGAACCCAGGCATTCTAATGGAAGGAACTTCTGCTTGACCCTGGGCAGTCTAATGATAGAGACACTGGGAAATTGCAGGCATCATAATAGGAGACTCACAGCTGACACCAGGCGTTCTAATGGGAGAGACTCCTGACCAAGGCCAGGCACTCTAATGATGGAGACACCTCGGTGACCCCAAGCATTCAAACAGATGAGACTCAAGGCAGACCAAAGGCAGTCTAATGATAGATACACCTGGGAAACCCCATGCATTCCAATGGAAGAGACTTTCCACCAACCCCAGTGTGGAAAGTGGAAAGTTCCTCTTCAAAGTTTCCCTTCTTGTTAAATAACAAATGTTAGAAATAATAGTTTCTTTTAAAAACTAACTTCCTTCAAGCCTCCTTGCTTTAATACTAAGAACTCTTTATTAAACCCTATCCTATGTAGCTGTTGGACATGAGGGAATAAGTACATTCTATGTCTTCGTACTTTAACCAAGATATTTGTTCTAGACACGCTCAAGCATGTTCCATCTCACAGCTTATGCCCCTTCCTTATTTGGAAATATTACTTTTCTAAGTTCTTTTGCAAGCAACTTCCTCTTTTCCTTTTGTTCTCCATTACCTTTACCTATTTAGGAAAGTTTAAGTTGTTAGTCAATCGGGTTTAGTTTAGACTGTGAGGTCCAGCTCCCACCAATGGAGATAGGACACAGTAGTAAGGACCCAATGCATAAGGGATACATATTCTTGTCCTTCTTTGTTCATTGTGCTCTCGTGGCAGGATTGCTGATGGACAGCACCCTTTCTGCAGAAAGTAAAATTGCTTTGCTGAGAACATTCTTTGAGCACTAGTTCTTCTTTTCAGCACAAAGGAATGAGCATTTCTAACACCCAGGCATTCTAATGATAGAGACATTTGGGCATACTCAAGCATTCTAATGGGAACAAATCCTGGCCTATCCCAGGCAGTCTAAAAGTAGAGACACCTGGCTGAACCCAAGTGCAACCCCAGACATTCTAATGGGAGAGACCACTGGCTGACTGCAGGCAATCTAATGATACAGTCACATGGGCGACCCCAGAGACTATAATGGGAGAGACCTTAGGCTGACCTCAGGCATTCTAATGATAGAGACAGCTGAGCCAACTCAGACGTTCTAATGATAGAGACACCTTGGCTATCCCAGTCATGGAAGAGACTGCCAGCTGACACTAGGCATTCTAATAGGAGAAACTCCTGGCCGACCTCAGGCAGTCTAATGATAGAGATACATTATTGATTCCAGGCATTTTAATTGGAGAAACTCCTGGCCGAACCTAGGCATTTTAATGGGAAAGACTCCTGGCCTATTCCAGGCAGTTTAAGGATACAGACACCTAGGTGACACCAGGTGTTCTTTTTCTTTTACTTTTTCTTTTTTTCTTTTTCTTTTGAGTTTCGTTCTGTTCCCCAGGCTGGAGGGCAGTGGTGTGATCTTGGCTCACTACAGGCCCTGCTTCCTGGGTTCACTCCATTCTCCTGCCTCAGCCTCCTGAGTAACTGGGACTACAGGTGCTTGCCACCATGCCCAGCTAATGTTTCTGTGTTTTTAGTAGAGACGGAGTTTCACTGTGTTAGCCAGGAGGGTCTCCATCTCCTGAACTCATGATCCACCCCTCTTGGCCTCCCAAAGTTCTGGGATTACAGGTGTGAGCCACCGTGCCCAGCCCACCCCAGGTATTCTAATGGGAAAGAATTCTGGCCAAACCCAGACAGTCCAATTATAGAGACACCTGGGCGAATCCAGGCATTTTAATTGGAGAAACTTGCATCCAACCTCAGGCAATCTAATGATAGAGACACCTGAGTGCCTCCAGGCATTCTAATGTGAAAGTCTATTGGCCAGCCCCAGGCATTCTAATGGAAAAGATTCTTGCCTGACACCATGCAGTCTAATATTAGCAAAACCTGTGAGACCCCAGGCATTCTAATGAGAAAGACTCCTAGCCCTGACCAAGCTGACTAATGATAGAGACACCTGGGCCACGTCAGGCATTCTAAAGAGAGAGACTTCTGGCTGACCCCAGGCATTCTAATGAAACAGAAACCAGGGCAAGCCAAGGCATTGTAATGGGAGAAACTTCTGGTTGACCCTGGACACTCTAATAATAGACACAATTGGGCAACCCCAGGCATTCTAATGGGAGAAACTCCTGGCCAAGCCCAGGCAGTCTAATGATACAGACACCTGAACAACCCTAGTCATTCTAATGGGAGAGCTCCTGGCTGACCCCAGGCATTGTAATGGGAGATTCCTGAAAGGCCGCATACAGTCTAATGATAGAGGCATCTTGGAGATCTCAGGCATTCTAATGGGAGAGACTCCCAGCTGACCACAGGCAGTCTAATGTTACATACACTTGCGGGATCCCAGGCATTCTAAAGGGAGAGACTCCTGGTCAACGCCAGCCAGTCTAATAATAAAGACACCTGGACAACCTCATTCATTCTAACAAGAAAGACTCCTGACAGAGCCCAGGCAGTCTAATGATAAGTCCTTATAAGACACCAAGGCTACCACAGGCATTCTAATTTAAGAGACTCCAAGCTGACCCCAGGCCGTCTAATGATAGAGACACCTGGGTGAGCCCAGACATTTGAATGGGAGAGACAGCCAGCCGACCACAGGCAGTCTAATGATAGAGACAACTGGGTGACCCCAGACATTTGAGTGGGAGAAACAGCCGGCCGACCACAGGCAGTCTATTGATAGAGACAACTGGGTGACCCCAGACATTTGAGTGGGAGAGACAGCCGGCCGACCACAGGCAGTCTAATGATAGAGACAACTGGGTGATCCTAGGCATTCTAATAGGAGAGATTCCCGAACTAACCCAAGTATTTTAATGATACAGGCACCTGAGGCACCCCAGGCACTTTGATTGGAGAGACTCCCAGCCTACCCCATTTTCTTGGGACCCACTTTTGGCTGATTCCAGGCAGTCTAATTATAGATACACCCGAACGACCTCAGGCATTCTAATTGGAGAGATTCCCATCTGACCACAGGCTGTCTAATGATAGAGACAACTGAGCCACTTCAGGCATTCCAAGGAAAGAGACTGTAGGTTGACACCAGGCATTCTAATGGTAAAGATACCTTTGCAATGCCAGGCAATCTAACGGCAGAGCCCAGGCATTCTAATGAAAGAAACTCCTGGCCGACCGCAGGCTGCCTAATGATAGAGACATCTGGTCGACTTTTGGCATTCCAATAAGAGAAACTCCCAGCCAGCCACAGGCATTCTATGCTAAAGATACCTGGACCACCCCAAGCATTTTAGTGGGAGAGACTCTGAGGTACCCAAGTCATTACAATGGGAGAGACTTCTAGCTGACCCTGGCAGTCGATTGATAGAGACACCCGGGAGACCCCGGGTATTCTAATGGCAGGGATTCACTGCCAAATCCAGGCAGCTTAATGATAGAGACACCTGGGTGACCCAAGTCATTTTAATGGTAGAGATTTCCAGCAGACTTCAGGAAGTCTAATGATAGAGACACCTGGGAGATCCCAGACATTCTAATTTGAGAGACACCTGGACAACCCCAGGCAGTCTAATGAGAGAGGCACCTGTGTGACCCAAAGCATTATACTGAAAAAGACTCTCGGCTGACCCCACAGGGCCAATTGACAGAGACATCTGGGTGACAGCAGGCATTCTAATGAAGGAAATACTTGGCCAACCCCAGGCAATTAATTATAGAAACACCTGGGTGATGTAAGACATTCTAATAGGAGAGACTCCTGGTTAAGCCCAAGCAGTCTAATGATAGAGACACCTGGTCACAACCAGGCATTTTAAAGGAAGACAATCCTGGCCAATGCCAGGCAGTTTAATTATAGAGACACCAGGCGATTACAGTCATTCTAATGGGAGAGAATTCTGGATGACTCCAGTCATTCTAATGGGAAAGACTCGTGGTCGACCCCAGGCCGTCTAAGAATAAAGACACCTGGTCGACCACAGGCATTCTAATGGGAGAGACTCCCAGGTGACCCCAGGCAATCTAATGATAGAGACACTTTAAGGACCTCAGGCAAATTAAAGAGAGACCCACCCAGTTGAACCCAGGCAGTCTAATGATAGAGACACAATATCCACCCCAGGCATTCTAATCGGAGAGACTCCCGGTGAACCCCAGGCATTTTAATGGGAGACTTGTGGCTGACCACAGACAATGTTAGGATAAAGACACCTGAGTGGCCACAGGCATTCTAATGGGAGAGACTCCTGGCCGACCCCTGAGGGTCTAATTATAGACACACGGGGTTATTACAGTCATTCTAATAATAGAGAAACCTGGGCGACCCCAGGCATTCTAATTAGAAAGGCTCCCAGCCGAATACAGGCAGGCTAATGATAGAGACAACTGGGCGACCCCAGGCATTCTATGGAGAGACTTCTGGTCAAGCCCAGGAAGCCTAATTATAGGTACACCTGAAAAAGCCCAGGCATTATAATGGAAGAGACTCCTGGTGGACCCAGAGCAGTATAATAGAACCACCTGGGTGACCCCAGGCATTCTAATGATAGAGATTTACAGCCAACCACAGGCAGTCTAATGATGGAAACACCTGGGTGACCCCAGGCATTCTAATGGGAGAGACTCCTGGCTGACCTCAGGCATTCTAAAGATAGACACCTGGGTGACACAAGGCATTCTAATGGGAGAGACTCCTGGCTGACTCCAAGCAGTCTAATGATAGAGACAACTTGGCGATTCCTGGCATTCTCATGGGAGAGACACCTGGCTGACCACAGGCAGTCTAACAAGAGAGACACCTGGGCATCTCCAGGCATTCTGATAGAAGATATTCCCGTCGATTCCAGGCAGTCTAATAACAGAGACAGCTAAACGACCTCAGGCATTCAAATGGGAGAAACTCCTGGCCCACCCCAGGCATTCTAATGGTAGCAACTCTTGGCCAACACCCTGTAGTCTAATAATGAAGACACCTGGGTGACACCAGGCATTTTAGTAGGAGAGACTCCTGGATAACACAAGGCAGTCTAATGATAGAGACAACTGGGCAACTCCTGGCTTTCTAATGGGAGAGATTCCCGTCTGACCCCAGGCAGTCTAAAGATAGGAACAACAGGGTGACACAGGCATTCTAATAGAAGAGGCACACAGGAGATGCTAGGCAGTTCAATGATAGAGACCCCTAGGCAACCCAAGTCATTCTAATGGGAGAGACTCGAGGTCGACCACAGGCATTCTAAAATAAGAGATTTCTGGCAGAACTAAGGCAGTCTAATGATAGAAACACTTGGGTGACCCAAGGCATTCAAATGGGAGAGACTCCTGGAAGAACCTAGGCATTCTAATTGTAGAGACAACTGGGCGACCACAGGTATTCTAATGTGAATGACTCCTGGCCAAACCTAGACAGTCTAATGATAGAAACACTTGGGCAATGCCAGTCATTCTAATGGGAGAGACTCCCAGCCGAACCCAGGCTGTCTAATAATAAAGACCCCTGGGCGATTTTAGTAATTCTAATTGGAAAGACTCCTGGCTGACCCTAGGCATTCTAATGGTAGAGACACCTGGGTGACAGTAGGAGTTCTACTGGGAGAGACTCCTGGCCTATCCCAGGCATTCTAATGATAAAGACAACTGGTTGATCCCAGGAATTATAATGGGAAAGACTCCCTGCCAACCACAGGAATTCTAATGGGAAAGACTCCCTGCCAACCACAGGAATTCTAATGGGAAAGACTTCCAGCCCACTCCAAGCATTCTAATAAAAGAGACTCCCAGCCGACCCCAGTGAGTCTAATGATAGAGACGCATGGGCGACAGCATGCATTCTAATGGGAGAGACTCCCAGAAGACCCTAGGCATTATAATAAAGACACCTGGGCCACCCCAGTAATTCTAATCCAAAAGACTCCTGGCCGACGCCAGGCATTCTAATGGGAGAGACCCCTGGCCGACCGCAGGCAGTCTAATGATAAAAACACCTGGTCGATTTTAGGCATTTTAATGAGAGAGACTCTTGGCCAAACCCAGGTAATTATAGAGACACCAGGGCGACATCAGTCATCCTAATACCAGAGACTCTTGGCTGACACTGGGCAGTCTAAGAATAATTAAACCTGGGTGACCCCATGAATTTAAATGGGAGAGAATCTTAGCTTACTCAGACAATATAATTATAGAGACACCTGGGAGACACCAGGCATTCTAATGGTAGAGGATACTGGCTGACCCCAGGCAGACTAATTGTAGAGACACCTGGGAGACGCCAGGCATTTTAATGGGAGAGACTCCCTTCCTACCCTAGGAAGTCTCACAATAGAGACACCTGGGCTACTGCAGGCATTCTAATGAAATAGACTCCTGGCTGGCCCCAGGAAGTTTAATGATAAAGACACCTGGGCTACACCATGCAGTCTCATGATAGTGACAGCTTGGGGTCCTCAGGCATTCTAATGGGAGAGACTCCTGACTGACCCAGGCAGTCTACTTACAGACAGACATGAGCAGCTTCAGGCATTCTAATGGGAGAGACTTCTGGAAGAATGCAGGCATTCTTTTGGAAGAGAGGTTTGGCTGACCACAGAAAGTCTAATTATAGAGACATCTAGATGACCTTAGGCATTCTAATGGAGGTGAAAGTCCCCACTGACTCCAGTCATTCTAATAATAGAGACACCTTGGCGACCCCAGGTATTCTAATGGGAGACTCCTGGCTGACCCTAGGCAGTTTAAAGATAGAGACACCTGAGCGACCCTAGGCATTCTAATGGGAGAGACACCTGGTTGAACCCAGGGAGTCTAATTATAGAGACATCTAGGCAACACTAGGAATTCGAATGGGAGAGAATTGCTAGCCAACCCTAAGCAGTCTAATGATAGACACACCTGAGCAACCCCAGGCATTGTAATGGGAGAGTCTCCTGGTTGAACCCAGGAAGTCTAATTACAGACACCTGGGCAACACTAGGAATTCGAATGGGAGAGATTCCTGGCCAACCCTAAGCAGTCTAATGATAGAGACACCTGGGCGACCTCAGGCATTGTAATGAAAGAGACTCACTGCCAAACTCAGACAGCCTAATAATAGAGACACCTGGGTGACCCCAGGCATTCTAATGAAAGATAATTTCTGCCAACACCAGGCATTCTAATGAGAGACTCCTGGCTGAATGCAGGCTGTCTAAGAATAGACACCTGGGCGACCTCTGGCATTCTAATGGGAGAAGCTCCTGGCAGACCCAAGGTATTGTAATTATAGACACACATTGGCATCTTCAGGCATTCTAACGGGAGAAGTTTTGGATGAACACAGGCAGTCTAATGTTAGAGACACCTAGGCAACCCCAGGCATTTTAATGAGAGAGACTCTCAGCTGACCCCAGGCTGTCCAATGATGGAGGCAAATGGGCAACAACAGGGATTCTCATGCGAGAGACTCCTGGTGGATTCCTGGTAGAATAATTAAAGAGACACCTAGGCGACCCCAGGTATTCTAATGAGAGAGATTCCTAGCCGACTCCAGGCAGTCTAATGTTAGAGGCACCTGGGCAACCCTACATGTTCTAATGGGAGAGACTCCCAGTCAGCCCAAAGCATTCTAATGGGAGAAACTCCTGGCCGACCCCAGGCAGCCCAGTGATAGAGACCCCTGGGCGACTCCAGTCATTCTAATTGGAGAGACTCCCGGCCGACCTCAGGCAGTCTAATGATAGAGACACCTGGAGAATCCCAGTCATTCTAATGGGAAATACACCCGGCCAGCCCCAGACATTCCAATGATAGAGACACCTGGGCTACCCTAGGCATTTTAATGGGAGAGATTCCCAGCCGACCCCAGACAGTCTAATGATACAGACACCCGGACAATCCCAGTAATTCTAATGGTAGGGATTCTTGGCCAGACCCATGCATTCTAATGGAGAGGCTTTTGGCTGACACCAGGCAGTCAAACAATAGAGACACCTGGTCGACCCAAGGCATTCTAATGTAGAGACTCCCAGTTGATGCCAGGCAGTTAAATGATAGAGACACCTGGGTGGCTACAGACATTCTAATGGGAGAGTCTCCTGGCCGAACCCAGACATTCTAATGATAGAGAAACATGAGCAACCATAGGCATTCTAATGGGAAAGACTCCCAGTCAAATGCAGGTATTATTCCTGGCTGACTCCAGGCAGTCTAATTATACAGACATCTAAATTACCCCAGGCATTCTAATGGGCGAGACTCTCAGCTGAACACAGGCTTTCTAATGATGGGCCACCTGGGCAACAAACAGCATTCTAATTGAAGAGGTTTTTGGCCGACCCCAAGCATTCTCTTGGGAGGGATTTAGGCCAACCCCTGGCAATTTAAGGTTAGAGGCTCCTGGGCATCCCCAGGCATTCTAATGAAGGAGACTTCTGGCCAAACCCTGGCAGTATAATAATAAAGACACTTGGGCAACTTCAGGAGTTGTAATGGGAGAGATATCCGATGGAACCCAGGTGGTCTAATGGTAGAGGCACCTGGGTGACCCCAGGCATTCTAATGGGAGGAACTCGGGGACGACCTCAAGCATTCTAATGAGAGACTCCTGGACAACAGCAGGCAGTCAAAGTATACAGACACCTGGGCGACCACAGGCATTCTAATGGGAGAGACTCCTAACCAATCCCTGGCAGTCTAATTATGGAGACACCTGGGCGATTTTAGGAATTTTAATGGGAGAGACTTCTGGATGACCTCAAGCAGTCTAATGAAAGAGCTACCTGAGCAACCCCAGGCATTCTAATGGAAGAGACTCCCAGTCGAACCCAGGCAGACTAGTGATAGAGAAACCTGGACAACCCCAGGTATTCTACTGGGAGAGACTCCTGGCCAATTCCAGGCAGCCTAGAGATGGAGACACCTGGGCGACTCCAGACATTTTAATGGGAGAGACTCATGGAAGAGCCTGGCAGCCTAATTATAGAGACATTTAAGTAAACCCAGGCATTATAATGGGAGAGACTCCTGGCTGATCCAAGGCAGTCTAATGATAGAGACATCTGGGTGATCCCAGGCATTCTAATGGGAGAGACTCAAGGCCAATGGCAGGCATTCTAATGATGGAAACATTTGGCCGACCCATGTCATTGTAATGGGAGAGACTCCTGGATGACTTCAGGAATTCTAATGATAGAGACAAATGGATGACTCCAGGCATTCTAATTGAAGAGACTCCCAGCTAGCCCCTGGCTTTCTAATAATAGAGACACCTTGGAGATGACAGGCATTCTAATAGAAAAAACTTCCAACTGACCACAAGCATTTTGATGGCATTTTAATGGGAGAAATTTTCAGCAGACACCAGGTATTCCTTTGGGAGAGACTCCTGGCTGACCCCAGTCTAATTATAGAGAAACTTCACGACATTAGGCATTCTAAAGTGAAAGACTCCTGGCCTACTCCAGGCATTCTAATATTAGAGACACCTGGACGACACCAATTATTCTAATGGGAGATACTCCCTCCGACCCCAAGCATTCTAATGTGGAGACTTCCGGCCGACCGCAGCAAGTCTAATGCTAGAGAGCCCTGGATGACTCCAGGCATTCTAATGGGAGAGGCTCCCAGCAGACTGCATGCAGTCTAATAATAGAGAAACCTGTGCCACACCAGGCATTCTAATGGGAGAGATCACTGACTGAGCCCAAGCAGTCTAATTATAAAGACACCTAGGTGACCCCAGGCATTCTAATAGGACACACTCTGGGTGACCCACGACACTATAATGATACAGACACCTGGACAACCCCAGTCATTCTAATAAGAGAGACTTTCAGCCGACCCCAGGAATTCTAATGAAGAAACTCCTGGCCGACCTCAGGCAATCTAAAGAGTAAGACTCCTGGTTGACACCAGACATTCTACTGGAAAACACTCCCGGCCAACCGCAGGCAGTCTAACGATAAAGACACCTGAGTGATCTCAGGGATTCTAACGGGAGAGAATTTCAGCCGACCGCAGGCACTCTAATGATGGAGACACCTGGGAGACACCAGCCATTTTCATGGAAGGGGCTCTTGCCCCACCATGGGCATTCTAAAAATAAAGCCTACTGGGCGACCCCAAGCATTCTAATGGGAGAGATTTCTGGCTGACTTCTGGCAGTCTAATAATAGAGACACCTGGGCAACTCCAGGCATTCTAATTGGAGAGACTCCCGGATGGCCCCAGGCTTTCTAATAACAGAGACACATTGGAGAGCCCAGGGATTCTAACAGAAAAGACTCTCAACTGACCACAAGCATTCTAATGGCAGAGACTCCTCGCTGACACCAGGCAGTCTAATGATGAAGACACCTGGTTTGCCACAGGCGTTTTAATAGGAGAGACTCCTGGTTGACCCCAGGCAGTCTAATTATAGAGAGAATTGGGCATCCACAGTCTTTATAATGGAGAGATTTTTGGTTGACCCCACGCATTCTAATGAAAGAGACTTCTGGCTGACCACAGGCAGTCTAAGAATAAGGACACCTGGCCGAGCAAAACCAGTCTTTATAGAGACACCTTGGTGACATCAGGTGTTCTAATGGGAGACACTGCCAGCCGACCCCATTCATTTTAATGATAGAGACACCTGAACCACCCAAGGCATTTTAATGGGAGAGACTCCCAGCCAACCCCAAGCATTCTAATGATTGATAGAGACACCTGGGTGACTGCAGGCATTCTAACGGGAGAGACTTCCGGCCAACTTCGGGCATTCTAATGGGAGAGACTCTTGGACATTCCCAGGACATCGAATGATAGAGACACCTGGGAGCCCACAGACTTTCTAATGGGAGAGTTTCCTGTCCAATCCGAGAGAGTCTAATGATAGAGACAAGAAGGAAACCCCAAGCATTTTAATACGAAAGACTCTGGACTACCCAAGGCATTCTAATGGAAGAGACTCACGGCCAACTGAAGGTATTCTAATGGGAGACTCTTGGCCAACACCAGTCAGTCTAATGATAGAGACACATGGTCGACCACAGACATTCTAATTGGAGAGACAATTGGCAGACCCCAGACAGCCTAGTGATACAGACATTTAGGTGACCTTGGGCATTCTAAAGGGAGAGATTCTCAGTAGGCCCCAGGCATTCTAATGAGAGAGACTCTCGGCCAACCCCAGGCAGTCTAATGATAGAGAAACCTGGGCAACTCCAGGCATTCTAATAGGAGATAATCTAGGCTGACCCCGAGCATTCTAATGAAAGACTCCAGGCTAACCCCAGGAAGTCTAAGGATGGAGACAACTGACCCACCCCAGATATTCAACAGGGCCTTGCTGACCCCAAGCATTCTAATTATAGAGACACCTGGGTGACCCCAGACATTCTAATAAGAGAAGCTCCTGGCCGACCCAAGGCAGTCTAATGATAGAGACACATGGGAAACATCAGACATTCCATTGGGCAGATTAGGTAGTCTAATTACAGAAACACCTGGGTGACCTCCAGCATTCTAAAGGGAGAGACTCCCAGCTGACACAATGCAGTCTAATGATAGAGACACCTGGTTGATTCCAGGTATTCAGATTAGAGAGACTCCTGTTTGGCCCCAGGCAGTTTCATTATTAGAGACACCTGGGCAACCCCAGGCAGTCTAATAAAAAAGACACCTAGACGACCCCAGTCATTATAATGGAAGAGAATCCCCGATGACCATAGGCATTCTAATAGAAGAGACTTCTGGCCTATCCAAGGCAGTCTAAGGATAGAGACATCTGGGCGACAACAGATATTCTAAAGGGAGAGACTTTGACCTTATCCAGGCAGTCTAATTATAGAGACACCTCAGCGACCCCAGACATTCTAACGGGAGAGACTCTGGCCCAACCCCATCCAGTCTAATGATAGAGACACCTGGGTGACTCCAGGCATTCTAATGGGAGAGACTTTGGGCAGACCCCAGGCATTCTAATGGGAGAGACTTTGGGCAGACCCCAGGCATTCTAGTGGGAGAGGCGCCTGGCTGACCCAAGACAGTCTAAGAATGAAGACACCTGGGCGAGACCAGGCATTCTAATGTGAGAGACAACTTGTTGACCACAGGCAGTCTAATTATAGGGACACTTGGGCCACCCCACGTATTATAATGGTAGAGTCTCCTGGCCAACCCAGGGCAGTCTCATTATAGAGACATCTGAGTGACACTAGGATTTCTAATCGGAGAGTCTGCTGTCTGACCCAATACTTTCTAATGATAGAGACAGCTTCAAGAGCCATGGCATTTTAATGGGAGAGACTTTTGTCTAAACCCAAGCATTTTAAAGGTAGAGACACCTAGGAGAGTCCAGACATTCTAATGGAAGAGACTTTCAGCTGACCCCAGGCATTCTAATGGGAGAGACTCCTGGGCGACTGCAGCCATGCTAATTGGAGAGTCATCTGTCCGAAGTGAGGAAGCCTAATGATAAAGACAATTAGGCCAACCCAGGCATTTCAATGGGAAAGACTCCCAGGCATTTCCATGGTAGAGGCTCCTGGCCAACCCCAGGCAGTCTAGTGATAAATATACCTGGGCGACCCCAGCCATTTCAATGGGAGAGACTCTTGGCTGACCCCAGGTAGTCTAATGACAGAAACACCTAGGTGATCCCCAGAATTCTAATGGAAGAGGCTCCCAGCCCACCCCTGGAAGTCTAATAATAGAGACACCTTGGAGACCCTTGGCATTCTAATGGGAGAGACTTTTGTCCGAACCCAGGTGGTCTATTTATAGAGACACCTGAGAGATCCCAGGCATTGTACTGACAGAGAATCCTGGCTGACTCCAGGCATTCTAATTATAGAGACACCTGAAGACCACTGTCATTCTAATGGGAGAGACTCTTGACCAACTGCAGACAGTCTAATTTCAGAGACCCCTTTGCGACCACTGACATTCTAATGGGAGAAACTCCCAGTAGACCCCAGGCATTTTAATGATAGAGGCAACTTGGTGACCCCAGAAATTCTTAAAAAATGAGACTCTTATCCGACCCCAGGCAATCCAATGGGAGAGACTTCTGGCTGACCTCAGGTAGTCTAATGATAGAGACACATGGTCGACCCCAGGCATTTTAATGGAGAGACTCCTGGCCAACCCAAGGTAGTGTAATTATAGAGACACCTGAGCCACCACAGTCATTCTAATAGGAAAGACTCCCAGAGGAATCCAGGTATTCTAATTGGAGAGTCTCCTGGCCAACCCCAGGCAGTCTAAGAATAGGGACTCCTGGGCAAATGCAGGCATTTGAATGGGAGAGACTCCTGGTTGACCTCAGGCAGTCTAATGATAGAGACACCTTTTCATCCCCGAGCATTCCAACGGGAGAAACTCCCACCTGACCCCAGGCAGTCTAGTGATAGATACACCTGAGTGACCCAAGCATTTTAATTGGAGAGACTTCTGGCTGATGCCAGGCAGTCTAATGATAGAAACACCTGGGCAACCCTAGGCATTTTTATGGGAGACTCCTGGCTGACCCCAGGAAGTCTAATTATAGAGACACCTTGTTGACCCTAGGCATTATAATGGGAGAAACTACTGGTGGACCCAGACAGTCTAATTATAGAAACACCTGGGCGACCCTAGGCATTTTAATGGGAGAAACTACTGGCAGACCCAGACAGTCTAATTATAGAAACACCTGGGTGACCCTAGTCATTCTAATGGAATAGATTTTCGGACAAAATCAGGTATTGTAGGGGCAACCCACCCCTACATCTGGTGCCCAACGTGGAGGCTTTTCTCTAGGGTGAAGGTACGCTCGAGCGTGGTCATTGAGGACAAGTCGACGAGAGATCCTGAGTACGTCTACAGTCAGCCTTACAGTAAGCTTGTGCGCTCAGAAGAAGCTAGGGTGATAATGGGGCAAACTAAAAGTAAAATTAAAAGTAAATATGCCTCTTATCTCAGCTTTATTAAAATTCTTCTAAAAAGAGGGGGAGTTAAAGTATCTACAAAAAATCTAATCAAGCTATTTCAAATAATAGAACAATTTTGCCCATGGTTTCCAGAACAAGGAACTTTAGATCTAAAAGATTGGAAAAGAATTGGTAAGGAACTAAAACAAGCAGGTAGGAAGGGTAATATCATTCCACTTACAGTATGGAATGATTGGGCCATTATTAAAGCAGCTTTAGAACCATTTCAAACAGAAGAAGATAGCGTTTCAGTTTCTGATGCCCCTGGAAGCTGTATAATAGATTGTAATGAAAACACAAGGAAAAAATCCCAGAAAGAAACGGAAAGTTTACATTGCGAATATGTAGCAGAGCCGGTAATGGCTCAGTCAACGCAAAATGTTGACTATAATCAATTACAGGAGGTGATATATCCTGAAACGTTAAAATTAGAAGGAAAAGTTCCAGAATTAGTGGGGCCATCAGAGTCTAAACCACGAGGCACAAGTCGTCTTCCAGCAGGTCAGGTGCCCGTAACATTACAACCTCAAACGCAGGTTAAAGAAAATAAGACCCAACCGCCAGTAGCCTATCAATACTGGCCGCCGGCTGAACTTCAGTATCGGCCACCCCTAGAAAGTCAGTATGGATATCCAGGAATGCCCCCAGCACCACAGGGCAGGGCGCCATACCCTCAGCCGCCCACTAGGAGACTTAATCCTACGGCACCACCTAGTAGACGGGGTAGTGAATTACATGAAATTATTGATAAATCAAGAAAGGAAGGAGATACTGAGGCATGGCAATTCCCAGTAACGTTAGAACCGATGCCACCTGGAGAAGGAGCCCAAGAGGGAGAGCCTCCCACAGTTGAGGCCAGATACAAGTCTTTTTCGATAAAAATGCTAAAAGATATGAAAGAGGGAGTAAAACAGTATGGACCCAACTCCCCTTATATGAGGACATTATTAGATTCCATTGCTCATGGACATAGACTCATTCCTTATGATTGGGAGATTCTGGCAAAATCGTCTCTCTCACCCTCTCAATTTTTACAATTTAAGACTTGGTGGATTGATGGGGTACAAGAACAGGTCCGAAGAAATAGGGCTGCCAATCCTCCAGTTAACATAGATGCAGATCAACTATTAGGAATAGGTCAAAATTGGAGTACTATTAGTCAACAAGCATTAATGCAAAATGAGGCCATTGAGCAAGTTAGAGCTATCTGCCTTAGAGCCTGGGAAAAAATCCAAGACCCAGGAAGTACCTGCCCCTCATTTAATACAGTAAGACAAGGTTCAAAAGAGCCCTATCCTGATTTTGTGGCAAGGCTCCAAGATGTTGCTCAAAAGTCAATTGCCATTGAAAAAGCCCGTAAGGTCATAGTGGAGTTGATGGCATATGAAAACCCCAATCCTGAGTGTCAATCAGCCATTAAGCCATTAAAAGGAAAGGTTCCTGCAGGATCAGATGTAATCTCAGAATATGTAAAAGCCTGTGATGGAATGGGAGGAGCTATGCATAAAGCTATGCTTATGGCTCAAGCAATAACAGGAGTTGTTTTAGGAGGACAAGTCAGAACATTTGGAGGAAAATGTTACAATTGTGGTCAAATTGGTCACTTAAAAAAGAATTGCCCAGTCTTAAACAAACAGAATATAACTATTCAAGCAACTACAACAGGTAGAGAGCCACCTGACTTATGTCCAAGATGTAAAAAAGGAAAACATTGGGCTAGTCAATGTCGTTCTAAATTTGATAAAAATGGGCAACCATTGTCGGGAAACGAGCAAAGGGGCCAGCCTCAGGCCCCACAACAAACTGGGGCATTCCCAATTCAGCCATTTGTTCCTCATGGTTTTCAGGGACAACAACCCCCACTGTCCCAAGTGTTTCAGGGAATAAGCCAGTTACCACAATACAACAATTGTCCCCCGCCACAAGCGGCAGTGCAGCAGTAGATTTATGTACTATACAAGCAGTCTCTCTGCTTCCAGGGGAGCCCCCACAAAAAATCCCCACAGGGGTATATGGCCCCCTGCCTGAGGGGACTGTAGGACTAATCTTGGGAAGATCAAGTCTAAATCTAAAAGGAGTTCAAATTCATACTGGTGTGGTTGATTCAGGCTATAAAGGCGAAATTCAGTTGGTTATTAGCTCTTCAATTCCTTGGAGTGCCAGTCCAGGAGACAGGATTGCTCAATTATTACTCCTGCCATATATTAAAGGGTGGAAATAGTGAAATAAAAAGAATAGGAGGGCTTGGAAGCACTGATCCAACAGGAAAGGCTGCATATTGGGCAAGTCAGGTCTCAGAGAACAGACCTGTGTGTAAGGCCATTATTCAAGGAAAACAGTTTGAAGGGTTGGTAGACACTGGAGCAGATGTCTCTATCATTGCTTTAAATCAGTGGCCAAAAAATTGGCCTAAACAAAAGGCTGTTACAGGACTTGTCGGCATAGGCACAGCCTCAGAAGTGTATCAAAGTACTGAGATTTTACATTGCTTAGGGCCAGATAATCAAGAAAGTACTGTTCAGCCAATGATTACTTCAATTCCTCTTAATCTGTGGGGTCGAGATTTATTACAACAATGGGGTGCGGAAATCACCATGCCTGCTCCATTATATAGCCCCACGAGTCAAAAAATCATGACCAAGATGGGATATATACCAGGAAAGGGACTAGGGAAAAATGAAGATGGCATTAAAATTCCAGTTGAGGCTAAAATAAATCAAAAAAGAGAAGGAATAGGGTATCCTTTTTAGGGGTGGCCACTGTAGAGCCTCCTAAACCCATACCATTAACTTGGAAAACAGAAAAACCAGTGTGGGTAAATCAGTGGCCGCTACCAAAACAAAAACTGGAGGCTTTACATTTATTAGCAAATGAACAGTTAGAAAAGGGTCATATTGAGCCTTCATTCTCACCTTGGAATTCTCCTGTGTTTGTAATTCAGAAGAAATCAGGCAAATGGCGTATGTTAACTGACTTAAGGGCCGTAAATGCCGTAAACGCCGTAATTCAACCCATGGGGCCTCTCCAACCCGGGTTGCCCTCTCTGGCCATGATCCCAAAAGATTGGCCTTTAATTATAATTGATCTAAAGGATTGCTTTTTTACCATCCCTCTGGCAGAGCAGGATTGTGAAAAATTTGCCTTTACTATACCAGCCATAAATAATAAAGAGCCAGCCACCAGGTTTCAGTGGAAAGTGTTACCTCAGGGAATGCTTAATAGTCCAACTATTTGTCAGACTTTTGTAGGTCGAGCTCTTCAACCAGTTAGAGAAAAGTTTTCAGACTGTTATATCATTCATTATATTGATGATATTTTATGTGCTGCAGAAACGAAAGATAAATTAATTGACTGTTATACATTTCTGCAAGCAGAGGTTGCCAACGCAGGACTGGCAATAGCATCTGATAAGATCCAAACCTCTACTCCTTTTCATTATTTAGGGATGCAGATAGAAAATAGAAAAATTAAGCCACCAAAAATAGAAATAAGAAAAGACACATTAAAAACACTAAATGATTTTCAAAAATTGCTGGGAGATATTAATTGGATTCGGCCAACTCTAGGCATTCCTACTTATGCCATGTCAAATTTGTTCTCTATCTTAAGAGGAGACTCAGACTTAAATAGTAAAAGAATGTTAACCCCAGAGGCAACAAAAGAAATTAAATTAGTGGAAGAAAAAATTCAGTCAGCGCAAATAAATAGAATAGATCCCTTAGCCACACTCCAACTTTTGATTTTTGCCACTGCACATTCTCCAACAGGCATCATTATTCAAAATACTGATCTTGTGGAGTGGTCATTCCTTCCTCACAGTACAGTTAAGACTTTTACATTGTACTTGGATCAAATGGCTACATTAATTGGTCAGACAAGATTACGAATAATAAAATTATGTGGAAATGACCCAGACAAAATAGTTGTCCCTTTAACCAAGGAACAAGTTAGACAAGCCTTTATCAATTCTGGTGCATGGCAGATTGGTCTTGCTAATTTTGTGGGAATTATTGATAATCATTACCCAAAAACAAAGATCTTCCAGTTCTTAAAAATGACTACTTGGATTCTACCTAAAATTACCAGACGTGAACCTTTAGAAAATGCTCTAACAGTATTTACTGATGGTTCCAGCAATGGAAAAGCAGCTTACACAGGGCCGAAAGAACGAGTAATCAAAACTCAATATCAATCGGCTCAAAGAGCAGAATTGGTTGCAGTCATTACAGTGTTGCAAGATTTTGACCAACCTATCAATATTATATCAGATTCTGCATATGTAGTACAAGCTACAAGGGATGTTGAGACAGCTCTAATTAAATATAGCATGGATGATCAGTTAAACCAGCTATTCAATTTATTACAACAAACTGTAAGAAAAAGAAATTTTCCGGCCGGGCGCGGTGGCTCACGCCTGTAATCCCAGCACTTTGGGAGGCCGAGGCGGGCGGATCACGAGGTCAGGAGATCGAGACCATCCCGGCTAAAACGGTGAAACCCCGTCTCTACTAAAAATACAAAAAATTAGCCGGGCGTAGTGGCGGGCGCCTGTAGTCCCAGCTACTCGGGAGGCTGAGGCAGGAGAATGGCGTGAACCCGGGAGGCGGAGCTTGCAGTGAGCCGAGATCCCGCCACTGCACTCCAGCCTGGGCGACAGAGCGAGACTCCGTCTCAAAAAAAAAAAAAAAAAAAAAAAAAAGAAAAAGAAATTTTCCATTTTATATTACTCATATTCGAGCACACACTAATTTACCAGGGCCTTTGACTAAAGCAAATGAACAAGCTGACTTACTGGTATCATCTGCACTCATAAAAGCACAAGAACTTCATGCTTTGACTCATGTAAATGTAGCAGGATTAAAAAACAAATTTGATGTCACATGGAAACAGGCAAAAGATATTGTACAACATTGCACCCAGTGTCAAGTCTTACACCTGCCCACTCAAGAGGCAGGAGTTAATCCCAGAGGTCTGTGTCCTAATGCATTATGGCAAATGGATGTCACGCATGTATCTTCATTTGGAAGATTATCATATATTCATGTAACAGTTGATACTTATTCACATTTCATATGGGCAACTTGCCAAACAGGAGAAAGTACTTCCCATGTTAAAAAACATTTATTGTCTTGTTTTGCTGTAATGGGAGTTCCAGAAAAAATCAAAACTGACAATGGACCAGGATATTGTAGTAAAGCTTTCCAAAAATTCTTAAGTCAGTGGAAAATTTCACATACAACAGGAATTCCTTATAATTCCCAAGGACAGGCCATAGTTGAAAGAACAAATAGAACACTCAAAACTCAATTAGTTAAACAAAAAGAAGGGGGAGACAGTAAGGAGTGTACCACTCCTCAGATGCAACTTAATCTAGCACTCTATACTTTAAATTTTTTAAACATTTATAGAAATCAGACTACTACTTCTGCAGAACAACATCTTACTGGTAAAAAGAACAGCCCACATGAAGGAAAACTAATTTGGTGGAAAGATAATAAAAATAAGACATGGGAAATAGGGAAGGTGATAACGTGGGGGAGAGGTTTTGCTTGTGTTTCACCAGGAGAAAATCAGCTTCCTGTTTGGATACCCACTAGACATTTGAAGTTCTACAATGAACCCATCGGAGATGCAAAGAAAAGCACCTCCGCGGAGACGGAGACACCGCAATCGAGCACCGTTGACTCACAAGATGAACAAAATGGTGACGTCAGAAGAACAGATGAAGTTGCCATCCACCAAGAAAGCAGAGCCGCCGACTTGGGCACAACTAAAGAAGCTGACGCAGTTAGCTACAAAATATCTAGAGAACACAAAGGTGACACAAACCCCAGAGAGTATGCTGCTTGCAGCCTTGATGATTGTATCAATGGTGGTAAGTCTCCCTATGCCTGCAGGAGCAGCTGCAGCTAACTATACCTACTGGGCCTATGTGCCTTTCCCGCCCTTAATTCGGGCAGTCACATGGATGGATAATCCTATAGAAGTATATGTTAATGATAGTGTATGGGTACCTGGCCCCACAGATGATCACTGCCCTGCCAAACCTGAGGAAGAAGGGATGATGATAAATATTTCCATTGGGTATCGTTATCCTCCTATTTGCCTAGGGAGAGCACCAGGATGTTTAATGCCTGCAGTCCAAAATTGGTTGGTAGAAGTACCTACTGTCAGTCCCATCAGTAGATTCACTTATCACATGGTAAGCGGGATGTCACTCAGGCCACGGGTAAATTATTTACAAGACTTTTCTTATCAAAGATCATTTAAATTTAGACCTAAAGGGAAACCTTGCCCCAAGGAAATTCCCAAAGAATCAAAAAATACAGAAGTTTTAGTTTGGGAAGAATGTGTGGCCAATAGTGCGGTGATATTACAAAACAATGAATTTGGAACTATTATAGATTGGGCACCTCGAGGTCAATTCTACCACAATTGCTCAGGACAAACTCAGTCGTGTCCAAGTGCACAAGTGAGTCCAGCTGTTGATAGCGACTTAACAGAAAGTTTAGACAAACATAAGCATAAAAAATTGCAGTCTTTCTACCCTTGGGAATGGGGAGAAAAAGGAATCTCTACCCCAAGACCAAAAATAATAAGTCCTGTTTCTGGTCCTGAACATCCAGAATTATGGAGGCTTACTGTGGCCTCACACCACATTAGAATTTGGTCTGGAAATCAAACTTTAGAAACAAGAGATCGTAAGCCATTTTATACTGTCGACCTAAATTCCAGTCTAACAGTTCCTTTACAAAGTTGCATAAAGCCCCCTTATATGCTAGTTGTAGGAAATATAGTTATTAAACCAGACTCCCAGACTATAACCTGTGAAAATTGTAGATTGCTTACTTGCATTGATTCAACTTTTAATTGGCAACACCGTATTCTGCTGGTGAGAGCAAGAGAGGGCGTGTGGATCCCTGTGTCCATGGACCGACCGTGGGAGGCCTCACCATCCATCCATACTTTGACTGAAGTATTAAAAGGTGTTTTAAATAGATCCAAAAGATTCATTTTTACTTTAATAGCAGTGATTATGGGATTAATTGCAGTCACAGCTACGGCTGCTGTAGCAGGAGTTGCATTGCACTCTTCTGTTCAGTCAGTAAACTTTGTTAATGATTGGCAAAAAAATTCTACAAGATTGTGGAATTCACAATCTAGTATTGATCAAAAATTGGCAAATCAAATTAATGATCTTAGACAAACTGTCATTTGGATGGGAGACAGGCTCATGAGCTTAGAACATCGTTTCCAGTTACAATGTGACTGGAATACGTCAGATTTTTCTATTACACCCCAAATTTATAATGAGTCTGAGCATCACTGGGACATGGTTAGACGCCATCTACAGGGAAGAGAAGATAATCTCACTTTAGACATTTCCAAATTAAAAGAACAAATTTTCGAAGCATCAAAAGCCCATTTAAATTTGGTGCCAGGAACTGAGGCAATTGCAGGAGTTGCTGATGGCCTCGCAAATCTTAACCCTGTCACTTGGGTTAAGACCATTGGAAGTACTACGATTATAAATCTCATATTAATCCTTGTGTGCCTGTTTTGTCTGTTGTTAGTCTGCAGGTGTACCCAACAGCTCCGAAGAGACAGCGACCATCGAGAACGGGCCATGATGACGATGGCGGTTTTGTCGAAAAGAAAAGGGGGAAATGTGGGGAAAAGCAAGAGAGATCAGATTGTTACTGTGTCTGTGTAGAAAGAAGTAGACATAGGAGACTCCATTTTGTTATGTACTAAGAAAAATTCTTCTGCGTTATGTACTAAGAAAAATTCTTCTGCCTTGAGATTCTGTTAATCTGTGACCTTACCCCCAACCCCGTGCTCTCTGAAACATGTGCTGTGTCAACTCAGAGTTAAATGGATTAAGGGCGGTGCAAGATGTGCTTTGTTAAACAGATGCTTGAAGGCAGCATGCTCCTTAAGAGTCATCACCACTCCCTAATCTCAAGTACCCAGGGACACAAAAACTGGGGAAGGCCGCAGGGACCTCTGCCTAGGAAAGCCAGGTATTGTCCAAGGTTTCTCCCCATGTGATAGTCTGAAATATGGCCTCGTGGGAAGGGAAAGACCTGACCGTCCCCCAGCCCGACACCCGTAAAGGGTCTGTGCTGAGGAGGATTAGTAAAAGAGGAAGGAATGCCTCTTGCAGTTGAGACAAGAGGAAGGCATCTGTCTCCTGCCTGTCCCTGGGCAATGGAATGTCTAGGTATAAAATCCGATTGTATGCTCCATCTACTGAGATAGGGAAAAACCGCCTTAGGGCTGGAGGTGGGACCTGCGGGCAGCAATACTGCTTTGTAAAGCATTGAGATGTTTATGTGTATGCATATCTAAAAGCACAGCACTTAATCCTTTACATTGTCTATGATGCAAAGACCTTTGTTCACGTGTTTGTCTGCTGACCCTCTCCCCACAATTGTCTTGTGACCCTGACACATCCCCCTCTTCGAGAAACACCCACAAATGATGAATAAATACTAAGGGAACTCAGAGGCTGGCGGGATCCTCCATATGCTGAACGCTGGTTCCCCGGGTCCCCTTATTTCTTTCTCTATACTTTGTCTCTGTGTCTTTTTCTTTTCCAAATCTCTCGTCCCACCTTACGAGAAACACCCACAGGTGTGTAGGGGCAACCCACCCCTACAAGGTATTTTAATGAAAAAGGCTCCTGACCAGCCCCAGGTTGCATAATAATAGAGACACCTGGTGGACCCCAGTCATTCTAATAAAAGAGACTCCCAGCCAACCTCTGGCATTTTCTTGGAAGAGTCTCCTGGCTGACCCCAGGCAATCAAATTATAGAGAAAATTAAGTGACCCCAGGCATTTTAATGGGAGAGTCTCCTGGTCGACCCCAGGTAGTGTAATTATAGAGATACTTGGTTGACCCCAGACATTGTAATAAGAGAGACTCCCGGCCAATCCCAGACATTATATAATAGAGACACCTTTACCAACCCAGGCATTCTAATGGGACAGACTCTTGGCAGATTCCAGGCTTTCTAGTAGGAGAGACTCTTGGCTGACCCAATGCAGTGTAATAATAAAGACACCTAGGTGAACTTAGGCATTCTGATGGGAGAGACTCTCGGCTGACTACAGGCTGTCTAATGACAGAGACACCTGGGCAACCACAGGCATTCTAATGGGAAGGACTCCCACTTGACTCCAGGCAATTTAATTGGAGAGAGAGACTCCTGGCTGTTCTCAGGCAGTCTAATTATAGAGATACCCAAGCGATCACAGGCAAACTTACAGGAGTAACTCCTGTCGGACCCCTGGCAGTCTAATAATAGAGACACCTGGGCAACCCAAGGCATTTTAATGGGAGAGACTCCTGGCTGACTCCAGGCACTCTAATTATAGAGACACCTGGGCGACCCCAGGCATTATAATGGGAGGCACTCCCAGCCAACCCCAAGAAGTCTCATGGTAGAGACACCTGAGTGACCCTGGGCATGCTAATGGGAGAGACTTCCATCCGAACCTGGGGATTTTAATAATAGAGTCACCTGGGCGACCTCAGGCATTCTAAAAATAGTAACATCCAGCCAACCTCAAGAATTCTAATGGGAGAGACACCCAGCCAACCCCAGGCAGTCTAATGTTAGAGACACCTCGTCAATTCTAGGCATTCTAATGGGAGAAACTCCTGGCTGACTCAGGAAGTCTAATTATAGAGACCTGGGAGATCCCAGTCATTCTAATGGGATAGACTCTGGACAAACCCAGATATTCTAATTGGAGAGACTCCTGGCTGAGCCCAGGCAGTCTAAATATCGAGACACCTGTGCAAACCCAAGCATTCTAATGTGAGAGACACCGGGCCAAACCCAGGCAGTTTAATGACAGACACACCTGGGTGGCTCCAGGCATTCTGATGGGAGGGACTCCCGGGGGACCCCAGGCATTCTAATGGGATAGCCTTTTAGCCAACACCAGGCAGTCTAAGAATGAAAACACTTGGCTGACCCCAGGCATTCTAATGGGAAAGACTCCTTGCTGACCCTATGCAGTTTAATGATAGAGACACCTGGGCGACCCTCCAGGCATTCCAATGAGAGAAAATCCTGGCCAACCCCAGGTAGCCTAATGACAGAAACACCTGGGCGACCTTCAGCATTCTAATGAGAAAAACTCCCAGCCAACCCCAGGCAGTCTAATGATAGACACCTCTGTGACTCCTGGCATGCTAATGAGAGACTTTTGTTTGACCTTAGGTGGTCTAACTATAGAGACAACTTGGCCACCACAGGCATTCATATGGGAGAGACTCCCAGCCTAGCACAGTCAGTCAAATAATAAAGACACCTTGGAGACCCCAGGCATTGTAATGGGAAAGACTCCTGGCCGACCCCAGGCAGTTTAATTATAGAGAAACCTGGGTCACCACAGTCATTCTAATGGGAGAGACTCTCAGAAGAAACCAGGCATTCTAATGGGAGAGAGTTTTTGCTTACCCTATGCAGTCTAACTATAAAGACACCTGGGTGTCCCAGGCATTCTGATGAAAGAGATTCCCAGCCACTCTTAGGGAGTCTGATGGTAGAGAAATATGTGAGACCAAAGTCATTCTAATGAGGAAGACTCCCTGATGACCCCAGGCATTCTTTTTGGAGAGACTCCTGGCTGACCTCAGTCAGTCTAATAATAGAGACAGTTGGGCCACCACAGGCATTCTAACAGGAAAGACTGCTTGCTGGCCCCAGGCATTCTAATGATAGAGACATCTGAACAATCCCAGGCATTCTAATAGGAGAGACTCCTGGTCAACCCCAGGCAGTCTTACAATAAAGACACCTGCACGCACCCAGACTTTCTTTTTTTTTTTTTTTTTTTTTTTTTTTTTTTTTTGAGACGGAGTCTCGCTCTGTCGCCCAGGCTGGAGTGCAGTGGCGGGATCTCGGCTCACTGCAAGCTCCGCCTCCCGGGTTCACGCCATTCTCCCGCCTCAGCCTCCCAAGTAGCTGGGACTACAGGCGCCCGCCACTACGCCCGGCTAATTTTTTGTATTTTTAGTAGAGACGGGGTTTCACCGTGTTAGCTGGGATGGTCTCGATCTCCTGACCTCGTGATCCGCCCACCTCGGCCTCCCAAAGTGCTGGGATTACAGGCGTGAGCCACCGCGCCCGGCCCGCACCCAGACTTTCTAATGGGAGAGAGTTTCAGGCGACCCCAGGCAGTCTAATGATAGAGACAACTGGGCGACTGTAGGCATTCTAATGGGAGAGGCTCCCCACCAACCCCAGGCATTCTAATGCAGAGACTCCTGTCCCACCCTAGGCAGCCTAAGGAGAGAGAAACCTGGGTGACCCCAGGGATTTTAATGGGAGAGACTTCTTTCTGACCACAGGCAGTTTAATTAGAGAGATACTTGGGTGACCCCAGACATTATAATGGAAAAGTCCTTTGGCCGACTTCAGGCAGTCTAATGATAGAGACACCTGGGTGACCACATGCATTCCAATGGGAGAGACTCCTGGCCGACCCCAGATAGTCTAATGTTAGAATCACGTGGGTGGCCTGTGGCATTCTTATGGGAGAGACTGCTGGCCAACTGCAGAGAGTGTAATGATAAAGACACTTGGGTGATCTCAGGCACTTTAATGGGAGAGATTCTCACCAACCCCAGGCAGTCTAATGATACAGACACCTGGCTGACCCCAGGTATTCTAAAGGGAGAGACTCCCAGCCGACTATAAGCAGCGTAATGTTAGAGACAGCTGGACGATCTCAGGCATTTTAATGAAAGAGATTCACAGCTGAACTCAGGCATTCTACTGATAGAGACAACTGGGTGACTCTAGGCATTCTAATGGGAGAGACTCTTGGCTGGCCTTTGGTATTTTAATGGGAGAGACTTCTTGCCAACACCAGGCAATGTAATGATGGAGACACCTTAGCAAACCCATGCATTCTAGTGGAAGAGTCTCCTGGCTGACCCTAGGCAGTCTAAGGTTGGTATACCTGGTTGACTTTAGGCATCCTAGTGGGAGAGACTCTCAGCCAACCCCTGGAAGTCTAACGATGAGAAAAGTGGGGGTTTGCAGGGATTCTAAAGGAAGAAACTCCTGTCTGACCCCAGGAAGTGTAATGATAGAGATACCTTGGCAACCCTATGCATTCTAGTGGGAGAGACTCCTGGCTGACCCCAAGCAGTCTAATGATAAAGACAACAGGGCAACCCCAGATATTCTAATAGGAGACTCTACCAGCCCACACAAGGTTTAACTCTGTGATATGAATCCACACATCATATAGCAGTTTCACAAATAACATCTTTCTATTTTTATCTGGGAATATTCAATTTTTCACCTTAGGTCTCAAAGAGCTCCCACATATCCCTTTCCTGATTCTACTAAAAGAGTGTTTCCAACCTGCTGAATCAATAGAAAAGTTAAACTCTGTGAGTAGAATCTGCACATCACAAAGTAGTTTCACTAAAATCTTCTTTCTAGTTTTTATCTTTGAATATGCCATTTTTCACAGTGTGCTACAATGGGCTTGCAAATGTTCCTTCACAGATTCCAGCAAAAGAATGTTTGCAACTTGCAGATTCAAAAGAAAGTTTTAAGCCTTTGAGCTGATTCCACACTTAACAAAGCAGTTTCACAGATAGCTTCTTGATAGTTTTTATGGGGGGATATCCTGTTTTTCACCATAGTCCTCTAAGGGCTTATAAATGTTCCTTTGCAGATTCTATCTAAAGATTGTTTCCATCTTGCTGTATCAATAGAAGGGTTTAACTCTGTGCAATGACTCCACACATCACAGAGCACTTCACAGATAGCTTCTTTCTAGTTTTCATCTGGGAATATTTTCTTTTTCACAATAGGCCTCTAGGGGCTCCGGAATGTCCCTTCACAGATTCTGCAAAATGAGTGTTTCAAACCTGTGGAATGAAAGGAAAGGTTTAAGTCTGTAAGATAAATACACACAGCAAAAAAGCAGTTTCACTGATCACTTCTTTATAGTTTTTATCTGGGGATATTCGGTTTTTCACCATAGGCCTAAAAGGGCTCCCAAATGTCCCTTTGCAGATTCTACAACAAGTGTTTCCATCCTGCTGAATGAATAGAAAGATTTAATCCTGTGAGATAAATGCACAAATCACAATGCAGTTTCAGAAATCACTTCTTTCTAGTTTTTATCTGGGGATATCCATTATTTCTGCTTAGGCTTCAATGGGATGTGATAAGTTCCTATGCAGATTCTACCAAAAGACTGTTTACAGCCTGATGAATCAAAACAAAGTTTTGATTCTGTGAGCTAAATCAAAACATCCAAAGCAGTTTCACTGACAGCTCCTTTTTAGTTTTGATCTTGGGATATTTGGTTTTCATCCATAGGCCTCAATGGGTTCTGAAATATCCTGTTGCTGATTCTACAAATGAGTGTCTCCAACCTACTGAATAAAAAAAAAGTTGAAATCTGTTAGATGAATTGCACATCACAAAGCAGTTTCACAGATAGTTTCCTTCAGGTTTTTATCTGGAAATATTGGGTTGTTCACCATAGGACTCAATGGGCTCCACAATGTCTCATCACAGAGTCTACAAAAATGCGTTTCCAACCTGATGAATTCAGGGAAATGTTTAACCAGGTGAGATGAATCCACACTTTACAATACAGTTTCAAAGATAGCTTCTTTCTAGTTTTTATCAAGGTATATTCAGTTTTTCACAATAGGCCTCTAAGGGATCATAATGTCTGTTGGCAGATTCTACAAAAAGAGTGATTCCAACTTGTTGATTCAATATAAATGTTTATCTCTTTAAGAAAAATCCTGACATTACAAGTAAGTTAAACAGATAGCTTCTTTCTAGTTTTTAATCTGGAGTTACTGAGTTTTTAACTATAGACCCTTATGGGCTTGTAAATGTCCCTTCACCGATACTAACTAAAGAGTGTTTCATACATGCTGTGTCATAACAAAGGTTTAATTTTGTGAGATGAATCCATACAACAGAAGGGAGTTATATGCTTAGCTTTTTTCTACTTTTTATCTGGGGATATTCTGTTTTCCACCATAGGCCTCTATGGGCTCTTAAATATCCCTTCATAGATGCTATCTAAAACATTTTTCAAACACGCTATATTGACAGAAAGGTTGAACTATGTTAGATGAATAAACACATCCCAAACAGTTTCACAAAGAGCTTCCTTATGGTTTTTTCTGTGGATTTTCAGTTTTTCATTATACGCCTAAAATGTCTCACAAATACCCCTTCGCAGATTCTAGAAAAAGGTGTTTCCAGCCTGCTGAATCAAAAGAAAGTTTTAACTCTGTGAAATGAATCCATGCATCACAAAGAAGATTCACTGATAGTTTCTTTCTAGTTTTTATCTGGGGATATTAGGTTATTTACCATAGGCCTCAATAGGATCCCAAATGTCCTTTCACAGATTCTATCCAAAGAGTGTTTGTTTCCAACCTGCTGAATCAAAGGATTGGATTCATCTGTGAGATGAATCCAAACATCACAACTCAGTTTCACAGATGCCTTCTTTGTAGTTTTCATCTGGGAACATACTGATTTTCACAATAAGCCTCAATTGTCTCCCAAGAGTCCCTCGGCAGATTCTACCAAAATAGCGTTTCATACCTGCTGAATCAAAAGAAAGGTTTAACTTTGTAAGATAAATCCACACATCACAAATAATTTTCACAGATATCATCTTTCTAGTTTTTATCTGGGCATATTCTGTTTTTCAGTGTAGGCCTCTATTGGCTATCAAATGTCTTTTCACAGATTCTATCTACCTAAAGTGTTCACAAACTGCTCTATCATAAGAAAGTTTCAACTCTATGTGATGAATTCACACATCACAAAGTAGTTTCACAGATAGCTTCTTTCTAGTTTTTATCTTGGGATATTTGGTTTTGCAACATAAGCCACAATGGACCCCCAAATGTTCCTTTGCAGATTTTACAAAAGGAGTGTTGGCATCCTGCTAAATCAACAGAAAAGATAACCCTTGGGGGATGAATCCACACATCATAAAGAAGTTTCACAGACAGCTTCTTTCTAGTTTTTATTTTGCTATATTCCATTTTTCACCATATTACAGGGGGCTCAAAAATGTCCCTTCTCAGATTCTAGCAAAGAAGTGTCTCCAACATGCTGAATCAAAAGAAAGGTTTACCACTGTGAGATGAATCCACACATCACAAATCAGTTTCACAGATAGCTTCTTCTTTTTTTTTTTAATCTGGGGATAATTTGTATTTCACCATAGACCTCAATGGGCTTCAAAATATCCCTTCGCAGATTCTACCAAAAAGTGTTTCACAACTCCTGAGTCAAAACAAAGGTTTAACCCTGTGAGATGAATCCACATATCACACAGCAGTTTCACAAACACCTTATTTCTAGTTTTTATCTGGGATTTTTTTTCACCACAGGCCTCAAAGGGTTCCCAAATTTTTCTTTGCAGATTGTACCAAAAGAGTGTTTCCATCCTGCTGAATCAAAAGAAAGGTTTAATTCTGTGAGATGAATCCACACATTACGGAGCAGTTTCACAGATAGCTTAATTCTAGTTTTTATCTAGGGATATTGGTTTTTTTTTTTTTTTTTAAGCATAGACCTCTGTGGGCACTGAAATGTCCCTTTGCAGTTTTCACAAAACGAGTGTTTCCAACCTGGTGAATCAAAATAAAGGTTTAACTCTGTGAGATGAATCCTGACATCAGAAATAATTTTCAGAGATAGCTTCTTTGTAGTTATTATCTGGGGATATTCGATGTCTTACCATAGGCCTCAAAGGGCTTCAAAATGTCCCTTCACAGATTGTACCAAAAGAGGGTTTCCAACTTGCTGAATCAAAAGAAAAGTTTAACACTGTCAGATGAATCCACACATCAGGAAGCAGTTTCACAGATAGCTTCTTTCTAGTGTTTATCTGGGAATATTTTTTTTACCATAAGCCTTAATGGCGTCCCACATATCCCTTCCCTGATTTACCAAAAGAATATTTCCAAACTTTTGAATCAAAAGAAAAGTTTAACTCTATGAGAAGAATCCACACATCACAAAGCATATTCACTGATAGCTTCTTTCTTGTTTTCACCTTTGGATATTCAATTTTTCAGAGTAGGCTACATTGGCCTCACAAATGTCCTTTCTCAGATACTAGTAAAGGAATGTTTGCAACCTGCTGAATCAAAAGAGAGGATTAACTCTCTGAGATGATTCCACACATAGCAAAGCAGGATCACAGATAGCTTATTTATAGTTTTTATCTGGGGATATTTTGTTTTTCAACATAGGCCTCTATGGGTTTTCAAATGTCCCTTCGCAGATTCTAACTAAAGAGGGTTTCAATCCTGCTGTATCAAAAGAAAGGTTTAACTCAGTGAGATGAATTCACAGATCACAAAGCAATTTCACAAACAGCTCATTTCTAGTTTTTATTTGTGCACATTCAATTTTTCACCATAGGCCTCAAAGGGCTTACAAATGTCCCTTTGCAGGTTCTACAAAAAGAGTGTGTCCAACATGCTGTATTAAGGAATGTTTTAGCTCTTTGAGATGAATTCAGACCTCACAAAGCAGTTCACAGATACCTGGTGATATTCTGTCTTTCACCATAGGCTTCAATGGGCTCCCAAATGTCCCTTCACAGATTCTACCAAAAGAGTGTTTCCTACATGTTAAATTGAAGAAACGTTTAACTCTGTGAGATGAATTTACACATCACAAAGCAGTTCACAAAGAAATTCTTTCCAGTTTTTATCTGGGAATACTGTGTTTTCCACTGTATGCCACAGGGGACCTCAACGTATCTTTTTGCAGATTCCACAAAACGAGTTCTTTCAACCTGCTGAATCAAAGGAAAGGTTTAACACTGTGAGATGAATCCACTCATCAAAAAAGCAGTTTCACAGATAGCTCTTTCTAGTTTTTATGTGAAGATATTCAGTTTTTCACTACAGTCCTCAAAGGGCTCCTAAGTGTCCCTTATCAGATTCTACAAAAAAGAGTATTTGCAAGCTGCTGCATCAAAAGAAAGGTTTAACACTGTGAATTAAATCCACACATCATAAAGCAGTTTCACAGATAGCTTCTTTCCAGTTTTTATCTGGGTATATTCAGTTTTTCATCATAAGGCTCAATGGGCTCACAAATGTCCCTTTGCAGATTCTACAAAACGAGTGTTTCCAACCTGCTGAAACAAAAGAATGGTTTAGCTCTGTGAGGTGAATCCACACATCGCAATGTAGTTTCACAGATACCTTCTTTCGAGTTTTTATCTGGGGAGATTTGTTTTTCACCATAGGCCTCAATGGGCTCCTGAATGTCCCTTGCAGATTCTACATAAGAAGTATTTGCAACCTGCCCAATCAAAGAAATGGTATAACTCTGTGAGATGCATCAACCCTTCACAAAGCAGTTTCACAGATTGCTCTTTTCTAGTTTTTATCTGGGGATATTCAGTTTTACACCATATACCTCAATCGGCTTTCAAATGTCTTTTCACAGATTCTACCAAAAGAGTGTTTTCATACTCTTTCACAAAGCAGTTTCACAGATAGCTTCTTTCAACTTTTTATCTGGGAACATTTGGTTTTTCACCATAAGCTGTAAAGGGCTCCCTAACGTAACTCAACAGAGTTTTCCAAAAGAATATTTCCAACC
This sequence comes from Homo sapiens, assembly GCF_000001405.40. NCBI lineage: Eukaryota > Metazoa > Chordata > Mammalia > Primates > Hominidae > Homo > Homo sapiens. The sequence goes on along the minus strand of NC_000019.10, from coordinate 27,628,593 downwards.
TGCTCAGTCAAAACAAATGTTTAACTCTGTGACATGAATCCCCATATCACAAAGCAGTCTCACAGTTAACTTCTTTCAGTTTTTATCTGGGGATATTTGATCTTTCACCATAGGCCAAAATGGACTCCAAAATATTCCTTCACAGATCCTACAAAAGAATTGTATGCAAATTGCTGAATCAAAAAAAGGTTTAACTCTCTGAGATGAATCCACACATCACAAAGCAGTTATAACTATAGCTGCTTTCTAGTTTTTATCTGGGGATACTCTGTTTTTACTACACCCCTCAAAGTGCTACCAAATGTCCCTTCACAGATTCTACAAAAGGAATGTTTGCAAGCTACGTAATCAAAAGATACCTTTAACTCTGAGAGATGAATCCACACAACACAAAGCAGTTTAACATATAGCTTCTTTCTAGTTTTTATCCTGGGATATTCCATTTTTCTCCATAGGCTACAGTGGGCTCGGAATGTCCCTTCACAGATTCTAGCAAAGGAGTGTTTGCAACCTGCTGAATCAAAGAAACTTTTAACTCTGTGCAAAGAATCCACACGTCAGAAACTACTTTTACAGATAGCTTCATTCGAATTTTTATCTGGAGATATTCAGCACTTCACTGTAGGCTTCAAAGGGCTCCCATATGTACCTTGGCAATTTATGCCAAAATAGTGTTTCCAACCTGCTGAATCAAAACAAAGGTTTAATTCTGTGAGATGAATCCATACATCAAAAAGCAGTTTCACATATAGCTTCTTTGTAGTTTTTGTCTTTGAATGTTCATTTTTTCATTATAAGCCTCAATGGGTTCCCAAATATGTCTTTGCAGATTCTACCAAAAGAGTGTTTCCAACATCCTGAATCAAAAGAAAGGTCTAAGTCTTGGGTGAATACGCACATCCCAGAGCACTTTCACAGTTAGCTTCCTCTTAATATATCTGGGGAAATTATGTTTTTTACCATATTCCTCAAAGGGCTCCAAAATGTCCCTTCACAGGATCTACCAAAACAGTGTTTCCAAACTGCTGAATCAAAAGAAATTTTTAACTGTGTCAGATGAATCCACAAATCACAATGCTGTTTCATGAGATCTTCTTTCTAGTTTATATCTAGGGATATTTTGTTTTACAACATAGGTCTCAATGGGCTCCAAAATGTCCCTCTGCAAATCCTACCAAAAGAGTTTTTCCCACCTGCTGAATCAAAAAATAAGTTTAACTCTGAGATGAATCTACATGTCACAAAGTTATTTCACAGATAGCTTGATTCTAGTTTTTATCTGGGGATAATTTGTTTTTCATCATAGGACTTTATGGGCTCTGAAATGTCCCTTCGCAGATTCTACCAAAAATTGTTTTGCACCTGCTGGGAAAAGAAAAATGTAACTTTGAGATGAATCCACACATCTCAAAGCGGTTTCACCAATAACTTCTTCCTAGTTTTTATCTGGGGACATTTGGTTATTCACAAAGGGCTCCCAAATGTCCTTTCACAGCTTCTACAAAAAGATTATTTCAAACCTGCTGAATTGACAGAAAGTTTTAACTCTGTGAGATGAATCCACACATAAGAAAGCAGTTTTACAGATGGCTTCTTTCTAGTTTTAATCTGGGGATATTCGGTTTTTCACTATAGGACTTAATAGGCTCCCAAATGTCCCTCCACAGATTCTACCAAAAGTGTTTAAAACCTGCTTAAACAAAAGAAAGATTTAAGTCTGTGAGATGAATCCACACATCCAAAACAATTTCACTAATAGCTTCTTTCTGGTTTTTATCTTTTTATCTTGGGATATTCAGTTTTTCAACATAGGCTAAAATGGGCTCACAAATTTCCCTTCACAGATCCTAGTAAAAGAGTGTTTATAACGTGCTAAATCGAAAGAAGGTTTAACTCTGTGGGGGAAACCACACATCACAAAGAAATGTCCCAGATAGTTTCTTTGTAGTTTTTATCTGGTGATATTCTGTTTTTCAACTTAGGCCTCCATGGTCTTACAAATGTCTCTTCACAGATTCTATTTAAAGAATATTTCAACACTGCTGTATCTAAAGAAATGTTTATCTCTGTGAGATGAATCCACACATCAAAAATCAGTTTCACAGATATGTTCTTTCAGGTTTTTTTCTGAATGTATACTGTTTTTCACCATAGGCCTGAATAGGTTCCCAAATGTACCTCCACAGATTCTACTAAAACAGTGTTTGCAATCTGCTGAATCAAAAGAAATATTTACCTATGTGAGATAAATCACACATCACAATGCAGTATCACAGACAGCTTGTTCCTACTTTTTATCTGGGGATATTCAATTTTTCACCATAGGCCTTTATGGGTTCCCATGTGTCCCTTTGCAGATTCTAAAAAAAGAGTGTTTTCAGCTCACTGAATGAAAAGAAAGATTAAAATCTGTGAGGTGAATGCACACATCACAAATCAATTTCACAGATAGCTTGTTTCTAGTTTTTTTTCTGGAGGTATTCAGTTTTTCACCATAAGCCTAAAAGAACTCCCAAATGTCCCTTTGCAGATTCTACAAAAAGAGTGTTTTCATCCTGCTGAATCAATAAAAACATTTAACTCTGTGAGATAAATGCACAAATCACAATGCAGTTTCAGAAATAGCTTCTTTCTAGTTTTTATCTGGGGATATCCGTTTTTTCACCATAGGCCTCAACAGGCTGTGATAGGTCCCTTTGCAGATTCTACCAAAAGAGGGTTTACAACCTACTGAATAAAAGACAGTTTTAACTCAGTGAGATGGATACACACATCACAAAGCAGTTTCACAGGTAGCTTCCTTCTAGTTTTTATTTATGGATACTTGGTTTTTCAACATAGGCCTCTATAGGCTCCCAAATATCCGTTTACAGATTCTACCAAACAAGTGTTTCCAACCTGCTGAATCCAAAGAAAAGTTTAACTCTGTGAGATAAATCTACACATCACAATACAGTTTCAAATATAGCTTCTTACTAGTTTTCATCTTGGAATATTTGTTTTTTCACAATCAGCTTCTATGGGCTTCCAAATGTCCCTTCGCAGATTCTTCCAAAAGAGTTTTTCAATCTGCAGAATCAAAAGAAAGGTTTAAATCAATGAGATGAATCCACACATCAAAATTAAGTTTTATAGATAGTTTCTGTCTAGTTTTTATCTGGGGATATTTGTTTTTTCTTGACAGGTGTGAGACGGCTCCCAAAATTCCCTACACAGATTATACCGAAAAAGTGTATCCAGCCTCCTAAATCAAAGGAGAACTTTAACTCTGTGAGATGAATGCATGCATCCCAATGCAGTTTCACAGATAGTTTTTTCTAGTTTTATCTTGGAATATTTGGTTTTAAACCATCATCATCAATGGGCTCTCAAATGTCCCTTTGCAGATTGTACCTAAAGCATCTTTCCAACCTCTGGAATCAAAACGTATGTTTAACACTGTAAGATGAAAACACATCTTACAAAGCAGTTTTACGGATCACTTCTTTCTAGTTTGTATCTGTTGATATTCTGTTTCTCACCATACACCTCAATAGGATCTCAAATGTCCCTTTGCAGATTCTGCAAAGGAAGTATTTGCAAACTCTTGAATCAAAAAGAAAGGTATAACTTTGTGAGATGAATCCACACATAACAAAGCACTTTCACAGATAGCTTCTTTCTAGTTTTTATCTGGGGATATTCAGTTTTTCACCACAGGCCTCTATGTGCTCCCAATTTTCCCTTGGTAATTCTATCCGAAGAGCATTTCCCGCCTGCTGAATCAAAAGAAAGGTTTATCTTTGTGAGATGAATCCAAAGCATTTTCAAAGACAGATGTTTTTCTAGTTTTTATCTGGGGATATTCTGATTTTCAGCATAAGACTCCATGAGCTCCGAAGTGTCCCTTCATGGATTCTACCAAAATAATATATCCAACCTGCTGAATAAAAAAGAAAGGTTTGGCTCTTTGAGATGAATCTCCACATCACAAAGAAGTTTCACAGATAGCTTCTTTGAAATTTTTATCTGGATATATTTGGTTATTCACCATAGGCATCTAAGAGTTCCAAAATGTCCATTCGCAGATTCTAGCAAAAGAGTGTTTCAATACTGCAGTATCAAAAGAAAGGTGTAACTCTGTGAGATGAATACACACATCACAAAACAGTTTTACAGATAACTTCTCTCTTGTTTTTTTTCTAGAAATATTTGGTTTATTACTGTAGGCCTCAAAGGGCTTCCAAATGTCTCTTTGCTGATTTTACAAAAAAAGTGATTGCAACCTGCTGAATCAGAAGAAAGGTTTAACTTTGTGAGATGAATCCACATATCACAAAGTAGTTTCACAGATAGCATCTTTCTAGTTTTTAACCTCAAGATATTTGGTTATTCACCATAGGAGTCTATGGGCTCTCAAATGTCACTTCGCAGCTTCTACAAAAAGAGTGTTTTCCAACTTGTTGAATGAAAACAAGGGTTTGACTCTGTGAATTAAATCCACACATCACAAATGAGTTTCACAGATAGCTTCTTTTTAGTTTTTATCTGGTTATATTCGTTTTTTATTACCATAAGCCTCAAAAGGCTCCCAAATTTCCCATTGCAAATTCTACAAAAAGAGTGTTTCCAAGCTGCTGAATCAAAAGAAATGTTTAACTTTGTGAGATGAATCCACACATCACAATGAAGTTTCACATATAACCTCTTACTAGTTTTTATCTGCTAATATTTGGTTTTTCAATGTAGACCTCAATGGACTCCCAAATGTCCCTTTGCAGGTTCTACAAAAAGAGTGCTTCCAACCTGCTGAATCAAAAGGAAGGTTAACATCTATGAGGTGAATCCACCCATCACAAAGTAGTTTCACTAACAGTTTCTTTCTAATTTTTATGTTGGGATATTCAGTTTTCCACCATAGTCCTCAATGGGTTTGCAAATGTTCCTTCACAGATTCTAACAAAAAAGTGTTTCCAACCAACTGCATCAAAAGAAAGTTTTAACTCTGTGAGAAGAATCCACACATCACAAAGCAGTTTCACAGATAGCTTCTTTCTAGTTTTTATCTAAATATATTGGGTTTTTCACCATAGGCCTTGATGTTGTCCCTTCGCAGATATTGCAAAATGAGTGTTTCCAACCTGCTGAGTTAAAAAAATCTTTAACTCTGTGAGATGAATCCACACAACTCAAAGCAGTTTCACAGATAGCTTCTTTATAGTTTTTATCTGGGAATATTCATTTTTTCCCCATAGGCCTCAATGGGCTCCAAAACTTTCCTTCAAAAATCCTAGAGAAGAGTGTTTTTAACATCCTAAATCAAAAGAAATGTTTAACTGTGTGAGGTGAATCCACACATCACAGTGCAGTTTCTCATGGCTTATTTCTAGTTTTTATCTGGGGTTATTTAGTTATTCAACATAGGCCTCCATGGGTTTCCAAATGTCCCTTTGCAGATTCTATCCTATGAGTGTTTCAAACCTGCTGTATGAAAAGAAAGGCTTAAGTCTGTGAGATGAATTCACACATCACTAAGAAGTTTCACAGGCAGCTTCATTCTAGTTTTTATCTGGGTATATTCAGTTTTTCATTATAGGCTTCCATGGCCCCAAATGTTTCTTCACTGATTCTACCTAAAGAGTGCTTCAAAACTGCTACATGAAAAGAAATGTTTCGCTCTGTGAGATGAATCCATGCAACACAAAGCACTTTCCAGATAGATTCTTTCTAGTTTTTATCTGGGGATATTCAGTTTCTCACCTACACCTTTATTGGCTTCCAAATGGGTAGGAGGACCCCCTGAAACTATTGCTGCAGAATAAAATATGAAATGCTCCTGATTATTGTAAATACAAAATTGCATGCAGGATTTTGTAAAGACAATGCCAGGTTGGGGTGCAAGAATGAGCCAAAAGCACATGATGTACTTCCCCCTGCAGAGGCCTGATAAACACACGTGCAGTCAAGGAGGTTTATCATCATCAATATCCCTATCCCAGAGAAGCAGATGTTTATAGTTTTGGGAATGCACATATCACACAGCAGTGTCTCACAGTGCTTCTTTCTAGTTTATTCTGAAGATATTTGCTTTTTCACCATATGCTACAATGCAATTTGAAATATCCTTTCTCAGTTTCTACAAAAACAGTGTCTCCAAACTGCCCTATCAAAAGAAAGTATTAACTCTGTGAGAAGAATGAGCACATCAAAAAGCAGTTTCTCAGAAAGCTGCTTTCAAGTATTTATCTGAGGATATTTCCTTTTTCACCATAGGCTTCAATTCGCTCCCAAATATCCCTTCACATATTTTAGAAAAAAAGGGTTTCCAAGCTGTTCAATCAAATGAAACATTTAACTCTGTGAGATGAACGCACACATCACAAAGCAGTATCTCAGAAAGCTTCTTTCTACTTTTAATCTGAAGATATTTCCTTTTTCACCATGTTCCCTAAAGTGCTTCCAAATATCCTTTCAGAGATGTTTCAAAAACTGTGTTTGGAAACTACTCAATAAAAAGAAAGCTTAAACTCTGTGAGAGGAATGCGGACATCACAAAGCAGTTTCTCAGAAAGCTTCTGTCTATTTTTTAGGTGAAGATATTTCAATTTTCTCCGTAGGCCTTAATTCACTCCAAAGTATCCCTTCACAGATTATAAAAAAAGAGTGTTTCCAAACTGCTTAATAAAAAGAAAGGTTTAACTCAGTGAGATGAATGCAGACATCACAAAGTAGTTTCTCAGAAACCTTCCTTCTAATTTTCATATGAAGACATTTCCTTTTACATTATAGGCCTCAAAGCACTCCCAAATATCCCTTCACAGATATTACAAAAACAGGGTTTCCAATATGCTCAATCAAAAGGAAGGTTTAACTCCGTTTGATGAATGCACACATCACAAAGCAATTTCTCAGAAATCATCTTTCTGGTTTTCATGTGGAGACATTTCCTTTTTCACACTGGACCTCAATGCTCTCCTATATCTACAAGGATATCCCTTGGCAGAGTCTACAAAAACAGTGTTTCCAAACTGAAAATCAAAGAAAAGTAAAACTCTGTGAGATGAATGCACACATCAGAAAGTAAATTGTCAAAAAGTATGTTTCCAGTTTATACTGTAGGATATTTCATTTTTTTACCATAGGCCTCAATGCACTACCAAATATCACTTTGCAGATTCTACAAAAATAGGGTTTCCAAACTGCTCTATCAAAAGAAAGCTTTAACTCTGTGAGATGAATGTACACATCACAAAGCTGTTTCTCAGAAATCTTTCTAGTTTTCATCTTAGGATATTTCCTTGTCACCGTAAGCCTCAATGTGTTCCCAAATACCCCTTTGTGGATTCTACAAAAACAGTGTTTCTAAACTACTAAATCAAAAGAAAGGTTTACCTCTATGAGATGAAAGCACACATCACAAAGCAGCTTCTCAGAAAGCTTCTTTCCAGTATTTATCTGAAGATATCTCCTTTATCACCGTAGGCCTCATTGCGCTCCCAAATGTGCCTTCACAGATTCTACAAGAACAGTGTTTCCAAACTGCTCAATCAAAGAAAAGGTTTAGCTCTCTGAGATGAATATACACATCACAAATAAGTTTCTCAGAGAACTTCTTCTACATTTTATCTAAAGATATTTCCTTTATCACCGTAGGCCTCAACGTGCTCTGAAATATCCCTTCACAGATTCTACAAAAACAGTGTTTCCAAACTGCTCAATAAAAAGGAAGGTTTAACTCTGTTAGAGGAATGCACACATCACAACGATGTTACTCAGAAATCTTTCTAGTTTTTATCTGAGGATATTTCCTTTTTCACCATAGGCCTCAATGCATTCCCAAATCTAGCTTTGCAGATTCTACAAAAACAGTGTTTCCAAATGCTTCAATCAGGAGAAAGGATTAACTCTGTGATATGAATGCACCCATCACAAAGCAGTTTCTCACAAAGCTTCTTTCTAGAATTCTCTGAAGATATTTCCTTTTTCACCATAGGCCTCAATGCACTCCCAAATATCCCTTCACAGATTCTACAAAATAGTGTTCCAAAACCAGTCAATCAAAACAAAATTTAACTCTGGGAGATGAATGCACACATTACAAAGCAGTTCTTTCAAAACACCTTTCTGGGTTTTATCTCAGGATATTTCCCTTCCCACCATAGGCTCCTATGCGCTCCCAAATATCCCTTCACAGATTCTACAAAAACGAATGCTTAAACTCTGGGAGACGAATGCAGACATCTCAAAGCAGTTTCTCAGAAAGTGTCTTTCTAGTTTTTATATGAAGATATTTCCTTTTACACCATAGGCTTCAATATGCTCCCATATATCCCTTCACAGATTCTACAAAAACAGATTTTCCAAGATGCTCAATCAATAGAAAGGTTGCATTCTGTGAGATGAATGGACACATCACAAATCTGTTAATTGGAAAGCTTCTTGCTAGTTTTTATCTGAGGAAATTTCCTTTTTCTCCATAGGCCTCAATGCACTCTCATATATCCCTTGACAGATTCTATAAAAACAGTGTTTCCAAACTGCCCAATTAAAAGAAAGGATTAACTCTGTGAGATAAATGCACACATCACAAAGCAGTTTCTCAGAAAGCTTCTTTCTAGTTTTTTTCTGAACATATATACTTTTTCACCATAGGCCTCAATGTGCTCAAAAATTTCCCTGTGCAGATTCAACAAAGTGTTTCCAAGATGCTCAATCAAAAGGAAGCTTTATCTGTATGATACGAATTCACACATGACAAAGGAGTTAGTCAGAAAGATTCTTTCTAGTTTTTATGTGAAGATATTTACTTTTTCGACATTGGCCTCATTGCGTTCCCAAATATCACTTCACAGATTCTGCAAAAATGGGGTTTCCAAACAGCTCAATAAAAAGAAAACTTTAACTTGGTGAGATGAATGCACACATCAGAAAACTAGAGAACTTTAACTCAGTGAGATGAATGCACACATCAGTGTGTGAGATGATGCACACATCAGAAAACTAGAAAGCTTCTTTCTAGTTTTTATCTAAAGGCATTTCCTCTTTCACCATAGGCCTCAAAGCATCCCAAATATTCTTTCACAGTTTCTACAAAAGCAGTGTTTTCAAACTGCTCAATCAGAAGAAAGGTTTAACTCTGTGAGATGAATGCACCCATCACAAAGCAGTTTCTCAAAAAGTTCTTTCTAGATTTATCTAAAGATATTTTCTTTTTCTCTGTAGAAATTTCTTTTTCTCTGTAGGACTCAATGCACTCCCAAATATGCCTTCACAGATTCTACAAAAACAGTCTTTCCGAATTGCTGAATCAAAAGAAAGTATTAACTCTGTGAGATGAATGCACACATCACATAGCAGTGTCTGAAAAACTTCTTTCTAGTTTTTATCTGAAGATATTTCCTTTTCTAACATACACTTCAAGGCACTCCCTAATATCCCATCACAGATTCTACAAAAACAGGGTTTCCAAACTGCTCAATCAAAAGAAAGGTTTTAATCTGTGATATGAATGCACACATCACAAAGCAGTTTCACAGAAAGATTCTTTCTAGTTTTCATCTGAAGTTATTTCCTCTTTCACCATAGGCCTCACTGCAGTCCCAAATATCCCTCCATAGATTCTACAAAATCAGTGCTTCAAAACTGGTCAATCAAAACAAAACTTGAACACTGTGAGATGAATGCACACATCACAAAGCAGTTTCACTGAAAGCTTCTTTCTAGTATTTATCTGAAGATATTTCCTTTTACAACATGGCCTCAATGCATTCCTTAACATCCCTTCAAGGATTATGCAAAAACAGTGTTTCCAAACTCCTGAATCATAAGAAAGTTTTAACTCTGTGAGATGAATGCACACACCACAAAGCTGTTTCTCAGAAAGCTTCTTTCTAGTTTTTATCTGAAGATATTTCCTTTTTCACCATAGGCACCAAAGCATTCTAAAGTATCCCATTGCAGGTTCTAGAAAAACACTTTCCAAACTGCTCAATCAAAAGAAAGGATTAACTCTGTGAGATAAAGACACACAGCACAAAGCTGTTTCTCAGAAATATTTCTAGTTTTTATTGGAGGTTATTTCCTTTTTCACCATAAGCCTAAATGCGTTCCCAAATATCCCTTCACAGAATATACAAAAATAGTGTTTCCAAACTACTCAATCAGAAGAAAGGCTTAACTCTGTGAGATGAATGCACTCATCACAAAGCAGTTATTCACAAAGCTTCTATCTAGATTTATCTGAAGATATTTCCTTTTTCACAGTAGGCCTCAATATGCTACCAAATATACCTTTGCAGATTCTACTTTCCAAACTGCTCAATCATAAGGAAGGATTAACTCTGTCAGATGAATGCACACATCACAAAGAAGTTTCCCAAAAAGCTTCTTTCTAATTTTTATCTGAAGATATTTCCTTTTCCACCACAGGCCTCAAGGCACTCCCAAATATCCTTTTTCAGATTCTAAAAAAAACAGTGTTTCCAAACTGCTCAATCAAAGCAAAGGTTTAACACTGTGAGATGAATGAATGCATCACAAAGCAGTTTCTGAGAAAGTTTCTTTCTAGTTTTTATGAGAAGATATTCCCCTTCTCACCATGGGCTTCGATACCCTCTCATATGTCCCTAGACAGATTCTATGAAAACAGTTTTTCCAAGATGCTCAATCAATAGAAAAGTTTAACTCTGTGAGATGAATAGACACATCACAAAGATGTTAATCAGAAAGCTTCCTGCTAATTTTTATCTGTGGAAATTTCCTTTTTCACCATAGGCCTCTATGTGCTCCCTTACATCCCTTGACAGATTTTACAAAAACAGTGTTTTCAAAGTGCTCAATCAGAAGAATAATTTAACTCTGTGGGATGAATGCATACATCACAAAGCTGTTTCTCAGAAGTCTTTCTACTTTTTATCTGAGGTTATTTCCTTTGTCGCCATATGCCTCAATATGTTCCCAAATATCCCTAGCAGATTCTACAAAAATAGTTTTTACAAACTGCTCAATCAAAAGAAAGGTGTAACTCTTTGAGATGAATTCACACATCACAAAGCAGTTTCTCAGAAAGTTTCTTTCTAGTTTTTATGTGAAGATATTTTCTTTTTCACCATAGGCTTCAACATGCTCCCATATATCCCTTCAAATATTCTACAAAAACAGTGTTTCTAAGATGCTCAATCAATAGAAAGTTTTAATTCTGTGAGATGAATAGACACATCACAAAGCTGTTAATCAGAAAGCTTCTTTCTACTTCTTATCTGAGGAAATTTCCTTTTTCACCATAGGCCTCAGTGCACTCCCATATATCACATGACAGATTCTATAAAAACAGTGTTTCCAAAATCTCAATCAAGAGAAAAGTTTAACTCTGTGAGATGAATGCACACATCACAAATCAGTTTCTCAGAAACATTCTTTCTTGTTTTTATCTGAAGAAATTTCCTTTTTCACCATAGGCCTCAATGTGCTCCAAATTATCCCTTTGTAGATTCAACAAAACCAGTGCTTCTAGGATGCTCAATCAAAAGAAAGCTTTATCTGGGTGAGATGAATGCACACATCACAAAGCAGTTAATCAGAAACTTCTTTCTAGTTTTTATGTGAAGATATTTCCTTTTTCAACATAGGCCTCATTGCATTCCAAAATGTCCCTTCGCAGATTCTACAAAAATGCTGATTCCAAATAGCTCAATCAAAAGAAAGCTTTAATTCGTGAGATGAATGTATACATCATAAAGCAGTTTCTCAGAAAGCTTCTTTCTGGTTTTTATCTGAAGGAATTTCCTGTTTCATCATAGGCCTCAAAGTGGGCCCAAATATTCCTTTGCAGTTTCTACAAAAATACTGTTTCCAAACGGCTCAAACAGAAGACAGGTTTAACCCTGTGAGATGAATGCACCCATCACAGAGCAGTTTCTCACAAAGATTCTTTCTAGATTTATCTGAAGATATTTCCTTTTTCTCTGTAGGCCTCAATATGCTACCAAATATCCCTTCACAGATTCTACAAAATCAGTTTTTCCAAACTGGTAAATCAAAATAAAGCTTAACTCTGTGAGATGAATGCACATATCACAAAGCAGTTCCTCCAAAAGATACTTTCTAGTATTTATCTGAAAACTTTCCAGATTTATCTGAGGATATTTCCTCTTTCACAATAGGCCTCAGTGCATTCCCAAATATCCCTTCGCAGAATCTACCAAAATAGTGTTTCCAAACTGCTCAATCAGTAGAAAGGTTTAACTCTATGAGATGAATGCATCCGTAACAAAGCAGTTTTTCACAAAGCTTCTTTCTAGTTTTATCTGAAGATATTTCCTTTTTCACTGTGGGCCTCAATGTGCTGCCAAATACAACTTTGCAGATTCTACAAAAGCAGTCTTTGCAAACTGCTCAATCCAAAGAAAGGTTTAACTCTGTGAGATGAATGCAAACATCACAAAGCAGTTTCTCAGAAAGCAACTTTCTAGTTTTTATCTGAAGATATTTTGTTTTCCACCATAGCCCTCAAGGCACTCCCAAATATCTTTTTGCAGATTCTACACAATCAGTGTTTCCAAACTGGTCAATCAAAAGAAAACTTTAACTCTGTGAGATGAATGCACACATCACAAAGCAGTTTCTGAGAAAGCTTCCTTCTAGTTTTTATGTGAAGATATTTCCTTTTCCACTCTAAGCCTCAAAGTACTCCCATATGTCCCTAGACAGAGTCTATAAAAACAGTTTTCCAAACTGCTCAATCAAAAGAAAGATTTAACTGCGTGAGATGAATGCACACATCACAAAGCAGTTCCTCAGCAAGGGTCTTTCTCTTTTTTTGTGAAGATATTTACTTTTTCACCATAGGCCTCAATACACTCCCAAATATCTCTTTCACATTCTACACAAACAGTGCTGCCAAACTTCTGAATCAAAAGAAAGGTTTAAATCTTTGAGATGAATGCACACATCACAAAGCAGTGTCTCAGAAAGCTTCTTACTAGTTTTCATCACAAGATATTATCTTTTTCACCATAGGCCTCTACGTGCTCCCAAATATCATTTTGCAGATCCTACAAAAAAGTCTTTCCAAGCTCCTCAATCAAAAGAAGGGATTAACACTGTGAGATGAAAGCAGACATCACAAGGCTGTTTCTCAGAAATCTTCCTAATTTTTATGTGAAGATATTTCCTTTTTCACCATAGGTCTTATTACATTCTCAAATATCCCTTTGCATATTCTACAAAAATAGTGTTTCCAAACTGCTCAATCAAAAGAAAGGTGTAACTCTGTGAGATGAGTGCACAACTCACAAAACTGTTACTCAGAAATATTTCTACTTTTTTTCTGAGGATATTTCCTTTTTCACCATAGATTTCAATGCACTTCCAAATATCCCATCACAGATTCTACAAAAACAGTCTCCCCAAGCTGCTCAATCAAAAGAAAGCATTAACTATGTGAGATGAATGCACACAACACAAAGCAGTGCGTCAAATTCTTCTTTCTAGTTTCTATCTGAAGTTATGTCCTTTTTGACCATAGGCCTCAAGAAGCTCCCAAATATCCCTTTGCAGATTCTAACAAAACAGTATTTCCAAACTGCTCAAGCAAAATAAAGATGTAACTCTGTGAGATGAATGCATACAACACAAATCAGTTTCTCAAGAAAGCATCTTTCTAGTTTTCATCTGAAGATAATTCCTTTTTCACCATAGGCCTTAATGTGCTCCCAAATATCCTTTTACAGATTCTACAAAATCAGTGTTTCCAAACTGGTCAATCAAACTAAAACTTTAACTCTGTGAGATGATTGCACACATCACAAAGCAGCTTCTCAAAAAGCTTCATTCTAGTTTTTCTCTGATGGAATTTCCTTTTTCACCATAGACCTCAATGTGCACCCATATATCCCTTCGTAGATTTTACAAAAACAGTGCTTCCTGACTGCTCAATCTAAAGAAAGGTTTAACTCTGTGAGAAGAATGCACATGTCACAAAGCAGTTTCTCATAAACAATCTTTCTTGTTTTTATCTGAGGATATTTCCTTTCTCACAATAGGCATCAATATGTTCCCGAATATCCCTTGGCATATTCTACAAAAACAGTGTTTCCAAACTGCTCAATAAAAAGAAAGGTTTAATTCTTTGAGAAGAATGCATGTATCACAAAACAGTTTCTGAAAAAGTTTCTTTCAGGTTTTTATCTGAAGATGTTTCCTTTTTCAGCATAGGCCTCATTGCACTCCCAAATATTCCATCACAGATTCTACAAAAACAGTGTTTCCACACTGCTCAATCAAAAGAACGTTTTAACTCTGTGAGATGAGTGCTCTCATCACAAAGCACTTTCTCAGAAAGCTTCTTTTTAGTTTTTCTCTGAAGATATTTCCTTTAACTCCAAAAGCCTCAAGGAGCTCCCAAATATCCCTTCGCAGATTCTAAAAAAACATTGTTTCCAGATTGCTTAATAAAAAGAAAGTTTTAACTCTGTGAGAAGAATGAGCGTATCACAAAACAGTTTCTGAGGAAGCTTCTTTATAGTTTTTCCCTGAAGATATTTCCTCCTTTAAAATAAGCTTTAATGAGCTCAAATATATGCCTTCGAGGAGTCTACAAAAACAGTGTTACCAAACTGCTCAATCAAAAGAAAGGTTTATCTCTGCGAGTCAAATGCATTCATCACAAAGCAGTTTCTCAGAGAGCTTCTTTCCAGTTTTTATCTGAAGATATTTCCTTTTTCAAAATAGACCTCAAAGGGCTCCCAAATATCCCTTCACAGATGCTACCAAAACAGTGTTTCCAAACTCTCCATGAAAACGAAGATTTAACTCTGTGAGAAGAATGCACACATCACAAAGTGGTTTCTGAGGATGCTTCTTTCTAGCTTTTATGTGAAGATATTTCCTTTTTCACCATAGGCCTCAATGCACTCCAAAACATCCCTTCGCAGATACTTCCAAAACAGTGTTTCCAAACTGCAATCAAAAGAAAGGTTTAACTCTGTGAGATGAATGCACACATCACAAGCAATTTCTTAGAAAACTTCTTTCTAGTTTTTCTCTGTAGATATTTCTTTTTCATCAAAGGCCTCAATGTGCTCCCATATATACCTTCGCAGATTCCACCATAACAGTGTTTCCAAGCTGCTCATTCAAAGGAAAGGTTAACTCTGTGAGATGAATTCACACATCAATAAACAGTTTCTCACAAAGCTTCTTTCCAGTTTTTCCCTGAAGAGATTTTCTTTTTCACAATACACCTTAATGTGCTCCTATATATGCTTTTGCAGATTATACTAAACAGTGTTCCCAAACTGCTTAATCAAAAGAAAGGTTTAACTTTGTGAGAAGAATGCACACAACAAAAAGGAGACTCTGAAAAACTTCTTTCAACTATTCATCTGAAGATATTTCCTTTTTCACCATAGGTCTCAATGTAGTCCCATATATCCCTTTGCAGATTCTATGAAAAGAGTGTTTCCAAAATGCTCAATCAAAGGAAAGGTTTAACTCTCTGAAATGAATGGACTCATCACAAAACAGTGTCTCAGAAAGCTTCTTTCTAGTTTTTCTCTTAAGATATTTCATTTTTCAGCGTAGGCCACAATGGGCTCCCAAATATCTCTTTGCAGATTTTACCAAAACAGTGTTTCCAAACTGCTCAACCAAAAGAAAAGTTTTACTCAGTGAGATGAATGCACACATCACAAAGCAGTTTCCCAGAACGCTTCTTTCTTGTTTTTATCTGAAGATATTTTGTTTTTCACCATAGGCCTCAATGCACTCCAAAATAGCCCTTCTCAGATACTACAAAAACACTGTTGCAAAACTGCTAAATAAAAAGAAAGGTTTCACTACGTGAGATGAATGTGCTCATCCCAAAGCAGTTTCTCAGAGAGCTTCTTTCTAGGTTTTATCTGAAGATATTTCCTATTTTACCATAGGTATGAAAGCACTCTGAAATATCCTTTTGCAGATTCTACCAAAACAGTGTTTCCAAACTGCTCAATCAAAAGATAGGTTTACCTCAGTGAGATCAATGCACATATCACAAAGCAATTTCTCAGAAAGCCTGTTTCTAGTTTTTCTCAAAGATATTTCCATTTTCACCATAGGCCTCGGTGCACTCCCATATACCCCTTCATAGATTCTACAAAAACAATGTTTCCAGACTGCTCAATCAAAAGAAAGGTTTGACATTGTGAGAAGAATGCACACATCACAAAGCAGTTTCTCAGAAAGCTTCTCTGTAGATTTTCTCTGAAGATATTTCCTTTTTCACCATAGGCTTTAATGCACTCCCATATATCCTTTCACAGATTCTACAAAAACAGTGTTTCTAAACTGCTCAATCAAAATAGAGGTTTAATTCTGTGAGATGAATGCACACATCACAAAGAAGTTTCTTAGAAAGTTTCTTTCTGGTTTTTATCTCAAGATACTTAATTTTTCACCATAGGCCCCTAAATGTTCCCAAATATCCCTTCTCAGATTCCACAAAAACACTCTTTCCAACTGCTTAATCCAAAGAGAGGTTTAACTCTGTGAGATGAATGTACTCATCACAAAGCAGTTTCTCAGAAACCTTCTTTCTAGTTTTTATCTGATGATATTTCCTGTTTCACCATAGGCCTCAAAGCATTCCCAAATATCCTTTTGCAGACTCTACAAAAACAGTGTTTCAAAACTGCTCAATCAAAAGAAAGGTTTAAATCTGTGAGATGAATGCACTCCTCACAAAGCAGTTTCTCAGATAGCTTCTTTCTAGATTTTCTCTGAAGGCATTGCCTTTTTCACCATAGACTTCCATTCTCTCCCATATATCCTTTCAAAGATTCTACAAAAACTGAATTTCCAAACTGCTCAATCAAAAGAGAGGCTTAACTGTGTCAGATGAATGCACACACCACACAGCAGTTTCTTAGAAAGCTTCTTTCTTGTTTCTCTCTGAAGATATTTCACTTTTCACCATAGGCCTCTAAATGTTTCCAAATATCCCTTCTCAGATTTCACAAAAACCCTGATAAAAAAAGTTTCCTTTTTTATCATAGGCCTAAAAGTGCTCTGAGAAATCCATTCACAGATTCTACCAAAACAGGGTTTCCAAACTGCTCAATCAAAATTTAAGTTTAAATCTGTGAGGCGAATTCACCCATCTCAACGCAGTTTCTCAGAAAGCTTCTTTCAGGTTTTTCTCAAATATGTTTTGTTTTTCAACATAGGCCTCTAATGGCTCCCAAATATCCCTTTGAAGATTCTAAAAAAACAGTGTTTCCAAACTGCTCAATGAAAAGAAAAGTTTAACTCTGTGAGATGAATGCACCCAACACAAAACAGTTTCTCTGAAAGCTTCTTTCTAGTTTTTCTCTGAAGATATTTCCTTTTTCACCACAGGCCACAAGGTGCTCCCAAATATCCCTTCACAGATTCTACCAAAACAGTTTCCCAAACTGCTCAAACAAAAGAATGATTTAACACTGTGAGAAGAATGCACACATCACAAAGCAGTTTTTGGCAAATCTTCCTTCTACTTTTTGTCTGAAGACATTTCCTTTTTCACAGTAGGCCTCCAACTGCTCCCAGATATACCTTCACAGATTCTACAAAAACAGTATATTCAAACTGTTCAATCAAAAAAAAGTTTAATTCTGTGAGGTGAATGCACACATCACAAAGCCGTTTCCCAGAAAGCTTGTTTTTCTTTTTTATCTGAAGATATTTAGTTTTTCACCATAGGCCTCAATGCTCTCCCAAATATCCCTGCATAGATCCTACAAAAACAGTGTTTCCAAACTGCTCAATCAAAAGAAAGGCTTAAATCTATGAGAAGAATGCACACATCCAAAGTAGTTCTGAGAAAACGTCTTTCTAGTGTTTATCTGAAGATATTTCCATTTTCAGCGTAGGCCTATAAGTGCTCCAAAATATCCCTTCACAGGTTCTACAAAAACAGTGTTTCCAATTTGTTTGATCAAAAGAAAGGTTTAACTCTGTGAGAAGAATGCACACTTCACAAAGCAGTTTGTGAGAAACCTTCTTTCTAGTATTAATCTGTAGATATTTCGTTTTTCAACTTAAGCAGCAATGTGCTCCAAAATATTCCTTTGTAGATACTACAAAAACAGTGTTACAAAACTTCTCAAGCAAAAGAAAGATTTAACACTGTGCACGAATGCATACATCACAAAGCAGTTTCCTAGAAAGCTTCTTTCTAGTTTTATATGTAGATATTTCTTTTTTCTCCATAGGCCTCACACCACTGTCAATTATCTCTTCTCAGATTCTACAAAAACACTGTTGCCAAACTGCTCAATCAAAAGAAAAGTTTAACTCTGTGAGATGAATACAAATATCATGAAGCAGTTTCGCAGAAAGCTTCTTTCTACTTTTTATCTGAAGATATTTCCTTTTTCACCCTAGGCCTTAAATAGCTCCAAAATATCCCTTCTCAGATTCCACAGAAAGTGTGCTGCCAAACTCCTCAATCAAAGGAAATGTTTATCTCTGTTAAAAGAATACACACATAACAAAGCAGTTTCTGTGAAATCTTCTTTCTACATTTTATCTGAAGATATTTCCTTTTTCACCATAGGCCTCAATGCACTTCCAAATATCCCTTTGCAGATTTTACCAAAACAGTTTTTCCAGATGGCTCAATCAAAAGAAAGGTTTAACTCTGTGAGAAGAATGAACACATGACAGTGTGGTTTATGAGAAAGCTTCTTTGAAGTTTTTATCTAAAGATATTTCCTTTTTCATGATAGGCCTCAATGTGCTCCCAAATATCTCTTTGCAGATTTTACAAAAACAGTGTTTCCAGCCTGCTCAATCAAAAGAAAGGTTTAACTCTGTGAGAAGAATGAGAACATCACAAAGCAGTTTCCCAGAAAGCTTCTTTCTATTTTTTATCTGAAGATATTTCCTTTTTCACCATAGGCCTCAATGCACTCAAAAATATCCCTTCAAAAATTCTACCAATAGAGTTTTTCCAGAGCAATCAACCAAGAAAAGGTTTAACTCTGTGAGAAGAATGAAAAGATCACAAAATGGCCTCTGAGAAAGCTTCTTTCTAGTTGTTATCTGAATATATTTCCTTTTTCACCCTAGGCCTGAATGCACTCCCAAATTTCCCTTTCCTGATTCTATCAAAACAGTGTTCCAAACTGCTCAATCAAAAGAAAGGTTGAACTCTGTGAGATGAATGCACACGTCACAAAGTAGTTTCCCAGAAAGCTTCTTTCTTGTTTTATCTGAAGATATTTCATTTTTCACCATAGGCCTCATAGTTCTCCTAAATATCCCATCTCAGGTTCTACAAAAAAACTGTTGTGAAACTGCTCAATCAAAGGAAAGGTTTAACTCTGTGAGATGAATACACACACCACAGGGCAGTTACCCAGAATGCCTCTTTCTAGTTTTTATCTGAAAGTAATTCATTTTTCACCATAGGCCTCAAACCACAGCCAAATATCCCTTTCAAGATTCCACAAAAACAGTGTGACAAACTGCTCAATCAAAAGAAAGTTTTAACTCTGTGAGATGAATGCACTCATCCCAAAGTGGATTCTAAGAAAGCTTCTTTCTAGTTTTTATCTGAAGATATTTCCATTTTTACCATTGGCCTCAATACGCTCCCAAATATCCCTTCCCAGATTCTACCAAAACTGTTTACAAACTGCTGAATCAAAAGAAGGGTTTAGCTCTGTGAGAAGAATTCCCACATCACAAAGCAGGTTCTCAGAAAGGTTTTTCTATTTTTTCTCTGAAATTATTTCCTTTTTAACCGTAGGCCTCAATGTGTTCCAAAATATCCCTTCACAGATTCTACAAAAACAGTCTTTCCAAATTGCTCAATCAAAAAAAAAGGCTTAAATGTGTGAGAAAAATGCACACGTCACAAAGCAGTTTCTGGTTTCTGAAAAAGGTTCTTTCTAGTATTTATCTGCAGATATTTTCTTTTTCACCATAAGCCTCAATGTGCTCCCAAATATAAATTTGCAGATTCTACAAAATCTGTGTTTCCAAACTATTCAATCCAAAAAAAGGTTTAACTCTGTGAGAAGAATGTGCATAACACAAAGCTGTTTCTGAGAAAGCTTCTTTGTAGTTTTTATCTGAAGCTATAACTTATTTCACCATAGGCCTCATGTACTCCCAAATATCCTTTCACAGTTTCTACAAAAACAGTGATTCCAAAGCCTGAATCAAAAGAAAAGTTTAACTCTTTGAGAAGAAGGTACACATCACAAAGCAGTTTCAGAGAAAGCTTCTTTATAGTATCTATGTGAAGATATTAACTTTTTCACCATAGGCCCCAATGCACTCCCAAATATCCCTTTGCAAATTCTACCAAAACAGTGTTTCCAACCTGCTTAATCAAAAGAAAAGTTTAATTCTGTGAGGTGAATTCACTCATCACCAAGCAGTTTATCAGGAATCTGTTTTCTAGTTTTTATCTGAAGATATTTTGTCTTTCACCATAGGCCTCAAAGCACTCCCAAATATTCCTTTGCAGATGCTACCAAAACAGACTTTTGAAAGGGCACAATCAAAAGAAACATTTAATTCTGTGAGAAGAATGCACACATCCAATGTGGTTTCTGACAAAGCTGCTTTCTAGTTCTTATCTGAAGATATATCCTTTTTCACCATCATCCTCAATGTGATCCAAATATCTTTTTTTGCAATACTCCCATAACCATGGTTCCAAAATGCACAATCAAAAGAAAGGTTTAATTATGTGAGATGAATACACACAACACAAAGCAGTTTCTCAGAAACTGTCTTCCTAGATTTTATCTGAAGATATTTCTTTTTTAACTATAGCCCTCAATGTGCTCCTAAATATCCCTTCGCAGATTCTACCAAAAGAGTTTTTCTAAACTCCTCAAAGAAAGGAAAGGTTTAAATCTGTGAGATGAATGCACACATCACAAAGCAGTTTCTCAGAAAGGTTCTTGCTAGTTTTTATCTGAAGATATTTCCTTTTCCACCATAGGCCCCAAAGTGCTCCCAAATATCCCTTCACAGATACTACCAATACAGTGTTTCCAAACTGCTTAATCAAAGGAAAGGTTTAACTCTGTGAGAAGAATGCACACTTCACAAAGCAGTTTCTCAGAAAGCTTCTTTCTAGATTTTCTCTGAAGATATTTCCTTTTTCACCATAGGCTTCAATGCATTCCTTAATATCCCTTTGCAGATTCTACCAAAAACATTTTTCAAAACTGCTCAATCAAAAGAATGGTTTACCTCCGTGAGATGAATGCAAACATTGCAGAGTAGTTTCCTGGGAAGCTTGCTTCCAGTTTTTATCTGAGGATATTTTGTTTTTCACCATAGGTCACCAAGTGGTTCCAAATATCCCTTCTCAGATTATACAAAAACAGTGTTTCTAAACTGGTCAATCAAAAGAGAGGTTTAACTCTGTGAGATGAATGCACACACCAAAAAGTGGTTTCCCAGAAAGACTGTTTCCAGTTTTTATCTGAAGATATTTTGTTTTTCACCATATGCCTCAAAGCACTCCCAAATATCCTTTCCCAGATTCTGCAAAAAAGTGTTTCCAAACTGCTCAATCAAAAGAAAGTTTTAAATCTGTGTGATGAATGCACTCTTCACAAAGCAGTTTCCCAGAAATCTTATTTCTACTTTTTATCTGAAGACCTTCCCGTTTTCACTATAGGCCTCAAAGTGCTCCCAAATATTCCTTCTCAGATTCCACAAAAACTGTGTTGCCAAACTGCACAATAAACAGAAAGGTTTAACTCTGTAACAAGAATGCACACATCAGATAGCAGTTTTTCAGAAATCTTCCTTCTAGTTTTTCTCTGAAGGTATTTCCTTTTTCTCAGTAGGCCTCAATGCTTTCCCGTATATCACTTTGCAGATTCTACAAGAACAGTGTTTCCAGACTGCTCAATCAAAAGAAAGGTTTACCTCTGTGAGAAGAATGAGCACATCAAAAAGCAGATTCTGAAGAACCTTCTTTCTAGTTTTTATCTGAAAATATTTCCTTTGTCACCATAAGCCTCAATGCACTCCCAAATATCCCTTTACAGATTCTACCAAAACAGTGTTTCCAAACTGCTCAATTGGAAGAAAGGTGTAACTCTGTGAGAAGAAACCACACTTCACAAAGCAGTTTCTGAGAGAACTTCTTTTGAGTTTTTCTCTGAAGATATTTCATTTTTCACCATAACCCACAAAGTGCTCCCAAATATCCCTTTGCAGATTCTACAAAAACAGTGTTTCCAAACTCTTCGATTAAAGGAAAAGTTTAACTCTGGGATATGCATGCACATATCACAAAGCAGTTTCTCAGAATGCTTCTTTCTAGTTTTACTCTGACGATACTTCCTGTTTCACCCTAGTCCTCAATGCAGTCTCATAAATCCCACGTTTGTTCTACAAAAACAGTCTTTCCAGACTGCTCAATCAAAAGAAAGGTTTAATTCTGTGAGATGAATGCACACACCACAAAGCAGTTATTCAGAAAGCTTCTTTCTAGTTTTTCTCAGAAGATATTTCCTTTTTCATAATAGGCCTCAATTTCACATCCATATATCCCTTCATAGATTCTACAAAAACAGTGTTTCCAAACTGCTCAATCTAAAGAAAGGTTTATCTCTGTTGGAAGAATGCACACATCACAGAAGTTTCTCAGAAACCATCTTTCTAGTTGTTATCTGAAGATATTTTCTTACTGACCATAGGCCTCTAAGCGCTCCCAAATATAGCTTCCCAGATACTCCCAAAACAGTGTTTCTGAACTACACAATCAAAAGAAAGGTTTAATTCTGTTAGATGAATGATCACATCTCAAAACTTTTTCTGAGAAATCTTCTTACTAGTTTTTATCAGAAGATATTTCGTTTTTAACCATAGCCCTCAATGTGCTCCTAAATATCCCTTGGCAGATGCTACCACATGAGTTTTTCCAAGCCACTCAAACAAAAGAAAGGTTTAACTCTGTGAGATGAATGCACACATCACAAAGCAGTTTCTCAGAAAGCTTCTTTCTAGTTTTTATCTCAAGATATTTCCTTTTACATCGTAGGACACAATGCGCTTCCAGGTTTCCCTTCATAGATTCTACAAAAACAATGTTTCCAAACTGCTCAATCAAAGGAAAGGTGTAACTCTGTTAGGAGAATAAACACATCACTAAGCAGTTTCCCAGAAAATTTCTTTCTAGTTTTTATCTGAAGATATTTCCTTTTTCACCATAGGCCTCAATGCCATCCCAAATATCCCTTCACACATTCTACAAAAACAGTGTTTCCAAACTGCTCAATCAAAAGAAACATTTAAATCTTTGAGATGAATGCACACATCACAAGGCAGTTATCCAGAAGCCTTCCTTCTACTTTTTATCTGAGGAGATTTCCTTTATCACCATATGCCTCAAAGCACTCCCAAATATTCATTTGTAGATTCTACAAAAACAGTTTATCCAAACTGCTCAAATTAAAGAAAGGTTTAATTCTGTGAGATGAATGCACTCATCACAAAGCAGTTTTTAGAAAGCTTCATTCTAGTTTTTATCTGAAGATATTTAATTTTTCATTCTAGGCCTTAAAGAACTCCCAAATAACCCTACTTAGATTCCACAAAAACAGTGTTGCAAAACTACTCAATCAAAAGAAAGGTCACCTCTGTGAGATGAATGCACTCATCTCAAAGCAGTTTCTCAGAAAACTTCTTTCTATTTTTTATCTCAGTATATGTCGTGTTTCAACATAGGTCTCAATACGCTCCCTTATATCCCTCTGTAGATTCTACTAAACAGTGTTTACAGACTCCTCAATCAAAAGAAAGGTTTAACTCTGCGACAAGGATGCTCATATCACAAAGCAGTTTCCAGAGAAAGCTCCTTTCTAGTTTTTATCTAAAGGTATTTACTTTTTCACCATAGGCCTCTATGTGCTCCCAAATATTTCTGCACAGATACTACCAAAACAGTGTTTCCAAACTGCTCAATCAAAAGAAAGGTTTAACTCTGTTGGATGAATGCACACAACACAAGGCAGTTACCCAGGAAGTTTCTTTCTAGTTTTTCTCTAAATATATTTCCTTTTTCACCATAGGCTTCAAAGTGCTCCCAAATATCCTTTCTAAGATCCTACAAAAACTGTGTTTCCATATGGCTTAATAAAAAAAAGGTTTAACACTGTGAGACGAATGCACTCATCAAAAAGCAGTTTCTCAGAAAGCTTCTTACTAGTTTTTATCTGAAGCTATTTCCTTTTTCATCATCATCCTCAATGTGCTCCCAAATATCCCTTCACAGATACTGACAAAACAGTGTTTCAAAACTGCACAATCAACAGAAAGGTTTAATTCTGTGAGATGAATGCTCACATCAAAGAGTGGTTTCTGAGAAATCATGTTTCTTGTTTTTATCTGAAGATAATTCTATTTTAACCATAAACCTTAAAGTGCTCCTAAATACACTTTCACAGATTCTACCAAATGTGGTTTTCCAAACTGCTCAAACAAAAGAAAGGCTTAACTCTGAGATGAATGTACATATCACCAAGTAGTTTCTCAGAAAGCTTCTTTCTAGTTTTTATCTGAAGATATTTCCTTTTTCACCATATGACTCAGAGCACTCCCAAATATCCTTTCACAGATTTTACCAATACAATTTTTCCAAACTTCTCAATAAAAGGAAAGGTTTAACTCTGTGAGATGAATGCACACATCACAATAAAGTTCCTCAGCAAGCTTCTTTCTGGCTTTTCTCTCAACTTATTTCCTTTTTCACCATAGTCCTCGATGTGCTTTAAAATATCCCATTGCAGATTCTACCAAAACAGTGTTTCCAAGCTGCTCCATCCAAAGAAAGGTTTAATTCTGTGAGATGAATGTGTACATCAAAAAGCAGTTTCCCAGAAAGCTTGTTTTCAGTTTCTATCTGAAGATATTTAGTTTTTCATCATAGGCCTCAAAGCGCTCCCAAATATCCCTTCTCAGATTCTACAAAAACAGTGTTTCCAAACTGCTCAATCAAAAGAATTGTTTAACTCTGTGAGATGAATGCACTCATCACAAAGCATTTCCTCAGAAAGATTCTTTCTAATTTTTATCTGAAGTTATTTCCTTTTCTACAATAGGTCACAATGTGCTCCCACGTATCCCTTCACAGATTCTACCAAAACAGTATTTCCAAATTACTCAATCAAAAGACAGTTTTAACTCAGTTAGATGAATGCACTAATCACAAATCAGTTTCTCAGAATGCTCCTTTCTAGTTTTTATCTGAATACATTTCCTTTTACACAATCAGCCTCAATTGACTCCCATATATTCCTTTTGTAGATTCTATTAAAACAGTGGTTCCAGATTGCTTAATCAAAAGGAAGATTTAACTCTTTGAGAAGAATGCACACATCACAAAGCAGTTTCTTAGAAAGCCTCTTTCTACTTTTTATCTCAAGATATTTCCTTTTTCACCATAGGCCTCAATGTGCTCCCAAGTATCCCTTGTTAGATTGTACAGAAAGTGTTTCCAAATGGCTCAATCAAAACAGTGGTTTAACTCTGTGAGATGAATGTACACATCACAAAGCATCTGCAGAAAGCCTTTTTCTAAAATGAATGATTTCTGCATTTCCAACTGAGGTACCAGGTTCATCTCATGGGGGAGTATCAGACAGTGGTTGCAGGACAATTTGTGCAGTGCACTGAGAGTGAACCAAAGCAGGGCAAGGCATCACCTCACCCAGGAAGTGCAAGGGGTCAGGGAATTCCCTTTCCTAGCCAAGGAAAGAGGTGACAGAGGGCACCTGGAAAATCGGGTCACTCCCACCCTAATACTGTGCTTTTCCGATGGTCTTACCAAATAGCACACAAGGAGATTATATCCCATGCCTGGCTCAGAGGGTCCCATGCCCATGGAGCCTCACTCATTGCTAGCACAGCAGTCTGAGATCATACTGCAAGGCAGCAACGAGGCTGGGGGAGGGGGCTTTGCTGAGGCTTAAGTAGGTAAACAAAGTGGCTAGGAAGCTTGAACTGGGAGGAGCCCACCACAACTCAAGGAGGTCTGCCTGCCTCTGTAGACTCCACCTCTGGGGGCAGGGCATAGCCAAACAAAATGCAGCAGAAACCTCTGCAGACTTAAATATCACTGTTTGACAGCTTTGAAGAGAGTAGTTGTTCTCTCAGCACACAGCTTGATATCTGAGAATGGACAGACTGCCTACTCAAGTGGGTCCCTGAACCCCAAGTAGCCTAACTGGGAGGCATCCCCCAGTAGGGGGAGACTGACACCACACACAGCCGGATACTCCTCTGTAAAAAAACTTCCAGAGGAATGATCAGGCAGCAACATTTGCTGTTCACCAATATCCTCTGTTCTGCAGCTTCTGCTGCTGATTCCCAGGCAACGAGGTCTGGAGTGCACCTCCAGCAAACTCACACAGACCTGCAGCTGGGGGTCCTGACTGTTACAAGGAAAACTAACAAAGAGAAAGGACATTCACAACAAAACCCCATCAGTACATCACCATCATCAAAGACCAAAAGTAGGTAAAACCACAAAGATGGGGAAAAACAGAGCAGAAAAACTGAAAATATTAAAAATCAGAGTGCCTCTCCTTCTCCAAAGGAACGCAGCTCCTCACCAGCAATGGAACAAAGCTGGACAGAGAATGACTTTGATGAGTTGAGAGAAGAAGACTTCAGATGATTAAACTACTCTTAGCTAAAGGAGGAAGTTTGAACCCATAGCAAAGAAGTTAAAAACCTTGAAAAAAGATTAGACAAATGTATAACTAGAATAACCAATGCAGAGAAGTCTTTAAAGTACCTGATGGAGCTGAAAACCATGGCACGAGAACTAAGTGACAAATGCACAAGCCTCAGTAGCCGATTCAATCAACTGGAAGAAAGGGTATCAGTGATGGAAGATCAAATGAATGAAATGAAGCGAGAAGAGAAGTTTAGAGGAAAAAAAAAAAAAGAAATGAACAAAGCCTCCAAGAAATATGGGACTATGTGAAAAGCCCACATCTACATCTGATTGGTGTACCTGAAAGTGATGGGGAGAATGGAATCAAGTTGGAAAACACTCTGCAGGATATTATCCAGGAAAATTTCCCCAATTTGGCCAGGCAGGCCAACATTCAAATTCAGTAAATACAGAGAACACCACAGAGATACTCCTCCAGAAGAGCAACTCCAATACACTTAATTGACAGATTCACCAAAGTTGAAATGAAGGAAAAAATGTTAAGGCCAGCCAGAGAGAAAGGTCGGGTTACCCACAAAGGGAAGCCGATCAGACTAACAGATCATCTCTCAACAGAAACTGTACAAACCAGAAGAGAGTGGGGGCCAATATTCAACATTCTTAAAGAAAAGAATTTTCAACCCAGAATTTCATATCCAGCCAAAGTAAGCTTCATAAGTGAAGGGGAAATAAAATACTTTACAGACAAGCAAATGCTGAGAGATTTTGTCACCACCAGGCCTGCCCTAAAAGAGCTCCTGAAGGAAGCGCTAAACATGGAAAGGAACAACTGGTACCAGTCACTGCAAAAACACACCAAATTATAAAGACCATCGAGGCAAGGAAGAAACTGCGTTAACTAATAAGCAAAATAACCAGCTAACATCATAATGACAGGATCAAATTCACACATAACAATATTAACCTTAAATGTAAATGGGCTAAATGCTCTATTTAAAAGACACAGACTGGCAAATTGGATTAAGAGTCAAGACCCATCAGTGTGCTGTATTCAGGAAACCCATCTCACATGCAGAGACACACATATGCTCAAAATAAAGGGATGGAGGAAGATCTACCAAGAAAATGGAAAACAAAAAAAAAGGGAGGGGTTGCAATCCTAGTCTGTGATAAAATAGACTTTAAGCCAACAAAGCTCAAAAGAGACAAAGAAGGCCATTACATAATGGTAAAGGGATCAATTCATCAAGAAGAGCTAACTACTTGCACCCTATACAGGAGCACTCAGATTCATAAAGCAAGTCCTTAGAGACCTACAAAGAGACTTATAATTCAACACAATAATAATGGGATATTTTAACACCCCACTGTCAACATTAGACAGATCAAAGAGGCAGAAAGTCAACAAGGATACCCAGGAATTGAACTCAGCTCTGCACCAAGAGGACCTAATAGACATCTACAGAACTCTCCACCCCAAATCAACAGAATGTACATTTTTTTCAACACCACACCACACCTATTCCAAAATTGACCACATAGTTGGAAGTAAAGCTATCCTCAGCAAATGTAAAACAACAGAAATTATAACAAATTATCTCTCAGACCACAGTGCAATCAAACTAGGACTCAGGATTAAGAAACTCACTCAAAACCACCCAACTACATGGAAACTGAACAACCTGCCCCTGAATGACTACT
The DNA here is from genome assembly GCF_000001405.40 of Homo sapiens. Taxonomy (NCBI): domain Eukaryota; kingdom Metazoa; phylum Chordata; class Mammalia; order Primates; family Hominidae; genus Homo; species Homo sapiens. Next base: position 27,600,233 of record NC_000019.10, on the reverse strand, counting down.
GGGTACATAACGAAATGAAGGCAGAAATAAAGATGTTCTTTGAAACTAATGAGAACAAAGACACAACATACCAGAATCTCTGGGTTGCATTCAAAGCAGTGTGTAGAGGAAAATTTATAGCACTAAATGCCCACAAGAGAAAGCAGGAAAGATCCAAAATTGACACCCTAACATCACAATTAAAAGAACTAGAAAAGCAAAGCAAACACATTCTCTTTGAAGCAATTGTGAATGGGAGTTCACTCATGATTTGGCTCTCTGTTTGTCTGTTATGGGTGTATAAGAATGCTTGTGATTTTTGTACATTGATTTTGTATCCTGAGACTTTCCTGAAATTGCTTATCAGATTAAGGAGATTTTGGGCTGAGACAATGGGGTTTTCTAGATATACAGTCATGTCATCTGCAAACAGGGACCATTTGACTTCCTGTTTTCCTAATTGAATACCCTTTATTTCCTTCTCCTGCCTAATTGCCCTGGCCAACACTTCCAACACTATGTTGAATAGGAGTGGTGAGAGAGGGCATCCTTGTCTTGTGCCAGTTTTCAAAGGGAATGCTTCCAGTTTTTCCCCATTCAGTATGATACTGGCTGTGGGTTTGTCATTGATAGCTCTTATTATTTTGAGATACGTCCCAACAATATCTAATTTATTGAGAGTTTTTAGCATGCAGAGTTGTTGAATTTTGTCAAAGGTCTTTTCGGCATCTGTTGAGATAATCATGTGGTTTTTGTCGTTCATTCTGTTTATATGCTGGATTATGTTTATTGATTTGCATATATTGAAAGAGCCTTGCATCCCAGGGATGAAGCCCACTTGATCATGGTGGATAAGCTTTTTGATGTGTTGCTGGATTCGCTTTGCCAGTATTTATTGAGGATTTTTATATCAATGTTCATCAGGGATATTGGTCTAAAATTCTCTTTTTTGGTTGTGTCTCTGCCCGGCTTTGGCATCAGGATGATGCTGGCCTCATAAAATGAGTTAGGCCGGATGCCCTCTTTTTCTATTGATTGGAATCATTTCAGAAGGAATGGTACCAGCTCCTCCTTGTACCTCTGGTAGAATTTGGCTGTGAATCCATCTGGTCCTGGACTTTTTTTGGTTGGTAAGCTATTAATTATTGCCTCAATTTCAGAGTCTGTTATTGATCTATTCAGAGATTCAACTTCTTCCTGGTTTAGTCTTGGGAGAGTGTATGTGTTGAGGAATTTATCCATTTCTTCTAGATTTTCTAGTTTATTTTCCTAGAGGTGTTTATAGTATTCTCTGATGGTAGTTTGTCTTTCTGTGGGATTGGTGGTGATATCCCCTTTATCATTTTTTATTGAATATATTTGATTCTCCTCTCTTCTTTATTAGTCTTGTTAGTGGTCTATCAATTTTGTTGATCTCTTAAAAAAAACAGCTCCTGGATTCATTGATTTTTTGAAGGGTCTTTTGTGTCTCTATTTCCTTCAGTTCTGCTCTGATCTTAGTTGATTCTTGCCTTCTGCTAACTTTTGAATGTGTTTGCTCTTGCTTCTCCAGTTCTTTTAATTGTGATGTTAGGATGTCAATTTTAGATCTTTCCTGCTTTCTCTTGTGGGCATTTAGTGCTATAAATTTCCCTCTACATAGTGCTTTAAATATGTACCAGTGATTCTGGTATGTTGTGTCTTTGTTCTCATTAGTTTCAAAGAACATCTTTATTTCTACCTTCATTTTGTTTTGTAGCCAGTAGTCATTCAGGAACAGGTTGTTCATTTTCCATGAAGTTGAGCGGTTTTGAGTGAGTTTCTTAATCCTGAGTTCTAGTTTGATTGCACTGTGGTCTTAGAGAGAGTTTGTTATAATTTCTGTTCTTTTACATTTACTGAGGAGTGCTTTACTTCCAACTATGTGGTCAATTTTGGAATAGGTGTGGTGTGGTGCTGAAAAGAGTGTATATTCTGTTGATTTGGGGGTGGAGAGTTCTGTAGATGTCTATTAGGTCCACTTGGTGCAGAGCTGAGTTCAATTCCTGGATACAAAATTAATGTCCAAAAATCACAAGCATTCTTATACTCCAATAACAGACAAACAGAGAGCCACATCATGCGTGAAATCCCATTCACAATTGCTTCAAAGAGAATAAAATACCTAGGAATCCAACTTACAAGGGATGGGAAGGACCTCTTCAAGGAGAATTACAAACCACTGCTCAATGAAATAAAACAGGATACAAACAAATAGAAGAATATTCTATATTCATGGGTAGGAAGAATCAATATCATGAAAATCGCCATACTGCCCAAGGTAATTTATAGATTCAATGCCATTCCCATCAAGCTACCAATGACTTTTTTCACAAAATTGGAAAAAAACTACTTTAAAGTTCATATGGACCCAAGAAAGAGCCTGCATTGCCAAGTCAATGCTAAGCCAAAAGTACAAAGCTGGAGGCATCACCCTACCTGACTTCAAACTATACTGCAAGGCTACAGTAACCAAAACAGCATGGTACTGGTACCAAAACAGAGATATTGACCAATGGAACAGAACAGAGCCCTCAGAAATAATGCCACATACCTACAACTATGTGGTCTTTGACAAACCTGACAAAAAAAAGAAATGGGGAAAGGATTCCTTATTTAATAAATGGTGCTGGGAAAACTGGCTAGCCATATGGAGAAAGCTGAAACTGAATTCCTTCCTTACACCTTATACAAAAATTAATTCAAGATGGATTAAAGACTTAAATGTTAGACCTAAAACCATAAAAATCCTAGAAGAAAACCTAGGCAATACCATTCAGCACATAGGCATGGGCAAGGACTTCATGTCTAAAACACCAAAAGCAGTGGCAACAAAAGCCAAAATTGACAAATGGGATCTAATTAAACTAAAGAGCTTCTCCACAGCAAAAGAAACTACCATCAGAGTGAATAGGCAACCCACAGAATGGGAGAAAATTTTTGCAATCTCCAAAAGACACATGAAAAGATGCTCATCATCACTGGCCATTAGAGAAATGCAAATCAAAACCACAATGAGATACCATCTCACTCCAATTAGAATGGGAATTATTAAAAATCAGGAAACAACAGGTGCTGGAGAGGATGTGGAGAAATAAGAACACTTTTACACTGTTGGTGGGACTATTAACTAGTTCAACCATTGTGGAAGTCAGTGTGGCCATTCCTCAGGGATCTGGAACTAGAAATACCATTTGACCCAGCCATCCCATTACTGGGTATATACCCAAAAGATTATAAATCATGCTGCTAAAAAGACACATGCACACACATGTTTATTGCAGCACTATCCACAATAGCAAAGACTTGGAACCAACCCAAATATCCAACAATGATAGACTGGATTAAGAAAATGTGGCACATATGCACCGTGGAAGACTATACAGCCATAAAAAATAATGAGTACATGTCCTTTGTAGGGACAAGGTTGAAGCCGGAAACCATCATTCTCAGCAAACTATCGCAAGGACAGAAAACGAAACACCACATGTCCTCGCTCATAGGTGGGAATTGAACAATGAGAACACATGGACACAGAAAGGGGAACATCACAAAACATGGACTGTTGTGGGGTGGGGGAGGAGGGAGGGATTGTATTAGGAAATATACCTAATGCTAAATGACGATTTAATGGGTGCAGCACACCAGCATGGCACATGTGTACATATGTAACAACACTGCACGTTGTGCACATGTACTCTGAAACTTAAAGTATTAAAAAATAAAGCTCCTTTCTAGTTTTTATCTGAAGATATTTCGTTTTTGACCTTAGGCCTCAAAATGCTCCCAAATATCCCTTATCAGATTCTACAAATACTGTGTTTCCAAACTGCTCAATCAAAAGAAAGGTTTAACTTGGTAAGACAAATGCACTCATCACAAAGCTGTTTCTCAGAAAGGTTCTTTCTAGAATTCATCTGATGAGAGTTCCTTTTTCCACATAGTTCTCAAAGAGCTCCCAAATATCCCTTCACAGATGCTACCAAAACAGTGTTTCCAAACTGATCAATCAAAAGAAAGATTTAACTCTGTGAGAAGAATGCACACATCACAAAGCTGTTTCTGAGAAAGCTTCTTTCTAGTTTTTATCTGAAGATATTGCATTTTTCACCATAGGACTCAAACAGCTCCCAAATATCCCTTCACAGATGCTACCAAAACAGTGTTTCCAAACTACTCATCATTAAAATAAAGATTTAACACTGTGAGAAGAAAGCAAACATCACAAAGTGGTTTCTGAGAATACTTCTTTCTAGTTTTAATTTGAAGATATTGCCTTTTTTACCATAGGCCTCAATAGGCTCCCTTATATCCTTTTGTAGATTCTACAAAAACAGTGTTTCCACACTGCTAACTCAAAAGAAAGGCTTAACTATGTGGGAAGAATGAACACATCACAAAGCAGTTTCTGACAAAGCTTCTTTCTCATTTTTATCTGAGGATATTTCCTTTTTCACCATAGGCATCAATGAGCTCCCAAATATTGCTACACGGATACTACCAAAACAGAGTTTCCAAACTGCTCAATTAAAGGAAAGGTTTAACTTTGTGAGATCAATGAACACATCAGAAAAATGTTTCCCAGACAGCTTGTTTCAGTGTTTATCTGAAGATATTTCCTTTTACAACATAAGCCTCAAATCGCTCCCAAATATTCCTTCTCAGATTCTACAAAAACACTGTTGCCAAACTGCTCAGTCAAAGAAAGTTTAAACCCTCTGAGATGAATGCATTCATCACAAAGCAGCTTCTCAGAAAGATTCTTTCTACTTTTTATCTGAAAATATTTCATTTTTCACCATAGGCCACTATGCAGTCCCAAACATCCCCTCACAGATTCTACCAAAACAGTGTTTCCCAACTGTCCTAGCAAAAGAAAAGTTTAACTCTGCGATATGAATGCACACATCACAAACAGTTTCTCAGAGAGCATGTTTCTAGTTTTTCCCTTAAGATATTTCCTTTTTCACAGTAAGTCTTAATGGGCTCCCACATATGCCTTTGCAGATTCTACAAAAACAGTGTTTCCAAACTGCTCAATCAAAAGAAAGTTTTAAATCTGTGAGAAGAATGCAGAGAACACAAAGAAGTTTCTGAGAAAACTTCTTTGTAGTTTTTATCTGGCGATATTTCCTTTTTCAACATAGGCCTCAAGTCGCTCCCAAATATCCCTTTGAATTTCCTACCAACATAGTATTTCTAAACTTCTCAATCAAAAGAAAGGTTTAACTCTGTGAGAAAATGCACACAGCACAAAGCAGTTTCTGAGAAAACTTCTTTCTAGTTTTTATCTGATGATATTTACTTTTTCACTGTAGGCTTCAATATGCTCCCAACATCCCTTCGCAGATCCTACAAAAACAGTTTTTCCAAACTAAGTTTCAACTCTGTATCATGAATACACACATCACAAAGCAGCTTCTCAGAAAGCTTCTTTCTAGTTTTTATCTGATGCTATTTCCTTTTTCACCATAGGCCTCAATGTGCTCCCAAGTATACCTTGGTAAAATTTACAGAAACAGTGTTTCCAAACTGCTCTATCAAAAGAAAGTTTTAACTCTATATGGTGAATACACTCATCACAAAGCAGCTTCTCAGAAAGCTTCTTTCTAGTATTTATTTGAAGATATTTCCTTTTTCACCATAGGTCTCAATGCGTTCCCAAATACACCTTGGTAAAATTTACAGAAACAGTGTTTCCAAACTGCTCAATCAAAAGAACGTTTTAATTCGTGAGAGGAAAACACTCATCACAAAGCAGTTTCTCAGAAAGCTTCTCTCTAGTTTTTCTCTGAATACATTTCATTTTCCACCATAGGCCTCTAAGTGTTCCAAAATATCCCTTCATAGATTCTACAAAACACTGTTGCCAAACTGCTCAATCAAAAGGAATGTTTAACTCCATGAGATGAATTCACTTGTCACCAAGTAGATTCTCAGAAAGCTTCTTTCTAATTCATCTCTGAAGATATTTCCCTTTTCTCCATAGGTCTCAATAAGCTCCCAAATAGCCCTTTGCAGATTGTACAGAAACAGTGTCTCCAAACTGCTAAATGAAAACAAAGTTTTAACTCTATAAGATGAATGTGCACATCACAAGGTGGTTTCTGTGAAAGCTTCCTTCTCGTTTTTTCTGAAGATATTTCCTTTTTCACCATAGAACTCAATTTGCTCCAAAATATCTTTTCACACATTCTACAAAAACAGTGTTTACAAATTGCTCAATCAAGGAAAGGTTTAACTTTGTGAGAAGAATGCACACATCACCAACGGGTTTCTGAGAAAGCTTCTTTCTAGTATTTATCTGAAGATGTTTCCTTATTCACCATAGGATTCAAGGAGCTCCTAAGTATCCCTTTGCAGACTCTACAAAAACAGTGCTTCCAAATTGCTCAGTAAATAGAAAAGTTTAATTCTGAGGGATGAATGCACTCATCACAAAGCAGTTTCTCAGAAAGCTTCTTTTTAGTTTTTCTCAAGATATTTCCTTTTTCACCATAAGCCTCAAAGCACTCCCAAAGATCCTTTTGCAGATTCTACAAAAAGAGTGTTTATAAACAGCTCAATCAAAAGAAAGGCTGAACTCAGTGGGACTAATGCGCACATCACAAAGCCATTTCTCAGAAAGCTTCTTTCTAGTTTTTATCTGAAGATATTTCCTTTTTTGGCATAGGACTCAATGCGCCCCCAAATATTGCTTTTCAGATTCAACAAAAACAGTGTTGCCAAACTGCTCAATCAAAAAAAAAGAGTTTAACTCTGACATGAATTCACACATCACAAAGCAGTTTCTCAGAAAGCTTCTTTCTAGTTTTTCTCTGAACGTATTTCCTTGTTCCCCATAGGCCTCTATGTGCTCCAATACATACCTATGTAGATTCTACAAAAACAGTGTTTCCAGACTGCTCAATCAAAAGAAACATTTAACTCTGTGAAAAGAAAGAACACATCACACAGTGGTATCTGAGAAAGTCTCTTTCTAGTATTTTTCTGAAAATATTTCCTTTTTCACCATAGGCCTCGAAGCACTCCTATATAGCCCTTCACAGATTCTACAAAGACAGTCATTCCAAACTTCCCAATCAAAAGAAACGTTTAAATGTGTGAGATGAATGCCCAAATCCAAAAGCAGTTTCACAGAAAGCTTCCTTCTAGTATTTATGTGAAGATATTTCCTTTTTCACCATAGGCCTCAAAGTGCTCTGAAATATCCCTTCACAGATTATGCAAAAACAGTGTTTCCAAACTGCACAATCAAAAGAAAGGTTTAACTCTGTGAGATGAATGCACACATCACAAAACAGTTTCTCAGAAAGCTTTTCTAGTTTTGATCTGTAGATATTTCCTTTTATACCTTGGGCCTCAAGGCACTCCCAAATATCCCTTTGCAGATTCCACCAAAACAGTGTTTACAACTGCTCAATCAAAAAAAGGTTTAACTCTGTGATATGAATCCACACTTTGCAAAGCAATTTCTCAGGATTTTTTTTTCTAGTGTTTCCCTGAGGATATTTTCTTTTTCACCATAGGCCTTAAAGAGCTCTCAAATATCCCTTCTGAGATTCTACAAAAATAGTGTCTCCAAACTGCACAATCAAAAGAAAAGTTTAATTCTGTGAGAAGAATGTGCACATCACAAAGGGATTTCTGAGAAAAATTATTTCTAGTATTTTTCTGAAGATAGTTTCTTTTTCACTATAGGCTTCAATGCACTCCCAAATTTCCCTAGGCAGATTCTACAAAAAAAGTGTTTCCAAACCTCTTAATCAGAAGAAATGTTTAACTCTTTGAGGTGAATGCACACATCACAAAACAGTGTTCTCAGAAAGCTTCTTTCTGTTTTTCTCTGAATATATTTCCTTTTTCACCCTAGGGCCCAATGGGCTCCCAAGTATCCCTTTTTAGATTCCATAAAAAGGGTGTGTCCAATTTGCTCAATCAAAATAAAGATTTAACTCTGTGAGAAAATGCGCACACCACAATGCAGCTTCTGAGAAGATTCTTTGTAGTTTTTATCTGAAGACACTTTCTTTTTTACCATAGGCCTCAAAGCGCTCCCAAATATCCTTTCACAGATTCTACAAAAACAGTGTTTCCAAACTGCTCAATCAAAAGCAAGGTTTAATTCTGTGAGAAGAATGCACACATCACTAAGGGATTTTTGAGAAAGTTTCTTTCTAGTATTTTTCTTTAGATATTTTATTTTTCACCATAGGCTTCAATGTGCTCCCAAATATCCCTTTTTAGATTCTGCAAAAGCAGTGTATCCAAACTGCTCATTCAATAGAAGGGTTTAATTCTGTGAGATGAATGTACTCATCATAAAGCAATTTCTCAAGAAGCTTCTTTTTGTTTTTTTCTGAAGATATTTCCTTTTTCACCACAGTCCTTAAAGCACTCCCAAATATCCCTTTGCAGATTCTACAAAAACAGTGTTTCCAAACTGCTCAATCAAAAGAAACGTTTAACTCTGTGAGATGGATGCACAAATCACAAAGGGATTTCTGAGAAAGCTTCCTTCTAGTATTTTTCTGTAGATATTTCCTTTTTCACCATAGGCCTCAAAATATTCCCAAATAGCCCTTCTCAGATTCTACAAAAACGGTGTTGCCAAACTTCTCAATCAAAAGAAAGTGTTAACTCTGTGAGATGAATGCACTTATCACAAAGCAGTTTCTCAGAAAGCTTCTTTCTGGTTTTTCTCTGATGATATCTCTTTTTTCACCATAGTCTCCAATGCACTCCCAAATAACCCTTTGCAGATTCTACCAAAACACTGTTTCCAAACTGCTCAATCAAAAGAAAGTTTAACTCTGTGAGATGAATGCCCACTTTGCAAAGCAGTTTCTTAGAAAGCTTCTTTCTAGTTTTTCTCTGAAGATATTTCCTTTTTCACTGTAGGTCTCAATGTGCTCCCATATATCCCATCGTAGATTCCACAAAAACTGTGTGTCCGTATTGTTCAATCAAAATAAAGGTTTAGCTCTGTAAGAAGAATGCACACAACACAAAGGGGTTTTACAGATAGCTTCCTTCTGGTTTTTATCTGGAAATATTATGTTGTTCACCATAGGACTCAATGGGCTCCAAAATGTCTCTTCACAGAGTCTACAAAACGAGTGTTTCTTACCTGATGAGTCAAAAGAAATGTTTAACTCTGTGACCTAAAACCACACTTTACAATGCAGTTTCACAGATAGCTTCTTTCTAGTTTTTATCAAGGTATATTCAGTTTTTCACAGTAGGCCTCCATGGGATCCCAAATGTCACTTGGCAGATTCTACCAAAAGAGTGATTCCAATTTGCTAAATCAATAGAAATGTTTATCTCTCTGAGATAAATCCAGACATTACATATCAGTTAAACAGATGGTTTCTTTCTAGTTTTCATCTGAAGTTATTGAGTTTTTCACTGTAGTCATCTACGGGCTCTTAAATGTCCCTTCACAGATACTAACTAAAAAGTGTTTCATAGCTGCTGTGTTTAAAGAAATGTTTAACTCTGTGAGTTGAATCCATACATCTCAAAGCAGTTACATATTTAGCTTTTTTCTAGTTTTTATCTTGGGATATTCTGTTTTCCATCATAGGCCTATATAGGCTCTTAAATGTCCCTTCACAGATTCTATCTAAAAAATATTTCAAACATGCTATATTGACAGAAAAGTTTAACTCTGTTAGATGAATAAACACATCCCAAACAGTTTCAGAAAGAGCTTCCTTCTAGTTTTTATCTGGGGATTTTCTGGTTTTCATTCTAGGCCTCAAAGGTCTCTCAAATTTCTGTTGGCAGATTCTACAAAAAGGTGTTTCCAACCTGCTGAATCAAAATAAAATTTTAACTCTGTGAGATGAATCCACGCATCACAAAGCACATTCACTGACATCTTCTTTCTAGTTTCTATCTTGAAATACATATATATATATTTACCCTAGACTACAGTGGGCTCACAAATCTCATTTTGCAGATTCTAGCAAAAGAGTGTTTCCAACATACTGAGTAAAAAGAAAGATTTAAGTCTTTGAGAGGAATCCACACATCACAAAGCAGTTTCAAAGACAGCTTCTTCCTGGTTTTAATCTGGGGATATTTTGTTTTTCACCATAGGCTTCCAGGGGCTCCCAAATGTTCCTTCACAAATTCTAACCAAAGAGTGTTTCCAACCTGTTAAATCCAAAGAAAGGTTTAACCCTGTGAGATGAATCCACACATCACAAAGCAGTTTCACAGATCACTTTTTTTTCCAGTGTTTATCTGGGGATATTCGTTTTTCATCATAGGCCTCAATGGACTCCCAAAATTTCTTTGCAGACTCTATAAAAAGAGTGTACGCAACTTGCTGATTCAATAGACAGGTTTATCTCTGTGAGATGAATCCACAGACGACAGGGCTGTTTCACAGATAGCTTCTTTCTAGTTTTCATCCGTGAACATTCGGTTTTTCACCATGGGCCACAAAAAGCTCTCAAATTTCTCTTTGCAGATTCTATGAAAACAGTGTTTCCAACATGCTATAACAAAAGAAACATGTACCTCTGTGAGATGAATCCACACATCACAAAGAAGTTCACAGATACCTTCTTCCTAGTTTTTATCTGGAGATATTGTATTTTTTTAAATAGGCTTCAAAGGGCTTCAAAATGCCCCATGCAGATTCTACAAAACGAGTGTTTCCAACCTTCTGAATCAAAGGAAATGTTGATCTCTGTGAGATCAATCCACGTATCACAAAGCAGCTTAACAGATACTTTTATCCTAGTGGTTATCTGTGGACATATGGTTTCTTACCAAAGGACTCAAACGGCTTTCAAAATTATCTTCACAGACTCTGCAAAAGTACAGTTTGCAACCTGCTGAATTAAAAGAAAGGTTCAACTCTCTGGGATGAATCCACACATCACAGAGAAGTTTCACAGATAACCTCTTTCTAGTTTTGATCTTGGGATATTTGGTTTCTTACGATAGACTACAGTGGGCTCATAAATGTCCCTTTGCAGGTTCCAGAAAAAGAGTGTTTCTAACCTAGTGAATCAAAAACAAGTTTAACCCTTTGAGATGAATCTACATATCACTAAGCAGTTTCACAGAGAGCTTCGTTCTAGTTTTCATCTGGGGATATTTTTTCACCATAGTTCTCTATTGGATTCCAAACCTCCCTTCCCATATTCTACCAAAAGAGTGTTTCAAACCTGGTTAATAAAAGAAAAGGTTTAACTCTGTGAGAAGAATCCACTCATCACAAAACAGTTTCACAAATAGCTCAAAATAGCACAAAAAAGTTCACAGATAGCTTCTTCCTAGTTTTTATCTGGGGATACTGTGTTTTTTTTTTAACCATAGTCCTCAAAGGGCTTCAAAATGCCCCATTCAGATTATATGAAAGAGTGTTTCCAACCTGCTCAATCAAAGGAAATTCATCTCCATGAGATGAATCCACAAAAAAAAAAAAAGCAGTTTCACAAATAGCTTCTTTCTGGTTTGTATCTGTGTGTATTTGTTTTTTCACTACATTCCTGAAAGGGTTCCCATATGTACCTTCGCAGATTCTATAAAAAGAGTGTTTGTAACTGCTGAATCAAAGAAAGTTTTAACTTTGTGATATGAATACAGACATCACAAAGCAGTTTCACAGATAGCTTCTTTCTAGTTTTTATCTGGGGATATTATTTTTTCACCCTAGGTCCCCATGGGCTCCCAAATGACCCTTCACATATTCTACCTAAAGAGTATTTCAAATTTGCTGTATCAAAAGAAAGGTTTAAATCTGAGTGGTGAATCCACACATCACAAAGCAGTTTCACAGGTAGCTTCCTTCTAGTTTTGAACTGGGGTTATTGTTTTTTCACCATAGGCCTCAAATGGGCTTCAAAATATCCCTTCACAGTTCTACAAAACGAGTGTTCCCACCTGCTGAATCAAAGCAAAGGCTTATCCCTCTGAGATGAATACACACATCACAAAGCCATTTCACAGATAGCTGCTTTGTTGTTTTCATCTGTGGATATTCTGCTTTTCACCATAGACCTCAAAAAGTTTCCAAATCTCCCTTCACAGATCCTGCCAAACAAGTGTTTCCAAACTGCTTAATCAAAATAGATGTTTGACTCTGTGAGATGAATCCACACATCACAGAGCAGTTTCACAGGTAGCTTCTTTATTGTTTTTATCTGGGAGTATACGGTTTTTCACCATAGGTCTCAATGGGCTCCCACATGTCAATTTCCTGATTTTACCAAACGAGTGTTTCCAAACTGCTGAACAATAGAAAAGTTTCACTCTGTGAGTAGAATCCACACATTACTAAGTAGTTTCACTAAAAGCTTCTTTCTAGCTTTTATCTTTGAATATTCAATTTTTCACAGTGTGCTACATTGGGCTCACAAACGTCCTTTCTCAGATACTAGCAGATGTTTACAACCTGCTGAATCAAAAGAGAGGTTTAACTCTCTGAGATGATTCCACACATAAAAAAGCAGGTTCACAGATAGCTTATTTCTGGTTTTTATCTGGGGATATTCTGTTTTTCAACAATGGCTTCTATGGGCTTTCAAATGTCCCTTCACAAATTCTAGCTAAAGAGTGTTTCAATCCTGCTGTATCAAAAGAAAGCTTTAACTTGGTGAGAGAAATCTACACGTCACAAAGCAATTTCACAGATAGCTCCTTTCTAGTTTTTATTTGTGGACATTTGGTTTTTCACCATAGGCCTCAAAGGGCTTTGCAGATTCTACGAAAAGAGTGTTTCCAACACACTGTATTAAGGAAAGTTGTAGCTCTTTGAGATGAATCCAGACGTCACAAAGCAGTTCACAGATACCTGGTGATATTCTCTCTTTCACCATAGGCCTCAATGGGCTTCCAAATATCACTTAGCATATTATACAAAATGAGTGTTTTTACCTGTGGACATTTGGTTTTTCACGATAGGCCACAAAAGGCTCCCAAATATCCCTTTGCAGATTTTACCAAAAGAGTGTTTCCAACACGGTAAATTGAAAGAAAGGCTTACCTCTGTGAGATGAATCCACACATCACAAAGCAGTTCACAAAGAGCTTCTTTCTAGTTTTTATCTGGGGATATTGGGTTTTTCACTATATGCCACAATGGGCTTCAAAATATCTTTTTGCAGATTCTACAAAATGAGTGCTTCCAACCTGCTGAATCAAAGGAAAGGTTTAACTCTGTGAGACGAATCCACTCATCAAAAAAGCAGTTTCACGGATAGCATCTTTCTGGTTTTTATGTGAAGATATTAAGTTGTTCACTACAGTCTTCAAAGGGCTCCTAAGTGTCCCTTTTCAGATACTACAAAAAGAGTATTTGCAAGCTGCTGAATGAAAAGAAAGGTTTAACACTGTGAGTTGAATCCACACATCATAAAGCAGGTTCGCAGATAGCTTCTTTCCAGTTTTTATCTGCGTATATTCGGTTTTTCATCATAAGGCTCAATTGACTCACAAATGTCCCTTTGCAGATTCTACAGAACGAGTGTTTCCAACCTGCTGAAACTAAAGAAGGGTTTAACTCTTTGAGATGAATCCACACATCACAAAGTAGTTTCACAGATAGTTTCTTTCGAATTTTTATCTGGGGAAATTTGTTTTTCACCATAGTCCTCGATGGGCTCCTGAATGTCCCTTGCAGATTCTACAAAAGAAGTATTTGCAACCTACCCAACCAAAGGAATGGTATAACTCTGTGAGATGCATCCACCCTTCACAAAGCAGTTTCACAGATTGCTCTTTTCTAGTTTTTATCTGGGGATGTTCGGTTTTTCACTGTATGCTTCATTCGCCTTCTAATGTCTTTTCGCAGATTCTGTGAAAGAGTGTTTCATACTGCTGAATCAAAGATAGGTTTAACTCTGTGAGATGAATCCACACATCACAAAGCAGTTTCACAGATAGCTTCTTCCAACTTTTTATCTGGGAATATTTTGTTTTTCACCATAACCTGCAAAGGGCTCCCTAATGTACCTCAACAGATTCTGCCAAAAGATTATTTCCAACATGCTCAGTCAAAACAAAGGTTTAACTCTGTGACATGAATTCCCATATCACAAAGCAGTCTCACAGTTAACTTCTTTCTAGTTTTTACCTGGGGATATTTTAACTTTCACCATAGGCTGAAATGGGCTCCCAACTATTCATTCACAGATTCTACAAAAGGAGTGTATGCAAATAGGTGAATTAAAAGAAAGGTTTAACTCTGTGAGATGAATCCACACATCACAAAGTGGTTTCACAGATAGCTTCTTTCTTGTTTTTATCTGGGGATAATCAGTTTTTCACAAGAGGCCTCAAAGGGACTTCAAATATCCCTTTGCAGATTCTACAAAAATAGGGTTTCCAGCCGTTAAATCAGAGGAAAGTTTTAAAACTGTGAGATGAATCCACACATCACAAAGCAATTGCACAGATAGCTTCTTTCTAATTTTATTCTGGGGATATTTTGTTTTTCACCAAAGGCCTCAATGGGCTCCCTGAGATCCCTTCTCAGATTCTACAAAAAGAGTGTTTTCAACCACAGCTAAATCAAAAGAAAGGTTTAACTGTGTGAGATGAATGCGTTCACCACAAGGCAGTTGTAACTATAGCTGCTTTCCTGTTGTTATCTGAGGATATTCGGTTTTTTACTACAGTTCTCAAAGTACTACCAAATGTCCCTTGGCAGATCCTACAAAAGGAGTGTTTGCAAGCTACTTAAGCAAAGGATACCTTTAACTCTGTGAGATGAATCCACACATCACAAAGCAGTTTAACATATAGCTTCTTTCTAGTTTTTATCCTGGGATATTCTGTTTTACTCCATAGGCTACAGTAGACTTGGAATGTCCCTCTGCAGATTCTAGCAAAGGAGTGTTTGCAACCTGCTGAATCAAATAAACTTTAAACTCTGCAAAGAATCCACACGTCAGAAACTATTATTACAGATAACTTCATTCTAGTTTTTATCCGGAGATATTCGGTATTTCACCATAGGCTTCAAAGGGCTCCCATATGTACCTTGGCATATTGTGCCAAAAAAGTATTTCCAAGCTGCTGAATCAAAAGAAAGGTTTAATTCTGTGAGATGAATCCGTACATCACAAAGCAGTTTCACAGATAGCTTCTTCTAGTTTTTATCTGGCAATATTCTGTTTTTCAACTTAGGCCTATAGGGGCTTAAAAACGTCTCTTCACAGATTCTATTTAAAGAATATTTCAAAACTGCTGTATCTAAAGAAATGTTTAACTCTGTGAGATGAATCCACACATCAAAAAGCAGTTTCACAGATAGCTTCTTTCAGAATTTTTTCTGAAAGTATTCGGTTTTTCACCATAGGCCTGAATAGGCTCCCAAATATACCTTGACAGATTCTACTAAAACAGTGTTTGCAACCTGCTGAATCAAAAGAAATGTTTAACTATGGGAGATAAATCACACATCACCATGCAGTTTCACAGACAGCTTGTTTCTAGTTTTCATCTGGGGATATTCAGTTTTTCACCACAGGCCTTTATGGGCTCCCATGTTTCCCTTTGCAGATTCCAAAAAAAAAAAAAAAGAGTGTTTTCAGCTCGCTCAATGAAAAGAAAGGTTGAAATCTGTGACATGAATCCACACATCACAAAGCAGTTTCACAGATAGCTTGTTTCTAGTTTTTGTCTGGGGATATTTGGTTTTTCACCATAGGCCTAAAAGGGCTCCCAAATGTCCCTTGAAGATTCTACAAAAAGAGAGTTTCCATCCTGCTGTTTCCAAAGAAAGGTTTGACTCTGTGAGATGAAGCTGCTCATCACAATACAGCTTTAAATATAGCTTGTTTCTAGTTTTCATCTTGGAATATTTGGTTTTTGTCAATCATCTTCTATGGGCTTCCAAATGTCCCTTTGCAGATTCTTCCAAAAGAGTTTTTCAATCTGCAGCATCAAAAGAAAGGTTTAAATTAATGAGATGAATCCACACACCACAATACAGTTTCATAGGTAGTTTCTGTCTAGTTTTTATTTGGGATTATTTGGCTTTTCATGACAGGTGTGAAAGGGCTCCCAAATGTCCCTGCACAGATTATACCAAAAAAGTGTATGCAGCCTGCTGAATCAAAAGAAAAGTTGAACTCTGAGATGAATCCACGCATCTCAATGCAGTTTCAAAGATTGTTTTTTATAGTTTTTACCTTGGAATATTCAGTTTTAAACCATCAGCGTCAATGGGCTCCCAAATGTCCCTTCGCAGATTCTACCTGAAGTGTCTTTCCAACCTCCAGAATCAAAACGTATGTTTAACTCTGTAAGATGAATCCACACAGTACAAAGCAGTTTCACAGATAGCTTCTAACTAGTTTTTATCTGTTGATATTCAGTTTCTCACCATAGGCATCAATGGGCTCTCAAATATCCCTTCCCAGACTCTGGAAAGGAAGTATTTGCAAACTCCTGAATCAAAAAGAAAAGTTTAATTTTGTGAGTTGAATCCACACATCACAAAGCACTTTCAATGATAGCTTCCTTGTAGTTTTTATCTGGGGATATTAAGTTTTCACCACTATATAGGCCTCTATATGCTCCAAACTTTCCCTTTGTAATTCTATCCAAAGAGCATTTCCAACATGCTGAATTAGAAAAAGGTTTATCTCTTTGAGATGAATCCACACATGACAAAGCATTTTCAAAGATAGATTTTTGGGTTTTTTTTTTCTGGGGATATTCAATTTTTCAGAATGGGCTCCCAAGTGTCCCTTCACAGATTTTACCAAAATAATGTTTCCAAACTTCTGAAGAAAAAGAAAGTTTTAGCTCTGTGAGATGAATCCTCACATCACAAAGAATTTTCACAGATAGCTTCTTTGAAGTTTTTATCTGGATATATTTGGGTTTTCACCATAGGCCTCTAAGGGCTCCAAAATGTCCATTCACAGATTGGTGAATACTAAAGTGTATTTCAATGCTGCAGTATCAAAAGAAAGGTGTAACTCTGTGAGATGAATAAGCACATCACAAAGCAGTTTTACAGATAGTTTCTCTCTTATTTTTTTATGGAAATATTTGGTTTATTACAGTAGGCCTCAAAGGGCTCCAGAAGTCCCTTCACTGATTTTACAAAAAAAGTGTTTGCAACCTGCTGAATCAGAAGAAATGTTTAACTTTTTGAGATGAATCCACATATCACAAAGCAGTTTCACAGATAGCATCTTTCTAGTTTTCACCTCAAGATATTTGGTTATTCACCATAGACCTCTATGGGCTCTCAAATGTCCCTTTGCAGCTTCTACAAAAAGTGTTTCCAAGCTGCTGAATCAAAAGAAATGCTTAACTTTGTGAGAAGAATCGACACATCACAATACAGTTTCATTGATAACCTCTTTCTAGTTTTATCTGGCGATATTCCATTTTTCAACATAGACCTCAGTGGACTCCCAAATGTCCTTTTGCAGGTTCTACAAAACGAGTGTTTCCAACCTGCTGAATAAAAAAAAAAGGTTAACCTTTGTGAGGTGAATCCACCCATCACCAAGCAGTTTCATTAACGGTTTCTTTCTAGTTTTTATGTTGGGATATTCAGTTTTTCACCATATCCTCAATGGGTTTGCAAATGTCCCTTCTCAGATTCTACCAAAAAAGTGTTTCCAACCAACTGCATCAAAAGAAAGTTTTAAAACTGTAAGAAGAATCCACACATCTCAAAGCAGTTTCACAGATAGTTTCTTTCTAGTTTTTATCTGGTAATATTCGTTTTTTCCCCATAGGCCTCAATGGGCTCCAAATCTTTCCTTTACAGATTCTAGAAAAGAGTGTTTTTAACATGCTGTATCAAAATAAATGTTTAATTGTGTGAGGTGAATCCACACATCACAATGCAGTTTCACAGACAGCTTATTTCTAGTTTTTATCTGTGGTTATTTTGTTATTCACCCTAGGCCTCTATGGGTTTCCAAATGTCCCTTTGCAGATTCTATCCAACCAGTGTTTCAAATCTTTAAAATGATATTAGGTAGTAAAAGCAATTGAGCAACTGACTCACTGGCTGGAATGGAAACAGAAACCTTGGCAGAAATGATTAATTTAATCTCATCAACAGAATCAGAATTAATGAGACCAGTATGAATGGTGATTCCTTTAGCAGTGGTGGATGCCCTACCTAACACCAGGCCCACCGAACCTTGAAGTAAAGGGCCAGTGACCCCCGTGGGGACAACCAAGGGCAAAGAATCAGGAAGTAAATTCAGAGGAATAGTACTACAGAGATCCACTGCCCCACCTTTTAATATGGAGATGGACAATCATTGTACGGAGACAGAAGAAGAGGCTGGGACCCATATGGTTTGGCTGTAGGTAGATTTGTTTGTGCTGCAGGTTGCGTTGGGACCACCAGAAGTGGAAACACAACATTGGTCTGAGTTGGAAGTGTCCCATTTGATGTCAGGGCCTGGGATCAGCCCTGCTCCCAATTTCCCTGACATTGTGGTAGAGGGTTTCCATCTATATCATACTTAGAGTGACAAATATTTGCCAATGTTTACCTTTGTGACAACGTGGACAAACAATAGGAGCAGGATTTGTCTGTGTTTGTTGAACCAGCTTGGCCACTTGTAAGTTTTTAACAGCACAAATTTTTCGAATATGACCAAGTTGGCCACAATTATAGCATGCTGCAAGAGAAGAATTAGTGGGACCAGTTTGGTTGATGTCCTTCATGGCCCATGCCCACAGAATAGCTTTGTGGGTGTCTGATCCAATGCCTTCACAAGCTTTAATACATGCTAGCAACACCTCGTGATCAGGTAAATTTTGTCATTACACAGAACGCATGGCCATTTTACATTCACGGTTTGCATTTTCAAAAGCTAACATACGAAGGAGAATGCCTTGAGCATGCTCATCAGAGACAGATTTTTCAACAGCATCTTGTAATTTAGCTAAAAAATCAGGGTATAATTCAGAGTGACCTTGTTTAACCATGGTAAAAGAAACAGAAGCTTGGCCTGGAGTGCATAATTTATCTCAAACTCTCATATACACCTTTGTTACTTGTTCTGTGGTAAGGGCATCAAAGTTTAATTGGGCATAAGCATCAGAGAAACTATTGGAGCCTGTGAGCTGAGCCTGAGTAATTAGAATGCCATTACTCCAATTTAGCTGAGTCTGCAAAAGGGCCTCCTCTGACCACCAGATACAGAATTGTAAATGATGAGCTGGGGTTAGAACAGCTTTTGCCAACAGGTCCCAATCAAAAGGAAGTAAAGTGAACTCAGTACAAAAAGTTTGTAAAACCATTTTAACATAAGGAGAAGTAGGACCATACTTGAACAAGCATCCTTAAATTCTTAAAAAAATGTAAGAGTAAGAGGTACATAATGATGCATTTGTAACCCTTGGAAGTTAGGTGGGCCTAGCATGACCAGATAAGTCCATGTATCTAATCCACTTGTTTCTTTGTTTTGGCGTAATAAGCATTGCATTGAAGTTTCATGAGTAGGCATCTGAGACGGAGTCGGCATAGAAGTGACAGGAAAAGCATGTGTAGATAAGGGAAACTGAGGGTGAGAGGGTTGGACCAGAATGAGAGTGTGAGAAAGGGGCATTGGAGGAGCAGAAGTATACTGGTGATTACTGGTGTTCACATGTGAAGAAGAGTACAGAGAAGCAGGCTGAGTGGACAGTAAAGTGACCAGTTGAGGAACCAAAATGACAGGAGGTTGAGGGGCTGAAGTGGATGGGGCAGGGCCTGCAGAATTATAGGTAAAGTGTAGTTTGGTAGTTTGGTCCCAGAGCCACTAGGTGATCTGGAGGTTTGAGAAGAGAAGGATTAGCATATATAGGATCCTGGCTGTGTGAGTCAGGGCCACAGGAGTTACACGTACTGGCTCTTCATGAAAAGAAATAAGATCATCAAGGGGTGACCATAAGTCAAAGTTACCGGAGTTAGACATTGAATTCCCTACATTGTCAGGTAGGGGAGGAGTAGCTGGAGAGAGAGGCTGTTCAGATAATGAAAGCTGTGCAGGAGAGTAAGGCTGAGGAAAATGTGGAGGATCATCAGATTCAGAAAATTGTGGTAACTGTAAGGGGCCACAGGATTGGTATGTCATCAGGACAGCACATACCAAGGTCCAGTCACCCGAAACAGTGATGGGAACATAATTCCCTGTGGAGACCAGTTCCCTGAATGTTGTACCAACATGATCCCATAGTTCTACACCTAAGGTTTCTTTTTCAGGAAACCAAGGACAGTATTTTTCTACTGCCCTGAATAGAGTGACCATATTTTCCATAGGCACTCAAATACCGCCCTGTTTTAACAGGAGTTTAGTATAGCAGAGATAAGTATGATGCATAGACTCCACATGACTCATAGTTAACCCAGACCATACACAGACTACTCACCACTCATCAGGGAGTCAAACACGTGTATCTGTGGACCAAGCTGATGACGTTTCACCACACCTACCAAAGGGAATTGGGCTCCCTCATGCACTTAAGAAAAAAGAAAGACTACATGGGCACCAGATACCGGTGAACCTGCCCAGATAGTCATGTAGGTTCTTTTCTATTTTCCCTAAGCATTGGCCATTTGAGAATAAAGGGACAGAGTACAAAAGAGAGAAATTTTAAAGCTGGGTGTCCGGGGGAAACATCACATGTTGGTAGGTTCTGTGATACTCCACAAGCCGTAAAACCAGCAAGTTTTTATTAGGGAGTTTCAAAAGGGGAGTATAGGAATAGGGTGTGGGTCACAGACATCAAGTAGTTCACAAGGTAATAGAATATCACAAGGCAAATGGAGGCAGGGTGAAATCACAGGACCACAGGACTGGGGCAAAATTAAAATTGCTAATGAAGTTTTGGGCACCACTGTCATTGATAACATCTTATCAGGAAACAGAGTTTTGAGAGCAACCGGTCTGACCAAAATTTATTAGGTGGGACTTTCTTCTTCCTAATAAGCCTGGGAGCACTATGGGAGACTGGGTTCTATTTCATCCCAACAGTCTACTGACCATAAAAGACGACCACACCCAGGGGGGCCGTCTGTAGACCTACCCCCAGGTGTGTATTCTCTTTCCCAGGGATGTTCCTTGCTGAGAAAAAGAATTCAGTGATATGTCTCCCGTTTGTTTTTGAAAGAAGAGAAATATGGCCCTGTTCCACCTGGCTCACTGGTGATCAGAGTTTAAGGTTATCTCTCTTGTTTCCTAAACATTGCTGTTATCCTGTTCTTTTTCCAAGGTGCCCAGATTTCTTACAGTTCAAATACACATGCTCTACAATTTGTGCAGTTAATGCAATTATCATAGGGTTCTGAGGGGACACACATCCTCCTCAGCTGACAGGATTAAGAGATTGAAGTAAAGACAGGCATAGGTAATCACAAGGATATTGATTGGGGAAGTGATAAATGTCCAAGAAATCTTTACGATTTATGTTTAGAGATTGAAGTAAAGACAGGCATAAAAAATTATAAAGTTATTAATTTGGGGAACTAATAAATGTTCATAAAATCTTCACAATCCACCTTCTTCTGCCATGGCTTCAGCTGCTCCCTCTGTTTGGGGTCTCTGACTTCCTTCAACAGTTTCACAGATAGCTTCTTTCTAGTTTTTATCTGGTAATATTCATTTTTTCCCCATAGGCTTCAATGGACTCCAAATCTTTCATTCACAGATCCTAGAAAAAAAAGTGTTTTTAACATGCCAGATCAAAACAAATGTTTAACTGTGTGAGGTGAATCCACACATCACAATGCAGTTTCACAGATAGCTTATATCTAATTTTTATCTGTGGTTATTTGGTTATTCACCCTAGGCCTCTATGGGTTTCCAAATGCCTCTTCGCAGATTCTATCCAACAAGTGTTTCAAATCTGCTGTATGAAATCAAATGTTTAATTCTGTGAGATGAATTCACACATCACTAAGAAGTTTCACAGACAGCTTCATCCTAGTTTTTATCTGGGGATGTTCAGGTTTTCATTATAGGCTTCCATGGCCCCAAATATTTCTTCACTGATTCTACCTAAAGAGTGCTCCAAAACTGCTACATGCAAAGAAATGTTTAACTCTGTGATATGAATCCACACAACACAAGACACTTTCACAGGTACCTTCTTTCTAGCTTTTATCTGGAGATATTCGGTTTCTTGCCATATGCCTTTATGGGCTTCCAAATGTGTAGGGGGAACCCCTGAAACTATTGCTACAGGATAAAAGATGAAATGCTCCTGATTATTGTAAATACAAAATTGCATGTTGGATTGTGTAAAGACAATGCCAGGTTGGGATGCCAGAATAAGCCAACAACACATGATGTGTTTCCCCCTGCAGAGAGCCTATAAACAAGCGTGCATTTAGGGAGGTTTCACATAATCAATATTCCTATCCTAGAGAAGCAGATGTTCACAGCATTGGGAAAGCACATATCACAAAACAGTGTCCAGAAAGCTTGTTTCTAGTTTTTTCTCTGATGTTTCCTTTTTCACAATAGGCCTCAATGCACTCTCAAATATCCCTTCACAGATTTTACACAAACAGTGTTGCCAAATTGCTCAATCAAAAGAAAGTTTAAACTCTGTGAGATGAATGCACTCATCACAAAGCAATTTCTCAGAAAGATTCCTTTTAGTTTTTATCTGAAGATATTTCTTTTTTTCACCATTTACCTCAAAGCACTCCCAAGTATCCCTGCTCAGAAACTACAAAAACACTGTTGCCAAAGTGCTCAATCAAAAGAAAGGTTTAAGTCTGTGAGATGAATGCGAACATCACAAAGCACTTTTTTGGAAAGCTTCCTTCTTGTTTTTTTCTGAAGATATTTTCTTTTTCAACCTAGGCTTCAATGCTCTCCCAATATCCATTTGCAGATTCGCAAAAACAGTGTTTCCAAACTGCTGAATCAAAAGAAAGGTTTAACTCTGTGAGAAGAATGCACACATCACAAAGCAGTTTCTGAGAAAGTTTCTTTCTAGTATTTAGCTGAAGATATTTCCTTTTTCACCATAAGCCTCAAAGTGCTCCAAAAAGTCCCTTCTCAGACTCTACAAAAATAGTGTTTCCAAACAGCTCAAACAAAAGAAAGTTTTAATTCCATATGTTGAATGCACACATCACAAAGCAGTTTCTCAGAATGCTTCTTTCTAGTTTTTTTTCTGAAGATATTTCCTTTTTCACTGTAGGCCTCAAAGTGCTCCCAAATATCCCTTGGTAGATTTTACATAAACACTGTTTACAAGCTGCTCAATCAAAATAATGGTTTAACTCTGTGAGATGAATGTACACATCACAAAGCAATTTCCAGGAATCTTCTTTCTAGTTATTATCTGAGGATATCTCCTTTTTCACCATAGGACTCAAAGCTCTTCAAAATATCTCTTCTCAGAATCTCCAAAAACACTGTTACCAAATTGCTCAATCAAAAGAAAGTTTAACTCTGTGAGAAGAATGCACATATCACAAAGTGATTTCTGAGTAACTTCTTTCTAGTTTTTATCTGAAGATATTTCCTTTTTAACAATTGACCTCAATGCACACCAAAATATCCTTTTGCAGATATTTCAAAAACAGTGATTCCAAACTGCACAATCAAAAGAAAGGTTTAACTCTGTAAGAAGAATGAGAAGCAGTTTCTGAGAAAGCTTCTTTTTAGTTTTATGTGAAGATATTTCCTTTTTCACCATAGGCCTCAAAGCACTCCCAAATATCCCTTCACACATTCTACCAAACACTGTTCCCAAACTGCTCAATGAAAATAAAGGTTTAACTTTGTGAGGTGAATGCACAGATCACAAAGCAGTTTTTCTTTGAAGATATTTCTTTATCACCTAAGTCCTCAATGTGCTCCCAATTATCCCTTGGCTGATTACACCAAAATGTTGCTTCCAAACTGCTCACTTAAAAGAAAGGTTTAACTCGATGAGATGAATGCATTCATCAGAAAGGAGTTTCTCAAAAAGCTTCTTTCTAGATTTTATCTGAAGATATTTCCTTTTTCACTGTAGGCCTCAATGCACTCCCAAATATCCCTTCACAGATTGTATCAAAAGAGTATTTCAAAATTTCTCAATAAAAAGAAAGGTTTAACTCTATGAGGTGAATGCACACATCACAAAGCATTTTCATAGAGGCTTCTTTCTACTTTTTATCTGAAGATATTTCATTTATCACAATAGGCCTCAAAGTGCTCCCAAATATTCCTTCGCAGATTCTACCAAAAGAGTGTTTCCAAACTGCTCAATCAAAAGAAAGGTTTAACTCTGTGAGAAGAAAGCACTCTTCACAAAGCAGTTTCTCAGAAAGTTTCTTCCAAGTTTTTCTCTGAAAATATTCCTTTTTCACCTTAGGCCTCAATACAATCCCACATATCCCTTCGCAGAATATACAAAAACAGTATTTCCAAACTATTCAATCAAAAGAAAGTTTTAACTATGTAACATGAATGCACACATCACAAAGCAGTTTCTCAGAATGCTTCTTTCTAGTTTTTCTCTGAAGATATTTCCTTTTTCACCACAGGCCTAAATGTGCTCCCATATAATCCTTGTAGGGTCTACAAAATCTGTGTTTCCAGACAGCTCCATGAAAAGAAAAGTTTATCTCTTTGAGAAGAAGGCACACATCCCAAAGCCATTTAACTCCTTGAGATGAATGCACAAATCACAAAGCCGTTTCCCGGCAAATATCTCCCTAGTATTTACCTGAAGATATTTCTTTTGGAAAATAGGCCTCAAAGTGCTCCCAAATATCCCTTCTAGATTATACAAAAATGGAGTTGCCAAATGCTCAATCAAAAGAAAGGTTTAACTCTGTGAGATAAATGCACACATCAAAAAGCAGTTTCCCAGAAAACTTCTTTCTAGTTTTCCTCTGAAGTTATTTCCTTTTTCACCATAAGCCTCTAGGCCCTCCCATACAACTCTTTGTAGATTTTACAAAAACAGGTCTTCTAGATTGCTCAATCAAAATAAAAGTTTAACTCTGTGATAAGAATGTACAATTCACAAAGTAGTTTCTGAGAAAGCTTCTTTCTAGTTTTAATCTTAAGATATTTCCTTTATCACCATAGGCCTCAATGCACTCGGAAATATCCTTTTGCAGATTCGGCAAAAACAATTTTGTCAAACTTCTTAACCAAAAAAAGGTTTAGCTCTCTGAGTTAAAGTCACTCATCACCAAGCAGTTTCTCAGAAAGTCTTTTTCTAGTTTTATGTGAAGATATTTCCTTTTTCCCCATTGTCCTAAAGGCGCTCCCAAATATCTCTGTGCAGATTCTACAAAAACAGAGTTTCCAAACTGGTCAATCAAAAGAATGTTTTAAGTCTATATGGTGAATGCACACATCACAAAGCAGTTTCTCAGAACGCTTCTTTCTAGTTTTTATCTGAAGATATTTCCTTTTTCCCTGTAGTCCTCGAAGGGCTCTCAAATATCCCTTCACAGATTCTACAAAAACAGTGTTTCTAAACTGTTTAATCAAAAGCCAGATTAAACTCTGTCAGAAGAATGCACACATCACAAAGCAGCTTCTGAAAATCTTCTTTCTCATATTTACCTGAAGATATCTCCTTTTTCACTGTAAGCCTCAATACACGCCCAAATATCCCTTGGTAGATTTCATAGAAACTGTGTTTGCAAACTGCTGAATCAAAATAATGTTCTAACTCTGCCAGAAGAATGTACTCATCTCAGAGCAGTTTCCATAAAGCTTCTTTCTAGTTTTTCTCTGAAGATATATCATTTTTCACCATAGTTTTTAAAGTGCTCCCAAATATCCCTTCCCATATTCTACAAAAACAGAGATTCCAAATTGCTCAATCAAAAGCAAGGTTAAACTCTCTGAGAAGAATGCACACATCCCAAAGCAGTTTCTGGTAAATATTTTTATCAGTATTTTCCTGAAGATATTTCCTTTGTCACCATTGGGCTCAAATTTCTCCCAAATACCCCTTCACAGATTCTACAAAAACAGTGTTTCCAAACAGCTCAATCAAAAGAAAATTTTAAATCAGTGAGATGAATGCCCGAATCACAAAGCAGTTTCCCACAAAGCTTCCTTCTTCTATGAATCTGAAAATTGTTTTCTTTTTCACCGTTGGCCTCAAAGTGCTTCCAAATATCCCTTCTCAGATTCTACAAAAACATTGTGGCCAAACAGCTCAACGAAAAGAAACTTTTAACTCAGTGAGATCAATGCACTCATCACAAAGCAGTTTCTCAGAAAGCTCTTTTCTAATTTTTATCTGAAGATGTTTCCTTTTTCACCATAAGCCTCAATGCACTGCCAAATGTCCCTTCACAGGTTCTACCAAAACAGTGTTTCTACACTGCTCAATCAAAAGGAAGTTTTAACTGTATATGGTGAATACACCCATCACAAAGCTGATTCTAAGAAAGCTTATTTCTAGTTTTTATATAAAGATATTTCCTTTTTCACCATAGGCCTCAATGTGCTCCCAAATATCCCTTCACAGATTCTACCAAAGCAGTGTTTCCAGACTGCTCAGAAAGAAAGGCTTAACTCTCTGATGCAATTGCACACATCACAAAGAATTTTCTGAGAAAGCTTGTTTCTCTTTTTTATCTGAAGATATTTCCTTTTTCACCATCGGCCTCAATGTGCTCCTGAATATTTTTTTGCAGATTCTTCCAAAACAGTGTTTCTACAATGCTCAGAAAAAGAAAGTTTAACTCTGTAAGATGAATGCACACATTGCAAAGCAGTTTCCCAGAAAGCTTCTTTCTAGTTTTTATCTGCAGATATTTTGTTTTTCACCACAGCCTCAAAGTGCTCCCAAATATCCCTTCAGAGATTCTACAAAAACAGTGACCAAACTGCTAAATCAAAAGAAAGGTTTAACTATGTGAGTTGAATACCCTCATCACAAATCAGTTTCCAAGATAGCTTCTTTTTAGTTTCTATCTGAAGATATTTCTTTTTTCACCATCAGCATGAAAACACTCCCAAATATCCCTTCTCTGATTCTACAAAAACGCGGTTCCCAAACTACTCAGCTGTGAGCTCAATGTACTCATCACAAAGCTATTTCTCAGAAACCTGTTTTCTAGTTTTTTTCTGAAGATATTTCCTTTTTCACCATGGACCTCAAAGCTCACCTATATATTCCTTCGTAGATTCTACAAAAACAGTGTTTCCAGACTGCT
Organism: Homo sapiens; assembly: GCF_000001405.40. NCBI lineage: Eukaryota > Metazoa > Chordata > Mammalia > Primates > Hominidae > Homo > Homo sapiens. The sequence continues at coordinate 27,573,103 of NC_000019.10, read as the reverse complement.
CAAACTAAAGAAATGTTTAAGTGTTTAAGAAGAATGCACACATCACAGAGCAGTTTCTCAGAAACCGTCTTTCTATTTTTTATCTGAAGATATTTCCTTTTTCACCATAGGCTACAATGGACTTGAAAATACCCCATCTCAGATTCTACAGAAATACTGTTCCCAAAACTCCTCAATGAAAAGAAAAGTTTAACACTGTGAGATGAATTCACTCATCACAAAGCAGTTTCTCAGAACGCTTCTTTCTAGTTTTTATCTGAAGATACTTCCTTTTTCAAAATAGGCCACAATGCACTTCCAAATATTCCTTCACAGATTCTAACAAAACAGTGTTTCCAAACTGCTCAATCAATGGAAGGTTTTACTCTGTGAGATGAATGCACACATCACAAAGCAGTTTCTCTGAATGCTTCTTTCTTATCTCTGAAGATATTTCCTTTTTCACAAAGGCCTCAATGAGCTCCCAAATATCCCTTCACAGATTCTACCAAAACAGTGTTTCCAAACTCCTCAATCAAAAGAAAAGTTTGACACCATGAGATAAATGCACACATCACAAAGCAGTTTCTCGGAAAGCTTCTTTCCAGTTTTTCTCTGTTGATATATCCTTTTTCTCCAAGCTCCTCAATGCACTCTGAAATACCCTTCACAGATAGTACCACAACAGTGTTTCCAAACTTGTCAAAGAAAAGAAAGGTTTACCTCTTGGAGATGAATGCACACATCACAAAGCAGTTTCTCAGAAAGCTTCTTTATAGTTTTTCCCTGAAGATATCTTCTTTTTCACAATAGGCCTTAATGCACTCCCATATATGTCTTTGCAGATTCTACAAAACAGTGTTTCCGATCTGCTAAATCAAAAGAAAGGTTTAACTCTGTGAGAAGAATGCACACAACACAAGGCTGTTTCTGTGAAAGCTTCTTTGTATTATTTATCTGAAGATTTTTTTTTCACCATAGGCCTCCATGTGCTCCAAATTATCCCTTCATAGATTCCACAAAAACAGTGCTTCCAAACCACCCAATCAAAGAATGTTTTAACTCTGTGAGAAGTATGTGCACATCACAAAGCAGTTTCTGAGAGATTCTGTCTACTATTTATCTGAAGATATTTCATTTTTCACCACAGTCATCAAGGCAATCCCAAATATCCTTTTGCAGATACTACAAAAACAGTGTTTCCAAACTGCTCAATCAGAAGAAAGGTTTAAGTCAGTGAGGTGAATGCACTCATCAAAAACCAGTTTCTCAGAAAGCTTCTTTCTAGTTTTTATCTGAAGATAATTCCTTTTTCACCATAGGCCTCAAAAAGCTCCGAAATATCCCATCACAGATTCCCCCAAAACAGTGATTCCAAACTGTTCAATCAAAAGAAAGTTTTAACTCTGTCAGATGAATGTGCACATCACAAAGCAGTTTCCCAGAAAGTTCTTTCTAGTTTTTCCCTGAGGATATTTCCTTTCTCAGAATAGGCCTTAAGGAACTGCCACATATGCCTTCTCAGATTCTACAAAAACTTTGTTCCCAAACTACTCAATGAAAAGTAAGGTTTAACTCTGTGAGATGAATGCACTCATCATAAAGCAATTTCTCAGAAAGTTTATTTCTGCTTTTTTCCTGAAGATATTTCCTTTTCACCATAGGCCACAATGCACTTCCAAATATACCTTTGCAAATTCTACCAAAACAGTGTTTCCAAACTGCTCAATCAAAAGAAAGTTTTAACTGTGAGATGAAGGCACATGTCACAAAGCAGATTCTCAGAAATCTTCTTTGCAGTTTTCCTCTGAAGATATTTCCTTTTTCATCAAAGGGCTCAAAGATCTCCGAAATATCAATTCACAGATTCTTCCAAAACAGTGTTTCAAAAAGCCTCAATCAAATGAAAGGTTTAACTCTGTGAGACAAATGCATGCATCACAAAGCAATTTCTAAGAAAGCTTCTTTCTAGTTTTTCCCTGAAGATATTTCCTTTTTCACAGTAAGCCTTAAGGCGCTCCCTTATATGCCTTGGCAGATTCTACAAAAACAGGGTTTCCAAACTGCTCAATCAAAAAAAATGATTTAACTCTGTGAGAAGATTGCAGACAATACAAAGCAGTTTCTGAGAAAGCTTCTTTCTAGTTCTTATCTGAAGATACTTCCTTTTTCAACATAGGCCTCAATGCACTCCCAAATATGCCTTCTCAGATTCTACAAAAACTAGGTTTCCTAACTCCTCAATCAAAAGAAAGGTTTAACTCTGTGAGATGAATGTGCAAATCATAAATTACTTTCTCTGAAAGCTTCTTTCTTGTTCTTCTCTGAAGATATTCCCTTTTTCACCATAGACGTTCATGCACTCCAAAATGGCCCTTCACAAATTCTACAAAAAGAGTGTTTCCAAACTGCTGAATGAAAAGAAATGTTTAACTCTGTGAGAAGAATGCACACATCAGAAGGTAGTTACCTATAAAAGTTTTTCTAGTTTTTATCTGAAGATATTTCCTTTTTTAACATAGGCCACAAAGTGCTCCCAAATTTCCCTTCTCAGGTTCTAGAAAAACTTGGTTTTCAAACAGCTCAATCAAAAGAAATGTTGAAATCTCTGAGATAAATGAACTCATCGAAAAGCAGTTTCTCAGAACACTTCTTTCTCGTTTCCACCTGAAGATGTTTTCTTTTTCACCATAGGCCTCAAAAAGCTCTGAAATTTCCCTTTGACTATTCTACAAAATCAATGTTTCCAAACTACTCAATCAAAATAAAGATTTAACTCTGTTAGATGAATGCACACATCACAAAGCAGTTTCCCAGAAAGTTTCTTTCTAGTTTTATCTGAAGATATTTCCTTTTTCACTATAGACCATAAATTGCTCCCAAATATCCCTTCTCAGATTCTACAAAAACACTGTTGCCAAACTGCTCAATCAAAAGAAAGTTTTCACTCTGTGAGATGAATGCACTCATCACAGAACACTTTCTCAGAAAGTTTCTTTCTAGTTTTAATCTGAAGATATTTCCTTTTTCACCCTAGGCCTCAATGTGCTCCCAAATATCCCTATCCAGATACTTCCAAAACAGTGTTTCCAAACAGCTCAATCAAAAGAAAAGTTTAACTCTGTAAGACGAATGCACACATCACAAAGTAGTTTCTCAAAAAGCTTCTTTCTAGTTTTCTCTGGAGATAATTCCTTTTTCATCATAGGCCTCAAGGAGCTCCCAAATACCCTTCACACATTCTACCAAAACAGTGTTTCTAAACTGCTCAATCCAAAGAAAGGTTTAACTCTGTGAGAAAAATGGTCACATCAAAAAATGGTTTGTAAGAAATCTTCTTTCTAGTATTTATCTGAAGATATTTCATGTTTCAACATAGCCCTCAATTTGCTCCCAAATATTCCTTCACAGATTCTACAAAAACAGTATTTCCAAACTTCTCAAGCAAAAGAAAAGTTTAACTTTGTTAGATGCATGCACTCACAACCAAGCAGTGTCTCAGAAAGCTTGTTTCCAGTTTTTTTCTGAAGATATTTCGTTTTTCAACATAGGCCTACATAGCGCTCCCAAATATCCCTTCACAGATTCTACAAGAACAGTGTTTCCACACTTCCCAATCAAAACAAAGGTTTAACTCTGTGAGATGACAGCACAGATCACAAAACACTTTCCCAGAAAGTTTCTTTAGAGTTTTATATCTGATGATATCTCCTTTTTCACCATAGGCCTCAAAACACTCTCAAATATCATTTCTCAGATTCTACAAAAACAGTATTTCCAAACAGCCCAATGAAAAGACAGGTTTAACTCTCTGAGAAGAATGAACACATCACAAACCGGTTTCTGAGAAAGCTTCTTTCTAGTTTTAATCTGAAGATATTTCCTTTGTTAGCATAGGTCTCAATGTGCCCCCAAATATCCTTTGGTAGATTCTCTGAAAACAGTGTTTCCAAACTATTCAATCAAAAGAAAAGTTTAACTCTGTGAGATGAATGCACACATCACAAAGCAGTTTCTGAGAAAGCTTCTTTCTAGTATTTATCTGAAGACATTTCATTTTTCACCATCGGCCTCAAAATGCTCCCAAACATCCCTTCTCTGATTCTACAAAAACACTGTTCCCAAACTACTCAATCAACAGAAAGGTTTAACTATGTGAGTTGAATACCCTCATCACAAATCAGTTTCCAAGATAGCTTCTTTTTAGTTTCTATCTGAAGATATTTCTTTTTTCATCATCAGCATGAAAACACTCCCAAATATCCCTTCTCTGATTCTACAAAAACGCTGTTCCCAAACTGCTCAATCAAAAGAAATATTTAACTATGTGAGTTAAATACCTTCATCACAAAGCAGTTTTCCAGATAGCTTCTTTCTAGTTTTTTTCTGAAGATATTTCATTTTTCACTGTAGTCCTCAAAGTGATCCCAAATATCCCTAATCAGATTCTACAAAAACACTGTTGCCAATCTGCTCAATCATAAGAATGGTTTATATTTGTGAGATAAATGTACTCATCACAAAGCAGTTTCTCAGGAAGCTTCTTTCTAGTTTTTATCTGAAGACATTTCCTTTTTCACAATAGGCTTGAAATCATTCCCAAAAAAATCTTGGCAGATTCTATCAATACAGTGTTTAAAAGAAAGGTTTAACTCTGTGAGATGAATGCACACATCACAAAGCAGTTTCTCAGAAAGCTTCTTTCTAGTTTTTCCCTGAAGATATTTTCTTTTTCACCATAGGCCTGAATGTGCTCCCTTATATCCCTTTGTAGATTCTGCAAAAACAGTGTTTGCACACTGCTCAGTCAAAAGACAGTTTCAACTCTGCTAGAAGAATGCACAAATACCAAAGTAGTTTCTGAGTAAGCTTCTTTCTAGTTCTTATCTGAAGATATTTCCTTTTTCACCATAGGCCTCAATGCGCTCCCAAATATCCCTTCATTGATTCTACCAAAACAGTGTTTTCAAACTGCTCAATCAATAGAAAGGTTTAACTCTGTAAGAAGAAAGAACAGATTACAGAACGGTTTCAGAGTAAGCTTCTTTCTAATTTTCTCTGAAGTTACTTACTTTTTCACCCTAGGCCTCCATGTGCTACCAAATATCCCTTCGCAGATTCCACAAAAACAGTGTTGCCAAACTGCTCAGTCAAAAGAGAGGTTTACCTCTGTGATATGAATGCACAAAACACAAAGCTGTTTCTGAGAAAGCTTCTTTGTAATTTTATCTGAAGTTATTTCCTTTTTCCCAATAAACCTTAAGGGGCTCCCATATATGCCTTTGCAGATTCTACAAAAACAGTGTTTCCAAACTGCTCTATCAAAAGAAAGGTTTGGCTCTATGATAAGAATACACACAACACAAAGCTATTTCTAAGAAAGTTTCTTTCAAGTTTTTATCTGAAGTTATTTCCTTATTCACCATAGGCCTCCATGCACACCCAAATATCCCCTCGCAGATTCTACAAAAACACCATTGCCAAACTGCTCAATCAAAAGAAAAGTTTAACTCTTTGAGATGAATGCACTCATCACAAAGCTGTTTCTAAGAAAGCTTCTTTCTAGTTTTTATCTGAAGATATTTCATTTCTCAGTCTAGTCCTCAGCCCTCTGAAATATCCCTCTGAGATTCTCCAAAAACACTGCTGCCATACTGCTCAATCAAAAGAAAGGTTTAACTCTGTGAGAAGAATGCACACAACACAAAGCAGTTTCTGAGAAAGCTTCCTTCTAGTTTTTATCTGAAGATATTTGCTTTTTTACCATCGGCCTCAATGTGCTCCTTAATGTCCCCTCACAAATTCCACAAAAACAGTGTCTCCAAACTGCTCAAACAAAAAAAAGGTTTACCTCTGTGAGATGAAAGCACTAATCACAAAACGGTTTTTCCAAAAGCTTCTTTCTAGTTTTTCTCTGAAGATATTTGTTTTTTCACCATAGACCTCAACATTTTCCCAAATATCCCTTCACATATTCTAGCAAAACAGTTTCCAAACTGCTCAATCAAAAGAAAGCTTTAACTGTGAGATGAATGCAAACATCACAAAGCAGTTTCTTAGAAAGCTTCTTTCTAGTTTTTATCTGAAGATATTTCCTTTTTCACCATAGGCCTCAAAGCACTCCCAAATATCCTTTCACACATTCTACGAAAACAGTGTTTCCAAACTACTCAATCAAAAGAAAGGTTTAACTCTGTTAGAAGAGTGCACACATCACAAAGCATTATCTGAGTAAGATTCTTTCTAGTTTTTATCTGAAGATATTTCCTTTTTTACCATAGTCCTCAATGTGCTCCCAAATATCCCTTCACCGATTATACAAAAAGCGTTTTAACTGCTCAGTCAAAAGAAAGATTTAACTCTGTGTGATGAATGCACACATCACAAACCAGATTCTGAGAAAGCTTCTTTATATTATTTATCTGAAGATATTTTCTTTTTTACCCAAAGCCTCAATGTGCTCCCAAATATCCCTTTGCAGATTCTACATAAACAGTGTTTCAAAACTGCTCAATGAAAAGACATGTTTAACTCTCTGAGATGAATGCAAACATCACAAAGCAGTTTCCCAGAAGGATTCTTTCTAGTTTTTATCTGAAGATAATTCGTTTTTCATTTTAGTCCTTAATGCAATCCCAAATATCCCTGCTGAGATTCTACAAAAACACTGTTGCAAAACTGCTCCATCGAAAGAAGATGGATGAATCCATCTCCATCAAAAGAAGATGAATGCAATCATCAAAAAGCAATTTATCAGAAAGCTTCTTTCTAGATTTTATGTGAAGATATTTCCTTTTTCACCATAAGCTTCAAAGTGCTCCAAAATATCCTTTGGCAAGTTCTACCAAAACAGTTTTTCCAAACTGCTTAATCAAAATAAAGCTTTAACTCTGTGAGATGAATGCACTCAACACAAAATAGTTTCTCAGAAAGCTTCTTTCTAGTTTTTATCTGAAGATACTTCCTTTTTCACCATAGGCCTTGAAGCACTGCTAAATATCCCTTCACAGATCCTACAAGAACATTGTTTCCAAACTGCTCAATCAAAAGCAATTTTTAACTCTGTGAGAAGATGATTGCACAGATCACAAAGCAGTTTCCCAGAAAGTTTCTTTATAGTTTTTATCTGAAGGTATTTCCTTTTCACCATAGTCCTCAAATCACTCTCAAATATCTCTTCTAAGATTCTTAAAAAACAGTGTTGCAAAACTGCTCAATCCAAAGATAGGATTGACTCTGTGAGATGAATGCGTTCATCACAAAGCAGTTTCTCAGAATGCTTCTTTTTAGTTTTTATCTCAAGATATTTCCTTTTACATCATAGGCCACAATGCGCTTCTAGGTTTCCCTTCACAGATTCTACAAAAACAGTGTTTCCAAACTGCTCAATCAAAAGAAAGGTGTAACTCTGTTAGGAGAATAAACACACCACAAAGCAGTTTCCCAGAAGGCTTCTTGCTACTTTTTATCTGAAGATACCTCCTTTTTCACCAAAGGCATCAGCGCACTCCCAAATATCCCTTCGTAGATTCTACAAAGACAGTGTTTCCAAACTGCTCAATCAAAAGAAAGTTTTAACCCAGTGAGATGAATGCATTCATCACAAAGCAGTTTCTCAGAAAATTTCTTTCTAGTTTTTATCTGAAGATATTTGTTTTTTCAACGTAGGCCTCATGCCTCCCAAATATCCCTTCACATATTCATCACAAAGGAGTTTCTGCAAACTACTCAATTAAAAGACAGGTTTCACACTGTGAGAAGAATGCAATGAACCCAAAGCAGTTTTTGAGAAAGCCTCTTTGTAGTTTTTATCTGAAGATATATGCTTTTTCACCATAGGCCTCTATGCTCTCCCAAATATCCCTCCGCAAATTCCACAAACATAGGGTTTAAAAAACTGCTCAACAAAAAAAAGACTTAATTCTGTGAGATGAATTCACATATCACAAAGCAGTTTCTCAGGAAGCTAATTTCTAGTTTTTAATTTTTAGTACAAAGTTGCTTTATGTTTTTTATCTGAAGTTATTTCATTTTTCACCCTAGGTCTTAAAGTGCTCCCAGATATCCCCTCTCAGATTACAAAAAAACAGTGTTTCCAAACAGCTCAATCAAAAGAATAATTTAACTCTGTGAGATGAATGCACTCATCATAATGCAGTTTTTCAGAATGCTTCTTTCTCGTTTTTTTTTCTGATGATATTTACTTTTTCATCATAGGCCTCAATGTGATCCCAAATATCCCTTCACAGATTCTACCAAAACAGTGTTTCCAAACTGCTCAATCAAAGGAAAAGTTTACCTCTGTGAGATGAATGCACACATCACAAAGCAGTTTCCCAGGAAGCTTCTTTCAAGTTTTTATCTGAAGATAATTTCTTTTTCACCATAGTCCCCAAAGCACTCCCAAATATCCCTTCACAGATTCTACCAAAACAACGCTTCCAAACTGCTCAATCAAAAGAAAGGTTTAACTCTGTGAGGTGAATGCAAACATCACAAAGCAGTCTTTCGCAAATCTTCTTTCCAGTTTTTAATTGAAGATATCTCGTTTTTCACTGTAGTCCTCATAGTTCTCTAAACATGCCTTCATAGATTCTAGCAAAACAATATTTCCAAACTGTTCAATTAAAAGAAAGGTTTAACTCTGTGAGAAGGGTGCACACATCACAAAGCCATTTCTGAGAAAGCTTCTTTCTAGTTTTTATCTGAAGATATTACTTTTTTCACCATTGGCCTCAATGTGTTCCCAAATATCCCTTCACAGATTCTATAAAAACAGTGTTTACAAACTGCTCACTCAAAAGAAAAGTTTAACACTGTGAGATGAATACACACATCACAAAGTAGTTTCTCCAAAAAATTCTTCCTAGTTTTCTCTGAAGATAATTCCCTTTACACCATAGACCTCAATGTGCTCCCAAATATCCTTTGCACACTCTACCAAACCAGTGTTTCCGAACTGCTCAATCTAAAGAAAGGTTTAACTCTGTGAGAAGAATGGACACATCACAAGCTGGTTTCTGAGAATGCTTCTTTCTAGTTTTAATCTGAAGATATTTCCCTTTTCACCATAGGCCTCAATAGGCTCGAAAATATATTTTGGCAGATTCTACCAAAACAGTGTTTCCAAACTGCTCAATCAAAAGAAAGTTTTAACTCAGTGAGATGAATGCACACATCACAAAGCAGTTTCTGAGAAAGCTTCTTTCTTGTATTTACCTGAAGATATTTCATTTTTCACCATTGGCCTCAAAACGATCCCAAATATCCCTTCTCTGATTCTACAAAAGCACTGTTCCCAAACTGCACAATCAAAAGAAAGGTTTAACTATGTCAGTTGAATACTCTTATCACAAGGCAGTTTCTCAGACAACTTATTTTTAATTTTTTTTAAGATATTTCCTTTTTCACTGTAGGCCTCAAAGTGCTCTCAAGTATCCCTTCTTAGATTCTACAAAAACAGTTTAACAAAACTGCTCAATCAAAAGAAAGTTTTAACTGTGTGAGATGAATGCACTCATCACAGAGCTATTTCTGAGAAAGCTTCTTTCCAGTTTTTCTCTGAAGATATTTCCTTTTTCACCATGGGCCTCAATGCACTCCAAAATATCCTTTCGCAGATTGTACCAAATAGTGTTTCCAAGCTGCTTAATCAAAAGAAAGTTTTAACTGTGTGAGATGAATGCACATATCACGAAGCAGTTTCTCAGAAAGCTTTTTTCTAGTTTTGTCTGAAGATATGTCTTTTTCATGATAAGCCTCAACATGCTCCCAAATATCCCTTCACAGATTCTACAGAAATGGTGTTGTTAAACTGCTCAATGAACAGAAAGTTTTAACTCTGTGATATGAATGCAAACATCACAAAGCAGTTTCCCAGAAAGCTTTTGTTTTTAATTTTATTATTATTGTACTTTATTTTTAGGGTACACGTGCCCAACATGCAGGTTTGTTACATATGTATACATGTGCCATGTTGGTGTGCTGAACCCATTAACTCATCATTTAGCATTAGGTATATCTCCTAATGCTGTCCCCCTCCCCTCCCCCACCCCACAACAGTCCCCGTTGTGTGATGTTCCCCTTCCTGTGACCATATGTTCTCATTGTTCAATTCCCACCTATGAGTGAGAACATGCAGTGTTTGGTTTTTTGTCCTTGCGATAGTTTGCTGAGAATGATGGTTTCCAGTTTCATCCATGTTCCTACAAAGGACATGAACTCATCATTTTTTATGGCTGCATAGTATTCCATGGTGTATATGTGCCACATTTTCTTAATCCAGTCTATCATTGTGGGACATTAGGGTTGGTTCCAAGTCTTGGCTATTGTGAATAGTGCCGCTATAAACATACGTGTATATATGTCTTTATAGCAGCATGATTTATAATGCTTTGGGTATATACCCAGTAATGGGATGGCTGGGTCAAATGGTATTTCTAGTTCTAGATCCCTGAGGAATCGCCACACTGACTTCCACAATGATTGGACTAGTTTACAGTGCCACCAACAGTGTAAAAGTGTTCCTATTTCTCCACATCCTCTCCAGCACCTGTTGTTTCCTGACTTTTTAATGATTGCCATTCTAACTGGTGTGAGTTGGTATCTCATTGTGGTTTAGATTTGCATTTCTCTGATGGCCAGTGATGATGAGCATTTTTTCGTGTGTTTTTTGGCTGCATAAATGTCTTCTTTTGAGAAGTGTCTGTTCATATCTTTTGCCCATTTTTTGATGGGGTTGTTTGTTTTTTTCTTTCCAGAAAACTTCTTACTAGTTTTTATGTGAAGATATTTCCTTTTTCACCATAGGCCTCAAAGCACTCTCAAATATACCTTCTCAGTTTCTACAAACATAGTATGGCCAAAGTGCTGAATCAAAAGAAAAGTTACCTCTGTGAGATGAATGTATTCATCACAAAGCAGTTTGTCAGAAATATTCTTTCTAGTTTTTATCTGAAGATATTTCCTTTTTCTCCATAGACCTCAATGACCTCCCAAATATCCCTTCACAGATTCTACTGAAACAGTGTTTCCAAATGGTTCAATCAGAAAAAATGTTTAACTCCACGAGATGAATGCACACATCCCAAAGCAGTTTCTCAGAAAGCTTCATTCTAGTTTTTCTCTGAAGATATTTTCTTTTTCGCCATAGGTCTCAATGCATTCCCATATATCCGTTTGTGAATTGTACAAAAACAATGTTTCCAGATTTCTCAATCAAAAGAGAGGTTTAACTCTGTGAGAAGAATTAATGCATAACAAAGTGGTTTCTGAGAAAGCTTGTTACTAGTTTTTATGTGAAGATATTTCCTTTTTCACCATAGGCCTTAATGTGCTCCCAAATATCCCTTTGCAGATTCTACCAAACATTGTTTCCAAACTGCTCAATTGAATGAAAAGCTTAATTCTATGAAATGAATGCACACATCACAAAGCAGTTTCCCAGAGAGCTTCTTTCTAGTTTTTATCTGAAGATATTTTCTTTTTCACCCTAGGAATTAAAGCAATCCCAAATTTCCCCTCCCACATTCTACAAAAAGAGTGTTTCCAAACTGCTCAATCAAAAGAGAGGTTTAACTCTGTGAGAAGAGTGCAAACATCACAAAGCAGTTTCTGAGGTAGCTTCTTACAACTTTTTAGGTGAATATATTTCCTTTTTCACTGTATGCCTGAATGCACTCCAAATATCCCTTCCCAGGTTCTGTCAAACATTGTTTCCAAAGAGCTCAATGAAAAGAAAAGTTTAATTATTTGAAATGATGGTACACATCACAAAGCAGTTTCCCAGGAAGTTTCTTTCCAGTTTTAAACTGAAGATATTTCCTTCTTCACCCCAGGAATTAAAGCAATCCAAAATATACCTTCACAGATTCTACCAAAACAGTGTTTCCAAACTGCTCAATAAAAAGAAAGGTTTAAATCTGTGAGAAGAGTGCAAACATCATAAAGTGGTTTCTTAGAACGCTTCTTTCTTGTTTTTATCTGAAGATATTTCCTTTTTCACCATAGGCTTACATATGCTCCAAAATATCCCTTTGCAGATTCTACAAAAACAGTGTTTCAAAACTGTTCAATCAAAAGAAAGCTTTAACTCTTTGAGAAGAATGCACTCATCACAAAGCGGTTTCTCAGAAATCTTCTTTCTAGTATTTATCTGAAAGTTTTTCCTGTTTCACCAGAAGCCTCAATGTGCTCCCAAATATTCCCTTGCAGTTTCTACATAAACAGTGTTTCCAAACTGCTCTATCAACAGAAAGGGTTAACTCTGGGAGATGAATGCACATATCACAAAGCAGTTTCCCAGAAAGCTTCTTTCTAGTTTTTATCTGAAGATATTTCATTTTTCACCATAGGGGTCAAAGCTCTACCAAATGTCTCTTCTCAGATACTGCAAAAACACTGTTGCCAAACTGCTCAATCAAAAGAAAGGTTTAACCCTGTGAGATGAAGGAAATCATCACAAAGCAATTCCCCAAAAGCTTCTTTCTAGCTTTTATCTGAAGATATTTCCTATTCACCATAAGCCTCAAAGTGTTCTGAAATATCACTTTGCAGATCCTACCAAAAGTTTTTAAAAATTGCTCAATCAATAGAATGGTTTAATTCTTTGAGATGAATGCTCTCATCACAAAGCAGTTACTCAGAAAAATTCTTTCTAGTTTTTCTCTGAAGATAATTTCTTTTTTATCATAAGCCTCAATGCACTCTCAAATATTCCTTCACTCATTCTACCACAACAGTGTTTACAAACTCCTCAATCCAAAGAAATGTTTAACTTTGTGAGAAAAATGGACTCATCAAAAAAAGTTTCTGAGAAGCTTCTTTCTAGTATTTATCTGAAGATGTTTCCTTTTTCACCATAGGCCTCAATTCACACCAAATATCTCTTTGTAGATTCCACAAAAACAGTGTTCCAACTGCTCGATCAAAATAAATGTTTATCTCTTTGTGATGCATGCACTCGTCACTAAGCAGTGTCTTAGAAAGCTTCTTTCCAATTTTTTTCTGAAAATATTTCCCTTTTCACCATATGACTCAAAGCGCTCCCAAATATCCCTTCACAGATCTAGGAGTACATTGTTTCCAAACTGCTCAATTAAAAGAAAGCTTTAATTGTGTGTTGATAGCACAGATCACAGTGCAGTTTCCCAGAAAGTTTCTTTGTAGTTTTCATCTGAAGTTATTTCTATTTTCACTCTAGGCCTAAAAGTACTCTCAAATATGCATTTGCAGATTCCACCAAAACAGTGTTTTCAACTGCTCAATCAAAAGAAAGGTTTAACTTTGTGAGATAAATGCACTCATCAGAAAGAAGTTTCTCAGAAAGTTTCTTTTTAGTTTTTCTCAGAAGATACTTCCTTTTTCACCATATGCCTCAATGCCCTTCCAAATATCTCTTTGCACATCCTACTGAAACAAGGTTTCCAAACTGCTCAATCAAAAGAAAAATTTAATACTGTGAGGTGAATGCACACATCACTAAGGAGGTTTCCCAGAAAGCTTCTTTCTAGTTTTTTCTGAAGATATTTCCTTCTTCTCCCTAGGACTTAAATCGTTCCCAAATATAGCTTGCAGTTTCTACCAAAACAGTATTTCCAAACTTTCAATTAAAAAAAGGTTTAATTCCGTGAGATGAATGTACTCTCACAAAGCAGTTTCTCAGAAAGCTTGTTTTTAGTCTTTTTCTGAAGATATTTCCTTTTCCACCATAGGCCTCAAGTCACTCCCAAATATCCCTTTGTAGATTCTGCAAGAACAGTATATTCAATCTGCTAAATCAAAAGAAAGTTTTTAACTCTGTGAGGTGAATGCACACATCACAAAGCAGTTTCCCAGAATGCTTCTTCCCAGTTTTTATCTGAAGGTATTTCCTTTTTCACCATAGTCCTCAAAGCACTCTCAAAAATCCCTTCTCTGATTCTACAAAAACAGTTTTGCCAAACTGCTCTATCAAAACAAAGGTTTAACCCTCTGAGATGAATGCACTCATCACAAAGCAGTTTCTCAGAAAGCTGCTTTCTGGTTTTTCTCTGAAGATATTTCTTTTTTCACCATAGACCTCAATGCACTCCCAAATATCCTTTCTCAGATTGTACCAAATTGTTTCCAAACTGCTCAATAAAAAGAAAGGTTTAACTCTGTGAGATGAATGCACACATCACAAAGCAGTTTCTCAAAAAGCTTCTTTCTAGTTTTTTCTAAAGGTATGTCCCTTTTCAGCTTAGGCCTCGAAGCACTTCCAAATGTCACTTCACAGATTCTACAAAAACAGTGTTGCCAAACTGCTCAATCAAAAGAAAGTTTTAACTACGTGAGATGAGTGCAAACATCACAAAGCAGTGTCCCAGAAAGCTTCTTCCTAATTCTTATCAGAAGATATTTCCTTTTTCACCCAAGGACTCAAATCACTCTCAAATATGCCTTCTCAGATTCTACAAAATAGTAAGACCAAACTGCTGAATCAAAAGAAAAGTTTAACTCAGTGAGATGAATGCAATCATTACAAAGCAGTTTCTCAGAAAGCTTCTTTCTAGTTTTTATCTGAGGATATTTCTTTCTTCACCATAGGCCTCAATGTGCTCCTAAATATCTCTTCACAGATTGAAACCAAAAGAGTGTTTTCAAATGGTTCAGTCAGAAAAAAGGTTTAACTCTGTGAGATGAATGCTCATACCACAAAGCACTTTCTCAGAAAGCTTCATTCTAGTTTTTCTCTGAAGACACTTACTTTTTCACCATAGATCTCAATGCATTCCCATACATCCTTTCGTAGATTCTACAAAAATAGTGTTTCCACACTTCTAAATCAAAACAAAGGTTTAACTCTATGAGAAGAATGAACACAAAACTATGCGGTTTCTGAGAAATCTTCTTGCTAGTTTTTACATGAAGATATATAGTTTTTCACACTATGACTCAAAGCACTCCCAAATATCCCTTCTCATATTCTACAAAAACACTGTTCTCAAACTGCTCAATCAAAAGAAAGGTTTAACTGTGTGAGATGAATGCACTCATCACAGAGCCGTTTCTCAGAAAGTTTCTTTCAAGTTTTTATCTGAAGACATTTCCTTTTTCACCATAGGCCACAATATGCTCCCAAATATCCCTTTGCAGATTCTACAAAAACAGTGTTTCTAACCTGCTCAATCAAAACACAGATTTAATTCTGTGAGATGAATGCACACATCACAAAGCTGTTACCCAGAAAGCTTCTTTCTAGGAAATATTCTTTCTGAATATGTTTCCTTTTTCACCCTAGGCTTTAAAGTGATCCCAAATATCCCTTTGGGGATTGTACCATAACAGTGTTTACAAACTGCTCAATCAAAAAGAAGGTTTAACTCCGTTAGATGAATGCGCATGTCCCAAAGCAGTTTCTCAGACAGCTTCTTTCTAGTTTTTCTCAGAAGATATTTCCTCGTTTACCATAGGCCTCAATGTGCTCCTATATATCCCTGTGTAGGTTCTTCTAAAACAGTGTTTCCACACTCTGTATCAAAATAAATGTTTAACTCTCTGAGAAGAATTCACACATCACAAAGCAGTTCCTGGGAAAGCTTCCTTCTTATTTTTATCTGAAGATATTTCTGTTTTCATCATAGGCCTCAAAGTGCTCCCAAATATCCCTTTGTAGATTCTACAAAAACAGTGTTTGCAAATTGCTTAATCAAAAGAAAGGTTTAACTCTGTGATAAGAATGCACATATCATGGAGCAATTTCTGAGAAAGCTTCTTTCCAGTATTTATGTAAAGATGTTTCCTTTTTCACCTTAAGCCTCAATGTGCTCCCAAATATCACATTGCAGATTCTACAAAAAGAGTTTCAGATCTGCTCAATCAAAAGAAAGATCAAACTCTGAGATGAATACACACATCACAAAGCAGTTTCTGAAAGATCTTCTTACTAGTTATTATCTGTACATATTTTGCTTTTCACCATAGGCCTCAAAGTGCTCCCAGTATCCCTTCTCAGATTCCACAAAAGCAGTGTTGCCAACTGCTCAATCAAAAGAAAGGTTTACCTCTGTGAGATGAATGCACTTATCACAAAGCAGTTCATCAGGAAGCATCTTTCTTCTTTTTATCCTTAGATATTACCTTTTTCACCAGAAGCCTCAATGTGCTCCCAAATATCCCTTCACAGATTCTACAAAAAGAGTGTTTCAAAATGGCTTAAACAAAAGAAAGGTTTAACTCTGTGAACTGAATGCACACATCACAAAGCAGTTTCTGAGAACCCTTCCTTCTAGTTTTTCTCTGACAATATTACCTTTTTCACCATAGACCTCAATGCACTCCCATATATCATTGGTACATTCCACAAAATCTGTTTCCAAACTGCTCTATCAAAAGGAAAGTTTAACTCTATGAGAAGAATCCACACATCACAAAGTGGTTTCTCAGAATCTTCTTTCTAGTTTTTATCTGAAGATATTTCCTTTTTCACCATAGGCCTAAATGTGCTCCCAAATATCTCTTTGCAGATTATACAAAGACAGTCTTGTCAAACTGTTCGATTCTAAGAAAGGTTTAATTCTGTGAGATGATTGCACACAGCACAAAGCAGTTTCTCAGAAGGCTTCATTCTAGTTTTCCTCTGAAGATACTTACTTTTTCACATAGTTCTAAATGCCGTCCTGTATATCCCTTTGTAGATTCTACAAATACAGCATTTCCACACTGCTCAATCAAAAGAAAATTGTAACTCTGGAAGAAGAATGAACACATAACGAAGTGGTTTCTCAGAAAGCTTCTTACTAATTTTTATGTGAAGATATTTACTTTTTCAACGTAGGCCTCAATGCACTCCCAAGTATCCCGTCTCAAATTCTACAAAAAGAGTGTTTCAAAACACTCTTCTCTGTGAGAAGTATGCACACATCACAAAGGAGTTTCTCAGAAAGCTTCTCTCTACTTTTTCTCTGATGATGTTCCTTTTTTACCATAGGCCTCAAGGCGCTCCCAAATATCCCTTCTCAGATTCTACCAAAAGAGTGTTTCCAAACTGCTCAATCAAAGGAAACGTTTAACTCTGTGAGATGAATGCACACATCACAAAGCTGTTTCTTAGAAAGCTTCTTTCTACTTTTTATCAGAAGATATTTCCTTTTTCACTGTAGCCCTCAATGGGCTCCCATATATCCCTTGGCAGATTCTCCAACAACAGTGTTTCCAAACTGCTCACTGAAAAGAAGGGCATAACTCTGTAAGATGAATGCAGATATCACAAATCACATTCCTAAGAGCTTTCTTCCAGTTTTATCTGAAGATATATCGTTTTTCACCAAACACCTCAAAGCGCTCCCATATATCCCTTCTCAGATTCTACAAAAACACTGTTCCCAAAATGCTGAATCTAAAGAAAGGTTTAACTGTGTAAGATGAATGCACTCATAATAAAGCAGTTTCTCAGAAAGCTTCTTTCTATTTTTTATCTGAATATATTTCTTTTTTCAAGATAGGCCTTAGAGTGATCCCAAATATCCCATCGCAGATACTACCAAGACAGTGTTTCCAATCTGCTTAATCAAAAGAAATGTTTAAACCTGGGAGATGAATGCACACATCACAAAGCAGTTTCCCAGAAAGCTTCTTTCTAGTTTTTATCTGGAGATATTTTATTTTTCACCGTTGGCCTCAAAGTGCTCCCTAATATCCCTTCTCAGATTCTACAAAAACGCTGTTCCCAAACTGTTCAATCAAAAAAAAAAAAAAAAAAGGTTTAACTGTGTGAGTTGAATGCCCTCATCATAAAGCAGTGTCTCAGAAAGCTTCTTTCTAGTTTTTATCTGAAGGTATTTCCTTTTTCACCATAGGCCTCAAAGCACTCCCAAATATCGCTTCTCAGATTCTAGAAAAACACTGTTTCTTAATTGCTGTATTAAAAGAAAAGTTTAACTGTGTGGGTTGAATGCACTCATCACTAAGCAGTTACTCAGAAAGTTTTCTGTAGTTTTTATCTGAAGTTCTTCTGTTTTTCCCATTGGCCACAATGCACTCCCAAATATCCCTTCCCAGATTCTAGAAAAACAGTGTTTCAAAACTGCTCAATCAAAAAAAAGTTTTATATCTGTGAGACGAATGCCCACATCACAAAGCAGTTTCCTGGAAAGATTCTTTCTAGTTTTTATCTGAAGGTATTTCTTTTTTCACCAAAGGTCTCAAGGGGCTCTCAAATACACCTTCTCAGATTGTACAAAACAGTATGGCCAAACTGCTCAATGAAGAGAAAAGTTTAAATCTGTGAGATGAATGTACACATCACAAAGCAGACTCCCAAAAGTCTCTTTCTAGTTTTAGCTGAAGATATTTCATTTTTCACCTTACACCTCAAAGCGCTCCCAAATATCCCTTCTCAGATTCTACAAAGACACTGTTCCAAAGCTGCTCAATCAAAAGAAAAGTTTAACTCTGAGAGATGAGTGCACTCATTACAAAGCAGCTCCTCAGAAAGCTTCTTTCTAGTTTTTGTTTGAAGATATTTCCTTTTTCATCACAGGTCACTATGCTCTCCCAAATATCAATTCACAGATTCTACAAAAACAGTGTTTCCAAACTGCTCAATGAAAAGAAAATGTTAAGTCAGTGAGATGAATGCACACATCACAAAGCACTTTCCCAAAAAGACTCTTTGTATTTTTTATCTGAAGATATTTTCTTTTTCACCCTAGTAGGCCTTAGAGCTATCCCAAATATACCTTTGCAGATTCTACCAATACAGTGTTTCCAAACTGCTCAATCAAAAGAAAGGTTGAACTCTGTGAGATGAATGCACACATCACAAAGTAGTTTCTCAGAAAGCCTGTTTCTAGTTTTTCTCTGAAGATATTTCCTTTTTCAGAGTAGGCCTCAATGTGCTTCCATATATCACTACGTAGATTCTACAAAAACAGTGTTCCAAACTCTCAATCAAAAGAAAAGTTTAACTCTGTGGGAAGAATGCACACATCACAGAACAGTTTCTGAGAAAGCCTCTTTCTTGTTTTTATCTGAAGATATTTCTGTTTTCACCACAGGCCTAAAAGCACTCCCAAATATCCCTTCACAGATTCTATAAAAACAGTGGTTCCAAATTGCTCAATCAAAGGAAAGGTTTAACTGTCTCATAAGAATGCACACATCTCAAAGTGGTATCTGAGAAAGCTTCCTTCTCATATTTATCTGAATATATTTCCTTTTTCACCATAGGCCTCAATTGGCTGCCAAATATCCCTTCTCAGATTCTACAAAAATAATGCTGCCAAACTATTCAATCAAAAGAAATGTTTAACTCTGTGATATGAATGGACTCATCACAAAGCAGTTTCTCAGAAAGCTTCTTTTAGTTATTTTGCTTTTCACCATTGGCCTCAAAGCACTCCCCAGTATCCCTTTTCAGATTCTACAAACAGTGTAGCCAAACTTCTGAATCAAAAGAAAAGGTTAAGTCTGAAATGAATGCACCCATCACAAAGCAGTTTCTCAGAAAGCTTCTTTCTAGTTTTTATCTGAAATTATTTCCCTTTTCACCATACACCACAAGTTGCTCTCAAATATCCCTTCACAGATTCTACCACAACAGTGTTTCCAAACTGCTCAATCAAAAGAAATGTTTAACTCCATGAGATGAATGCACATATCACAAAGCAGTTTCTCAGAAAGCTTCTTCCTAGTTTTACTCTGAATATATTTCCTTCTTCACCCTAGGGCTCAGTGCATTCCCAAATATCCCTTCATAGTTTCTACAAAAGCTCTGTGTCCCAACTGCTCAATCAAAATGAAGGTTTAACTCTGTAAGAACAATGCACCCTCCACAAAGCAATTTCTAGAAGTCTTCTTTCCAGTTTTTAATCTGAAGATATTTCCTTTTTCACCATAGGCCTCAATGCACTCCCAAATATCTCTTTGAACTTTCTACAAGAACAGTGTTTCCAAACTGCTCAATCGAAAGAAAGGTTTAATTCTGTGAGAAGAATGTACACATCACAAAAGGATTTCAGAGAAAGCTTCTTTCTAGTATTTTTCTGGGGATATTTCCTTTTTCACCATAGACTTCAATGCACTCCCAAATATCCCTTTGCAGATTCTATAAAAACATTGTTTCCAAACTGCTTGATCAATAGAAAGGTTTAATTCTGTGAGATGAATGCACTCACCACAAAGCAGTTTCTCAGAAAGCTTCTTTTTTTTTCTGAAGATATTTCCTTATTCACCATAGTCCTCAAAGCGCTCCCAAATATCCCTTCACAGATTCTACCAAAACATTATTTCCAAACCTCTCATTCAAAAGAAACGTTTAACTCCATGAGATGAATGCACATATCACAAAGCCATTTCTCAGAAAGCTTCTTTCTAGTTTTTCTCTGAATATATTTCCTTTTTCATGTTAGGGCTCAAAGCACTCCCACGTATCCCTTCATAGATTCTACAAAAAGTGTGTGTCCACACAGCTCAATCAAAATAAAATTTTAAGTCTGTGAGAAGAATGCACACACCAGAAAGCAGTTTCTGAGAAAGCTTCTTTCTCGTTTTTATCTGGAGATATTTCCTTTTTCACCATAGGCCTCAAAGCGCTCCCAAATATCCTTTTGCAGATTCTTCAAAAACAGTGTTTCCAAATGGCTTTGTAAAAAGAAAGCTTTAGTTCTGTGAGAAGAATGCACACATTCCAAAGTTATTTCTGAGAAAGCTTATTTCTAGTATTTTTCTGTAGATATTTCCTTTTTCACCATAGGTTTCAGTGAGCTCCCAAATATCTCTTTGCAGATTCTATAAAAACAGTGTTTCCAAACTGCTCAACCAAGAGAAAGGTTAAATTCTGTGAGATAAATGCACTCATCACAAAGCAGTTTCTCAGAAAGCTTCTTTTTGTTTTTTTCTGAAGATATTTCCTTTTTCACCATCAAAGGGCTCCTAAATATCCTTTCACAGATTCTACAAAAACAGTGTTTCAAAACTGCTCAATCAGAAGATATGTTTAACTCTGTGAGATGAATGCACAAATCACAAAGCAGTTACCCAGAAAGCTTCTTCATAGTTTTTATCTGAAGATATTTCATTTTTACCATAGGCCTCAAAGCCCTCCCAAATATCCCTTCTCAGATTCTACAAAACACACTGTTACCAAACTTATCAATCAAAAGAAAGTGTTAACTCTGTGAGATGAAAGTACTCATGACAAAGTAGTTTCTCAGAAAACTTATTTCTCGTTTTGCTCTGAGTATATTTCCTTTTTCACCATAGCCCCCAACGTGCTCCCAAATATCCCTTCACAGATTCTACTGAAATAATGCTTTCAAACTGCTCAATCAAAGGAAAGGCTTAACTCTGTGAGATGAATGCACACATCACAAAACAGTTTCTCAGAAAGATTCTTTCTAGTTTTTCTCTGAAGATATGTCCTTTTTCACTACAGGCCTCAATGTGCTCCCCTGTATCAGTTTGTAGATTCTACAAAAAGAGTGTGTCCATACTGCTGAATCAAAAGAAAAATTTAACTCTGTGAGAAGAATGCACAGAACACAAAGCAGTTTCATAGTAGCTTCCTTCTGGTTTTTATCTGGAAATATTGGGTTTTTCACCTTAGGACTCAATGGGCTCCAAAATGTCTCTTCACAGAATGTACAAAACGAGTGTTTCCAACCTGAAGAATCAAAATAACTGTTTAACTATGTGACATGAAATGACACTTTACAATAAAGTTTTACAGATTGATTCTTTCTAGTTTTTATCAAGTTATATTAAGTTTTTCACATTAGGCCTCTAAGGGATCCCAAATGTCCCTTGGCAGATTCTACTAAAAGAGTGATTCCAACTTGCTGAATCAATAGAAATATTTATCTTGGTGAGGTAAATCCAAACAATACAAATAAGTTAAACAGATAGTTTCTTTCTAGTTTTCATCTGGAGTTATTTAGTTTTTCACCATAGGCATCTGTGGGCTCTTAAATGTCCCTTCACAGATCTAACTATAAAGTGTTTCACACCTACTGTGTCAAAAGAAAGGTTTAACTCTGTTTGATGAATGCATACATCTCAAAGCAGTTATATATTTAGCTTTTTTCTACTTTTTTTCCAGGGATATTCTGTTTTCCACCATAGGTCTCTATGGGCTCTTAAATGTAACCTTCACAGATTCTATCCAAAAAATGTTTCAAACATGCTATATTGACAGAAAGGTTTAATTCTGTCAAATGAATAAACACACCCCAAAAGGTTTCACAAAGAGCTCTCTTCTAGTTTTTATCTGGAGATTTTCTGTTTTGCATTATAGGCCTCAATGGTCTCACAAATTTCCGTTTGCAGGTTCTACAAAAAGGTGTTTCCAACTTTCTGAATCTAAACAAATGTTTAAATTTGGGAGAGGAATCCATGCATCACAAAGCAGACTCACTGATACACACACACACACACACACACACACACACACACACACACATATTTTGCCATAGAGTACAGTGGGCTCACAAATCTCCTTTTGCAGATTGTAGCCAAAGAGTATTTCCAACATGCTGAGTCAAAAGAAAGGTTTAAGTCTTTCAGATGATCCACACATCACAAAGCAGTTTCAAAGATAGCTTCTTTCTGGTTTTTATCTGGGGATATTTGGTTTTTCACCATAGGACCCCATGGGCTCCCAAATGTCCCTTCACAGATTCTAACAACATAGTATTTCCAACTTGTTAAATCAAAAGAAAGGTATGACACTGTGAAAGGAATCCACACAACTCAAAGCAGTTTCACAGATCACTTTTTTCTAGTGCTTTCTGGGGATATTCAGTTTTTCACCATAGGCTCAATGGTCTCCCAAAAGTTTATTCGCAGATTCTACAAAAAGAGTGTATGCAACTTGCTGATTCAATAGACAGGTTTAGCTCTGTGAGATGATTCCACAGATCACAAAGCTGTTTCACAGATAGCTTCTTTCCAGTTTTCATGTGTGAACATTCAGTTTTTCTCCATACTCCACAAAAAGCTCCTAAATTTCACTTTGAAGATTCTATGAAAACAGTGTTTCCAACATGCTGTATCAAAAGAAACTTTTACCTCTGTGAGATGAATCCACACATCACAAAAAAGCTCACAGATAGCTTCTTCATAGTTTTTATCTGAGGATATTGTGTTTTTATTTTTTTTTTACCATAGTCCTCAAAGGGCTTCAAAATGCCCCATTCAGATTCTACAAAATGAGTGTTTCCAACCTGCTGAATCAAAGGAAATGTTTATCTCTGTGAGGAGAATCCACAAAAAAAAAAAGCAGTTTCACAAATAGTTTCTTTCTGGTTTGTATCTGGGTGTATTCAGTTTTTCACTACATTCCTGAAATGGTTCCCAAATCTACCCTCGCAGATTCTATTAAATGGTGTTTGTAACCCGCTGAATCAAAAGAAAGGTTTAAGCTTGTGATTTGAATCCAAACATTACAAAGCTGTTTCACAGATAGCTTCTTTCTAGTTTTTATCTGGGTATACTTGGTTTTTTACATAGGCATCTAAGGGCTCCGAAATGTCCCTTGAAAGATTCTACCATAAGAGTGTTTCCAATTTACAGAATCAAAAGGATTGTTTAAATCTGTGAAATGAATGCACGCATCACAAGGCAGTTTCACAGCTAGGTTATTTCTAGTATTTATCTAGAAATATTCGGTTTTTCACCATAAACCTCAATGGGCTTCCAAATGTCCCTTCACAGATCCTATGAAAAGAGGGTCTCACACCTGTTGAATCAAAACAACGTTTAATTCTGTGAGGTGAATCCACACATCACAAAACAGTTTCACAGACACCTTCTTTCTAGTTTTTATCTGAGGATATTCTGTTTTTCACCATTAGCCTCTATGGTCTCCCAAATGTCCCTGTGCATATTCTATCTAAAGAATATTTCCAATTTTCTGGATGAAAAGAAAGATTTAACTCTCAGTGGTGAATCCACACATCACAAAGCAGTTTCACTGGTAGCTTCCTTCTAGTTTTTAACTAGGGATTTTTTTTTTCACCATAGGCCTCAACAAGCTTCAAAATATTCATTATCAGGTTAGAAAACAAGGGTTTCCAACCTGCCAAATCAAAGGAAAGGCTTATCTCTGTGTGATGAATCCACACATCACAAAGCAGTTTCACAGAGAGCTACTTTGCAGTTTTTAAACTCTGGGTATTCTGTTTTTCACCATAGGCTGCAAAAAGATCCAAATCTCCCTTTGCAGATTCTGCCAAAAAAGTGTTTCCAACCTGCTGAATCAAAAGAAAGGTTTAACTCTGTGAGATGAATCCACACATCATAGAGCAGTTTCACAGATAGCTTCTTTGTAGTTTGTATCTGGGAATATTCAGTTTTTCACAATAGGTCTCAATGGGCTCCAACATGTGCCTTTCCCAATTTTACCAAAAGAGTGTTTCCAACCTGCTGAAACAATAAAAAGTTTAACTCTGTGAGTAGAATCCACACATCATGAAGTAGTTTCACTAAAAGCTTCTTTCTAGTTTTTATCTTTGAATATTCCATTTCTCACAGTGTGCTACAATGGGCTTACAAATGTCCCTTCGCAGATTCCAGCAAAAGAGTGTCTGCAACTTGCTGATTCAAAAGAAAGTTTTAAGCCTTTGAGCTGATTCCACACTTAACAATGCAGTTTCACAGATAGCTTCTTGATAGTTTTTATGTGGGGATATTCTGTTTTTCACCATAGTCCTCTAAGGGCTTATAAATGTTCCTTCGCAGATTCTATGTAAAGATTGTTTCCATCTTGCTGTATCAATAGAAGGGTATAGCTCTGTGCAATGACTCCATACGTCACAGAGCACTTCACAGATAGCTTCTTTCTAGTTTTCATCTCGGAATATTTTCTTTTTCACGACAGGCCTTAAGGGGTTCCAAAATGTCCCTCCACAGATTCTGCAAAAGGTATGTTTCAAACCTGCAAAATCAAAGGAAATTTTTAAGTCTGTGAGATACATCCACACAACAAAAAAGCAGTTTCGCTGATTGGTTATTTCTAGTTTTTATCTGGGGATATTCAATTTTTCACCATAGGCTTAAATGGGCTCCCAACTGTCCCTTTGCAGATTCTACAAAAAGAGTGTTTGCATCCTGCTGAATCAATAGAAAGATTTAACTCTGTGAGATAAATGCACAGATCACAATGCGGTCTCAGAAATAGCTTCCTTCTAGTTTTTATCTGGTGATATCCATTTGTTCACCATAGGCCTCGATGGGCTGTGATACGTCTCTATGCAGATGCTACCAAAAGAGTGTTTAAAACCTGCTGAATCAAAAGAAAGGTTTAACTCTGTGAGATAAATCCAAACATCAAAGCAGGTTCACAGATAGCTCCTTTTTAGTTTTTAGCTTGGGATATTTTCTTTTCAACCATAGTCCTCAATGGGCTCCAAAATATCCCATAGTCAATTCAAAAAAAAGAATATCTCCTTCCTACTGAATAAAGAAATAGTTTAAATCTGTGAGATGAATTGCACATCACAAAGCAGTTTCATGGATAGCTTCCTTCTTGTTTTCATCTGGAAATATTGGATTGTTCACCATAGGCCCCAATGGGCTCCAAAATATCCCATAGTTGATTCAAAAAAATGAGTGTCTCCATCCTACTGAATCAAAAAAAAAGTTTAAATCTGTGAGATGAATCACACATCACAAAGCAGTTTCACGGGTAGCTTCTTTCTGGTGTTCATCTGGAAATATTGGATTGTTCACCATAGGCCTCACTGGGCTCCACAATATCCCATTGCCAATTCTACAAAATGAGTGTCTCCAACCTATTGAATAAAAAAAAGTTTAAATCTGTGAGATGAATCACACATCACAAACCACTTTCACAGATAGCTTTCTTCTGGTGTTTATTTGGAAATATTGTGTTGTTTACCATAGGACAAAATGGGCTCCAAAATGTCTCTTAACAGAGTGTACAAAACGAGTGTTTCCAACGTGATGAATCAAAATAAATGTTGAACTCTCTGACATGAATCCACACTTTATCATGCAGTTTTGCAGATAGCTTCTTTCTAGTTTTTATCAAGGTATATTCAGTTTTTCACAATAGACTTTTAAGGGATTCCAAATGTCCCTTGGCAGATTCTACCAAAAGAGAGATTCCAACTTGCTGAATCAATATAAATGCTTATCTCTGTGAGATAAATCCAGACATTACAAATAAGTTAAACAGATAGCTTCTTTCTAGTTTTTATCTAGAGTTTTTGAGTTTTTCACCATAGGCCTCTAAGGGCTCTTAAATGTCCCTTTGCAGATACTATCTAAAGAGTGTTTCATATATGCTGTGTCAAAAGAAAGATTTAACTCTGTGAGATGAATACACACATCACAAAGCAGTTACATATTTAGCTTTTTTCTACTTTCTATCTGGGGATATTCTGTTTTTCACCATAGGCCTCTATGGGCTCTTCAGATTCTATCTAAAAAATGTTTCAAACCTGCTATATTGACAGAAAGGTTTAACTCTGTTAGGTGAATAAACACATCCAAAACAGTTTCACAAAGAGCTTCCTTCTAGTTTTTATCTGAGGATTTTTGTTTTTCCTTATAGGTGTCAAAGTTCTCTCAAATGTCCCTTCACAGATTCTACAAAAAGGTGTTTCCAAACTGCTAAATCAAAAGGAAGGTTTAACTCTGTGAGATGAATCTACGCATCACAAAACAGATTCACTGATAGCTGCTTTCTAGTTTTTATCTTGAAATATTTGTTTGTTTTTATTTTTACCATAAACTAGAGTAGGCTCACAAATCTCCATTCCTGGATTCTAGCAAAAGAGTGTTTCCAAAATACTGAGTCAAAAGTAAGGTTTAAGACTATGAGATGAAACCACACATCACAAAGCAGTTTCAAAGATAGCTTCTTTCTGGTTTTTATCTGGGGATATTCGATTTTTCACTGTAGGCTTTAATGGGCTCCCAAATGTCACTATGCAGATTATGAAACATAAGTATTTGCAACCTTCTGAATCAAAAGAAAGGTTTAGCTCTGTGACATGAATCCACACATAACAAAACAGTTACAGAGATAGCTTCTTTCTAGTTTTTATCTGGGGATATTCAGTTTTTCACCTTAGGCCTCTATGGGCTCCCAAATGTCTTTCCACTGATTCTACCTAATGAGTGTTTACAAGCTACTGAATCAAAAATAATGTTTAACTCTGTGAGATGAATCCACACATCAAAAAGCCGTTTTACAGACAGAGTCTTTCTAATTTTTATCTTGGAATATTCAGTTATTCACCAGAGGCCAAAAAACCGCTGCCAAATGTCCCATCGTTGATTCTACATAAAGAGTGTTCTAAAAATGCTGAATGAAAAGTAAGGTCGAAATCTGTGAGATGAATCAACACATCACAAAGCCCTTTCACAGATAGCTTCTTTCTTGTTTTTATTTGGAGATATTCGGTTTTTCACTGTAGGCTTTAAAGGGTGCCCAAATGTTACTTTGCAGATTCTACCAAAAGAGTGATTCCAACATGCTTAATCAAAAGATAGGTTTAACTCAGGGAGATGAATCCACACATCACAAAGCAGTTTCACGGATAGATTCCTTCGAGTCTTTATCTGGGGATATTGGGCTTTTCACTTTAGGTCTCTATGAGCCCCCAAATGTCTCTCTGCAGGCTCTACAGAACGAGTGTTTCCAAGCTGCTGAATCAAAAGAAATGTTTAACTCTGTGAGATGAATCTTCACATCACAAAGAGGTTTCACCAATAGCTTCTTATAGCTTCTTCCTAGTATTTATGTGAAGATATTCAGTTTTTGAACAGAAACCTCTATGGGCTTCCATATGTCCCTTTGCAGATTCTTCCAAAAAAGTCTTTCAAACCTGCTGTATCAAAAGAAAGGCTTACCTCTGTGAGATGAATCCACATATCACAAAGCAGTTTCACTGATACCTTATTTCTAGTTTTTATCTGTGGATATTCTGTTTCTCACAATAGGCTTCTAAGGGCTCACACATGTCCCTTTGCAGAATCTCCAAAAAGAGGGTTTCCAACCTGCTGAATCAAAAGAAATGTTCAACTCAGTGAGGTGAATCCATACATTACAAAGCAGTTTCACAGTTAGCTTCTTTCTCGTGTTTATCTGGGGCTATTTTATTTTTCACCATAGGGCTCAAAGTGTTCCCAAATGTCCCTTCACAGATTCTACCTAAAGAGAGTTTCAAACCTGCTGTATCAAAATAAAAATTTAACTCTGTAAGATGAATACACACATCACAAAGCAGTTTCAAAGACAGCTTTTTTCTAGGCTTTATCTGGGGATATTCGGTTTTTCACCATAGGCCTCAAAAAGCTCCCAAATATTTCCTCATACATTCTAACCAACGACTGTCCCCAAATTGCTGAGTAAAAAGAAAGGTTCAACACTGTGAGATGAAACCACATATCAAAAAGCAGTTTAACAGATAGTTTCTTCCTACTTTTTATCTGTGGACATTTGGTTTCTCACCAAAGAACCCAAAGGGCTTTCAAATGTCCCTTCTCAGACTCTGCAAAAGTACAGCTTGCAACCTGCTGAATTAAAAGAAACGTTTACCTCTTTGGGATGAATCCACACATCACAAGGGAGTTTCACACATAGCCTCTTTCTAGTTTTGATCATAGGATATTCTGTTTGTCCCCATAGACTACAGTGGGCTCACAAATGTGCCTTTGCAGATTCTAGAAAAAGAGTGTTTCTAACCCCTTGAATTGAAAACAAGTTTAACCCTTTGAGATGAATCCACATATGACTAAGTAGCTTCACAGAGAGTTTTTTCTAGTTTTTATCTGGGGATATTCTGTTTTTCACCTTAGGCCTTGATGGGTTCCCAAACTTCCCTTCACAGATTCCAACAAAAGAGTGTTTCCAACCTGTTACAATAAAAGAAAGGTTTAACTCTGTGAGATGAATCCATACATCAAAAGCAGTTACATATTTAGCTTTTCTCTACTTTTTGTTTGCAGATATTCTGTTTTTCACCATAGGCCTGTAAGGGCTTTGAAAAGTCCCTTCACAGAAACTACCTTAAATGTGATTCAAACATGCTATATTGACAGAAAGGTTTAATTCTGTTAGATGAATAAACACATCCCAAACAGTTTCACAAAGAACTTCCTTCTAGTTTTTATCTAGGGATTTTCGGTTTTTCATTATAGGCCTCAAAGATCTCTAAAATGTAACTTCGAAGATTCTACAAAGAGGATTTTCCAACCTGCTAAATCAAAAGAAAGTTTTAACTCTGTGATATGAATCCATGTATCACAAAGCAGATTCATTGATAGATTATTTCTAGTTTTTACCTTGAAATATTTGTTTTTTTTCCATAGACTACAGTGGGCTCACAAATCTCCTTTCACAGATTCTACCAAAAGAGTCTTTCCAACATGCTGAGTCAAAAGAAAGGTTGAAGTCTTTGAGATGAATCTACACATCACAAAGCAGTTTCAAAGAGAGCTTCTTTCTGATTTTTATCTGGGGATATTTGATTTTTCACCATAGGCTTTTATGGGCTCCCAAATGTCACTATGCAGATTACAAAACATAAATATTTGCAGCCTGCTGAAACAAAAGAAAAGTTTAACTCTGTGAGATGAATCCACACATAACAAAGTAGTTACACAGATAGCTACTTTGTAGTTTTTATCTGTGGATATGCTGTTTTCAACCATAGGCCTCAAAAAGCTTCCAATGCTCAGTCGGCTTCAAAATGTCCCTTCTCAGGTTCTACAAAACGAGTGTTTCCAAAGTGCTGAATCAAAGGAAAGGCTTATCTCTGGGAGATGAGTCCACACACCACAAAGCAGTTTCACAGATAGCTACTTTGTAGTTTTTATCTGTGGATATTCTGTTTTTCACCATAGGCCTCAAAAATCTTCTAAATCTCCCTTTGCAGATTCTGCCAAGAAAGTGTTTCCAACCTGCCGAATCAAAAGAAATGTTTAACTCTGTGAGATGAATCCACACATCATAGAGCAGTTTCACAGATAGCTTCTTTATAATTTTTATCTGGAAATATTTTTTTTTTTTTACCATAGGTCTCAAAGTTCTCCCACATGTCCATTTTCTGCTTTTACCAAAAGAGTGTTTCCAAACTGCTGAATCAATAGAAAAGTTAAACTCTGTGAGTAGCATCCACACATCACCAAGAAGTTTCACTAAAAACTTCTTTCCAGTTTTTATATTTGAATATTCCATTTTCACAGTGTGCTACAATGGGCTCAAAAATGTCCCTTTGCAGATTCTAGCAAAAGAGCGTGTGCAACCTGCTGAATCAATAGAAAGGTTTAACCCTTTGAGCTGAATCCACACTTAACAAAGCAGTTTCACAGATAGTTTTTGATAGTTTTTATGTGGGGATATTCTGTTTTTCACCACAGGCCTCTATGAGTTTATAAATGTTCATTTGCACATTTTATCTAAAGAGTGTTTCCATCCTGCTGAATCAATAGAAAGATTTAACACTGTGAGATAAATGCAAGAATCACAATGCACTTTCAGAAATAGCTTCTTTCTGGTTTTTATCTCGGGTTATCCATTTCTTCACCATAGTATTCAATGGGCTGTGATAGGTCCCTATGCAGATTCTACAAAAAGAGTGTTCACAACCTGCTGAATCAGAAGAACAGTTTAACTCTGTGAGATAAATCCAAATATCATAAAGCAGTTTCACTCACAGCTCCTTTTTAGTTTTTATCTTGGGATATTGGGTTTGCGACCATAGGCCACAATGGGATCCAAAATATCATGTCTCCAATTCTACAAAATGAGTGTCTCCAACCTATTGAATCAAAAATAAAGTTTAATTCTTTGAGATGAATCACGTGTCTTAAAGCAGTTTCACAGATAGCTTCCTTCTGGTTTTTATCTGGAAATATTGGGTTGTTCACCATAGGACTCAATGGGCTCCAAAATGTATCTTCACAGAATCTACAAAACGAGTGTTTCCCACCTGATGAATGAAAAGAAATATTTAACTCTGACATGAATCCACACTTTGCAATGAAGTTTCACAGATAGCTTCTTTCTAGTTTTTATCAAGGTATATTCAGTTTTTCACTATAGGCCTCTAAAGGATCTGAAATGTCCCTTGGCAGATTCTATCAAAAGAGTGATTTCAACTTGCTGAATCAATATAAAGGTTTACCTCTGTGAGATAAATCCAGACATTACAAATAAGTTAAACAGATAGTTCTTTCTAGTTTTTATCTGGAGTTATTGAGTTTTTCACCATAGGCCTCAAAGTGCTCCCAAATATCTCTTCACAGATTCTACCACAACAGTGTTTCCAAACTGCTCAATCAAAATAAATGTTTAACTCCATGAGATGAATGCATGTATCACAAAGCAGTCTCTCAGAAAGCTTAATTTGAGTTTTTCTCTGAAGGCATTTCCTCTTTCACCATAGGCCTTAAAGCAGTCCCAAATATCCATTCACTGTTTCTACAAAAGCACTGTTTCCAAGTACCTCAACAGATTTTGTCAAAAAATATTTCCAACTCGCTAAGTCAAAACAAAGTTTTAACCTTGTGACATGAATCCTATATCACAAAGAAGTCTCACAGTTAGCTTCTTTCTAGTTTTTATCTGGGGATATTTGATATTTCACCATAAGCTGAAATGGGCTCCCAAATATTCCTTCACAGATTCCAAAAAGGAGTGTCTGCAAATTGCTGAATCAAAAGAAAGGTTTAACTCTGTGAGACGAATCCACGCATCACAAGTTAGTTTCACAGATAGCTTCTTTCTTGTTTTTATCTGGGGATATTTTGTTTTTCATAAGCCCTCAAAGGGATTTCAAATTTCCCTTCACAGATTCTACAAAAATAGGGTTTCCAGCCCATTAAATCAGAAGAAAGTTTTAAAACTGTGAGATGAATCCATACATCACATAGTAATTTCACAGATAGCTTCTTTATAATTTTTATCTTGGGATATTTGGTTTTTCACCAAAGGCCTCAATGGGCTCCCTAAGGTCCCTTCTCAGATTCTACTAAAAGAGTGTTTTCAACCACAGCTCAATAAACAGAAAGATTTAACTCTGTGAGATGAATACACAAATCACAAAGCATTTTCCCAAAAAGCTTTTTTCTTGTTTTTCTCTGAAGATATTTCCTTTTTCAACATAGGCCTCAATGCACTCCCAAATATCCCTTCACAGATTTTACAAAAACAGTGTTTCCAAACTACTCAGTCATAAGAAAGGTTTATCTCTGTGAGAAGAATACCCATCTCACAAGTGGTTTTAGAGAAAGTTTCTTTCTAGTAATTCTCTGAAGATATTTCCTTGTTCAACATAAGCCTCAATGCATGCCTAAATATCCCTTTACAGATTCTCCATAAACAGTGTTTCCGAACTGCTCTATCAAAAGAAAGGTTTAACTCTGTGAGATGAATGCACACATCACAAAGCAGTTTCCCAAAATCTTCTTTATATTTTTATCTGCAGATATTTCTTTTTTCACCATAGGACTCAAAGCGCTCCCAAATATCTTTTCTCAGATTCTAATAAAACATTGTTTCCAAACTGCTCAATCAAAAGAAAGGTTTCACCCTGTGAAATTAATACACTCATCAAAAAGCAGTTTCTCAGGAAACTTCTTTCTAGTTTTTCTCTGAAGATAATTCCTTTTTCACCATAGATGAAAATATGCTCCCAATTATCCCTTCACAGATTATACCAGAAGAGTGTTTCCAACCTGGTCAATCAAAAGAAAGGTTTAACTCTGTGAGCTGAATGCACACATCACAACGCAGTTTCTCAGAAGGCTTCCTTCCAGTTTTTCCATGAAGATATTTCCTTTTTCACAATAGGCCTCAAGGGCTCCCATATATTCCTTTGCATATTCTACAAAAACAGTGTTTCCAAACTGGCCAATCAATACAAAGGTTTAACTCGGTGAGAAATATGCATACAAAGCAAAGCAGTTTCTGAGAAACCTTCTTTTTAGTGTTTTTCTGAAGCTATTTCCTTTTTCACCATAGGCCTCAAAGCATTCCCAAATATCCCTTTGCAGATTTTACCAAAAGAGTGTTTCCAACTGCTCAATCACAAGAAGGGTTTAACTCTTTGAGACGAATGCACTCATCACAATTCAGTTTCTCAGAAAATTTCTTTCTAGTTTTTAACTGAGGATATTTTGATTTTTGCCATAGGCCTCAAAGCATTACCAAATATCCCTTCTCAGATTCTACAAAAACTCTGTTCCCAAACTGCTCAATGAAAAGAAGTTTTTAACTCCATGAGATGAATGCACTTATTGCAAAGCAGTTTCTTAGAAAGCTTCTTTCCAGTTTTTATCTGAAGACATTTCCTTTTTAAACATATACCCAAGTATGTCCCAAAATATCTCTTCACAGATTCTACCAAAACAGTGTTTCTGCACTGCTCAATCAAAAGAAAGGTTTAACTTTGTGAGATGAATGCACACATCACAAGGCAGTTTCCCAGAAAGCTTCTTTCTAGTTTCTATCAGAAGATATTTCATTTTTCACAATAGGCCTCAAAGCACTGCTAAATATCCCTTGTCAGGTTCTACAAAAACTCTGTGTCAACCTGCTGAATCAAAAGAAAGGTTTAACTCTGTGATATGAATGTGCTCATCACAAAGCAGTTTTTCAGAAACCTTCTTTCTAGTTTTTATCTGAAGATACGTCCTTTTTTTTATCATAGGCCTGTAAGTGCTCTGAAATATCCATTCACAGATCCTACCAAAACAGTGATTCCAAACTGCTCATGCAAAGATAAGTTTAACTCTGTGAGGTGAATGCACACATCACAAAGCAGTTTCTCAGAAAGTTTCTTTCTAGTCTTTCTCAAAAATATTTCCTTTTTCACCAAAGGCCTCTAAATGCTCCCAAATATCCATTCGAGGATTCTACAGATTCTACAAAAACAGTGTTTCCAAACTACTCAATCAAAAGAAAGTTTTAACTCTGTGAGGTTAATGAACTCATCACAAGCAGTTTCTCAAAGAGCTTCTTTCTACTTTTTATCTGAAGATATTTCCTTTTTCACCATAGGCCTCAAAGCACTCCCAAATATATCTTCACAGATTCTACAAAAACAGTGTTTCCAAATGGCTCAATTAAAAATAAGTTTAACTCTGTGAGATGAATGCCTACATCAGAAATCAGTTTTGCATTAAACTTCTTTATCCTTTTTATCTGAAGATATTTCAGTTTTCACCTTAGTTCTTAAAGTGTTCCCAGATATCCCTTCTTAGTTTCCACAATAACAGCGTTGCCAAACTGCACAATCAAAACAAAGGCTTAACTCTGCGAGAAGAATGCACACATCACAAAGCATTTTCTCAGAAAGCCTCTTTCTAGTTTTTCACTTTAAATATTTCCATTTCCACAATAGGCCTCAATGCACTCCCATTTAGCCCTTCACAGATTCTGCAAAAACCGTACTTCCAAAGTGCTCAATCTAAAGAAAGGTTTAACTCTCTGAGAAGAATGCACACATCACAAAACAGTTTCTGAGAAAGCTTCTTTCTAGTATTTATCTGAAGATATTTAGTTTTTCAGCCTAGGCATCCATGGGCTCCAAAATGTCCCTTCGCAGATTCTACAAAAACTGTGTTTCCAAACTGGTCAATCTAAAGAAAAGTTGGAATATCTGAGATGAATGCACTTATCACAAAGCAGTTCCTCAGAAAGCTTCTTTCTAGTTTTCATATGAAGATATTTCCTTTTTCACCATAGACCTCAATGTGCTCCCAAATATCCCTTCACAAATTCTACAAAATCAGTTTCCATACTGGTCAATAAAATAACATACTATAAATCTGTGAGATGAATGCAGACACCACAGAACGGTTTCTGAGAAAGCTTCTTTCTAGTTTTTATGTGAAGATATTTCCTTTTTCACCTTAGGCCTCGATGTGCTCCCATATATCCCATGACAGATTCTGCAAAAACAGTGTTTCCAAGCAGCGCTATCAAAAGACAGTATTAACTCCATTAGAAGAATGAGCACATCCCAAAGCTGTTTCTCAGGAATCTTTCTAGTTTTCATCTGAAGGTATTTCCTTTTTCACCATAGGCCTCAAGGCATTCCCAAATATACCTTTGCAGAATCTACAAAAAGAGTGTTTCCAAACTGCTCAATCAATAGAAAGATTCAAATATGTGAGATGAATGCACCCACCACAAAGCAGTTTCTCACAAATCTTCTCTCTAAATTTATCTCAAGATATTTCCTTTTTTGCTATAGGCCTCAAATCAGTCCCAAATACTCCTTCACAGTTTCCACAAAAACAGTGTTTCCAAACTTCTCAATGAGAAGAAAGGTTTAACTCTGTGAGATGAATGCCCCAATCACAAAGCAGTTTCTCACAAAGCGTATTTCTAGATTTATCAGAAGGTGTATCCTTTTTCTCTGTAAGCCTCAGTGTGCTCCCAAATATGCCTTTGCAGATTCTACAAATACAGTCTTTCCAAACTGCTCAATGAAATGAAAGGATTATCTCTGTGAGATGAATGCACACATCACAAATCAGTGTTTCAAAAAGCTTCTTTCTAGTTTTTATCTGGAGATATTTCCTTTTCCACCATAGGCTTCACGGCACTCCCTAATATCCCAACACAGATTCTCCAACAACAGGGTTTCCAACCTGCTCAATCAAAAGAAAGTTTTAACTCTGTGAGATGAATGCACACATAACAATGCAGTTTCTCAGAAAGCTTCTTTCTGGTTTTCTTCTGAAGATATTTTCTTCTTCTCCATACTCCACAATGCACTCCCAAATATGCCTTCAAAGATAATACAAAATCAGTGTTTCCAAACTGGTCAATCAAAATAAAGCTTTAACTCCGTGAGATGAATGCAAACATCACAAAGCAGTTTCTTTGGAAGCTTCTTTTCAATATTTATCTGAAGATATTTTCTTTTTCACCATAGGCCTCAATGCTCTCCCTAACAGCCCTTCGCAGGTTATACAAAAACAGTGTTTACAAATTCCTCAATCAAAAGAAAGTTTTAACTCTGAGAAATGAATATGCACATCACAAAGCTGTTTTTCAGAAATTTCTTTATAGTTTTTTATGTAAAGATATTTCCTTTTTCACCATAGGCATCAATGCACTCCAAAATATGCATTCACAGATTGTAGAAAAACAGTTTTCAAACTGATCAACCAAAAGAAAGGATTTAGTCTGTTAGACAAAATCACACATCACAAAGCTGTTTCTCAGAAATCTTTCTAGATTGTATCTAAGGATATTTCCTTTTTCACCATAGGACTCAAAGCCCTCCCAAATATCCCTTGGAGAATTTTACAGAAACAGTGTTTCCAAACTGCTCAATCAAAAAAAGGTTTAACTGTGTGAGATGAATGCACACATCACAAAGCAGTTTCCCAGAAAACTCCTTGTACTTTTTATCTGATGATATTTCCTTTTTCACCCTAGATCTTGAAACACTCCCAAATATCCCTTCTCAGATTCCACAAAAAGAGTGTTGCCAAACTGCTCAATCAAAAGAAAGGTTTAAACCTTTGAAACGAATGCACTAATCACAAGGCAGTTTCTCAGAAAGCTTCTTTGTAGCTTTTATCTGAAGATATTTCCTTTTTCTCATTGGCCTCAATGCACTCCCAAATTTCCTTTCACAGATTCTACCAAAACAGTGTTTCCAAACTGTGCAATCAAAAGAAAGATTTAACTCTGGGAGATGAATGCAGAAATCACAAAGAAGTTGCTCAGAATGCTTCTTTCTAGTTTTTCTCTGAAGACATTTCCTTTCTCACTGCAGGCCTCATCCACTCCTATATATCACTTCGTAGATTCTACAAAAAGACTGTTTCCAGACTGTTCAATCAAAAGAAAGTTTTAACTTTGTGTGAAGAATGCACACATCACAAAGTGGTTTGTTAGAAAGCTTCTTTCTAGTTTTTATGTAAAGATATTTATTTTTTCACCATAGGCCTCAATCTGCTCCCAAATATCTCTATGCAGATTCTACAAATCAGTGTTTCAAGACTGGTCAACAAACAAACAAAAAAACAAACAAAAAACCTCTGTGAGAAGAATGCACACATCTCAACGCAGTTTCTCAGAAAGCTTCTTTGCAGTTTTTGTCTGAAGATACTTCCTTTTTCACCATAGGCCTCAAAGCACTCCCAAATATCCCTTTGCAGATTCCACAAAAATAGTGTTGCCAAACTGCTCAATCAAAAAAAGTTTATCTATGTTAAATGAATGCACACATAACCAAGCAGTTTCTGAGAAAGCTTCTTTCTAGTTTTTATCTAAAGATATTTCAATTTACACCGCAGGCCTCAAGGCAATACAAAATAATCCTTCACAGATTCTACAAAAACAGTGTGTCCAAACTGTTTAATCAAGAGAAAGGCTTAACTCTCTGTGATGAATGAACTCATCACAGAGCAGTTTCTCAGAAAGCTTCTTTCTAGTTTTTTCTCAAGATATTTTCTTTTTCTCCATAGACCTTGCAGATTCTACAAAAAATAGTGTTGCCAAACTGCTTAATGAAAAGAAATGTTTAACTCTGTGAGACGAATGAACTCATTGCAAAGCAGTTTCTCAGAAACATTCTTTGTAGTTTTCATCTGAAGATATTTCCTTTTTCAGCATAGGCCTCAAAATGCTCCCAAATATCCCTTCACAGATTCTACAAAAGCAGTTTCTGAAATGATCAATCAAAAGAAAGGTTCAACTCTGTGAGATGAATGTACACATCACAAAGCAGATTCCCAGAAAGCTTCTTTCTAGTTTTTATCTGACGATATTTCCTTTTTCACCATAGACCTCAAACCACTCCCAGATATCACTTCTCATATTTTACAAAATCAGTGTTGCCAAACTGCTCAATCAAAAGAAAGTTTTACCTCTGTGAGATGAATGCACTCATCACAAAGAAGTTTCAAAGAAAGCTTCTTTCTAGTTTGTATCTGAAGATATTTCCTTTTTCACCATAGGCCTCAAAGAGCTCCCAAATAACTCTTCACAGATTCTACCAGTGTTTCCAAACTGCTCAATAAAAAGGAAGTTTTAACCCTGTAACATGAATGCACACATCACAAAGCAGTTTCTCAGAATGTTTCCTTCCAGTTTTTCTCTGAAGATATTTCCCTTTTCCCATAGGCCTCAAGATGCTCACATGTATCCCTTTATAGTTTCTACCAAGACAGTTTTTCCAGACTGCTCAATCAAAAAAAGTTTTAACGCTATGAGAAGAATGCACACATCACAAAATGGTTTCTGAGAAAGTTTCTTTCTAGTTTTTATCAGAAGATATTTCTTTTTTCACCATAGACCTCAATGCACTCCTAAATATCCCTTTGCAAATACTTCCAAAACAGTGATTCCAAACTGCACAATCGAAATAAAGGATTAACTCAGTGAGAAGAATGCACACATCACAAAGCGGCTTCTGAGAAAGCTTCTTTCTGGTATTTATCTGAAGATATTTCCATCTTCAGCATAGGCCTCGAAGCACTCCAAAATACCCCTTTGCAAATTCTACAAAAACTGTGTTTCCAAACTGCTCAATCAAAAGAATGGTTTAACTTTGTGAGATATATGCAGACGTCACAAAGCAGTTCCTCAGGATGTTTCTTTCCAGTTTTTCTATGAAGATATTTCCTTTTTCAACATAGGCATCAATGCCCTCCCATATATCCCTTCATAGTTTCTACAAAAACAATGGTTCCAAACTGCTCAATCAAAAGAACGGTTTAATTCTGTAAGATGAATACCCACATCACAAAGCAGTTTCTCAGAAAGCTTCTTTGTAGTTTTTATCTGATTTTATTTCCTTTTTCAACCCTAAGCCTTAAAGAGCTCCCAAATATCCCTTCTGAGATTCCACAAAAAGAGTATTGCCAAAATGCTCAATGAAAAGGAAAGTTTAACTCTGGGAGATGAATTCACTCATCACAAAGCACTTTCTCAAAAGCTTCTTTCTAGATTTTATCTGAAGATATTTCCTTTTTCATTGTAGGCCTCAATGTGTTCCCAAATATCCCTTCACAGATCCTACCAAAACAGTGTTTCCAAACTGCTCAATCCAAAGAAAATTTTATCTCTGTGAGATCAATGCACACATCTGAAAGCAGTTTACCAGAATGCATCTTTCCAGAAATATCCCTTTACAGATTCCACCAAAACAGTGTTTCCAAAGTGCTCAATCAAAATACTGTTTTAAATTTTTGAGATTAATGCACAAATCACAAAGCCGTTTCCTACAAAGCTTCTTTCTAATTTTTATCTGAAGGTATTTCCTTTTCACTTAGGCCTTAAAGCACTCCAAAATATCCCCTTCGGAATCCACAAAAAGCGTGTTGCCACACTGTTCAATCAAAAGAAAGTTTTAATTCTGTGAGATGAAGGCATTCATCACAAAGCAGTTTCTCAGAAATCTTCTTTCTAGTTTTTATCTCAACACATTTCTTGTTCTTCCTTAGGCCTCAAAGTGCTCTGAAATATCCCTTATTGATTTTACAAAAAGTGTTTACAAACCACACAATCAAAAAAGTTTATCTCTGTGAGAGAAATGCACATATTAGAAACCTTCTTTCTATTTTTAATCTGAAGATATTTCCTTTTTCACCTTACGACTCAATGTGCTCTCATATATCTCTGTGTAGATTCTACAAACACAGTATTTCCAAACTGTTCTATCAAAAGAAAGGTTTAATTCTGTGAGAAGAATGCACACATCACAATGCAGCTTCTGAGAAACTTCTTTCTTCTTTTTATCTGAAGATATTTCTGTTTTCACTATAGTTCTCAAAGTGCCTCCAAATATCCCCTCTCAGATTCTACAAAAACAGTGTTTCCAATTTCCTCAATCAAATGAAAGATTTAACTCTGTCAGAAGAACGCACAAAGGCACAAAGCGGTTTTTGAGAAAGCTTCTTTCTAGTATTTATCTGAAGACATTTCCTTCTTCAGCATAGACCTCAAAGCACTCTCAAATATCCCTTTGAAAATTCCACAAAAACAGTGTTTCTAAACTGCTCAATCAAAAGAATGGTTTAACTTTGTGAGATGAATGCACACATCACAAAGCAGTTTCTCAGAAAGTTTCTTTCCAGTTTTTCTATGAAGATATTTCCTTTTTCACCACAAGTGCCAATGCCCTTCCATATATCCCTTCATAGATTCTACAAAAACAGTGGTTCCAAACTGCTCAATCAAAAGAATGGTTTAACTCTGAAAGAGGAATGTCCACATCACAAAGCAGTTTCTGAAAAAAATTCTTTCTACTTTTTATCTGAAGAGATTTCTTTTTTCACCATAGGCCTCCATGCTCTTCAATATATCCCTGTGTAGATTCTACAAAAACAGTGTTTCCAAACTGCTCAATCAAAAAAAAAGGTTTAATTCTGTGAGAAGAATGCAGACATCACAAAGCAGTTTCTGAGAAAGCTTCTTTCTACTTTTTATCTGAAGATATTTCTTTTTTAACCATAGATCTCAATACGCTCCCAATTATCCCTTCAAAGATACCTCAAAAACTGTGTTTCTAAACTGCCCAATCAAAAGGAAGTTTTAATTCTGTGAGATGAATGGACATATCACAAAGCAGTTTCTCAGAAAGCTTCTTTCTAGTTTTTATCTGAAGATATTTCCTTTTTTCACCATAGGCCTCAAATCGATCCCAAACATCCCTTCGCAGATTATACAAACACACGGTTTCCAAACTTCTCTATCAAAAAAAAAGGTTTAACTCTGAGAAATGAATGAACACATCACAAAACAGTTTCCCAGAAAGCTTCTTTCGAATTTTTATATGAAGATATTTCCTTTTTCATTCAAGGTCTTATTGCACTCCCAAGTATCCCTTCTTAGATTCCACAACAACAATGCTGCAAAACTGCACAATCAAAAGAAAGGTTTAACTCTGTGAGATGAATGCACACATCACAACGCAGTTTCCTAGAAAGCTTCTTTCTAGTTTTATCTGAAGATATTTCCTTTTTCACCATAAGCTTCAATGCGCTCCCATATATCTCTTCATAGGTCCTACGAAAACAGTGTTTCCAGACTGCTCAATCAAAAGAAAGGTTTAACTCTGTGAGAAGAATGCACACATCACAAGGCAGTTTCTCAGAGAGCTTCTTTCTAGTTTTTCCCTCAAGATATTATCTTTTTAACAATTGGCCTTATGGGCTCCCATATATGCCTTCACAGATTCTATAAAATCAGGTTTTAAAAACTGCTCTATCAAAAGAAAGGATTGACTCTGTGAGAAGAATGCAGACAACACAAAGCGGTTCTGAGAAAGCTTCTTTCTACTTTTTATCTGAAGATATTTCCTTTTTCACCATAGATCTTGATGTGCTCCCAAATAACCCTTCACAGGTACCTCAAAAACTGTGTTTCCAAACTGCCCAATCAAAGGGAAGTTTTAATTCTGTGGGATAAATGCACACATCACAAAGCAGTTTCTCAGAAAGCTTCTTTCTACTTTTTATCTGAAGATATTTCCTTTTTTCAGCATAGGCCTCAAATCAATCCCAAAAGTCCCTTCGCAGATTATACAAACATACGTTTTCCAAACTTCTCTATCAAAAAAAAGTTTTACCTCTGAGAAATGAATGCACACATCACAAAACAGTTTCCCAGAAAGCTTCTTTCTAATTTTTATCTGAAGATATTTCCTTTTTCATTCAAGGTCTTGTAGCACTCCCAAATATCCCCTCTTAGATTCCACAACAACAATGTTGTGAAACTGCACAATCAAAAGAAAGGTCTAACTCTGTGACATGAATGCACATATCACAAAGCAGTTTCTCAGAAAGCTTCTTTCTATTTTTTATCTGAAGACATTTCCTTTTTCACCATAGGCTTCAATGTGCTCCCATATATCTCTTCATAGATCCTACAAAAACAGTGTTTCCAGACTGCTCAATGAAAAGAAAGGTTTAACTCTGTGAGAAGAATGCACACATCACAAAACACTTTCTGAGAAAGCTTCTTTCTAGTTTTTATCTAAAGATATTTCCTTTATCACCATAGAGCTCAATACGCTCCCAAATATCTCTTCATTGATTCTACCAAAAGAGTGTTTCCAAACTGATCAATCAAAAAATAATGTTTAACTCTGTGACATGAGTGTACACATCACAAGGCAGTCACCCAGAAAGCTTCTTTCTAGTATTTATCTGAAGACATTTTGTTTTTCACCATAGGCCTCAAACCCTCCCACATATCCCTTCTCACATTCTACAAAAACTGTGTTTCTAAACTGCTCAATGAAAAGAAAGGTTTAACTCTATGAGACGAATGCTGTCATCACATAGTAGTTTCTCAGAAAGCTTCTTTCCAGTTTTTATCTGAAGATATTTCCTTTTTGATCATAGGTGTCAATGGGCTCCCATATATCCCTTTGTAGATTCTACGAAAACAGTGTTTCCATACTATTCAATCAAAAGAAAGTTTTAACTCTGTGAGAAGAATGAACACAACAAAAAGTGGTTCCTAAGAAAGCTTCTTTCTAGTTTTTATCTGAAGATTTTTCCTTTTTCACCATAGGCCTCAATGTGCTCCAGAATGTCCCTTCACAGAATCTACAAAAACAGTGTTTCCAAACTGGTCAATCAAAAGAAAGGTTTATCTGTGAGATGAATGCAATCATCATAAAGCAGTTTCTCAGAAAGCTTCTTTCTAGTTTTTAACTGAAAATATTTCCTTTTTCACCATAGGCCTCAAAGCTCTCACATATATCCTTTTGTATATTCTACAAAAACAATGTTTCCAGACAACTCAATCAAAAGAAATGTTTAACTTTGTGAGAAAAATGCACACATCACAAAGCAGTTTCTGAGAAACCTTTTAAGTTTTAGCTGAATATATTTCTTTTTGAACCATAGCACTCAGTGCACTCAAATATCTCTTCATAGATTCTACTGAAACAGTGTTTCCACACTGCTCAATCAAAAGAAAGGATTAACTCTGTGAGATGAATGCACACATCACAAAGAAGTTGCCCAGAAATCTTCTCACTTGTTTCTAACTGACAATATTTCGGTTTTCACCATAGGCCTAAAACCACTCCTAATTAGCCCTTCTCAGTGCCTACAAAACACAGTTGCCAAACTGCTCAATCAAAATAAAGGTTTAACTCTGTGAGATAAACGTGCTCATCACAAAGCCATCTCTCAGAATGTTTCCTTCTAGTTTTTATCTGAAGATAATTCCTTTTCTATCATAGGTCTGAAAGCACTCCAAAAAATCTGTTCACAGATTCTACCAAAACAGTGTTTCCAATCTTCTCAAACTATAAGTTTAACTCTGTGAGATGAATGCACACTTCTCAAAGCAGTTATGCAGAAACTTCTTTCCAGTTTTTCTCAAACATATTTCCTTTTTCAATATAGGCCTCTAATGGCTCCCAAATATCCCTTCGAACATTCTACAAAAGCAGTGTTTGCAAAGTGCTCAATCAAAAGAAAGTTTTAAGTTTGTGAGCTGAATGCACTCATCACAAAACAGTTTCTCTGAAAGCTTCTTTCTAGTTTTTCCCTGAAGATATTTCTTTTTCACAAAAGGCCACAATGCACTCCCAAATATCCCTTCACAGATTCTACCAAAACAGTGTATCCAAACTGTTCAAACAAAAGAACAGTTTAACACTGTTAGAAGAGTCCACACATCACTAAGCGGTTTTTGAGAAAGAGTCTTTCTACTTTTTGTCTAAAGACATTTACTTTTTCACCATAGGCCTCCAAGCACTCCCAGATGTCCCTTCACAGATTTTACAAAAACAGTGTATCCAAACTGCTCAATCAAAAAAAAGTTTAACTCTGGGTGGTGAATGCACACATCACAAAGCAGTTTCCCAGAAAGCTTCTTTCTATTTTTTATCTGAAGATATTTCTCTTTTCACCATAGGCCTCAATGCAATCCCATATATCCCTGTGTAGATTCAGCAAAAACAGTGTTTCCAAAATTGCTCAATCAAATGAAAGGTTTAAGTCTGTGAGAAGAATGCACACATCACAAAGCAGTTTCTCAGAAAGCTTCTTTCTAGTTTTTGTCTTTGAATATTCCATTTCTCACAGTGAGCAACAATGGGCTCACAAATGTCCCTTGGCAGGTTCTAGCAAAAGAGTGTTTGCAACCTGCTGAATCCAAAGAAAGGTTTAACCCTTTGAGCTGAATCTACACTTAACAAAGCAGTTTCACAGATAGCTTCTTGATAGTTTTTATGTGGGGATATTCGTTTTTTCACCCTAGGCCTGTATGGGCTAATA
The DNA here is from genome assembly GCF_000001405.40 of Homo sapiens. NCBI lineage: Eukaryota > Metazoa > Chordata > Mammalia > Primates > Hominidae > Homo > Homo sapiens. The sequence goes on along the minus strand of NC_000019.10, from coordinate 27,528,922 downwards.
CATGTTCCTTTGCAGATAATATCTAAAGAGTGTTTCCATCCTGGCGCATCAAAAGAAAGTTTCAACTCTGTGCAATGAATCCACACATCACAGAGCACTTCACAGACAGCTTCTTTCTAGTTTTTATCTGAGGATATTTTATTTTTCACAATAGACCTCAAGGGGCTCTATAATGTCCCTTCACAGATTCTGCAAAATGAGTGTTTCAAACCTGCAGAATGAAAGGAAAGGTTTAAGTCTGTGAGATAAATCCACACATCAGAAAAGCTGTGTCACTCTTCAGTTCTTTGCAGTATTTATCTGGGGATATTTATTTTTCACCACAGGCCTAAAAGATCTCCCAAATATCCCTTTGCAGATTATTCAAAAAGAGTTTTTCCATCCTGCTGAATCAATACAAAGATTTGCCTCTGTGAGATAAATGCAGACATCACAATGCAGTTTCAGAAATGCCTCTTTCTAGTTTTTATCTGGGGATATCTGTTTTTTCACCATAGGCCTCAATGGGCTGTGATATGTCTCTATGCAGATTCTACGAAAAGAGTGTTTACAACCTGCTAAGTCAAAAGAAGTGTTTAATTCTGTAAAATAAATCCCAACATCACAAAGCAGTTTCACTGACAGCTCCTTTTTAGTTTTTATCTCGGGATATTGGGTTTGCAAGCTTAGGCCTCAATGGGCCCTGAAATATCCCATTGCCAATTCTACAAAATGAGTATCTCCAACCTACTGAATCAAAAAAAGTGTTTACATCTGTGAGATGAATCGCACCTCACAAAACAGTTTCACAAATAGCTTCCTTCTGGTTTTTATCTGGAAATATTGGGTTGCTCACCATAGGACTCAATAGGCTCTACAATGTCTCTTCACAGAATCTGCAAAATCAGTGATTCCAACCTGATGAATCAAAACAAATGTTTAACTCTGTGACATGAATCCACACTTTACAATGCAATTTCACAGATAGCTTCTTCCTAGTTTTTATCAAGGTGTATTCAGTTTTTCACCATAGGCCTTTAAGGGATCCCAAATGTCCCTTGGCAGATTCTACCAAAAGAGTGATTCCAACTTTCTGAATCAATATAAAATTGTATCTCTGTGAGATAAATCCAGACATTACAAACAAGTTAAACAGAGCTTCCTTCTAGTTTTTATCTGGAGTTTTTGAGTTTTTTGCCATAGGCCTCTATGGGCTCTTGAAAGTCCCTTCACAGATGATAACTAAAGAGGGTTTCATACCTGCTGTGACAAAAGAAAGTTTTAACTATGTGACATGAATCCATACATCTCAAAGGAGTTACATCTTTAGCTTTCTTCTACTTTATATCTGGCGATATTCTTTTTTTCACCATAGGCCTTTATGGGCTCTTAAATGTCCCTTCACAGATACTATCTAAATATTGTTTCAAACATGTTATATTGGCAGAAAATTTTAACTCTATTAGCTGAATAAACACATCCCAAACAGTTTCACAAAGAGATTCCTTCTAGGTTTTATCTGGGGATTTTCAGTTTTTCATTATAGGCCTCAAATCTCTCTCAAATGTCCCTTCACAGATTCTACAAAAAAGTGTTTCCAACCTGAAGTATCAAAATAAAGGTTTAATTCTGTGAAATGAATCCATGCATCACAAAGCAGATTCACTGATAGCTTCTTTCTAGTTTTTATTCTGCAATATTTGTGGGGTTTTTTTACCCTAGACTACAGTGGGCTCAAAAATCTTTTGCAGATTCTAGCAAAAGAGTGTTTCCAACACGCTGAGTCAAAAGAAAGATTTAAGACTTTGAGATGAACCCACACATCACTAAACAGTTTCAAAGATAGCTTCTTTTTGGTTTTTATCTGGGGATATTTGATTTTTCATCATAGGCTTTAATGGGCTCCCAAATGTCACTACACAGATTACAAAACATAAGTATTTGCAACCTGCTGAATCTAAAAGAAAGGTTTAACTCTGTGAGAGGAATCCACACTTATGAAAGCAGTTACACAGATAGTTTCTTTCTAGTTTTTATCTGGGGATATTCAGTTTTTCACCTTAGGCCTCTATTGGCTCCCAAATGTCTTTCCACCAATTCTACACAACAAGTGTTTCCAAGATACTGAATCAAAAGAAATGTTTAGCTCTGTGAGATGAATCCACATATCACAAGGCAGTTTCATTGATACGTTTTCTCTAGTTTTTATCATTGGATATTCTGTTTTTCACCACAGGCCTCTGAGGGCTCACAAACGTCCTTTGGCAGGATCTCCAAAAAGAGGGTTTCCAACCTGCTGAATGAAAAGACAGGTTTAACTCTGTGAGGTGAATCCACACATTACAAAGAAGTTTCACAGATAGTTTCTTTCTAGTTTTTATCTGGGGATATTTTATTTTTCACTGTAAGCCTCAAGGCACTCCCAAATATACCTTTGCAGATTCTACCTAAAGAGAGTTTCAAACCTGCTGTGTCAAAATAAAAATTTAGCTCTGTAAGATGAATACACACATCACAAAGCAGTTTCAAAGATAGCTTTTTTCTAGTTTTTATCTGGGGATGTTTAGTTTCTCAGAATAGGCCTCAAAAAGCTCCCAAATGTTTCCTCATAACTTCTAACCAAAGAGTGTTTCCAACCTGCTGAGTAAAACGAAAGGTTCAACACTGTGAGATGAAACCACATATCAAAAAGTAGTTTAACAGATAGTTTTATCCCTGTGATTATCTGTGGACATTTTGTTTCTCACCAAAGGACTCAAACAGCTTTCAAAAGTCTCTTCAGACTCTGCAAAAGTGTGCTTGCAACCTGCTGAATTAAAAGAAAGGTTCACTTCTCTGGGATGAATCCACACATCACAAAGAAGTTTCACAGATAGCCTCTTTCTAGTTTTGAGCTTGGGATATTCTGTTTGTTACCATAGACTACAGTGGCCTGCAAAATGTGCCTTCGGAGATTCCAGAAAAAGAGTGTTTCTAATCTAGTGAATCAAAAACAAGTTTAACCCTTTGAGATGAATCCACATATCATGAAGCAGTTTCACAGGCAGCTTTTTCTAGTTTTTATCTGGGGATATTCTGTTTTTCACCATAGGCCTCTATGGCTTCCCAAACCTTCCTTCACAAATTCTACCAAAAGAGAGTTTCAAACCTGGATAATAAAAGAAAAGGTTTAATTCTGTGAGATGAATCCACACATTACAAAGCAGTTTCAAAGATAGCTTTTTTCTAGTGTTTATCTGGGGATACTCCGTTTTTCACTATAGGCCTCCATGGACTCCAAAAGTTTCTTTGCAGATTATACAAAAAGAGTGTTTGCAACTTGCTGATTCAATAGACGGGTTTATCTCTGTGAGATGAATCCACAGATCGCAGGGTTGTTTTGCAGATAGCTTCTTTATAGTTTTTATCTATGAACATTCTGTTTTTCACCATAGGCCTCTAAAAGCTTCCAAATTTGTCTTTGCAGTTTCTGCAAAAACAATGTTTCCAGCACGCTGTTTCAAAAGAAACGTTTACCTCTGTTAGATGACTCTGCATGTCACAAAGAAGTTCACCGATAGCTGATTCCTAGTTTTTATCTGGGGATATAGTGTCTTTTTTTTTTAATCATAGGCCTCAAATGGCTTCAAAATGCCCCACGCAGATTCTAAAAAACGAGCGTTTCCAACCTGCTGAATCTAAGGAAGGTTTAACCCTGTGAGATGAATCCACACATCAAAAAAGCAGTTTCAGAAAGAGCTTCTTTCTGGTTAGTATCTGGGGGTATTCTGTTTTTCACTATATTCCTGAAAGTGTTCCCAAATGTACCTTCACAGATTCTATAAAAAGAGTGTTTGTGACATGCTGAATCCAAAGAAAGGCTTAACTTTGTGATTTGAATACAGACATCACAAAGCAGTTTAACAGATAGCTTCTTTCTAGTTTTTACCTGGGGATATTTGTTTTTTTACCATAGGCCTCTAAGGACTCTGAAATGTCCCTTAAAAGGTTCTACCCCAAGAGTGTTTAAAATTTACTGAACCAAAAGACATATTTAACTCTGTGAAACGAATCCACACATCACAAGGCAGTTTCACGAGTAGTTTCTTTCTAGTTTTTATCTAGATATATTCGGTTCTTCACCATAAACATCTTTGGGCTTCCAAATGTCCCTTTGCAGATCCCACCAAAAGAGGGTTTCACACCTGCTGAATCAAAACAAAAGTTTAATTCTGTGATGTGAATCCACACATCACACAGCAGTTCACAGACACTTTCTTTTTAGTTTTTATCTGGCGATATACTCTTTTTCACCATAGGCCTCTACATTCTCCCAAATGACCCTACACTTATTCTCCCTAAAGAGTGTTTCAGATTTGCTGGATCAAAAGAAAAGTTTAACTATAAGTGGTGAATCCATGCAACACAAATCAGTTTCACAGGTAGCTTCCTTCTAGTTTTGAACTAGGGATATTTCTTTTTTCACCATAGGAGTCAATGGGCTTCAAAGTATCCCTTCTCAGGTTCTACAAAACGAGGGTTTTCAACGTGCTAAATCAAATGAAAGGCTTACCTCTGTGAGATGAAGCTACAAGTCACAAAGCAGTTTTACAGATAGCTACTTTGTAGTTTTTATCTGTGGATATTCTGTTTTTCACCATAGGCCTCAAAAAGCTTCCAAAGCTTCCTTCGCAGATTCTGCCAAACAAGTTTTTCCAACCTCCTTAATCAAAATAAAGTTTTAACTCTGTGAGATGAATCCACACAACACAGAGCAGTTTCACAGATAGCTTTTTTCTTGTTTTTCTCTGGAAATATATGATTTTTCACCATAGGTCTCAATGGGCTCCCACATGTCCGTTTCCCAGTTTTACGAAAAGAGAGTTTCCAAACTGCTGAACAATAGAAAAGTTTCACTCTCTGAGTAGAATCCACTCATCACTAAGTAGTTTCACTAAAAGCTTCTTTCTAGCTTTTATCTTTGAATATTCAATTTTTCACAAAGTGCTACAATGGGCTTTCAATTGTCCTTTCTCAGATACTAGCAAAGGAATGTTTGCAACCTGCTGAATCAAAAGAGAGGTTTAAATCTCTGAGATGATTCCACACATAACAAAGCAAGCTCACAGATAGCTTATTTCTAGTTTTTATCTTTGGATGTTCAGTTTTTCAACATTGGCTTCTATGGGCTTTCAAATGTCCCTTCACAGATTCTAACTAAAGACTGTTTCAATCCTGCTGTATCAAAAGAAAGATTTAAATCAGTGGGACGAATCCACACATCACAAAGCAATTTCACTGACAGCTCCTTTCTAATATTTATTTGTGGACGTTCAGTTTTTCACCATAGACCTCAAAGGACTTTGCAGTTTCTACCAAAAGAGTGTTTCCCACACGCTGCTTTCAGGAACGTTTTACCTCTTTGAGATGAATCCAGACCTCACAAAGCAGTTCACAGATGTCTGGTGATATTCTGTTTTCTCCATAGACCTCAATGGGCCTCCAAATATCCCTTAGTATATTATACAAAAGGAGTGTTTGCAACCTGCTAAATGAAAAAGAAAAGTTTACCTCTGTGGAATGAATCTACACATCAAAAATACATTTTATTGATAGCTTCTATCTAATTTTTATCTTGGGATATTCGGTTTTTTAACATAGGGTTCAGTGTGCTGGCAAATGTCCTTTCTCAGATTCTAGCAAAAGAGTGTTTCCAACAGCTGAATCAAAAGAAAGGTTTAATTCTGTGAGATAAATCCATACATCACAGAGCAGTTTCACAGATATCTTCTTTGTAGTTTTTATCTTTGGGTATGTTGTTTTTCATTACAGGCCTCAATGGGCTCCCAAATATGTCTTTGCAGTTTCTACCAAAAGAATGTTTCCAACATGCCGAATCAAAAGAAAGGTTTAAGTCTAAGGTGAATCCACACATCACAGAGCACTTTCACAGTTAGCTTCTTCTTGATATATCTGGGGAAATCATGGTTTTTACCATATGCCTCAAAGGGCTTCAAAATGTCCCTTCACAGAATCTACCAAAACAGTGTTTCAAAACTACTGAATCAAAAAAAAATTTTAACTCTGTGAGATGAATCCACACATCACAATGCTCTTTCATGAGATCTTCTTTCTAGTTTGTATCTAGGGAATTTTGGTTTTTCACCATAGGCCTCAAAGGTCTCCAAAATATCCCTTCACAGATCCTACCCAAAGAGTGTTTCCCACCTGCTGAATCAAAAAATAGGTTTAAATCTGTGAAACGAATCTACATATCACAAAATAGTTTCACAGAGGGCTTGATTCTAGTTTTTATCTGCAGATATTGTTTTTCCTATGGGATCCCAAATATCCCTTCACAGGTTCTACCAAAAATAGTTTCACACCTGTTGAAGGAAAAGAAAAATGTAACTCTGAGATGAACCCACACATCTGAAAGCAATTTCACAGATAATTTCCTCCTATTTTTTTATCTGGGGATATTTGGTTATTCACAAAGGGCTCCCAAATGTCCTTTCATGGCTTCTACAAAAAGATTATTTCAAACCTGCTGAATTGACAGAAAGTTTTCAGTCAGTGAGATGAATCCACACATAACAAAGCAGTTTTACAGATGGCTTCTTTCTAGTTATAATCTGGTGATATTCAATTTTTCACTATTGACCTTAAAGGGCTCCCAAATGTCCCTCTGCAGATTTTACCAAAAGAGTGTTTCCAACCTGCTTAATCAAAAGAAGGTTTAAGTCTGTGAGGTGAATCGAAACATCCAAAACAGTTTCACTGATAGCGTCTTTCTGGTTTTTATCTTGGGATATTCCATTTTTCACCATAGGCTAAAATGGGCTCACAAATTTCCCTTCACAGTTTCAAGAAAAGAGTGTTTATAAAGTGCTAAGTCAAAAAAGTTTTAACTCTGTGGGGGAATCCACATGTCACAAAGAAATGTCCCCAATAGCTTGTTTCTAGTTTTTATCTGGTGATATTCTGTTTTTCAACTTAGGCCTATATGGGCTTAAAAACGTCTCTTGGCAGATTCTATTTAAAGAATATTTCAACACTGCTGTATCTAAAGAAGTGTTTAACTCTGTGAGATGAATCCACACATCAAAAAGCAGTGTCACAGATAGCTTCTTTCAGGTTTTTTTCTGAATGTATTTGGTTTTTCACCATAGGCCTGAATAGTCTCCCAAATGTACCTTCACAGATTCTATTAAAACAGTGTTTGCAACCTGCTGAATCAAAAGAAATGTTTAACTGTGGGAAGTAAACCACACATCACAATGTAGTTTCACAGACAGCTTGTTCCTAGTTTTTATCTGGGGATATTCACTTTTCCACCATAGGCCTTTGTGGGTTCCCATGTGTCCCTTGGTAGATTCTAAAAAAAAAGAGTGTTTTCAACTCACTGAGTAAAACAAAAGGTTAAAACCTGTGAGATGAATCCACTCATCACAAAGCAGTTTCACAGATAGCTTGCTTCTTGTTTTTGTCTGGGGATATTCGATTTTTCACCATAGCAGTAAAAGGGCTCCCAAATGTCCCTTTGCAGATTCTACAAAAAGATTGCTTCCATTATGCTGAATCAATAGAAATATTTAACTCCGTGAGATAAATGCACAAATCACAATGCAGTTTCAGAAATACCTTCTTTCTAGTTTTTATATGGGGATATCCGTTTTTTCACCATAGGCATCAATGGGTTGTGATATGTCACTTTGCAGATTCTACCAAAAGAGTGTTTACCACCTACTGAATCAAAAGAAAGTTTTAACTCTGTGAGATAAGATGAATACACACATCACAAAACAGTTTCACAGGTAGCTTCCTTCTAGTTTTTATCTGGAGATACCTGGCTTTTCAAAATAGGCCTCTATAGTCTCCCAAGTATCCCTTTACAGATTCTACCAAAAGAGTGTTTCAAACCTGCTGAACCCAAAGAAAGGTTTAACTCTGTGAGATGAATCGCCACATCACAATGCAGTTTCAAATATAGCTTCTTCTAGTTTTCATCTGGGACTATTTGCTTTTTCACAATTGGCTTCTATGGGCTTCCAAATGTCCCTTTGCAGATTCTTCTGAAAGAGTTTTGCAATCTGTAGAATCAAAATAAAGGTTTATATCAATGATGTGAATCCACACATCGCAATCCAGTTTCATAGATAGTTTCTGTCTAGTTTTATCTGGGGATATTTGGTTTTTCATGACAGGTGTGAAATGGCTCCCAAATGTCCCTACACAGATTATACGAAAAAAGTCTATCCAGCCTGCTGAATCAAAAGAGAAATTTAACTCTGTGAGATGAATCCACGCATCCCAATGCCGTTTCAAAGATAGTTTTTTCTAGTTTTTATCTTGGAATATTTTGTTTTAAATCATCAGCATCAATGGGCTCCCAAATGTCCCTTTGCAGATTGCACCTAAAGCACCTTCCAACTTCCAGAATGAAAATGTATGTTTAACTCTGTGAGATGAATCCACACATTATGAAGCAGTTTTACAGATAGCTTCCTTCTAGTTTTTATCTGTTGATATTCGGTTTCTCACCATGAGCCTCAAAGGGCTCTCAAATGTCCCTTCGCAGATTCTGCAAAAGAAGTATTTGCAAACTCCTGAATCAAAAAGGCAGGTTTAACTTTAAGAGATGATTCCACACATCAAAAAGAACCTTCACATATAGCTTCTTTCTAGTTTTTATCTGGGGATATTCAGTTTTTCACCACAGGCCTCTATGTGCTCCCAATTTTCCCTCTATAATTCTATCCAAAGAACTTTTCCAACCTGCAGAATCAAAAGAAAGGTTTTTCTCTGTGAGATGAATCCACACATCACAGAATATTTTTTTTAATTTTTCAGAATTTTAGTTACTCAAATTGCTTTTCTTTTATTATGCTTTAAGTTTCAGGGTACATGTGCACAAGGTGCCAGCTACATATGTATACATGTGCCATGTTGGTGTGCTGCACTAATTTACTTGTTATTTAACATTAGGTAAATCTACTAATGCTATCCCACCACCCTCCCCCAACCCCACAACAAACCCTGGTGTGTGATGTTCCCCTTCCTTTGTCCATGTGTTCTCATTGTTCAATTCTCACTTATGAGTGAGAACATGCAGTGCTTGGTTTTTTGTCCTTGTGATAGTTTGCTGAGAATGATGGTTTCCAGCTTCATCTATGTCCCTACAAAGGACATAAACTCACCATTTTTATGGCTGTATACTATTCCATGGTGTATATGTGACACATTTTCTTAATCCAGTCTACCATTGTTAGACTTTTGGGTTGGTTCCAAGTCTTTCCTATCGTGAATAATGCACAATAAACATACCTGTGTATGTTTCATTATAGCTGTGTGATTTTTAATCCTTTGGATATATACCCAGTAATGGGATGGCTGGGTCAAATGGTATTTCTAGTTCTAGATCCCTGAGGAATTGCCACACTGACTTCCACAATGGTTGAACTAGTTTACAGTCCCAAAAACAGTGTAAAAGTTTTCCTATTTCTCCACATCCTCTCCAGCACCTGTTGTGTCCTGACATTTTAATGATTGCCATTCTGACTGGTGTGAGGTGGTACGTCATAGTGGTTTAGATTTGTATTTCTCTGATGGCCAGGGATGATGAGCATTTTTTCATGTGTCTCTTGGCTGCTTTAACATCTTCTTTTGAGAAGGGTCTGTTTATACCTTTCGCCCACTTTTTGGCGGGGTTGTTTGATTTTTCTAGTAAATTTGTTTCAGTTCATTGTAGATTCTGGATATTAGTACTTTGTCAGATGAGTAGATTGCAAAAATTTTCTCCCATTCTGTAGGTTGCCTGTTCACTCTCATGGTAGTTTCTTTGGCTGTGCAGAAGCTCTTTATTTTTAATTAGATCCCATTTGTCAATTTTGGCTTTTGTTGACACTGCTTTTGGTGTTTTAGACATGAAGTCCTTACTCATGGCTACATCCTGAATGGTAATGCCTAGGTTTTCTTCTTCGGTTTTTATGCAGAGACACGCATAGTCTCAAAATAAAGGGTTGGAGGAAGATCTACCAAGCAAATGGAAAACAAAAAAAGGCAGGGGTTGCAATCCTAGTCTCTGATAAAACAGACTTTAAACCAACAAAGATCAAAAGAGACAAAGAGGGACATCACGTAATGGTAAAGAGATCAATTCAACAAGAAGAGCTAACTATCCTAAATATACATGCACCCAATACAGGAGCATCCAGATTCATAAAGCTAGTACTTAGAGACCTACAAAGAGACTTAGAATCCAACACAATAATAATGGGAGACTTTAACACCCCACTGTCAACATTAGACAGATCAATGAGACAGAAAGTTAACAAGGATATCCAGGAACTTAACTCAGCTCTGCACCAAGAGGACCTAATAGACATCTACAGAACTCTCCAACCCCAAATCAACAGAATATACATTCTTTTCAGCAACACACCACACCTATTCCAAAATTGACCATGTAGTTGGAAGTAAAGCACTAATAAGCAAATGTAAAAGAACAGAAATTATAACAAACTGTCTCTCAGATCACAGTGCAATCAAACTGGAACTCAGGGTTAAGAAACTCACTCAAAACCACTCAACTACATGGAAACTGAACAACCTGCTCCTGAATGACTACTGGGTACATAACGAAATGAAGGCAGACATAAAAATGTTCTTAGAAACCAATGAGAACAAAGACACAACATACCAGATTCTCTGGGACACATTCAAAGCAGTCAGTAGAGGGAAATTTATAGCAATAAATGCCCACAAGAGAAAGCAGGAAAGATCTAAAATTGACACCCTGACATCAGAATTAAAAGAACTATAGAAGCAAGAGCAAACATATTCAAAAGCTAGCAGAAGGCAGGAAATAACTAAGATCAGAGTAGAACTGAAGGAAATAGAGACACAAATAAACCTTCAAAAAATCAATGAATCCAGGAGCTGGTTTTTGAAAAGATCAACAAAATTGATAGAACACTAGCAAGACTAATAAAGAAGAAAAGAGAGAAGAATCAAATAGATGCAATAAAAAGTGATAAAGGGGATATGACCACCAATCCCACAGTAATACAAACTACCATCAAAGAATACTATAAACACCTCTACACAAAAAAACTACAAAATCTAGAAGAAATGGATAAATCCCTTGACATATACACCCTCCCAAGACTAAACCAGGAAGAAGTTGAATCTCTGAATACACCAATAACGGGCTCTGAAATTGAGGCAATAATTAATAGTTTACCAAAGAAAAAAGGTCCAGGACCAGATGGATTCACAGCCGAATTCTACCAGAGGTACAAAGAGGAGCTGGTACCATTCCTTCTGAAACTATTCCAATCAGTAAAAAAGAAGGAATCCTTTCCATCTCATTTTATGAAGTCAGCATCATCCTGATACCAAAGCCTGGCAGAAACATGACAAAAAAGAGAATTTTAGACCAATATCCCATCAATGCAAGATTGGTCAATGCAAAAAATATCAATGCAAAAATCTTCAATGAAATACTGGCAAACCGAATCCAGCAACACATCAAAAACTTATCCACCATGATCAAGTGGGCTTCATCCCTGGGATGCACGGCTGGTTCAACATACGTGAATCAATAAATGTAATCTAGCATGTAAACAGAACCAAAGACAAAAACCACATGATTATCTCAATAGATGCAGAAAAGGCCTTGGACAAAATTCAACAACACTTCATGCTAAAACTCTCAATAAATTAGGTATTGATGGGACGTATCTCAAAATAATAAGAGCTATCTTTGACAAACCCACAGCCAATATCATACTGAATGGGCAAAAACTGGAAGCATTCCCTTTGAAAACTGACATAAGACAGGGATGCCCTCTCTCACCACTCCTATCCAACATAGTGTTGGAAGTTCTGGCCAGGGCAGTCAGTCAGGAGAAAGAAATAAAGGGTATTCAATTAGGAAAAGAGGAAATAAAATTGTCCTTGTTTGCAGATGACATGATAGCATATCAAGAACACTCCATCATCTCAGCCCAAAATCTCCTTAAGCTGATAAGCAACTTCAGCAAAGTCTCAGGATACAAAATCAATGTGCAAAAATCACAAGCATTCTTATACACCAATAACAAACAAACAGAGAGCCAAATCATGAGTGAAATCCCATTCACAATTGCTGTAAAGAGAATAAAATACCTAGGAATCCAACTTACAAGAGATGTGAAGGATCTCTTCAAGGAGAACTACAAACCACTGCTCAATGAAATAAAAGAGGATACAAAGAAATGGAAGAACATTCCATGCTCATAGGTAGGAAGAATCAATATCATGAAAATGGCCATACTGCCCAAGGTAATTGATAGATTCAATGCCATCCCCATCAAGCTACCAACGACTTTCTTCACACAATTGGGAAAAACTACTTTAAAGTTCATATGGAACAAAAAAAAAAGTCCGCATAGCCAAGTCAATCCTAAGTCTAATGAACAAAGCTGGAGGCATCATGCTACCTGACTTCAAACTATACTACAAGGCTCCAGTAACCAAAACAGCATCTTGCTGGTACCAAAACAGTGATATACACCAATGGAACAGAACAGAGCCCTCAGAAATAATGCCACATAGCTACAACTATCTGATCTTTGACAAACCTGACAAAAACAAGAAATGGGGAAAGGATTCCCTATTTAATAAATGGTGCTGTGAAACTGGCTAGCCATGTGTAGAAAGCTGAAACTGGATTCCTTCCTTACACCTTATACAAAAATTAATTCAAGATGGATTAGACTTAAATGTTAGACCTAAAACCATAAAGCATTTTCAAGTAGATTTTTTTCTGGTTTTTATCTGAGGATATTCCATTTCTCAGCATGGGCTCCCAAGTGTCCCTTCACAGATTCTACCAAAATAATGTTTACAACCTACTGAATAAAAAGAAAGGATTAGCTCTGTGAAATGAATCCTCACATCACAACGAAGTTTCACAGATAGCTTCTTTGAAGTTTTTATCTGGATATATTTGGGTTTTCATCATAGGCCTCTAAGGGCTCCAAAATGTCCATTCGCAGATTCTATCTAAAGACTATTTCAATGCTACAGTATAAAAAGAAAGGAGTAACTCTGTGAGATGAATACACACATCACAAACGCAGTTTTACAGACAGCTTCTCTCTTGTTTTTTTCTGGAATTACTTGGTTTATTACTGCAGACCTCAAAGGATTTCTAAATATCCCTTCACTGAATTTACAAAAAAAGTGTTTGTAACCTGATGAATCAGAAGAAAGGTTTAACTTTTTGAGATGAGTCTGCGTATCACAAAGCAGTTTCACAGATAGCATCTTTCTAGTTTTTACCTCAGGATATTCAATTATTTACCATAGGCCTCAGCGGGCTCTCAAATGTCCCTTCGCAGCTTCTACAAATAGAGTGTTTCCAAGCTGCTGAATCAAAAGAAATGTTTAACTTTGGGAGATGATTCCACACATCACAAACAGTTTCACAGATAACCTATTTCTAGTTTTATCTGGCGATATTCAGTTTTTCAAAGTAGACCTCAGTGGACTCCCAAATGTCCCTTTGCAGGTTCTACAGAAAGAGTGTTTCCAACCTGCTGAATCAAAAGAAAGGTTAACCTCTGTGAGGTGAATCCACTCATCACCAAGCAGTTTCATTAACAGTTTCTAGTTTTTATGTTGGGATATTCTGTTTTTCACCATTGTCCTCCATGGATTTGCAAATGTCCCTTTGCAGATTCTACCAAAAAAGTGTTTCCAACCAACTGCATCAAAAGAAATTTTAAAACTGTGAGAAGAATCCATACATCTCAAAGTAGTTTCACGGATAGCTTCTTTTCAGTTTTTATCAGGGAATATTCGTTTACTCCACATCGTTTACTTCAATGGGCTCCAAGACTTCCCTTCACAGATCTTAGAAAAGAGTGTTTTTAACATGCCAAATCAAAAGAAATGTTTAACTGTGTGAGGTGAATCCACACATCACAATGCAGTTCTACAGATACCTTATTTCTAGTTTTTATCTGGGGTTATTTTGTTATTCACCATAGGCCTCTATGTGCTCCCAAGTGTCCCTTCACAGATTCTACAGAAACAGTGTTTCCAAACTGCTCAATCAAAGGAAAGGTTTAACTCAGTGAGAAGATTGCACACATCACAAACCGGCATCTGAGAAAGCTTCTTTCTCCTGTTTATATGAAGGTATTTCGGTTTTCACCAAAGACCTCAATGTGCTCCCAAATGTCCCTTCATGATTCAACAAAAACTATGTTGCCAAACTGCTCAATCAAAAGAAAGGCTTAACTCTGTGAGATGAATGCACACATCACAAAGCAGTTACACAGAAAGCTTCTTTCTGGTTTTTATCTGAAGATACTTCCTTTTTCACCATAGGTCTCAAAGCACTCCTAAATATCCCTTCTCGGATTCTACAAAAATACTTTTGCCAGACTGCTCAATCAAAAGAAAGGTTTAACTCCTTGAGATTAATGCACCCATCACAAAGCAGTTTCTCAGAAGTCTTCTTTCTAGTTTTTCTCTGAGGATATTTCTTTTTTCACAATAGGCCTCAAATTGCTCCCACATATCACTTCATAGATTTTAGAAAAACAGTGTTTCCAGACTGTTCAATCAAAGGAAATGCTTAACTCAGTGAGAAGAATGCCCACGTCACAAAGCAGTTTTGGAGAAAGCTTCTTTCTAGTTTTTATCTGAAGATATTGTCTTTTTCACCATAGGCCCCAATGTACTCCCATAAATCCTTTCCTAGATTCTACAAAAACAGTGTATCCAGACTGATCAATCAAAATAAAAGTTTACCTCTGTGAGATGAATGGGCACATCACAAAGGAGTTTCTCAGAAAGCCTCTCTCTACTTTTTCTTTGACGATATTTCCTTTTTCACCATAGGCCTCAAAGCACTCCTTATGTACCTTAGCAGATTCTACCAAAAGTATGCTTCCAGACTGCTGAATGAAATGAAACGTTGAACTCTGTGAGATGAATGCACAAATCACAAAGCTGGTTCTCAGAAACCTTCTTTCTAGTTTTTCTCTGAAGACATTTCCTTTTTCACCATAGGCCTCAATGTGTTCCTGTATACCCCTTCACAGATTCTACAAAAACAGTGCTTCCAAACTGCTCAATCAAAAGAACAGTTTAACTCTGTGAGAAGAAGGCACACTTCATGAAGCAGTTTCTGAGAAAGCTTGTTTCTAGTATTAATCTGAAGATATTCCCTTTTTCACCATAGGCATCAGTGCACTCCCAAATATCTGTTGACAGATTCTACAAAAACAGTGTTTCCAAAGTGCTCAATGAAATTAATGGTTTAGTTCTGTGAGGTGAATGCACACATCCCAAAGTGGTTTCTTAGAAAGCTTCTTTCTAGTTTTTATCTAACCATATTTCCTTTTTTACCTTAGGCCTCAATGAGCTCCCATACATCCGTTGGCAGATTCTACAACAACAGTGTTTCCAAACTGCTCAATTAAAATAATGGTTTACCTCTGTGATAAGAATGCATACATCACAAAGCAGATTTCGAAAAAGCTTCATTCTAGTTTATAACTGAAGGTATTTTGTTTTTCAACATAGACCTCAAAGCACTCCCAAATATTCCTTCTCAGATTTTACTAAAGCAAGGTTGCCAAAGTGCACAATCACAAGAAAGGTTTAGCTCTGTGAGATGAACTTGCTCATCACAAAGTAGTTTCTCACAAAGCTTCTTTCTAGTTTTTATGTGAAGATATTTAACTTTTCACAATAGGCCTGTAAGCACTCCCAAATAACATTTCTCAGATCCTACCAAAACAGTGTTTCAAAATAGCTCAATCAAAAGAATACTTTAACTCTGTGAGATGAATGCACACATCAGAAGGTGGTTTACAGGAATGCTTCTTTCTAGTTTTCATCTGAAGATATTTCCTTTTTCACCATAGGCCTCAAAGTGCTCCCAAATATCCCTTCACAGAATCTACAAAAAGAGTGTTTCCAAACTGCTAAATCAAAAGAAAGGTTTAACTCTGTGAGATGAATGCACTGAGCACAAAGCACTTTCTCAGAAACCTTCTTTGTAGTTTTTATCTGAAGATATTTCCTTTTCACCATTGGCCTCAATGTGCTCTCATATATACCTTCCTTGATTCTGCAAAAACAGAGGTTCCAGGCTGCTCAATGAAATGAAAGGTTTAAGTCTGTGAGAAATATGCACACTTCACAAAGGAGTTTCTCAGAAAGACTCTTTCGACCTTTTCTCTGATGATGTTTGCTTTTTTACCATAGGCCTCAAGGCATTCCCAAATATCCCTTCACAGATTCTACCAAAACGATGTTTCCAAACTGCTCCATGAAAATAATGGCTTAACTCTGTGAGGTGAATGCACACATCACAAAGCAGTTTCTTATGAAGCTTCTTTCTAGTTTTTATCTGAAGATATTTCCTTTTTCATCATAGGCCTCAATGAGCTCCCATATATCCATTGGCAGATTTCCCAACAACAATGTTTCCAAACTGCTCAATTGAAAGAACAGTTAAACTCTGTGAGAAGAATGCCCACATCACACAGCAGATTCTGGGAAGCTTCTTTCTAATTTATATCTGAAGATATTTTGTTTTTCCACATAGACAGCAAAGCGCTCCCAAATATCCCTTCTCAGATTTTACAAAATCACTCTGGACAAATTGCAAAATCACAAGAAACGTTTAATTCTGTGAGATGAACTTGCTCATTACAAATCAGTTTCTCACAAAGCTTCTTACTAGTTTTTATCTGAAGATATTTAACTTTTTCACAATAGGCCTGTAAGTGCTCCCAAATATCCCTTCACAGATCCTAACAAAACAGTTTTTCCAAATAGCTTAATCAAAAGAATGCTTTAACTCTGTGAGATGAAGGTACATATCAGAAGGCTGTGTATGAGAAGGCTTCTTTCTAGTTTTCATCTGAAGATATTTCCTTTCTCACCATAGACCTCACAGCACTCCCAAATATCCCTTCACATAATCTAAAAAAAACCGAGTGTGCAAACTGCTAAATCAAAAGAAAGGTTTAACTCTGTGGGATGAATGCACACATCAGAAAGCAGTTGTCCAGAAAGCTCCTTTCTACTTTTTATCTGAAGATGTTCCCTTTTTCACTATAGGCCTCAAATAACTCCCAAATAACCCTTCTCAGATTCTACACACAGAGTATGGGTTAACTGCTCAATCAAAAGAAACGTTTAACACTGTGAGAGGAATGCTCACGTCATAAAGCAGTTGCCCAGAAAGCTTCTTTCTACTATTTATCTGAAGACGTTCCCTTTTTCACTATAGGCCACAAAGCACTCCCAAATATCCCTTCTCACATTCTACAAAAAGAATGTTGCCAAATTACTCAATCAAAGGAAATTTTAACTCTGTGAGATGAATGCACTCATCACAAAGCAGTTACTCAGAAAGCTTCTTTCTAGTTTTATTTCTGAAGATATTTCCTGTTTGACTACAGGCCTCATTGAGCTCTCATATATCCCTTCCTAGATTCTAAAAAAAAAGTGTTTTCAGACTGCTCAATGAAAAGAAAACTTTAACTCTGTGAGAAGGATGCACACATCTCAAAGAAGTTTCTGAGAATGCTCCTTTCTACTTTTTCTCTCATGATGTTTCCTTTTTCACCATAGGCCTCAAGGCACTCCCAAGTACCCCTTCACAGATTCTACAAAAACTATGTTTCCAAACTGCTCAATCAAAAGAAACGTTTACCTCTGAGATGAATGCACACATCACAAAGCAGTATCTCAGAAAGCTTTTTTCTTGTTTTTCTCTGAAGGTAATTCCTTTTTCACCATAGGCCTGAATGTACTCCCAAATATCACTTCACAGATACAACCAAAACAGGGTTTGCAAATTGCTCAATCAAAAGAAAGGTTTACCTCTGTGAAAAGAATGCATACATCACAAAGCAGTTTCCCAGAAAGTTTCTTTCTAGTGTTTATCTGGAGACATTCCCTTTTTCACTAAAGGTCTCAAAGTGCTCCCAAATATCCCTTCTCAAGATGTACAAAAAGAGGGTGGCCAAACTGATCAATCAAAGAAAGGTTTCACTCTATGAGATGAATGCACTCAGAACAAAGCAGTCCCTCAGAATGCTTCTTTCTAGTTTTTATCTGAAGATATTTCCTTTTTCACCATTGACCTCAATGTGCTACCATATATCCCTTGCTAGTCTCTGAAAAAGCAGAGTTTCCAGACTGCTCAATGAAATGAAATGTTTAACTCTGTGAGAAACATGCACACATCACAAGGGAGTTTCTCAGAAAGTTTCTTTCTGCTTTTTCTCAGATGTTGTTTCCTTTTTTACCATACACCTCAAGGCGCTCCAAAATATCCCTTTGCAGATTCCACTAAAACATTGTTTCTAAACTGCTCAATGAAAAGAATGGTTTAACTCTGTAAGGTGAATGCACACATCACAAGGCTGTTTCTTAGAAAACTTCTTTCTAGTTTTTATCTGAAGTTATTTCCTTTTTCACCAGGAGCCTCAATGAGCTCCCATACATCCCTAGGCAGATTCTCCAACAACAGCATTTCCAAACTGCTCAATTAAAAGAACGGTTTAACTCTGTGAGAAGAATGCACAATCACAAAGCATATTCCCAGAAAGCTTCTTTCTAGTTTATATCTGAAGATATTTTGTTTTTCAACATTGGCCTCAAAGCACTCCCAAATATCCCTTCTCTGATTTTACAACAGAGCTGTTGCCAAACTGCACAATCAAAAGAAAGGTTTAACACTGAGAGATGAATGTAATCAGCACAAAGTAGTTTGTCAGAAAGCTTCTTTCTAGTTTTTATTTGAAGATATTTCCTTTTTCACCATTGACCTCGAAGTACTTGTATATATCCCATCCTAGATGCTAAAGAAACAGAGGTTCCAGACTGTTCAATGAAATGAAAGGTTTAACTCTGTGAGAAGTATGCACACATCATGAAGGAGTTTCTCAGAAAGCTTCTTTCTACTTTTTTTTTTTTGATAATCTTTCCTTTTTTTAACATAAGCCTCAAGGAACTCTCAAATATCCCATTGCAGATTCTACGAAAACAGTGTTTTCAAACTGCTCAATGAAAAGAATGGTTTAACTCTGTAAGCTGAATGCATACATCACAAAACAGTTTCTTAGAAAGCTTCCTTCTGGTTTTTGTCTGAAGATACTTCCATTTTCAACATAGGCCTCAATGAGCTCCCATATATCCCTTGGCAAATTTTCCAACAACAGTATTTCCAAAGTGCTCAACTAAAGGATAAGTTTAACTCTTTGAGAAGAATGCACACATCACAAAGCAGATTACCAGAAAGCTTCTTCCTAGTTTGTACCTGAAGATAATTTTGTTTTTCAACACAAGCCTCAAAGCACTCCAAAATATCCTTTCTGAGATTTTACAAAAGCCATGTTGCCATACTGCACTATCAAAAGAAAGATTTAACTGTGTGAGAAGAACTTACTCATTACAAAGCATTATCTCACAAAGCTTCTTTCTAGTATTTATTTGCAGACATATAACTTTTCATTATAAGCCTGTATGTGCTCCCAAATATTCCTTCGCAGATCCTACCAGAACAGTGTGTCCCAACTGCTCAATTAAAAGAATGTTTTAACTCTATGAGATGAATGGACACATCAGAAGGCAGTTTCAGAGAAAGCTTCTTTCTAGTTTTCATATGAAGATATTTCCTTTTCACCACAGGCCTCAAAGTGCTCCCAAATATCCCTTCACAGAATCTACAAAAACTGTGTTACCAAACTGCTCAATCAAAGAAAGGTTTACCTCTCTGAGATGAATGGTCATATCAGAAAGTAGTTGCTCAGAAAGCTTCTTTCTAATTTTTATCTGAAGATGTTCTCTTTTTCACTATAGGCCTGAAATCACCCCAAAATATTCTTTCTCAGATTCTACATAAAGAGTATTGGCAAACTGCTCAATCAAAAGAAAGTTTTAACACTATGATTTGAATACACACATCATAAAGCAGTTGTCCAGAAAAGTTCTTTCTAGTTTTTATCTGAAGATGTTGTTTTTTTCACTATAAGCCTCATAGCACTCCCTAATATCCCTTCTCAGATTCTACAAAAAGAGTGTTGCCAAACTGCTCAATCAAAAGAAAGGCTTAATTCTGTGAGATGAATGCATTCACCACAAAGCAGCTTCTCAGAAAACTTCTTTCTAGTTTTTATCTGAAAATATTTCCTTTTTCACTATAGGCCACAAAGAGCTCTCATATATCCCTTCCTTGATTCTAAAAAAACAGTGGTTCCAGACTTCTCAAGGAAAAGAAAGTTTTAACTCTGTGAGAAGAATGCATACATCACAAAGAAGTTTCTCAGAAAGCTTCTTTCTAACTTTTCTCTGATAATGTTTCTTTTTTTAGTATAGGCCTCAAAGCACTCCCAAATATCCCTTCACAGATTCTACCAAAAAAGTACTTCCAAACTGCTCAATGAAAAGAATGGTTTAACTCTATGAGGTGAATGCACACGTCACAAAGCGGTTTCTTAGAAAGCTTCTTCCTATTTTTTAACTGAAGATATTTCCTTTTTCACCATAGGCCTCAATGAGCTCCCATATATTCCTTGGCAGATCCTCCAACAATAGCGTTTCCAAACTGCTCAATCAATCAACAGGAAGGTTTAACTCTGTGAGAAGAACGAATATATCACAAAGCAGATTCCCAGAAAGCTTTCTAGTTTATATATAAAGATATTTTGTTTTTCAACACTGGCCTCAAAGTGCTCCCAGTTTCCCATCTCAGATTTTACCAAAGTACAGTTGCCAAACTTCACAATCAAAGGAAAAGTTTACCTCTGTGAGATGAACTTACTCATCACAAAGCAGTTTCTCACAAACCTTCTTTCTAGTTTTTATCTGAAGATATTTGACTTTTCACTATAGGTCTGTAAGTGCTCCAAAATATCCCTTTGCAGATCCTACCAAAACAGTGTTTCCAAACTGCTCAATCAAAAGAATGCTTTAACTCTGTGAGATGAATGCACACATCCAGAGGTGGTTTCTGAAAAGGCTTCTTTCTAGTTTTCATCTGAAGATATTTCCTTTTTCACCATAGGCCTCAAAGCACTTCCAAATATCCCTTCACAGCATCTAAAAAAACTGTGTTGACAAACTACTCAATCACAAGAAAGTTTTAACTGTGTGAGATGAATGCACTCAGTGCCATGCAGTTTCTCAGAAAGTGTCTTTCTAGCTTTTATCTAAAGGTATTTCCTTTTTCACTACAGGCCTCAGTGCACTCTCATATATCCGTTCTTAGATTCTAAAAAGACAGTGTTTCCAGACTGCTGAATGAAAAGAAAAGTTTAACTCTGGGACAAGAATGCACACATCACAAAGAAGTTTCTCAGAAATCTTCTTTTTAGTTTTGATTTGAAGATATTTCCTTTTTCACCATAGACCTTGGCAGATTATCCAACAGTGTTTCCAAACTGCTCAATCAAACAAAAGGTTTAACTGTGTGAGAAGAATGCACACATCATGAAGCAGATTCCCAGAAAGCTTCTTTATTCTTTATACCTGAAGATACTAAGTTTTTCAATATAGGCCTCAAAGTGATCCCAAATATGCCTTCTCAGATATTACAAAAGCACTGTTGTCAAACTCCACAATCAAAATAAAGGTTTAACTCTGTGAGATGAACTTACTCTTCACAAAGCAGTTTCCCAGAAAACTTCTTTCCATTACTTATCTGAAGATGTTCCCTTTTTCACTAGAGGCTTCAAAGTGCTCACAAATATCCCTTCTTGGAGTCTACAAAAAGAGTGTCGCCAAACTGCTCATTC
Organism: Homo sapiens; assembly: GCF_000001405.40. Taxonomy (NCBI): domain Eukaryota; kingdom Metazoa; phylum Chordata; class Mammalia; order Primates; family Hominidae; genus Homo; species Homo sapiens. The sequence goes on along the minus strand of NC_000019.10, from coordinate 27,507,146 downwards.
AAAAGAAAGGTTTCATTTTGTGAGGTGAATGCACTCAGCAAAAAGCAGTTTTCCAGAAAGCTTCTTTCTAGTTTTTAACTGAAGATATTTCCTTTTTCACTATAGGCCTCAATGCACTCTCAAATATCCTTTCCTAGATTCTAAAAGAACAGTGTTTCCAGACGGATCAATGAAAAGCATGGTTTAACTCTGTGAGAATAATGCCTGCATCACCAAGAAGTTTCTCAAAAAGCTTCTTTCTACTTTTTCTCTGATGATGTTTCCTTTTTTACCATAGACCTCAAGGTGCTCCCAAATACCCCTTCGCAGATTCTACCAAAACAGTGTTTCCAAACTGCTCAATCAAAAGAAACTTTTAACTCTGTGAGACGAATGCACACATCACAAAGCAGTTTCTCAGAAAGCTTCTTTCTAACTTTTCTCTGAAGATATTTCCTTTTTCACCTTAGGACTGAATGAGCTCCCAAATATCACTTCGCAGATACAACCAAAATAGGGTTTGCAAACTGCTCAATCAAAAGAAAGGTTTTCCTCTCTGAGAAGAATGCACATATCACAAAGCAGTTTCCCAGAAAGGTTCTTTCTAGTGTTTATCTGAAGACGTTCCCTTTTTTACAATAGGCTTCAAAGTGCTCCCAATTATCCCTTCTCAGAGTCTACAGAAAAAGTGTTGCCAAACTGCTCTATCAAAAGAAAGGTTTAACTCTGTGGGATGAATGCACTCAGCACAAAGCAGTTTCTCGGAAAGCTTTTTTCTAGCTTTTATCTGAAGATATTTCCTTTTTAACCTTTGTCCTCAATGTGCTCCCATATGGATATGGAGCTCCCTTCCTAGATTCTAAGGAAACAGAGGTTCTAGATTGCTCAATGAAATGCAAGATTTAACTCTGTGAGAAGTATGCACACATCACAAAGGAGTTTCTCAGACAGCTTCTTTCTACTTTTTCTCTGAGATGTTTCCTTTTTTACCATAGGCCTCAACACACTCCCAAACATCCCTTTGCAGATCCTACCAAAACAGTATTTCCAGACTGCTCAATCAAAAGAAACGTTTAACTCTATGACGTGAATGCACACATCATGAAGCAGTTTCTTAGAAACCTTCTCTCTTCTTTTCATCAGAAGATATTTCCTTTTTCACCGTCACCCTCAATGAGCTCCCATATATCCCTTGGCAGATTCTCCAACAACAGTGTTTCCAAACTGCTCAATCAAAAAAAAGGTTTACCTCTGTCAGATGAATGCATGCATCATAAAGCAGTTGCCCAGAAATCTTCTTTCTAGTTTTTATCTGAAGATGTTCCCTTGTTCACTATAGGCCTCAAAGTGCTCACAAATATCCCTTCTCAGATCCTACAAAAAGAGTGTTGCCAAACTGCTCAATGAGAAAAAACTTTTAGCTCTGTGAGATGAGTGCACTCAGCACAAAGCATTTTCTCAAGAAGCTTCTTTCTAGTTTTTATCTGAAGATATTTCCTTTTTCATTATAGGCCTCAATGCACTGTCATATATCACTTCCTAGATTCTAAAAAAAATAGTGGTTCCAGAATGCTCAATGAAAAGAAAGGTTTAACTCTGTGAGAAGAATGCACACATCACAAAGGAGTTTCTCAGAAAGCTTTTTTCTACTTTTCCTCTGATGATGTTTCCTTTTTCACCATAGGCCTCAATGCACTTCCAAATATCCCTTAGCAGATTCTACCAAAACAGTGTTTGCAAACTCCTCAATCAAAAGAAACGTTTAACTCAGTGAGATGAATGCACACATCACAAAGAAGTTTCTCAGCAAACTTTTGTCTCATTTTTCTCTGAAGATATTTCCTTTTTCACCGTCGGCCTGAATGTGCTCCCAAGAATCACTTCACAGATACAACCAAAACAGGGCTTCCAAACTGCTCAATCCAAAGGAAGGTTTAATTCTCAGAGAAGAATGCAGACTTCACAAAACAGATTCCCAGAAAGATTCTTTCTAGTTTCTATATGAAGATGTTCCGTTTTTCACTATAGGCCTCAAAGTGCTCCAAAATACCCCTTCTCAGATTCTCCAACAACAGTGTTTCCAAACTGCTCAATCAAAAGAAAGGTTTACCTGTGTGAGAAGAATGCACACATCATGAAACAGATTCCCAGAAAGTGTCTTTCTACTTTATACCTGAAGATATTATGTTTTTCAACATAGGCCTCAAAGTGCTCCCAAATAACCCTTCTCAGATTTTACAAAAGCACGGTTGCCAAACTGCACAATCAGAAGAAATGTTTAACTCTTTGTGATGAACTTACTCTTCACAATGCAGTCCCAGAAAGCTTTTCGTTTTTTTATCTGAAGACGTTCCATTTTCACTATAGGCCTCAAAGGACTCCCAAATATCCCTTCTCAGAGTGCACAAAAAGAGTGCTGCCAAACTTCTCATTAAAAAGAAAGGTTTCACTCTGTGAGATTAATGCACTCAGCACAAAGCAGTTTCCCAGAAAGCTTCCTTCTAGTTTTTATGTGAAGATATTTCCTTTTTCACCGTTGGCCTCAATGAGCTCCAATATATCTCTTCCTAGATTCCAAGAAAACAAAGTTTCACTAGATCCCATTTGTCAATTTTGGCTTTTGTTGCCATTGATTTTGGTGTTTTAGACATGAAGTCCTTGTCCATGACTATGTCCTGAATGGTATTGCCTAGGTTTTCTTCTAGGATTTTTATGGTTTTAGGTCTAACATGTAAGTCTTTAATTCATCTTGAATTAATTTGTGTATAAGGTGTAAGGAAGGGATCCAGTTTCAGCTTTCTGCATATGGTTAGCCAGTTTTCCCAGCACCATTTATTAAATCTGGAATCCTTTCCCCATTGCTTGTTTTTGTCAGGTTTGTCAAAGATCAGATGGTTGTAGATATGCGGCATTACTTCTGAGGGCTCTGTTCTGTTCCATTGATCTATATCTCTGTTTTGGTACCAGTACTATGCTGTTTTGGTACCAGTACTATGCTGTTTTGGTTACTGTAGCCTTGTAGTATAGTTTGAAGTCAGGTAGCGTGATGCCTCTGGCTTTGTTCTTTTGGCTTAGGATTGACTTGGTGATGAGGGCTCTTTTTTGGTTCCATATGAACTTTAAAGTAGTTTTTTCCAATTGTGTGAAGAAAGTCATTGGTAGCTTGATGGGGATGGCATTGAGTCTATAAATTACCTTGGGCAGTATGGCCATTTTCACGATATTGATTCTTCCTACCCATGAGCATGGAATATTCTTCCATTTCTTTTTATCCTCTTTTATTTCATTGAGCAGTGGTTTGTAGTTCTCCTTGAAGAGGTCCTTCACCTCCCTTGTAAGTTGGATTCCTAGGTATTTTATTTTCTTTGAAGCAATAGTGAATGGGAGTTCACTCATGGTTTGGCTCTCTGTCTGTTATTGGTGAATAAGAATGCTTGTGATTTTCACACATTGATTTTGTATGCAAAGACTTTGCTGAAGTTGCTTATCAGCTTAACGAGATTTTGGGCTGAGATGATGGGGTTTCCTAGATCTACAATCATGTCATCTGCAAACAGGGAAAATTTGACTTCCTCTTTTCCTAACTGAATACCCTTTATTTCCTTCTCCTGCCTAATTGCCCTGGCCAACACTTCCAACACTATGTTAAATAGGAGTGGTGAGAGAGCATCCCTGTCTTGTGCCAGTTTTCAAAGGGAATACTTCCAGTTTTTGCCCATTCAGTATGATATTGGCTGTGGGATTGTCATAGACAGCTCTTATTATTTTGAGATACGTCCCATCAATACCTAATTTATTGAGAGTTTTAGCATGAAGCGTTGCTGAATTTTGTCAAAAGCCTTTTCTGCATCTATTGAGATAATCATGTGGTTTTTTTCTTTGGTTTTGTTTATATACTGGATTACATTTATTGATTTGCATATGTTGAACCAGCCTTGCATCCCAGGGATGAAGCCCACTTGATCATGGTGGATAATCTTTTTGATGTGTTGCTGGGTTCAGTTTGCCAGTATTTTATTGAGGATTTTTGCATCAATGTTCATCAAGGATATTGGTCTAAAATTCTCTTTTTTTGTTGTGTCTCTGCCAGGCTTTGGTATCAGGATGATGCTGGCCTCATAAAATGAGTTTGGGAGGATTTCTTCTCTTTCTATTGATTGGAATCATTTCAGAAGGAATGGTACCAGCTCCTCTTTGTACCTCTGGTAGAATTCGGCTGTGAATCCATCTGGTCCTGGACTTTTTTTGGTTGGTAAGCTATTGACTATTGCCTTAATTTCAGAGCCTGTTATTGATCTATTCAGAGATTCAACTTCTTCCTGGATTAGTCTTGGGTGGATGTATGTGTTGAGGAATTTATTCATTTCTTCTAGATTTTCTAGTTTATTTGCATAGAGCTGTTTATAGTATTCTCTGATGGTAATTTGTATTTCTGTGGGATCGGTGGTGATATCCCCTTTATCATTTTTTACTGCATCTATTTGATTCTTCTCTCTTTTCTTCTTTATTAGTCTTACTAGTTGTCTATCAATTTTGTTGAACTTTTCAAAAAACCAGCTCCTGGATTCATTATTTTTTTGAAGGGTTTTTTGTGTCTCTGTTTTCTTCAGTTCTGCTCTGATTTTAGTTATCTCTTGCCTTCTGCTAGCTTTTGAATGTGTTTGCTCTTGCTTTTCTAGTTCTTTTAATTGTGAGGTTAGGGTGTCAATTTTGGATCTTTCCTGCATTCTCTTGTGGGCTATAAATTTCCCTCTACACACTGCTTTGAATGTGTCCCAGAGATTCTGATGTGTTGTGTCTTCATTCTCATTGGTTTCAAAGAGCATCTTTTTTTCTGCCTTCATTTCGTTATGTACCCAGTAGTCATTCAGGAGCAAGTTGTTCAGTTTCCATGTAGTTGAGCAGTTTTGAGTGATTTTCTTAATCCTGAGTTCTAGTTTGATTGCACTGTGGTCTGAGAGACAGTTTGTTATAATTTCTGTTCTTTTACATTTGCTGAAGTGTGCTTTACTTCTTTCTAGGTGGTCAATTTTGTAATAGGTGTGGTGTGGTGCTGAAAAAAATGTATATTCTGTTGATTTGAGGTAGAGAGTTCCATAGATGTCTATTAGGTCTGCTTGGTGCAAAGCTGAGTTTAATTCCTGGGTATCCTTGTTAACTTTCTGTCTCCCTGATCTGTCTAATGTTGACAGTGGGGTGTTAAAGTCTCCCATTATCAAAAGAAACTACCTTCAGGGTGAACAGGCAACCTACAAAATGGGAGATAATTTTCACAACCTACTCATCTGAAAAAGTGCTAATGTCCAGAATCTACAATGAACTCAAACAAATTTACAAGAAAAAAACAAACAACCCCATCAAAAAACTGGCAAAGGATATGACCAGACACTTCTCAAAAGAAGACATTTATGCAGCCAAAAAACACACGAAAAAATGCTCATCATCACTGTACATCAGAGAAATGCAAATCTAAACCACAATGAGATACCATCTCACACCAGTTAGAATGGTGGTCATTAAAAAGTCAGGAAACAACAGGTGCTGGAGAGGATGTAGAGAAATAGGAACACTTTTACACTGTTGGTGGGACTGTAAACTAGTTCAACCATTGTGGAAGTCAGTGTGGCGATTCCTCAGGGATCTAGAATTAGAAATACCATTTGACCCAGCCATCCCATTACCGGGTATATACCCAAAGGATTATAAATCATTCTGCTATAAAGACACAGGCACACATATGTTTATTGTGGCACTATTCACAATAGCAAAGACTTGGAACCAACCCAAATGTCCAACAACGATAGACTGGATTAAGAAAATGTGGCACATATACACCATGGAATACTATGCAGCCATAAAAAATGATGAGTTTATGTCTTTGTAGGGACACAGATGAAACTGGAAACCATCATTCTCAGCAAACTCTCACAAGGACAAAAAACCAAACACCGCATGTTCTCACTCATAGGTGGGAATTGAACAATGAGAACACATGGACACAGGACAGGGAACATCACACTCTGGTGACTGTTGTGGGGTGGGAGGAGGGGGAAGGATAGCATTTTGATATATACCTAATGCTAAATGACGAGTTAATGGATGCAGCACACCAAGATGGCACATGTATACATATGTAACAAACCTGCACTTTGTGCACGTGTACCCTAAAACTTAAAGTATAATAATAAAATAAAGTAAAATGAAATAAAAAACCAATAGTCCATAAAAAAACAAAGTTTATAGACTGCTCAATAAGATATAAGGTATAACTCTTTGAGATGTATGCACACATCACAAAGGAGTTTCTCAGAAATCTTCTTTCTACTTTTTCTCTGATGATGTTTCGCTTTTTACCACAGGCCTCAAGGCGGTCCCAAATATCCCTTCACTGATCCTACCAAAACAGTGTTTCCAAACTTCTCAATCAAAAGAAACGTTTAACTCTGTGAGATTAATGCACACATCATGAAGCAATTTCTTAGAATGCTTCTTTCTACTTTTTATTGGAAGATGTTTCCTTTTTCACCATAGCCCTCAATGAGCTCCCGTATATCCCTTGCAGTTTCTCCAACAACAGTGTTTCCACATTGCTCAATCAAAAGAAAGGTTTACCTCTGTGAGTAGAATGCACACATCAGAAAGCAGTTTCCCAGAAAGTTTCTTTCTAGTTTTTATCTGAAGACATTCCCTTTTTCATTATTGGCCTCAAAGCACTCACAAATATCCCTTCTCGGTTTCTACAAAAAGAGTGTTGACAAATTGCTCATTCAAAAGAAAGGTTTCATTGTGTGTGATAAATGCACTCAGCAGAAAGAAGTTTCTCAGAAAATTTCATTGTAGTTTTTATCTGAATATATTTCCTTTTCCATTATAAGCCTCAATGTGCTGTCATATATCCCTTCTTAGATTCTGAAAAAAACAGTGGTTCCAGGCTACTCAATGAAAAGAAAGGTCTAACTCTGTGAGAAGAATGCACACATCACAAAGCAATTTCTGAGAAATTTTCTTTCTACTTTTTCTCTGATGATGTTTTCTTTTTCACCAGAGGTCTCAATGTGCTCCCAAATATCTCTTTGCAGATTCTATCAAAACAGTGTTTCCAAACTGCTCAATCAAAATAAATGTTTAACTCTGTGAGACTAATGCACACATCACAAAACAGTTTCTCAGAAAGCTTCTTTCTCGTTTTTCTCTGAAGATATTTCCTTTTTCACTGTTGGCCTCAATATGCTCCATATATCCCTTCCTAGATTCTAAGGAAAAAGAAGTTCCAGGCTGCTCAATAGAATGAAAGCTTTAACTCTGTGAGAAGTATGTACACATTATAAAGGAGTTTCTCACAAAGCTTCTTTCTACTTTTTCTCAGACGATCATTCCTTTTTTAACATAGGACTCTAGTTGCTCCCAAATATCCCTTTGCAGATTCTACCAAAACAGTGTTTCCAAACTGCTTAATGAAAAGAATAGTTTACTACTGTGAGGTGAATGTACATATCACAAAGCAGTTTCTTTGATGGTTTCTTTCTAGTTTTTTTAATGTTTATTTCTTATTCTGTAATGGCCATAACTTTATTTTCATTTATTTATTATTTATTATTATTATACTTTAAGTTTTAGGGTACATGTGCACAATGTGCAGGTTAGTTACATATGTATACAAGTGCCATGCTGTTGTGCTGCACCCACTATCTCGTCATCTAGCATTAGGTATTTCTCCCAATGTTATCCTTCCCCCTCCCCCGCCACAACAGTCTCCAGTGTGTGATGTTCCCCTTCCTGTGTCCATGTGTTCTCGTTGTTCAGTTCCCACCTATGAGTGAGAATATGCGGTGTTTGGTTTTTTGTTCCTGCGATAGTTTACTGAGAATGATGATTTCCAATTTCATCCATGTCCCTACAAAGGACATGAACTCATCATTTTTTATGGCTGCGTAGTATTCCATGGTGTATATGTGCCACATTTTCTTAATCCAGTCTATCATTGTTGGACATTTGGGTTGGTTCCAAGTCTTTGCTATTGTGAATAGTGCCGCTCTAATCATACGTGTATATATGTCTTTATAGCAGCATGATTTATAATCCTTTGGGTTTATACCCAGTAATGGGATGGCTGGGTCAAATGGTATTTCTAATTCTAGATCCCTGAGGAATCACCACACTGACTTCCACAAAAAGTGGGCGAAAGACATGAACAGACACTTCTGTCTAGTTTTTATCTGAAGATATTTCCTTTTTCACTATAAGCCTCAATGAGCTCTCATACATCCCTTGGCAGATTCTCCAAAAACAGTGTTTCCAAAATGCTCAATCAAAAGAAAGGTTTAACTCTGTGAGAAGAATGCATACATCACAAAATAGATTCTCAGAAAGCTTCTTTCTAGTTTATATCTGAAGATATTTTGTTTTTCAACATAGGCCTCAAAGCGTTCCCAAATAGCCCTTCTCAGATTTTACAACAGCTCTGTTGCCAAACTGCACAATTAAGGTTTTACCTCTGTGAGATGAACTTAATAATCACAAAGCAGTTTCTCACAAAGCTTCTTTCTAGTTTTTATCTGAAAATATTTAACATTTCCCTATAGGCCTGAAAGTGCCCACAAATGTCCCTTCGCAGATCCTATCAAAACAGAGTTTCCATACTACTCAATCAAAAGAATTCTTTAACTCTGTGAGAAGAAAGCACACATAAAAAGGTGGTTTATGAGAAGGCTTATTTCTAGCTTTCATCTGAAGATATTTCCTTTTTCACTATAGGCCTCATAATGCTCCCAAATATCCCTTCTCAGAGTCTACAAAAAGAGTGTTTCCAAACTGTTCAATCAAAAGAAAGTTTAACTCTGTGAGGTGAATGCAGACATTAGAAAGCAGTTGCTTAGAAAGCTTCTTTCTACTTTTTATCTGAAGATGTTCCCTTTTTCACTATAGGCCACAAAGTGCTCACAAGTAACCCTTCTCAGATTCTACATAAAGAGTATTGGCAAAATGCTCAATCAAAAGAAAGGTTTGACTCTGTGAGATGAATGCACACATCATAAAGCGGTTGCCCAGAAATCTTATTTCTACTTTTTATCTGAAGACCTTCCCGTTTTCACTATAGGCCTCAAAGTGCTCACAAATATCCCTTCTCAGATTCTACAAAAAGAGTGTTGCCAAACTGTTCAATCAAAGAAAGGTTTAATTCTGTGAGATGAATGCACTCAGCACAAAGCAGTTTCTCAGAAAGCTTGTCTCTAGTTTTTATCTGAAGACACTTCCTTTTTCACTACAAGCCTCAATGTGCTCTCATATATCCCTGCCTAGATTCTAAAAAAAACAATGGTTCCAGACTGCTCAATGAAAAGAAAGGTTTAACTCTGTGAGAAGAATGCATACTTCACAAAGAAGTTTCTCAGAAAGCTTCTTTTTACTTTTTCTCTGATGATGTTTCCTCTTTCACCATTGTCCTGAATGTGCTCCCAAATATCCCTTCGCAGATTCTACCAAAACAGCATTTCCAGACTGCTCAATCAAAAGAAACGTTTAACTCTGTGAGTTGAATGCACACATCACAAAGCAGTTTCTCAGAAAGCTTCTTTTCAGTTTTTCTCTGAAGATATTTCCTTTTTCAGCATTGGCCTAAATGCGTTCCCAAATATCACTTTGCAGATAAAACCAAAACAGGGTTTGTAAACTGCTCAACCAAAATAAAGGTTTATCTCTGTGAGAAGAATGCACACATCACAAAGCAGTTTCTGCGAAAGCTTCTTTCTAGTATTTATCTGAAGATATTCCCTTTTTTACAGTAGGCTTCAATTCACTCCGAAATATCTCTTCACAGATTCTGCCAAAACAGTGTTTCCACACTAGTGTATCTAAAGAAACTTTCAACTGTGTGAGATTAATGTCCTCAACACACAGCTGTTTCTCAGAAGGTGTCTTTCTTGTTTTTATCTGAAGATATTTCCTTTTTCACCATTGGCCTGAATGGGCTCCAAAATATCACTTGGCAGATACTACCAAAAGAGTTTTTGCAAACTACTGAATCAAAAGAAAGGTTTATCTCTGTGAGATGAATGGACACAACCCAAAGCAGTTTCTCAGAAAGCTTCTGTCTAGTTTTTCTCTGAAGATATTTCCTTTTATACCGTAAGCCGCAATGCCCTCCTATATATCCCTTAGTAGACTCTATGCAAACAATGTTTCCAGACTACTCAATCAAAAGAAATTTTTAATTTTGTGAGAAGAATGCACACTTCAGAAAGCCATTTCTGAGAAAGCTTCTTTCTTGTATTTATCTGAACATATGTCCTTTTCACCAAAGCCCTCAATGGGCTCTCAAATATCCCTTCACAGATACTTCCAAAACAGTGTTTCCAAATTGCTCAAGCAAAAGAAAGGTTTAACTCTGTTTGATGAGTGCACACATCACAAAGCAGTTTCCCAGAAAACTTCTTTCTAGTTTTTATCTGAAGATATTTCCTTTCTCACCATACTCCTCGATGTGATCCCATGTATGTCTTTGCAAATTCTACCAAAAGAGCGTTTCCACAATGCTCAATCAAAAGACTGTTTAGCTCTGTGAGATTAAAGCACATATCACAAAACAGTTCCCACAAAGCTTCTTTCTAGTTTTTATCTGAAGATATTTATTCTTTGACCATTGGCCTCTAAGTACTCACAAATATGTCTTTGCAGATTCTATGAAAGCACTGTTGCCAAACAGCTCAATCAAAATAAATGTTTAACTTTTTAGATGAACATACTATTCAGAAGGTGGATTCTCAGAAAGCTTCTTTCTAGTTTTTATCTGAAGGTATTTAATTTTTCACCAGTCACCTGAAAGTGCTCCCAAATATCCCTTCACAGATTCTACCAAAACAGTGTTTCCAAACTTCTCAATGAAAAGAATGATTTAACTCTGTAAGATGAATGCACACATCCCAACGTGGTTTCTCAGATAGCTTCTTTATAGTTTTCATCTGAAGATATTTCATTTTTCACCATAGGCCTCAATGCGTGCCCATATATCCCTTTGCATTTTCTCCAACAACAGTTTTTCCAAATTGCTCAATCAAAAGAAAGGTTTAACTCTGTGAGAAGAATGAATACATCAAAAGCAGTTTCCCAGAAAGCTTCTTTCTACTTATTATCTCAAGACGTTTCCTTTTTCACTCAAAGCCCTCCGAAATATCCCTTCTCAGATTTTACAAAAAGAGTATTGGCAAACTGCTCAATCAAAAAAAGGTTTAACTCTGTGAGATGAATGTACACATCACAAAGAATTTGACCAGAAAGCTTCTGTCTAGTTTTTCTCGGAAGATATTTCCTTTTTCACCATAGGCCTCAATGTGTTCCGATATATCCCTGGGTAGATGCTACACAAAGAGTGTTTCCAGACTGCTTAATCAAAAGAAAATTTGATCTCTGTGAGATGAATGCACATATCACAAAAACGTTCCCAGAAAGTTTCTTTCTAATTTTTATCTGAAGATATTTCTTTTTTGACCATTGGCCTCAAAGCGCACCCAAATATGCCTTCACAGATCCTACAAAAGCACTGTTGCCAAACTGCTCAATCAAAATAAACAATTAACTGTTTGTGGTGAATGTACTCCTCACAAATCAGTTTCTCAGAACGATTCTTTCTAGTTTTTAACCAGAGATATTTTATTTTTCACCAGAGGCCTGAAATCGCTCCCAAATATCCCTTTGCAGATCCTACCAAAACAGTGTTTCCAAACTGCTCAATGAAAAGAATGGTATAAGTGTGAGATGAATGCACACATCACAAAGTGGTTTCTCAGAAAGATTCTTTATAGTTTTTATCTGAAGATATTTCCTTTTTCTCCCTAGGCCTCAATGCGTTCCCATATATCCCATGGCATTTTCTCCAAGAACAGTGTTTCAAATATGCTCAAAGAAAAGAAAGGTTTAACCCTGTGAGAAGAATGTGTACATCACAAAGCATTCTCCTAGAAAAGTTCTATTTTATATCTGAAGATATTTTGTTTTTCACCATAGACATCAAAGCAGTCCCAAGTATCCTTCTCAGATTTTACAAAAGCACTGTTGCCAAACTGCACAATAACAAGTTTAACTCTGTGAGATGAACTTACATATCACAACAGTTTTTCGCAAAGATTCTTTCTAGTTTTTATCTGAAGGTATTTTTCTCCATAGACCCGTAAGTGCTCCCAAATATCCCTTCGCAGATCCTACCAAAACAGTGTTTCCAAACTGCTCAATCAAAAGAATGCTTCAACTCTGTGAAATGAATGCACACATCAGAAGGCAGTTTCAGAGAAAGCTTCTTTCTAGTTTTAGTCTGAAGATATTTCCTTTTTCACCATAGGCCTCAAAGCGCTCCCAAATATACCCACACAGATCTTTCAAAAACAGTGTTGCCAAACTCCTCAATGAGAAGAAAGGTTTAACTCTGTGAAATGAATACACACATCATAAACCAGTTTCTCAAAATTCATTTTCTATTTTTTATCCTAAGATATTCCCTTTTTCACTATAAGCCTCTAATTGCTCCCAATATCACTTCTCAGATTCTACAAAAAGAGTGTTGCCAAACTGTTCAATCAAAAGGAAGTTTTAACTCTGTGAGATGAATGCACTCATCACAAAGCAGTTTCTCAGAAAGCTTCTTTCTAGTTTTTATCTAAAGATATTTCTTTTTTCACCATAGGCCTCAATGCACTCTCATATATCCCTTCCAAGATTCTATAAAAACAGTGCTTCCAGACTGCTAAATGAAAAGAAAGGTTTAACTCTGGGAGAAAAATGCACACATCACAAAGGGGTTTCTCAGAAAGCTTCTTTCTAATTTTTCTCTGATGATATTTCCTTTTTCACCATAGGCCTGAATGCACTCCCAAATATCCCTTCGGAGATTCTACCAAAACAGTGATTCCAAACTGCTCAATGAAAAGAAAGTTTTACCTCTGTGAGAAGAATACACACATCACAAAGAAGTTTCTCAAAAAGCTTCTTTCTACTTTTTCTGTGAAGATATTTTCTTTTTCATCATAGGCCTCAATGCGCTCTTATATATACCTTCACAGACTCCACAAACACAGGGTCTCCAAATTGCTCAAAAGAATGGTTAAACTCTGTAAGAAGAATGCATACATTACAAAGCGTTTTCTGAGAAAGCTTCTTTCTACTATTTATGTGAAGGTATTCCCTTTTTCACCATAGGTCTGAATGCCCTCCCAAATATCCCTTCACAGATAGTACCAAAACGGGGTTTGGAAACTCCTCAATCAAAAGAAAGGTTTAACTCTGTGAGATGAATGCACACATCACAAAGCAGTTTCTCAGAAATTTTCTGTCTAGTATTTCTTGGAAGATATTTCCTTTTTCACCATAGTCCTCAATGTGCACCCGTATATCCCTGCATAGACTCTACAAAAACAGTGTTTCCAGACTGTTCAATCAAAGAAAGGTTTTACTCTGTGGGAAGAATATGCACATCACAAAGCAGTTTCCCAGAAAGCTTCTTTCTAGTTTTTACCTGAAGATATTTCCTTTCTCAACAGATGTCTCAAAGTGATCCCAAATGTGTCTCGCAGATTCTTCCAAAACAGTCTTTCCATCCTGCTGAATCAAAAGACAGTTTTAACACTGTGACATAAATGCACACATCACAAACAGATTCCCAGAAAGCTTCTTTCTAGTTTTTATCTGAAGATATTTCTTTTTTGACCTTAGGCCTCAAAGTGCTTCCAAATATGCCTTCTAGATTCTCCAAAGTCCCTGTTTCCAAACTGCTCAATCAAACGAAACATTTAACTCTTTGAGATGAGTGCACTCGTCACAAACCAGTTTATCAGAAAGCATCTTTCTAGTTTTTATCTGATGATATTTAATTTTTCACCAGAGGCCTATAAGCGATCCTTAATATCCCTTTGCAGATTCTACCAAAACAGTGTTTTCAAACTTCTCAATGAAAAGTATGGTTAAACTCTATGAGATGAATGCACACATCACAAACCATTTTCTCAGAAAGCTGCTTTCTAGTTTCTATCTGAAGATATTTCCTTTTTCACCACTGGCCTCAGTGTGCTCCAATTTATCCCTTTCTATATTTTAAAAAAACAGTGTTTCCAAACTGCTCAATCAAAAGAAAGGTTTAACTCTGTGAGAAGAATGCACCCATCACAAAGCAGATTCCCAGAATGTTTCTTTCTATTTTATATCTGAAGATATATTGTTCTTCACCATAGGCCTCAAAGCACTCCCAAATATCCCTTCTCAGATTTTTAAAAACACCGTTGTCAGACTGAAAAATCAAAAGAAAATTTTAACTCTGTGAGATGAACTTACTCATCACAAAGTAGTGTTTCTCACAAAGCTTCTTTCTAGTTTTTATCTGAAGATATTTATTTTTCACCATAGGCCTGTAAGCGCTCCCAAATATCCCTTCATACATCCTACGAAAACAGTGTTTCCAAACTGCTCAAAGAATGGTTTAACTCTCTGAGATGAATGCACACATCTGAAGGTGGTTACTGAGAAAGCTTCTTTCTAGTTTTCCTCTGAAGATATTTCCTTTTTCACCATAGGCCTCAAACCACTCCCAAATATACCTTCTCAGATTCTACAAAAAGAGTGTTGCCAAACTGCTCAATCAAAAGAAAGTATGAATTCTGTGAGACGAATGCACTCATCACAAAGCAGTTTCTCAGGAAGCTTCTGCCTAGTTTTTCTCAGAAGATATTTCCTTTTTCACCACTGACCTCAATGTGCTCCCATATATCCCTTCCTAGATTTAAAAAAAAAGAACAGTGTTTCCAGACTGCTTAATGAAAGGAAATATTTAACTCTGTGAGAAGAATGCACACATCACAAAACTGTTTCTGAGAAAGCTTCTTTCTAATTTAATCTGAAGTTATCTCCTTTTTCACCATAGGCCTCAAAGCTCTACAAAATATCCCTTCGCAGAGTCTACCAAAACAGTGTTTCCAAACTGCTCAATGAAAAGAAAGATTTAACTCTGTGAGAAGAATGCACCCATCACAAAGCTGTTTTTGAGAAAGCATCTTTCTAGTTTTTATCTGAAGATATTTCCTTTTTCACCATAGGACTCAATACACTCCCAAATGTCCCTTCACAGATTCCATAAAAATAGATTTCCCACACTGCTTCATATTTATCTGAAGATATTACCTTTTTCACCATAGACCCCAATGCACTTCCAAGTGTCCTTTTACAGATGCAACAAAAACAGTGTTGCCAAACTGCACAATCAAAAGAAAGGTTTATCTCTGTGGGATGAATGAACACATCACAAAGCAGTTTCCCAGAAAGCTTCTTTCTAGTTTTTATCTGAAGATACTTCCTTTTACACCATAGGCCCTGAAGCACTCCCAAACATCCCTTCTCAGATTCTACAATCACACTGTTGCCAAACTGCTCAGTCAAAAGAGAGGTTTCACTCTGTGAGATGAATGCACACATCACAAAGCAGTTTCTCAGAAAGCTTCTTTCTAGTTTTTCTCTGAAGATATTTTCTTTTTCACCATAGGCCTCAATACACTCCCATATATCCCTTCATAGATTCTACCAAAACAATCTTTCCAGGCTGCTTGATCAATGGAAATGTTTAACTGTGTGAGAAGAATGTACACTTCACAGAGCAGTTTCTCAGAAACCTTCTTTCTAGTTTTTATCTGAAGATATTTCTTTTTTTACTGTAGACCACAAAGCACTACAATATATCCCTTTGTAGATTCTACAAAAACAGTGTTTCCAGACTGCTCAATCAAAATAAAGGTTAACTCTGTGAGAAGAACGCCCTGAACACAAAGCGGTTTCTGAGAAACTTCCTTCTAGTTTTTTTCTGAATATATTTCCTTTTTCACCATAGGCCTCAACTCGCTCTGAAATATCTCTTTGCAGATCCTACCTAAAGAGTGTTTCCAAACTGCTCAATCAAAAGAAAGGTTTAACTCTGAGAGATGAAGGTAGAAATCATAAAGCAGTTTCCCAGAAATCTTCTTTCTAGTTTTTATCTGAAGATGTTCCCTTTTTAACCGTAGGCCTCAAAGTGCTCCCAAACACCCCTTCTCAGATTCTACAAAAACGTTGATGCCAAACTGCTAAATCAAAAGAAAAGTTTAACTCTGTCAGGAGAATGCCCACATCACAAAGCCAATTCTGAGAAAACTTCTTTCTAGTATTTATCTGAAGATATTTCCTTTTTGACCATAGACCTCAATGTGCTCCCAATTGTCCCTTCACAGATTCAATAAAAACAGTGTTGCCAAACTGCAAAATGAAAAGAAAGATTTAACTCTGTGAGATGAATGCACAAATCACAAAGCAGTTTCCTAGAGAGTTTCTTTTTAGTTTTTATATGAAGATATTTCCTTTTTCAGCATAGGCCTCAATGTGCTCCCAAGTATCTCTTCTCAGATCCTACCAAAACAGTGTTTCCAAACTACTCATCCAAAAGAAAGATTTAACTGTGTGAGATGAATGCCCTCGTCAGAAAGCAGTTTCTCAGAATGTTTCTTTCTAGTTTTTATCTGAAGATATTTCCTTTTTCACCATAGGCCTGAATGCCCTCCCAAATATCACTTCACAGATTCTACAAAAACAGTGTTTCCAAACTGCTCAATCAAAAGAAAGGTTTAACTCTGTGAGAAGAATGCAGACATCACGAAGCAGTTTCTGAGAAAGCTTCTTTCTACTTTTTATCCCAAGATATTTCCTTTTTAACCATAGATCTTGATGCGCTCCCAAATATCCCTTCACAGATACATCAAAAACTGTGTTTCCAAACTGCCCATTCAAAAGGAAGTTTTAATTCTGTGAGATGAATGGACACATCACAAAGCAGTTTCTCAGAAAACTTCTTTCTAGTTTTTATGTGAAGATATTTCCTTTTTCACCCTTGGCCTCAATTGGCTCCCAAATATCCCTTCACAGATTCTAAAAAAAACAGTTTCCAAACTACTCAACCAAAAGAATGGTTTAACTCTATGAGAAGAATGTCACATCACAAAATGGTTTCTCAGAAAGCTTCTGTCTAGTTTTTATCTGAAGATATTTCCTTTTTCACCATATGCTTTTATGTGCTCCCAAATATCCCTTCGTAGATTCTACAAAAACAATGTTTACAAACTACACAATCAAAAGAAAGTTTTAACGTTGTGAGACGAATGCCCACATCTCAAAGCAGTTTCTCAGAAAGCTTCTTTCTAGTTTTTATCTGAAGATATTTCCTTTTTCACCACAGTCCCCAATGCAATCCCTAATAACCCTTCACAGATTCTACCAAAACAGTGTTTCCAAACTGCTCAATCAAAAGAAAGGTTTACCTATATGAGATGAATGCACACATCACAAAGCAGTTTACCAGAAAACTTCTTTCTAGCTTTTATCTGAAGATATTTCATTTTTCACCATTGGCCTCAATGCGCCCCCAAATATCCCTTTGCATATTCTACAAAAGCAGTGTTTCCAAACTGCTCAATCAAAAGAATGGTTGAACTCTTTGAGAAGAATGCATGCAACACAAAATGGTTTCTCAGAAAGCTTCTTTCCAATTTTTCCTGTGAAGATATTTTCTTTTTCACCATAGGCTTCAGTGTGGTCCCAAATATATCACTGCAGATTCAACAAAAACAATGATTCCAAACTGCTCAATCAAAAGAAAGCTTTAACTCTGTGACATGAATGCACATAGCAAAAAGCAATTTCTCAGAAATCTTCTTTCTAGTTTTTTACTGAATATATTTCCTTTTACACCGTAGTTCTCAATGCGCTCCCAAATATCTGTTTGCAGATTCTAGAAAAAGAGTGTTTCCAAACTACTGCATGAAAAGAAATGTTTAACTCTCCAAGATGAATGCACAAATCACAAGGCGGTTTGTCAGACAGCTTCCTTGTCAGTTTTATCCTGGAGTATTCCCTTTTTCGCCTTTGGACTCAAGGAGCTCCCAAATGTCCATTTGCGGAATGGACAAAAACAGTGTTTCCAAACTGCCAAGTCAAAAGAATGGTTTAAGTCTGTGAGATGAATGTGCACATTACAATGTGGTTTCTCAGATAGCTTTCTTCTAGTTTTTACCCTGGGATATTCACTTCTTTGCCTGTGGCCCTGATGATCTCTCAAATATCCCTTGGAAGATTCTACAAAAATGTGTTCCCAAACTACTTAATGAAAAGAATGGTTTATCTCTGTGAGGTGAATGCATACATCATAGAGCAGTTTCTGAGATAATTTCCTTCTAGTTTTTACCCAGAAATATTCACTTTTTTTGCCATTGGCCTCAATAAGCTTCCAAATGTCCTTTCTCAGAATGGACAAAAACACTGTCTCCAAACTGCTAAATCAAAGGGAAGGTTTAACTCTGTGAGATGAATGCACACATCACAAAGCAGTGCTCAAAAGCTTCCTTCTAGTTTTTATACGAAGATATTTTCTTTTTCACCATAGGCCTCAAAGCGGTCCCAAATATCACTTCACAGATTCATAAAAACCGTGATTCCACACCTTTAAATCTAAGGAAAGGTTTAACTCTGTGAGATGAAAGCAGTTTCTTATAAATCTTCTTTTCAATTTTTTGTCTGAATATATTTTCTTTTTCACCACAGGCCTTAATGCACTCCCAAATATCCCTTCACAGATTCTACAAAAACAGTGTTTCCAAACTACTGAATGAAAAGAAAGGTTTAACTCTGCAAGATGAATGCAAACATCAGAAAGTGGTTTCTCAGATAAATTCCTTCTAGTTTTTATCCTGGGATATTTGCTTTTTCACCATTGGCCACAGTGCATTCCCAAATATTGATTCACTGAATGGACAAAAACAGGCTTTCAAAACTGCTGAATCAAAGAAAAGTTTAACTCTGTGAGATGAATCCACATATCACAAAGCAATTTCTCAGAAAGCTCCTTTCTAGTTTTTATCTGAAGATTTTTTATTTTTCACCATTGGCCTCAATGCACTCCCAAATGTCAATTCGCAGATTCTAAAAAAAACAGTGTTTCCAAACTGTTGAATGAAATGGTAAGTTTAACTCTATGAGATGAAAGCACACATCACAAAGCTGTTTCTTAGATAGCTTCCTCCTACTTTTTATCTGAAGAAATATTATTTTCACCACAGGCCTCAATTTGCTCCAAAATATCCCTTCTATATTCTACAAAAACTGTGTTTTCAAACTGCTGAATCAAAAGAAAGGTTTAACTCTGAGAGATGAATGCACACATCACAAAGCAGTTTATCAGAAAGCTTCCTCCAAGATTTTATCTGAAGATACATTACTTTTTGTCACAGTCCAAAATGCACTCCCAAATATCCCTTTGCAGATTCTAAAAAAAGTGTTTCAAAACTGCTGAATGAAAATAACTGTGTAACTGTGAGACATGAATGCACACATCACAATACCATTTCTCAACTTACTTCATTCTAATTTTTATCCTGGGATATTCACTTTTCCATGATCGGCCTCAATGAGCTTCCAAATTTGCATTCACAGAATGGATGAAAATGGTGTTTCCAACCTGGTCAATCAAAAGAAATGTCTAACTTTGTGAGATAAATACATATATCAGACAAAAGTTTCTCAGAAATCTTTCTAATTTTTACCTGAAGATATTTTCTTTCTCACCATAGGCATCTGTGCACTCCGAAATATCCCTTCATAGATTCTACCAAAACAGTGTTTCCAAACTGCTCAATCAAAAGAAAGGTTTAACTCTGTGAGATGAATGCACACATCAAAAAGCAGTTTCCCAGAAAGCTTCTTTTTATTTTTTATCTGAAGATATTTCATTTTTAAACATAGGTCTAAAACTGCTCTCAATATCCCTTCTGAGATTCTACAAACACACTGTTGCCAACATGCTCAATCAAAAGAAATTTTAACTCTGTGAGATGAATGCACACATCACAAAGCAGGTTCTCAGAAATCTTTCTAATTTTTCTCTGAGGATATTTCCTATTTCTTCCCAGGCCTCAATGTGCTCTGATATATCCCTTCCTAGATTCTACCAAAACAGTGTTTCCAAACTGCTCAATCAAAAGAAACGTTTAACTCTGTGAGAAGAATGCACAAACCACAAAGCAGTTGCTGAAAATCTTCTTTCTAGTATTTATCTGAACATATTTCCTTTTTCACCAAAGGCCTCAATGTACTCCCAAATACCACTTCATAGATTCTACAAAAACAGGGTTTCCAAACTGCACAATCTAAAGAAAGTTTTAAACCTGTTAGATGAATGCACTCATCACATACAGTTTCTCAGAAAGCTTCTTTCTAGTTTTTATCTGAAGATATTTCCTTTTTCACCATAGGCTTCAAACTCTCCCCAAATATCCCTTTGCAGATTGTACAAAAACTGTTTCTGAACTTCTCAATCAAAAGAAAGGTTTAACTCTTTGAGACGAATGCACACATCACAAAGCAGTTTCTCAGATAGCTTCTTTCTAGTTTTTCTTCCAATATATTTACTTTTTCACGTTTGGCTTCAATGCACTCCCATATGTCAACTCATAGATTCAACAAAAACAGTGTTTCCAGACTGCACAATTAATAAAAATGTTTAACTCTGTGAGAAGAATGCACACATCCCAAAGTGGTTTATAAAAAGGCTTTTTCTTTAGTTTGTATCTGAAGATATTTCCTTTTTCACCATAGGCCTCAAGTGCTCCCAAATATCCCTTCGCACAGTCTACCAAAACACTTTCTCCAAACTGCTCAATCAAAAGAAAGGTTTAACCCTGTGAGATGAATGCATACACCACAAAGCAGTTTCTCAGAAAGTTTCTTTCTACTTTTTATTTTAAGATGTTTCCTTTTTAACTCTCAGCTTCAATGCGCTCCCAAATATCCTTTGGCCAATTTAACAGAAACAGTATTTCCAAACTGCTCAATCAAAATAACATTGTAACTCTGTGAGATGAATGTACACATCACAAAGCAGTTGCCAGAAAGCTTCTTCCTTGTTTTTCTCTGAAGATATTTCCTTTTTCACCATATGCCTCCAAGCGCTCCTAAATATGCCTTCACAGATTCTATAGAAAAAGTTTTTCCAAACTGCTCAATCCAAAAAAGAGTTTTAACTCTTAGATTAATGCACACATCACAAAGCAGTTTCTCAGAAAGGTTCCTTCTAGTTTTTATCTGAAGATATTTTATTTTTTACCATAGGCCTTAAAATGCTCCCAAATATCCCTTCTCAGATTCCCAAAAAACAGTGTTGCAAAACTGCTCAATGAAAAGAAAGATTTACCTCTTTGAGATGAATGCATTCATCACAAAGCAGTTTCTCACAAAGCTTTTTTCTAGTTTTTATCTGAAGGTATTTCCTTTTACAGCAGAGGCCTGAATGTGCTGCCATATATCCCTTTGCAGATTCTACAAAAACAGAGTTTCCAAACTGCTCAACCAAAAGAAAGTTTTAACTGTGTGAGATGAATGCACACAAACTAAGCAGTTTCTAAGAAGCTTCTTTTTATTTTTTATCTGAAGATATTTCCTTTTTCACCATAGGCCTCAGTGTGCTCCAAGATCCCCCTCACAGATTTTACAAAAACAGTGTTTCCAAACTACTCAATGAAGAGAAAGGTTTAGCTGTGTGAGATGAATACACACATCAAAAACAGTTTCTCAGAAAGCTTCTTTCCTGTTTTATCTGAAGCATATTTTTTTCACCATAGGTCTCAATGCTCTCCCAAATATACTTTTGCAGTTTGTACAAAAACAGTGTTTTCAAACTGCTCCATCAAAAGAAAGTTTTGGCTCTGTGAGATGAATGCACACATGACAAAGCAGTTTCTCAGAAAACTTCTTTGTAGTTTCTAATCTGAAAATAATTCATTTTCCTCCATATGCCTCAATGTGCTCACAAATACCCCTTTGCAGATTCTACAAAAAGAGTGATTACAACGCACTCAATCAAAAGAATGGTTTAAGTCTGTCAGGTGAATGCACACATCACAAAGCAGTTCATCAGAAAGCATGTCTATAGGTTTTATCTGAAGATATATGGGTTTTCATCATAGGACTCAATGCGCTTCAAAATATCCCTTCACAGATTCTACAAAAACATTGTTTCCAAACTGCTCAATCAAAAGAAAGGCTTGCCTCTGAGAGATGAATTCTCACATCATACAGCACTGTCTCAGAAATCTTCTTTCTAGTTTGTATCTTAAGATATTTCCTCTTTCACCACAGGCCTCAATGTGTTCCAAAATATCTCTTCACAGTTCCTACAAAAACAGTGTTTCCTAACTATTCAATCAAAAGAAAGGTTTAACTCTGTGAGTTGAATGCACACATCAGAAAGCAGTTTCTCAGAAAGTTTCTTTCTAGTTGTTTGCCTCTGAAGATAATCCGTTTTTCACCATAGGCCTCAAAGTTCTTCCAAATATGCCTTTGCAGATTCTACAAAAACAGTGTTTCCAAACAGCTCAATCAAAAGAAAGGTTTACCTCTGTATGATGAATGCACACATTACAAAGCCGTTTATCAGAAAGCTTCTTTCTAGTTTTTCTCTGAAGACATTTCCTTTTTCACCAAAGGCCTCAATGCGGTCCCAAATATCCCTTCGTAGATTCTACAAAAACAGTGTTTCCAAACTGCTCAATCATAATAAAGGTTTAACTCTCTGAGAAGAATGCACACACACAAAGTAGTTTCTCAGAAAGCTTCTTTCTAGTTTTTATATGGAGATATTTTCTTTTTCACCCTATGCCTCACTGCTCTCCCTCTCTGTTATGATTCTACATAAACAGTGTTCCCAAACTGCTGAATCAAAAGAAAAGTTTATTGTTGTGAGTTGAACACACACATCATTAAGCACCTTCTCAGACAGCTTCTTTCCTGTTTTTATCTGAAGAAATTTCCTTTTTCACCTTATGTCTCAAGGTGCTCTCAAATATCCCTTTGTAGGTTCCCCAAAAAAACATTTTTTTCGTACTGCTCAAACAAAAGAAAGCTTTAACTCTGTGAGATGAATGCACACATCACAAAGCAGTTTCTCATAAAGCTGTTTTCTAGTTTTTATGTGAAGATATTTCCTTTTTCACCATAGGAATCAATGTGATTTCAAATATCCCTTCACAGATTCTACAAAAACAGTGTTTCCAAACTATTCTATCAAAAGAGAGTTTTAAATCTGTGAGATGAATGCACACATCACAAAGCAGTTTCTCACAGAGCTTCCTTCTAGTTTTTATCCAGGGATATCAGCTTTTTCACCACTGGCCCCAAAGAGCTTCCAAATATCCACTCAGAGAATGGAAAAAAAATAGTATTTCCAAACTGCTGAATGAAAAGAAAAGTTTAACTCTGTGAGATGAATGCACACAACAGAATGCAGTTTCTCAAATGCTTCCTCAACTTTTTATCTGAATGTATATATTTTTTCACAATAGCTCCCTATGCACTCTGAAATACAACTTCACAGATTCAACAAAAATAGTTTTTCCAAACTGCAGAATGAAAAGAAAGATTTCATTATGTGAGACAAATGCACACATCACAAAGTGATTTCTCAGAAAGCTTCCTTCTGGTTTTTATCCTGGGATATTCGCTTTTTTGCCACTGACCTTTATGAGCTCCCAAATGTACATTTGCATAATGGGCAAAAACAGTGTTTCCACACTGCTGAATCAAAAGAAAGGTTTAACTCTGTGAGAGGAATGCACACATCACAAAGCAGTTTCTCATAAAGCTTCCTTCCACCTTTTATCTCAAGATATTTCCTCTTTGACCATAGGCCTCAATGTGCTCCCAAATATCCCTTCACAGATTCTACAAAAACAGTGTTTCCAAACTGCTGAATGAAAAGAAAGTTTTCACTCTGTTAGATGAATGCACGCATCACATAGTAGTTTCTCAGATACCGTCTTTCTACTTTTCATTGAAGATAATTTATTTTTCACCATAGGTCTCACAGTGCTCCCAAATACACCTTGGCAGATTCTACAAAAAGAGTGTTTACAAACTACTGAATGAAAAGAAAGGTTTAACTCTGCCAGATGAATGCACACATCACAGAGCTGTTTCTGAGATAGCTTCCTTCCATTTTTTATCCGGAGATATTTGCTTTTTCACCATTGGCATCAATGAGTTTGCAGAATGGGCAAAAACAGGATTTCCAAATTCCTGAATAAGAATAAAGTTTTAACTCCATGAGATGAATGCACACATCACAAAGCAGTTTCTCAGAAAGCTACTTTCTACTCTTTATCTGAGGATATTTTCTTTTTCACCATAGTACTCATAGTGCTCCCAAAGATCCCTTTGCAGATTTTACAAAAACAGTGTTTCCAAACTGCTGAATGAAAAGAAAGATTTCAGTCTGCAAGAAGAATGCACACATCACAAAGCCGTTTCTCAGATACCTTCGTTCACATTTTTATCCTGGGATACTAGCTTTTTGCAATTGGCACCAATGAGCTCCCAAATATCCCTTCACAGATTTACAAAAATTGTCTTTCCAAACTGCTGAATGAAAAGAAAGATTTCACTCTGCAAGATGAATGCACACATCACAAAGCAGTCTCTCAGATAGCTTCTATCTAGTTTTTATCATGGGATATTAGCTTTTTCCCCTCTTGCCTCAATTAGCTCCCAAATGTCCATTCACAGAATGGAAAAAAACAGTGTCTCAAAACTGCTGAATCAAAATAAAGGTTTAACTCTGTGAGATGAATGCACACATCACAAAGCTGTTTCTTAGAAAGCATTTTTCTATTTTTTACCTGAACATTGTTTTTTTCTCACCATAGGCCTCAAAGTGCTCTCAAATATCATTTTGCAGATTTTACGAAAACCGTGTTTTCAAACTGCTGAATGAAACTTATGGTTTAACTCGGCCAGATGAATGCACACATCACAAAGCAGTTTCTTAAATAGATTCCTTCTCATTTTTATCATGGGATATTACCTTTTTCCTCCTTTGTCTCAATGAGCTCCAAATGGTTCATTCACAGAATGGACAAAAACAGTGTTTCCAAACTGCTGAATTAAAAGAAAGGTTTACCTCTGTGAGATGAATGCACACATCACAAAGCAGTTTCTCAGACAGCTTCCTTCTAGTTTTTACCCGGGATATTTTCTTTGTCTTTGGCCTTAATGATATCCCAAATATCCCTTGGAAGATTCTACAAAAACAATATTTCCAAACTGCTTGATGAAAAGAACTGTTTATCTCTGCGAGATGAACGCACACATAATAGAGTAGTTTCTCAGATAATTTCCTTCTAGTTTTTATCCAGTGATATTTACTTTTTTGCCATTGGCCTCAATGAGCTTAAAAATTGTCCATTCTCAGAATGGACAAAAACAGTGTCTCCAAACTGCTGAATCAAAGGGAATGTTTAACTCTGTGAGATGAATGCACATATCACAGAGGAGTTCTCAGAAAGCTTCTTTCTAGTTTTTATCTAAAGATATTTTGTTTTTCACCATAGGTCTCAAAGCGCTCCCAAATATCACTTCACAGATTCAACAAAAAGAGTGATTCCAAACCTCTGAATCAAAGGAAAGCTTTAACTCTGTGAGAGGAGTGCAGTTTCTTATAAAGCTTCTTTTCAGTTTTTATCGAATATATTGTCTTTTTCACCACAGGCCTTAATGCACTCCCAAATATCCCTTTGCAGATTCTACAAAAACAGTGTTTCCAAACTGCTGAATGAGAAGGAAGTTTTAACTCTGCAAGATGAATGCACACATCAGAAATTGGTTTCTCAGAAAAATTCCTTCTAATTTTTATCCTGGGATATTTGCTTTTTCACCATTGGCCACAGTGTATTCCCAAATGTTGATTCACTGAATGGACAAAAACAGGCTTTCAAGACTGCAGAATCAAAGAAAAGTTTAATTCTGTGAGATGAATGCACATATCACAAAGCAGTTTCTCAGAAAGGTTCTTTCTAGTTTTTATCTGAAGATTTTTTATTTTTCACCATCAGCCTCAATATACTCCCAGATGTCCATTCACAGATTCTAAAAAAACACTGCTTCCAAAGAGTTGAATGAAAAGAGAGGTTTATCTCTGAGATTAGTGCACACACCACAGAGCAGTTACTCCAAAAGCTTATTTCTAGTTTTTATGTAAAGATAATTTCTTTCTCTCCACAGGACTCAATGTGCTCCCAAATATCCTTTTGCAGATTCTTCAAAAACAGTGTTTCCAAACTGCTGATTCAAAAGAAAGGTTTAAGTCTGTGAGATGAATGCATGCATCACAAAGCAGTTTCTCAGAAAGTTTCTTTCTTGTGTTTATCTGAAGATATTTTCTTCTTCACTGCAGGTCTCAATGCACTCCAAAATATCCCTTTGCAGACTCTACAAAAACAGTGTTTCCAAACTCCTGAATGAAAAGAAGGGTTTAACTTTGAAAGATGAACGGACACATTACAAAGAGGTTTTTCAGATAATTTCCTTCTAGTTTTTATCCTTGGATATTTGCTCTTTCCCCAATAGGTTCAAAGAGCTCCCAAATATCCCTTCACGGATTCTACAAAAACTGTTTCCAGATGGCTTAATGAAAAGAATGGTTTATCTCTGTGAGAAGAATGCACATATCACAAAGCGGTTTGTCAGACAGCTTCTTTCTAGTTTGTATCCTGCGATATTTGCTTTTTTGCCATTGGCCTCAATGAACTCCCAAATGTCCATTTGCTGAATAGAGAAAAACTGTTTCCAAAATGCTGAATCAAAGAAAGGTTTAACATTGTGAGATGAATGCACACATCACAAAGCAGTTTCTCAGAAAGTTTCTTTCTAGTTCTTATCTGAAGTTATTTTCTTTTTCACCATAGGCCTGTATGTGCTTCCGATATCCCTTTGCAGATTCTAAAAAACAGTGTTTCTTAACAGCTGAATAAAAAGAAAGATTTCACTATGTGAAAGGAATACAAAAATCACAAAGCGGTTTCTCAGATAGCTTCCTTCTAGTTTTAATACTGGGAAATCCACTTTTTCACCAACGGACTAAAGGAGCTACTGAATGTCCATTCCTAGAATGGGAAAAAAACAGCTTTTCAAAACTTCTCAATCAAAAGAACTGTTAAACTCTGTGAGACAAATGCACCCATCAAAATGCAGTTTCTCAGAAAGCTTATTTCTTGTTTTTATCTGAAGTTATTTTGTTTTTCTATGGTGAAAAAGCAAATATTTTCACATAAAAACTAGACAGAAGCTTTCTGAGAAACTTATTTGTGATGTGTGCATTCATCTCACCAAGTTGAACCATTCTATTGTTTGACCAGTTCGCACACAGTCTTTTTGTAGAAACTGCAAAGGGATATTTGGGAATGCTTTGAGGCTCATGGTGAAAAAGGAAATATCTTCAAATCAAAATTAGACAGAAGTTTATGAGAAACTACTTTGTGATGTGTGCATTCATCTCACAGAGTTGAACAATTCTTTTGACTGAGCAGTTTGGAAACTCTGTTCTTCTAGAATCTGAAAAGGGATATTTGTGAGCGCTTTGAGATCTATGGTGAAAAAGGAATTATCTTCACATGCAAACAAGAAGAAGCTTTCTAAGAAACTGCTTTGTGATGTGAACATTCATCTCACAGAGGTAAACATTTCTTTTCATTGAGACGTTTGGAAACATTGTTCTTCTACAATCTACAAAGAATATTTGTGAGTACTTTGAGGCCTATGGTGAAAAAGGAAATATCTTCACATAAAAACTAGACAGAAGCTTCCTGAGAAACTGCTTTGTGATGTGTGCATTCACCTCACAAAAATCAACCATTCGTTTGGTTGAGCAGTTTGGAAACTGTTTTTGGAGAATCTGCAAAGGTGTATTTGGGAGCACTTTGAGGCCTATGGTGAAAAAGGAAATATCTTCATATAAAAACTAGAAAGAAGCTTTCTGAGAAACTCCTTTGTGATGTGTGCCTTCATCTCACAGACTTGAACCATTCGTTTGATTGAACAGTTTGGAAACAGTCTTTTTGCAGAATCTGAAAAGGGATATTTTGGAGCGCTTAGATGCCTGTGGTGAAAAAGGAAATACCTTCATGTAAAAACTAGAAAACAGCTTTCTGAGAAACTGCTTTGTGATGTGTGCATTCATCCCACAGAGATGAACCATTCATTTGATTGTGCAGTTTCAAATAGTGTTTTTGGAGAACCTGCAAAGGGATACTTGGGTGCACTTTGAGGCCTGTGGTGAAAAGGAAATAACTTCACATAAAAACTAGAAACAAGCTTTCTGAGAAACTTCTTTATGATGTGTGCATTTATCTCACAGAGGTAAACATTCCTTTTCATTGAGCACTCCGGAAACCCTGTTGTTGTAGAATCTGCAAAGAGATATTCATGAGCACTTTGATACCTATGGTGAAAAAATAAATATCTTCACATAAAAACAAGAAATAAGCTTTCTGAGAAACTACTTAATGATGTGTGCATTCATCTCGTGGAGGTCAACCATTCTTTTGATTGAGCAGTTTGGAAACAGTCTTTTTGTAGAATCTGTAAAGGGATATTTGGGAGCTCTTTGAGGCCTATGGTGAAAAAGGAAATATCTTCACATAAAAACTAGAAACAAGCTTTCTGAGAAACTTCTCTATGATGTGTGCATTTATCTCACAGAGGTAAACATTTCTTTTCATTCAGCACTTTGGAAACTCTGTCGTTCTAGAATCTGCAAAGGGATTTTCGTGAGTGCTTTGATACCTATGGTGAAAAAATAAATATCTTCACATAAAAACTAGACAGAATCTTTCTGAGAAACTTCTTTGTAATGTGTGCATTCATCACACAGAGCTGAACCATTCTTTTGATAGAGCAATTCGGAAACAGTCTGTTTTTGGCATCTGCAAGGGGATATTTGGGAACATGTTGAGGACTATGGTGAAAATAGAAATATCTTCATATGAAAACCAGACAGAAGCTTTCTGAGAAACTTCTTTATGATGTTTGTATTCCTTTCCCAGAGTTGATCCATACTTTCAATTGAGCAGTTTGGAAACAGTCTTTTATAGAATCTGCAAAGGGATATTTGGGAGTGTGCTGAGGCCTATGGTGAAAAGTGAAATATCTTCATATGAAAAGTAGAAAGAAGCTTTCTGAGAAACTGGTTTAGGATGTTTGCACTCATCTCACAGAGGTAAAACTTTCTTTTCATTGAGAAGTTTGGAAACTCTGTTATTCTAGAATTTGCAAAGGGATATTTTTGAGTGCTTTGAGGCCTGCGGTGAAAAGGAAATATCTTCACATAAAAACTAGACACAGGATTTCTGAGAAACTTCTTCATCATATGTTCATTCGTGTCATAGAGTTGAACCATTCTTTTGATTTAGCAGTTTGGAAACAGTATTTTTGTACATTCTGCCAAAGGATATCAGGGAGAGCTTTGAGACCTAAGGTGAAAAAGGAAATATCTTCACATAAAAACTTAAAAGAAGCTTTCTGAGAAACTTCTTTGTGATATGTGCATTCATCTCACAGAGGTAAATGATTCTTTTCATTGAGCAGTTTGGAAACTCTGTTCTTCCAGAATCTGAAAAGGGATATTTGTGAGTGCCTTGAGGCCTACGGTGACAAAGGAAATATCTTCACAAAAACACCACACAGAACCATTCTGAGAAACTTCTTTGTGACGAGTGCATTCATCTCACACAGTTGAAACATTCTTTTAATTGAACAGTTTGGAAACAGTCTTTTTGTGGAATCTGCAAACGGATATTTTAGAGTGCTTTGATGCCTATACTGAAAATGGAAATATCTTCACATAAAAAGTAGAAAGAAGCTTTCTGAGAAAGTGCTTTGTGATGTGTGCATTCATCCCACAGAGGTAAATTTTTTTTTTTTTCATTGAGTAGTTTGGAAACTGTTCTTCTGGAATCTGCAAAGGGATATTTGTGAGTGTTTTGAGGCTTATGGTGAAAAAGGAAATATCTTCACATAAAAACTAGACAGAAGATTTCAGAGAAACTTCGTTTTGACTTGTGCATTTATCTCACAGAGTTGAAGCATTCGTTTGATTGAGCCATTTGGAAGCAGTCTTTTTGTAGAATCTGTTAAGTGATATTTTTCAGAGCTTTGAGATCTATGCTGAAAAAGGAAATATCTCCACTTAAAAACTAGAAAGAACCTTTCTGAGAAACAGCTTTGTGATCTGGGCATTCATCTCACAGAGGTAAACATTTGTTTTCATTGAGCAATTTGGAAACTCTGTTTTTCTAGCATCTACAAAGGAATATTTGAGAGTTCTTTGAGGCCTACATTGAAAAAGGAAATATCTTCACATAAAAACTAGACAGAATCTTTCTGAGAAACTTCTTTGTGATGTGTGCATTCCTCTAACAGAGTTGGACTATTCTTTTGATTGAGCACTTTCAATACAGTCTTTTTGTACAATCAGCAAAGGGATATTTGGGAACATTTGGAGTCCTATGGTGAAAAACGAAATATCTTCACATAAAAACTAGGAAGAAACTTTCTGAGAAACTGCTTTGTGATGTGTGCATTCATCTCCCAGAGGTAAAAGTTTGTTTTCATTGAGCAGTTTGGAAAACCTGTTCTTCTAGAATCTGCAAATGGATATTTGGAGTGCTTAGAAGTGTATGGTGAAAAAGGAAATATCTTCACATAAAAACTAGAAAGAAGCTTTCTGAGAAACTTCTTTGTGATGTGTGCATTCATCTCAGGGTTGAACATTTCTTTTGGTGAGCTGCTTGGAAACAGTCTTTTTGTTGAATTGCAAGGGCATATTTTTGAGCCCTTTGTGGCCTATGGTGAAAAAGGAAATATCCTCACATAAAAACTAGTCAGAAGCTTTCTGGGAAACTACTTTGTGATGTGGGTGTTCATCTCATAGAGTTGAAACTTTCTTTTCATTGAGCAGTTTGGAAACAGTCTGTTCATAGAAACTGCAAAGGGATACTTGGGAGCACGTTGAGCTCTTGTGAAAAGGAAATATCTTCACATAAAAACTAGAAAGAAGCATTCTGAGAAACTTGTTTGTGATGTGTGCATTCAACTCACAGAGGTAAAGGTTTCTTTTCACTGAGTAGTTTGGAAACTCTGTTCTTCTAGAAGCTGCAAATGGATATTTGTGAGTTCTTTGCGGCCTATTGTGAAAAAGGAAATATCTTCATATAAAAAGCAGAAAGAAGCTTTCTGAGAAACTCCTTTGTGATGTGTGCATTCATCGCATAGAGTTGAACCATTCCTTTCATAGAGCAGTTTGGAAACAGTCTTTTTGTACAATCAAGAAAAGGGATATTTGGGAGTGCGTTGAGGCCTATGGTGAAAAAGGAAGTATCTTCACACAAAAACTAGACAGAAGCTTTCTGGGAAACTTCTTTGTGATGTGGGCATTCATCTCAGAGTTGAAACTTTCCTTTCATTGAGCAGTTTGTAAACAGTCTGTTCATAGATACTGCAAAGGGATAATTGGGAGTGCATTGAGCCCTATGGTGAAAAAGGAAATATCTTCACATAAAAACTAGAAAGAAGAATTCTGAGAAACTTCTTTTTGATATGTGCATTAAACTTGCAGAGGTAAAGGTTTCTTTTCACTGAACAGTTTGGAAACCCTGTTCTTCTAGAAGCTGCAAATGGATATTTGTGAGCACTTTGCAGCCTATGTTGAAAAAGGAAGTATCTTTCCATAAAAACCACACAGAAACTTTCTAAGAAACGTCTTTGTGATGTGTGCATTCGTCTCACAGAGTTGAACCATTCTTTTCATAGAGCGGTTTGGAAACAGTCTTTTTGCAGATTCTAAAAAGGGATATTTGGGGGCACGCTGAGGCCTATGGTGAAAAACGAAATTCCTTCACATAAAAACTACAAAGAAGCTTTCTGAGAAACTTCTTTGTGATGTGTGCATTCATCTCTAGTGGTAAAGATTCTTTTAATTGAGCAGTTTGGACACACTGTTCTAGAATCTGCAAAGGGATATTTGTGAGCACTTTGAGGCTTATGGTGAAAAAGGAAATATCTTCAAATAAAAACTAGACAGAAGATTTTGGAGAAAGTTCTTTGTGATGTGTGCATTCATCTCACAGAGTTGAACAATCCTTTTGATTGCACAATTTAGAAACACTCTTTTTGTAGAAGCTGCAAAGGGATATTTGGGAGTGCTTTCAGGCAAATGTTGAAAAAGGAAATACCTTCACATATAAATAGACAGCAGCTTTCTGAGAAACTTCCTTGTGATGTGTGCATTCATCTCAAAGAGTTGAACAATTCTTTTGATTGAGCACTTTGTAAGCAGTCTTTTTGTAGAATCTTCAAAGGGATATTGGGGAGTGCATTGAGGCCTATGTTGAAAAAGTAAATATCTTCACCTAAAAACTAGACAGAAGCTTTCTGTGAAACATCTTTGTGATGTGTGCATTCACCTCACAGAGCTGTGACATGCTATTGTTTGAGCAGTTTGGAAACTGTCCTGTTGTAGAATCTGCAAAGGGATATTTGGGAGCGCACTGAGGTCTATGGTGAAAAAGGAAATATCTTCACATAAAAACTAGAAAGAAACTTTCTGAAAAACTGGTTTGTGATGTGTGCATTCATTTCACAGAGGTAAACGTTTCTTTTTATTGAGCAGTTTGGCAACTCTGCTCTTCTAGATTCTGCACAGGGATATTTGTGAGCACTTTGAGGCTTATGATGAAAAAGGAAATATTGTCACATAAAAGCTATACAGAGGTTTTCTGAGAAACTTCTTTGTGATGTCTGCATTCATCTCACTGAGTTGAATCATTCTTTCATTGAGCAGTTTGGAAAAGTCTTTTTGTAGAATCTGCAAAGGGACATTTGAGAGTGCTTTGAGGCCTATGGTGAAAAAGGAAATATCTTCACATAAAAAGTAGAAAGAATCCTTCTGAGAATCTGCTTTTTGATGCATGCATTCATATCACAGAGGTAAACGTTTCTTTTAATGGAGCACTTTGGAAACTCTATTCTTCTGGAATCTGCAAGGGGATATTTGTGAGTGCTTTGAGACCTATGGTGAAAAAGGACATATCTTCATATAAGAACTAAAGAGAAGTTTTCTGAGAAACTTCTTTGTGATGTGTGCATTCATCTCACAGAGTTGAATCATTCTTTTGATTGAGCAGTTTGGAAACAGTCTTTTTGTAGAATCTTCATAAGTATATATAGGAGCACCTTGAGGTCTATGGTGAAAAATGAAATATCTTCACATAAAAGCTAGAAAGAAGCTTTCAGAGAAACTGCTTTGTGATGTGTGCATTTACCTGAAAGAGGTAAAACTTCTTTTCAATGAGCATTTTGGAAACTCTATTCTTCTAGAATCTGCAAAGGGATATTTGTGAGCACTTTGAGGTCTATGGTGAAAAAGGAAATATCTTCACAGGAAAACTAGACAGAAGTTTTCTGAGAAACTTATTTGTGATGTGTGCATTCATCTGACAGAGTTGAACTATTCTTTTGATTGAGCAGTTTGGAAACAGTCTTTTTGCAGAATCTGCAAAGGGATATTTGGGAGTGCTTTGAGGCCTATGATGAAAAAGGAAATTTCTTCATAAAAAAAGTTGAAAGAATCTTTCAGAGAAACTGCTTTGTTATGTGTGCATTCAACTCACAGAGGTAAATGTTTCTGTTCATTGAGCAGTATGAAAACTGTTCTTCTAGAATCTGCAAAGGGATATTTGTGAGCGCTTTGTGGCATACCATGAAAAAGGATATATCTTCTCATGAAAACTAGGAAAAAACTTTCTGAGAAACTTCTTTTTGATGTGTGCGTTCTTCTCACATAGCTGAACCATTCTTTTGATTGAGCAGTTTGGAAACAGTCTTTTGTAGTATCTACAAGTGGATATTTCATACTGCATTGAGGTCTATGGTGAAAAAGGAAATATCTTCTCAGTAAAAATAGAAAGAAGCTTTCTGAGAAACTGCTTTCTGATGTGTGCATTCATCTCACAGATCTAAATGTTTGTTTTCATTGAGCAGTTTGGAAACCGTCTTTTTGTAGAATCTGCCAAGGGATATTTGTGAGAGCTTTGGGACCTATGGTGAAAAAGGAAATATCTTCACATAAAAAATTGACAGAAATTTTCTGAGAAACTTCTTTGTGATGTGTGCATTCACCTCACAGAGTGGAACCATTCTTTGATTTAGCAGTTTGGAAACATTCTTTTTGTAGAATCTGCAAAGGGATATATGGGAGTGCATTGAGGGCTAGGGAGAAAAAGAAAATACCTTCACATAAGAACTAGATAGAAGCTTACTGACAGACTTCTTTGTGATGAGAGCATTCATTTCACTGATTTGGACCATTGTTTTGATTGAGCAGTTGGCAAATATTCTCTTTGTAGAATCTGCAAAGGGATATTTGGGAGTGCATTGAAGTCTATGGTGAAAAAGGAAATATCTTCACATAAAAACTAGGCAGAAGCTTTCTAAGAAACTGCTTTGTGATGTGTGTATTCATCTCACAGAAGCAAACGTTTCTTTTCATTGAGAAGTTTGGAAACTCTGTTCTTCTCCAATCTGCAATGGGATATTTGTGAGTGATTTGAGGTAAATGTTGAAAAAGGAAATACCTTCACAGAAAGAGTAGGCAAAAGCTTTCTGAGAAACTTCCTTGTGATGTGTGTATTCATCCCACCGAGTGGAACCATTCTTTGAGCACTTCGGAAGCAGTCTTTTTGTAGAGTCTGCAAACAGATATTGGGGAGCGCACTGAGTCCTATGGTGAGAAAGGAAATATCTTCACATAAAAACTAGACAGAAGCTTTCTGTGAAACATCTTTTTGATGTGTGCATTCACCTCACAGAGCTGTGACATTCTTTTGTTTGAGCAGTTTGGTAACAGTTTTTGTAGAATCTGCAAAGGGATATTTGGGAGCACGCTGAGGCCTATGGTGTAAAAGGAAATATCTTCACATAAAAACTAGAAAGAAGCTTTCTGAGAAACTTCTTTGTGATGTGTGCATTCATTTCACAGAGGTAAAAGTTTCTTATCATTGAGCAGTTTGGAAAATCAGTTCTTGGAAGATCTGCAAAGGGATATTTTGAGTGCTTTAAGGCCTATAGTGAAAAAGGAAATATTCTCACATTAGAACTAGACCGAAGTTTTCTGTGAAACTTCTTTGTGAAGCTTGCATTCATCTCCCAAAGTTGCACCATCCTTTTGATTAAGCAATTTGGCAAAAGCCTTTTTGTAGAATCTGCAAAGGGATATTTGAGAGTGCTTTGAGGCCTATGGTGAAAAAAAAATCTTGACATTAAAACTAGGAAGAAGCTTTCTGAGAAACTGCTTTGTGAATTCGGCATACATCTCACAGAAGTAAACGTTTCTTTTCATTGAGCAGTTTGGAAACTCTGTTCTTCTAGTATCTGGATAGGGATACCTGTGAGTGCCTTGAGGCCTATGGTGAGAAAGTATATATCATCACATAAAAACTATAGAGAAGCTTTCTGAGAAACTTCTGTGGAATGTGTGCATTCATCTCACAGAGGTGAACCATCCTTTTGATTGGGCAGTTTTGAAAGTGTCTTTTTGTAGGATCTACAAAGGAATATTTAGGAACGCATTGAGCCCTATGGTGAAAAAGGAAACACCTTCACACGAAAACCAGATGGAAGCTTCCTGAGAAAGTTCTTTGTGATGTGTGCATTCATCTCACAGAGATGAACCATTCTTTTGATAGAGGAGTTTGGAAACAGACTTTTTGTAGAATCTAAAAAGCAATATTTGGGAGCACATTGAGCTCTATGGTGAAAAAGGAAATATCTTCACATAAAAAGTACAGAGAAGCTTTCTGAGAAACTGCTTTTTGATGTGTGCATTCATATCACAGAAGAAACCGTTTCTTTTCATGGAGCACTTTGGAAACTGTCTCCTTCTAGAATCTGCAAAGGTATATTTGGGAGCTTTTTGAGACCTATTGTGAAAAAGGAAGTATCTTCATATAAAAACAAGAGAAACTCTTTCTGAGAAACTTCTTTGTGATGTGTGCATTCATCTCACAGAGTTGAGACTTTCTTTTCATTGAGCAACTTGGAAAGAGTTTGTTTGTAGAATCTGCAGAGGGATATGTGTGAGCGATTGGAGGCTTATGGTGAAAAGGGAAGTATCTTCACATAAAAACTAGACAGAAGGTTTCTGAGAAACTGCTTTGTGATGTGTGCATTCATCTCACAGAGGTAAAAGTTTCTTTTCATTGAGCATGTTGGAAAATCTGTTCTTGTAGTATCTGCAAAGGGATATTTGTGAGCACATTGAGTCCTATGGTGAAAAAGGACATATCTTCACATAAAAAATAGACAGAAACTTTCTGAGAAACTTCTTTGTGATGTGAGCATTCATCTAACAAAGTTGAACCTTTCTTTTGATTGAGCAGTTTGGAAACAGTCTTTTTGTAGCATCTGCAGAGGGATATTTGTGAGTGCTTTGAGACCTATGGTGAAAAAGGAAATACCATCACATAAACTGGACAAAAGATCTCTGAGAAATTTCTTTGTGATGTGCGCATTCATCTCACAGAGTTGAACTTTCTTTTGATTGAGCAGTCCGGAAGCAGTCTTTTGGTAGAATCTGCAAAGGGATATTTTGAGCGGTTTGAGGCCTATGGCAAAAAGGAAAATATCCTCACATAAAAACTAGAAAAATCTTTCTGAGGAACTTCTTTGTGATGTGTGCATTCATCTCACAGTGTTGATCCATTCTTTTGATTGAGCAGCTTTGAAACAGTCTTTTTGCAGAATGTGCAAAGGGATATTTGTCAGAGCTTTGAGGCCTATGGTGAAAAAGAAATGTCTTCACATTAAAACTAGAAAGAAGGTTTCTGAGGAACTGATTTGTGATGTGTACATTCATCTCACAGAAGGAAAGATTTATTTAATCGAGCAGATTGGAACCTCTGTTCTTGTAGAATATTCAAAGGGATATTTGTGAGTGCTTTGAGACTTATGGTGAGAAACGAAGTATGTTCACATAAAAACTAGACAGAAGTTTCTGAGAAACTTCTTTCTGATGTGTGCATTCATCTCACAGAGTTGAACCTTTCTTTTGATTGAGCATTTTGGAAACAGTTTTATTGTAGAATCTGCAAAGGGATATTTGTGAGCCCTTTGTGGCCTATGGTGAAAAAGGGAATATCTTCACATAAAAACTAGACAGGTTTTTCAGAGAAACTGCTTTGTGTTGTGTGCATTCATTTCAGAGATGTAAATGATTCTTTTCATTGAGCAGTTTGGAAACAGTCTCTTTGTGGAATCTGCAAAGGGATACTTTTGAGCACTTTGAGGCCTGTGGTGAAAAAGGAAATATCTTCACATAAAAACTAGACAGACGCTTTCTGAGAAACATCTTCATGATGTGTGCATTGATCTCACAGTGTTGAACATTTGATTTGACTGATCAGTTTGGAAAAAGTCTTTTTGTAGAATCTGCAAAGGAATATTTGTGAGCAGTTTGAGGCCTATGGTGAAAAACAAGTATATTCACATAAAAACTAGAGAGAAGTTTTATTTTTTTTATTCTATTATTATTATACTGTAAGTTTTAGGGTGCATGTGCACAATGTGCAGGTTTGTTACGTATGTATACATGTGCCATGCTGGTGTGCTGCACCCATTAACTCGTCAGTTATCATTAGGTATATCTCCTAATGCAATCCCTCTCCACTCCCCCCACCCCACAGCATTCCCCCTTTTGTGATGTTTCCCTTTCTGTGTCTATGTTTTCTCATTATTCAATTCCCACCTCTGAGTGAGAACATGTGGTGTTTGGATTTTTGTCCTTGGATAGTTTGCTGAGAATGATGGTTTCCAGCTGCATCCATGTCCCTACAAAGGACATGAACTCATCATTTTTTATGGCCGCATAGTATTCCATGGTGTATATGTGCCACATTTTCTTAATCCCGTCTATCATTGTTGGACATTTGGGTTGGTTCCAAGTCTTTGCTATAGTGAATATTGCCACAATAAACATATGTGTGATTGTGTCTTTATAGCAGCATGATTTATAATCCTTTGGGTATATACCCAGCAATGGGATGGCTGGGTCAAATGGTATTTCTTGTTCTAGGTCCTTGAGGAATCACCACACTGACTTCCATAGTGGTTGAACTATTTTACAGTCCCACCAATAGTGTAAGAGTGTTCCGATTTCTCCAAATTTTCTCCAGTACATGCTGTTTCCTGACTTTATAATGATTGCCATTCTAATTGGTGTGAGATGGTATCTCATTGTGGTTTTGATTCGCATTTTTTCTGATGGCCGGTGATGATGAGCATTTTTTCATGTGTTTTTTTGATGCATAAATGTCTTCTGTTGAGAAGTGTGTGTTCTTATCCTTCACCCACTTTTTGATGGGGTTGTTTTTTTTTTCTTGTAAATTTGTTTGAGTTCATTGTAGATTGTGGGTATTAGCCCTTTGTCAGATAAGTAGTTTGCAAAAATTTTCTCCCATTCTGTTGGTTGCCTGTTCACTCTGATGGTAGTTTAATTTGCTGTGCAGAAGCTCTTTAGTTTAATTAGATCCCATTTGTCAATTTTGGCTTTTGTTGCCATTGCTTTTTGTGTTTTAGACATGAACTCCTTGCCCATGCCTATGTCCTGAATGGCATTGCATACGTTTTCTTCTAGGGTTTTTATGGTTTTAGGTCTAACATTTAAGTCTTTAATCCATGTCTAATTAATTTTTCTATAAGGTTTAAGGAAGGGATCCAGTTTCAGCTTTCTATATATGGCTAGCCAGTTTTCCCAGCACCATTTATTAAAAAGGAAATCCTTTCCCCATTGCTTGTTTTTGTCAGGTTTGTCAAAGATCAGAGAGTTGTAGATATGTGGCATTGTTTCTGAGGGCTCTGTTCTGTTCCATTGGTCTATATCTTCGTTTTAGTACCAGTACTATGCTGTTTTCTTTACCATAACCCTTTAGTGTAGTTTGAAGTCAGGTAGCATGATGCCTCCAGCTTTGTTCTTTTGGCCTATGATTGACTTGGTGATGCGGGCTCTTTTTTGGTTCCATATGAACTTTAAAGTAGTTTTTTCCAATTCTGTGAAGAAAGTCATTGGAAGTTTGATGGAGATGGCATTAAATGTACAAATTACCTTGGGCAGTATGGCCATTTTCACGATATTGATTATTTCTCCCCATGTGCATGGAATGTTCTTCCATTTGTTTGTATCCTCTTTTATTTCATTGAGCAGTGGTTTGTAGTTCTCCTTGAAGAGGTCCTTCATGGCCCTTGTAAGTTGCATTCCTAGGTATTTTATTCTCTTTGAAGCAATTGTGAATAGGAGTCCACTCATGATTTGGCTCTCTGTTTGTCTGTTATTGGTGCATAAGAATTGTGATTTTTGTACATTGATTTTGTATCCTGAGACTTTGCTGAAGTTGCTTATCAGCTTAAGGAGATTTTGGGCTGAGACGATGGAGTTTTCTAGATATACAATCATGTCATCTGCAAGCAGGGACAATTTGACTCTCTCTTTTCCTAATTGAATACCCTTTATTTTTTTCTCCTGCCTGATTGCCCTGGCTAGAACATCCAACACTATGTTGAACAGGAGTGGTGAGAGAGGGCATCCCTGTCTTGTGCAAGTTTTCAAAGGGAATGCTTCCAGTTTTTTTCCATTCAGTATGATATTGGCTGTGGGTTTTTCATAGATAGCTCTTATTATTTTGAGATCCGTCTCATCAATATCTAATTTATTGAGAGTTCTTAGCATGAAGGTTGTTGAATTTTGTCAAAGGCCTTTTCTGCATCTATAGAGATAATCATGTGGTTTTTGTCCTTGGTTCTGTTTATATGCTAGATTATGTTTATTGATTTGTGTATGTTGAACCAGCCTTGCATCCCAGGGATGAAGCCCCCTCGGTCATGGTGGATAAACTTCTTGATGTGCTGCTGGATTCGGTTTGCCAGTATTTTATTGAGGATTTTTGCATCAATGTTCATCAAGGATATAGGTCTAAAATTCTCTTTTTTTGTTGTGTCTCTGCCAGGCTTTGGTATGAGGATGGTACTGGCATCATAAAATGAGTTAGAGAGGATTTCCTCTGTTTCTATTGATTGGAATAATTTCAGAAGGAATGGTACCAGCTCCTCCTTTTACCTCTGGTAGAATTCGACTGTGAATCCATCTGGTCCTGGAGTGTTTTTGGTTGGTAAGCTATGGATTATTGCCTGAATTTCAGAGCCTGTTATTGATCTATTCAGAGATTCAACGTCTTCCTGGTTTAGTCTTGGATGTATGTGTTGAGAAATTTATCCATTTCTTCTCGATTTCCTAGTTTATTTGTGTAGAGGTGTTTATAGTATTCTCTGATGGTAGTTTGTATTTCTGTGGGATCAGTGGTGATATCCCCTTTATCATTTTTTATTGCATTTATTTGATTCTTCTCTCTTTTCTTGTTTATTAGTCTTGCTAGCGGTCTATCAATTTTGTTGATCTTTTCAAAAATCCACCTCCTGGATTCTTTGATTTTTTGAAGGGTTTTTTGTTTCTCTATTTCCTTCAGTTCTGCTCTGATCTTAGTTATTTCTTGCCTTCTGCCAGCTTTTGAGTGTGTTTGCTCTTGCTTTTCTAGTTATTTTATTTGTGATGTTAAGGTGTCAATTTTGGATATTTTCTGCTTTCTCTTGTGGGCATTTAGTGCTACAAATTTCCCTCTACACACTGCTTTGAATGTGTCCCAGGGATTCTGGTACGTTGTGTCTTTGTTCTTGCTGGTTTCAAGGGACATCTTTATTTCTGCCTTCATTTCGTTACATACCCAGTAGTCATTCAGGAGCAGGTTGTTCACTTTCCCTGTAGTTGAGTGGTTTTTTTCTATTTTTTTATTTTATTTTATTACTATTATACTTTAAGTTTTAGGGTACATGTGCACAACGGCAGGTTAGTTACATATGTATACATGTGCCATGCTGGTGTGCTGCACCCATTAACTCATCATTTAGCATTAGATATATCTCCTAAAGCAATCCCTCCCCCCTCCCCGCACCCCACAACAGTCCCCAGAGTGTGATGTTCCCTTTCCTGTGTCCATGTGATCTAATTGTTCAATTCCCACCTATGAGTGAGTTTATGTGGTGTTTGGTTTTTTGTTCTTGCAATAGTTTACTGAAAGTGATGATTTCCAATTTCATCCATGTCCCTACAAAGGACATGAGCTCATCATTTTTTATGGCTGCATAGTATTCCATGGTGTATATGTGCCACATTTTCTTAATCCAGTCTATCGTTGTTGGACATTTGGGTTGGTTCCAAGTCTTTGCTATTGTGAATAGTGCCGCAATAAACATACGTGTGCATGTGTCTTTATAGCAGCATGATTTATAGTCCTTTGGATATATACCCAGTAATGGGATGGCTGTGTCAAATGGTATTTCTAGTTCTAGATCCCTGAGGAATCGCCACATTGACTTCCACAATGGTTGAACTAGTTTACAGTCCCACCAACAGTGTAAAAGTGTTCCTATTTCTTCACATCCTCTCCAGCACCTGTTGTTTCCTGACTTTTTAAGGATCGCCATTCTAACTGGTGTGAGATGGTATCTCATTGTGGTTTTGATTTGCATTTCTCTGATGGCTAGGATGATCCTGAGTTCTAGTTTGATTGCAAGGCGGTCTGAGAGACAGTTTATTATAATTTTTGTTCTTTTACATTTGCTAAGGAGTGCTTTACTTCCAACTATGGGGCCAATTTTGGAATAGATCTGGTGTGGTCCTGAAATAATGTATATTCTTTTGATTTGGGGTGGAGAGTTCTGTAGATATCTATTAGGTCTGCTTGGTCCAGAGCTGAGTTCAATTCTTGGATATACTTGTTAACTTTTTGTCTCGTTGATCTGTCTAATATTGACAGTGGGGTGTTAAAGTCTCCCATTATTATTGTGTGGGAGTCTAAGTCTCTTTGTAGGTCATTAAGGCCTTGCTTTATGAATCTGGGAGCTCCTGTATTGGGTGCATATATTTTTAGGATAGTTAGCTCTTCTTGTTGAATTGATCCCTTTACCATTATGTAATGTCCTTCTTTGTCTGTTTTGATCTTTGTTGGCTTAAAATCTGTTTTATCAGAGACTAGGATTGTAATCCCTGCCTTTTTTTGTTTTCCATTTTCTTGGTAGATCTTCCTCCATCCCTTTATTTTGAGTCTATATGTGTTTGTGCACGTGAGATGGGTTTCCTGAATAGAGCACACTGATGGGTCTTGACTCCTTATCCAATTTGCCAGTCTGTGTCTTTGAATTGGAGCATTTAGCCAATTTACATTTAAGGTTACTATTGTTATGTGTGAATTTGATCCTGTCATTATGATGTTAGCTGGTTATTTAGCTCATTAGTTTATGCAGTTTCTTCCCAGCCTTGATGGTCTTTACAATTTGGCGTGTTTTTGCAGTGGCTGGTACTGGTTGTTCCTTTCCATGTTTAGTGCTTCCTTCAGGAGCTCTTTTAAGGGCAGGCCTGGTGGTGACAAAATCTCTCCGCATTTGCTTGTCTGTAAAGTATTTTATTTCTCCTTCACTTATGAAGCTTAGTTTGGCTGGATATGAAATTCTGCGTTGAAAATTCTTTTCTTTAATAATGTTGAATATTGGCCCCCACTCTCTTCTGGCTTGTAGAGTTTCTCCTGAGAAATTAGCTGTTAGTCTGATGGGCTTCGCTTTGTGGGTAACCCGACCTTTCTCTCTGGCTGCCAGTAACATTTTTTTCCTTCATTTCAACTATGGTGAATCTGACAATTATGTGTCTTGGAGTATCTTTGTGGTGTTCTCTGTATTTCCTGAATTTGAATGTTGTCCTGCCATGCTAGATTGGGGAAGTTCTCCTGGATAGTATCCTGTAGAGTGTTTTCCAACTTGGCTCCATTCTCCCAGTCACTTTCAGGTACACCAATCAGACGTAGCTTTGATCTTTTCCCATAGTCCTATATTTCTTGGAGGCTTTGTTCATTTCTTTTTATTCTTTTTTCCTCTAAACTTCTCCTCTCACTTCATTTCATTCATTTCATCTTCCATCACTGATACCCTTTCTTCCAGTTGATCGCATCAGCTACTGAGGCTTCTGCATTCATCAATTAGTTCTTCTTCCTTGGTTTTGAGCTCCATCACTTCCTTTAAGGACTTCTCTGCATTGGTTATTCTAGTTAGCCATTCGTCTAATTTTTTTTCAAGGTTTTTAAACTCTTCACCATTCGCTTGAACTTCCCCCTTTAGCTCAGAGTAGTTTGATCGTCTGTTGCCTTCTTCTCTCAACTCGTCAAAGTCATTCTCTGTCCAGCTTTGTTCCATTGCTGGTGAGTAGCGGTGTTCTTTGGATGAGGAGAGGCACTCTGATTTTTAGAGTTTCCAGTTTTTCTGCTCTGTTTTATGCCCATCTTTGTGGTTTTATCTACCTTTGGTCTTTGAGGATGGTGACATACGGATGGGTTTTTGGTGTGAATGTCCTTTCTGTTTGTTAGTTTTCCTTCTAACAGTGAGGGCTCTCAGCTTCAGGTCTGTTAGGGTGTGTTGGAGGTCCAGTCTAGACCCTGTTTGCCTGGGTATCAGCAGCAGTGGCTGAAGAACAGCGGATATTG
The DNA here is from genome assembly GCF_000001405.40 of Homo sapiens. Lineage (NCBI taxonomy): Eukaryota > Metazoa > Chordata > Mammalia > Primates > Hominidae > Homo > Homo sapiens. Next base: position 27,463,671 of record NC_000019.10, on the reverse strand, counting down.
GTAAACCACAAATGCTGTTGCCTGATCGGTCCTCTGGAAGTTTTGTTTCAGAAGAGTACCTGGCCATGTGAGGTGTCAGTACACCCCTGCTGGGGGTGCCTCCCAGTTAGGCTACAAGAGGATCAGGGAGCTACTTGAGGAGGCAGTCTGCCCATTCTCAGATTTCTGTCTGGTTTTTATGTGAAGATATTTCATTTTACACCATAGGCCTCAAAGAACTCACAAGCATCCCTTTGAAGATTCTACAAAAAATTGTTTCCAAACAGCTCAATCAAAAGAAAGGGTCAACTCTGTGAGATGAATGCACACATCACAAAGAAGTTTCACAAAATGCTTCTGTCTAGTTTTTATGTGAAGATATTTCCTTTTTCATCGTAAGCCTCAAAACACTCACAAATATGCCTTTGCAGTTTCCAGAAAAAGATGGTTTAAAAACTGCTCAATCAAAAGAGAGGTTCAACTCTGTGAGATGAATGTACACATCACAAAGAAGTTTCTCAGAAAGTTTCTGTCTAGTTTTTATGTGAAGATATTTCATTTTTCACCATAGGACTCAAAGTGCTCATAAAAATCACTTTGAAGATCCTACAAGAACAGAGTTTGTAGTCTGCTCAATGAAAAGAAAGGTTTACCTCTGTGAGATGAATGCAGCCATCAGAAAGAAGTTACTCAGAAACCTTCTTTCTATTTTTTATGTGAAGATATCTTTTTTTATTTTATTTTATTATTATTATACTTTAAGTTTTAGGGTGCAGGTGCACAATTTGCAGGTTTGTTACATATGTATACATGTGTCATGTTGGTGTGCTGCACCCATTAACTCATCATTTAACATTACGTATATCTCCAAATGCTATCCCTCCACCCTATCCCCACCCCACAACAGTCCCCAGAGCGTGATGTTCCCCTTCCTGTGTCCATGTGTTCTCATTGTTCAATTCCCACCTATGAGTGAGAAGATGCAGTGTTTGGTTTTTTCTCCTTGTGATAGTTTCCTGAGAATGATGGTTTCCAGTTTCATCCATGTCCCTACAAAGGACATGAACTCATCATTTTTTATGGCTGCATAGTATTCCATGGTGTATATGTGCCACATTTTCTTAATCCAGTCTATCGTTGTTGGACATTTGGGTAGGTTCCAAGTCTTTGCTATTGTGAATAGTGCCACAATAAACATACGTGTGCATGTGTCTTTATAGCACCATGATTTATCATCCTTTGGTTATATACTCAGTAATGGGATGGTTGGGTCAAATGGTATTTCTAGTTCTAGATCCCTGAGGAATCACCACACTGACTTCCACAATGGTTGAATTATTTTACCGTCCCACCAAGAGTGTAAAAGTGTTCCTGTGTCTCCACACCCTCTCCAGCACCTGTTGTTTCCTAACTTTTTAATGATCACCATTCTAACTGGTGTGAGATGGTATCTCATTGTGGTTTTGATTTGCATTTATCTGATGGCCAGTAATGATGAGCATTTTTTATGTTTTTTTTTTTTTTTTTGCTGTATAAATATCTTCTTGTGAGAAGTGTCTGTTCATATTCTTCACCCACTTTTTGATGGGGTTGTTTGTTTTTTTCTTGTAAATTTGTTTGAGTTCATTGTAGATTCTTGATGTTACCCCTTTGTCAGATGAGTAGGTTGCAAAAATTTTCTCCCATTTTGTAGGTTGCCTGTTCACTCTGATGGTAGTTTCTTTTGCTGTGCAGAAGCTTTTTAGTTTAATTAGATCCCATTTCTCAATTTTGTCTTTAGTTGCCATTGCTTTTGGAGTTTTAGTGAACTCCCATTCACAATTGTTTCAAAGAGAATAAAATACCTAGGAATGCAACTTAGAAGGGATGTGAAGGACCTCTTAAATGAGAACTACAAACCACTGCTCAATGAAATAAAAGAGAATTCAAACAAACGGAAGAACATTCCATGATCATGAGTAGGAAGAATCAATATCGTTAAAATGACAATATTGCCCAAGGTAATTTATAGATTCAATGCCATCCCCATCAAGCTACCAATGACTTTCTCCACAGAATTGGAAAAACTACTTTAAAGTTCATATGGAACCAGAAAAGAGCCCACATCACCAAGTCAATCCTAAACCAAAAGAACAAAGCTGGGGGCATCACGCTACCTGACTTCAAATCATATTAAAAGACTACAGTAACCAAAACAGCATGGTACTTGTACCAAAACAGAGGTATAGATCAATGGAACAGAACAGAGCCCTCAGAAATAATGCCACATATCTACAACTCTCTGATCTTTGACAAACCTGACAAAAACTAGTAAGGGGGAATGGATTCCTTATTTAATAAATGGTGCTGGGAAAACCTGCTAGCCATATGTAGAAAGCTGAAACTGGATCCCTTCCTTACACCCTATAAAAAAATTAATTCAAGATTGATTAAAGACTTGCATGTTAGATCTAAAAAATAAAAATCCTAGAGGAAAACCTAGGCAATACCATTCAGGTCATAAGCATGTGAAGGTATTTCTTTTTCACCATACACCTCAAAGCACTCACAAATATCTCTTTGCAGATTCTACAGAAATACTGTTTCCAAGCTGCTCAATCAAAAGAAAGGTTCAACTCTGTGAGATGAATTCACACATCATGAAGAAGTTTCTCAGAAAGCTTCTTTCTAGTTTTTATGTGAAGATACTTCCTTTTTCACCATAGGCCTCAAAGCACTCACAAATATCCCTTTGCAGATTTTACAAGAACAGAGTTTCCAATCTGCTCAATGATAAGAATCGTTTACCTCTGAGAGATGAATGCAACCATCACAAAGCAGTGTCCCAGAAACTGTCTTCATACTTTTTATGTGAAGATATTTATTTTTGACAATAGGGCTCAAACTGCTCACAAATATCCATCTGCAGATTCTACAAAAAGTCTGTTTCCAAACCTCTCAAAAAATAATATTTCAACTCTGTGAGATGAATGCACAGATCACAAAGCAGGCCTCAAAGCACTAAAAATTGTCCCTTTGCATATTCTACAAAAAGACTCTTTCAAAACAACTCAATCAAAAGTAAGGTTCACATGTGTCAGATGAATCTACTCATCACAAAGGAGTTTCTTAGAATGTTTCTGTCTAGATTTATGTGAAGATATTGCCTTTCTTACAATAGGCCTCAAAATGCTCACAAATTTCACTTTGCAGACACTACAAAAAGACTCTTTCCAACCTGCTAAATCAAAAGAAAATTTCAACTCTGTGAGATGAATGCATGCATCAAAAAAAGTTTCTCAGAAGAATTCTGTCTATTTTTATGTGAACATATTTCCTTTTTCACCACAGTCCAGAAGCCGCTCACTAATGTCCCTATGAAGATTCTAAAAAAGGACTGCATCCAAACTGCTCTATGAAAAGAAAGTTTTATCTCTGTGAGATGAATGCACACATCACAAGGAAGTTTCTCAGAAAGCTTCGGTCTAGTTTTTCTGTGAAGATATTTCGTTTTTTACCGTAGGCCTCAAAGCACTTGCGAATATTCCTATGCATATTTTACAAGAGCAGAGTTTCCAATCTGCTCAATGAAAGGTAACATTTACCTCTGTGAGATGAATGCACACATCATGAAGCAGTTTCTCAGAAACCTTTTATCTAATTTTTATGTGAAGATATTTCCACCATAGGCCTCAAAGGGCTTGAAAATATCCCTATGCAGATTCTATAAGAAGACTATTTCCAAACTGCTCAATCAAAACAAAGTTTGAACTCTGTGAGATGAATGCAAAAATCACAAAGACGTTTTTCAGAAAGCTTCTGTTTAGTTTTTATGTGAAGAGATTTCCTTTTTCACCATAGTCCTCCAAGCACTCACAAATATCCTTTTGCAGATTCTACAAAAAAACTGTTTCCAAACTTCTCAATCAAAATAAGGGTTCAACTCTGTGAGAATAATACACCCATAAAAAAGAAGTTTCTCAAAAAACATCTGTCTAGTTTTATGTGAAGATATTTCCTTTTTCAACATAGTCCTTACTGTGCTCAAAAATATCCGTTTGCATATTCTACAAGAAAAGAGTTTCTAATCTGCTCAGTGAAAAGAAACTTTTACTTCTGTTAGAAGAATTCACACATCAGAAAGTAGTTTCTCAGATACCATCTTTCTAGTTTTTATGTGAAGATTTTTATTTTTCACCATCGGCCTCAAAGTGAACACAAATATCCCTTTACAGATTCTACAAAAAGACTGTTTCCAAACTGCTCTATCAAAAGAATGGTTCAACTCTGCCTGATGAAGGCACACATCACAAATAAGTTTCTCAGAGAGCTTCTGTCTACTTTTTACGTAAAGATATTTCCTTTTTCAACATAGGCATCAAAGCGCACAGAAATATCCGTTTGCAGATTCTACATGAAAACTGTTTCCAAACTGCTCAATGAAAAGAAAGTTCAACTCTGAGAGATGAATGTACACATCACAATGAAGTTTCTCAGAAATCTTCTGTCTGGTTTTTATGTGAAGATATTTCCTTTTTCACCATAGCACCACAGGCCTCAAAGCGCTTACAAATATCCCTTTGAAGAATCTACAAGAACAGAGTTTGCAATTTGATCAATGAAAATAATCGTTTACCTCTGTGAGATGAATGCAGACACCAGACAGCTGTTTCTCAGAAGCCATCTTTCTAGTTTTAATGTGAAGATATTTCTTTCTCAAAATATGTCTCAAGCCATCAAAAATATCCCATTGCAGATTCCACAAAAAGAGTCTGTCAAAGCTTCTCAATCAAAAGAAAGATTCAACTATGTGAGATGAATGCACACAGCATGAAGCAGTTTCTCAGAAAGTTTCTGTGTAGTTTTTATGTGATGATATTTCCTTTTTCACCATAGGCCTCAAAGGGCTCACAAATATTCCTTTGCAGATTCTATAAAGAGACTGTTTCTAAACTGCTCAATCAAAATAAAGATTCAACTCTGTGAGAATGCACACATCACAAAGAAGTTTCACAGAGAGCTTCTTTCTAATTTTTATGTGAAGATATTTCCTTTTTCATCATAGTCCTCCCTGTGCTCAAAAATATCCGTTTGCATATTCTACAAGAAAGGAGTTTCCAATCTGTTCAGTTAAAAGAAATGTTTGCTTCTGTTAGAAGAATTTACACATCAGAAAGCAGTCTCTCGGATGCCTTCTTTCTAGTTCTTATGTGAAGATATTTCTTTTTCACCATAAGCCTCAAAGTGCTCACAAATATCCCTTTGCAGATTCTACAAAAAGACTGTTTCCACACTGCTCAATCAAAAGAACTCTTTGACTCTGTGAGATAAATGCACACATCACATACAAGTTTCTCAAAAAGTTTCTCTCTGATTTTTATGTGAAGATAATTCATTTTCCACTATAGGCCTCAAAGGGCTCAAAAATATCCCTATGAAGATTCTATAAATAGACAGTTTCTAAACTGCTCAATCAAAAGAAAGTTTCAACTCTGTGAGATGAATGCACACATCACAAAAAAGTTTCTCAGAAAGCTTCTATGTAGTGTTTATGTGAAGATATTTCCTTTTTCACCATATGCACAACGCGGTCCAAATAGTCCTTTGCAGAGTCCACAAAAAGACTGTTTCCAAACTGCTCAATGAAAAGAAAGGTTCAATTCTGTGAGATGAGTGCACACATCACAAAGACGTATCTCAAAAAGCTTCTGCCTAGTTTTTATGTGTAGATATTTCCTTTTCCACCATAGGCCTCAAACCCCTCACAATTACCCCTTTGCATATCCTACAAAAATATTGTTTCAAAACTGCTCAATCAAAAGAAAGTTTCAAATCTCTGATGTGAATGCACACATTGGAAAGATGTTTCTCAGAAATCTTCTGTCTAGTCTTTATGTGAAGATATTTCCTTTTTCACCATAAGCCTCAAAACACTCCAAGTATCCATTTGCAGATTCTACAAAAAGCCTGATACCAAACTGCTCCATCAAAAGAAATGTTAATCTCTGTGAGATGAATGCACACATGACAAAGAAGTTTCTAAGAAAGCTTCTGTCTAGTTTTTATGTGGAAATATTTCCTTTTTCCCCATAGGCCTGAAAGCGCTCCAATTATCCCTTTGCAGGTTCTGCAAAAGACTTTTTCCAAACTGCTCAATCAAAAGAAAGGTTCAACTCTGAGAGATGAATGCACACGTCACAAAGAAATTTCTCAGAAAACTTCTGTCTAGTTTTTATGTGAAGATATTTTCTTTTTCACTATAGGCCTCAAATGGGTCTCAAATATCCCTTTGCTGATTCTACAAAAAGACTCTTTCCAAACTACTTAATTGAAATAAATTTTCAACAATGTGACATGAATACACACATCACAAAGTTTCTCAGAATGTGTCTGTGTAGTTTTTATGTGAAGATATTTCCTTATTCACTGTAGGCCTCAAATGGCTCCAAATATCCCTATGCAGATTCTACAAAAAGACTGTTTGCAAACTGTTCAATGAAAAGAAAGTTTCAACGCTGTGAGATGAATGCACACATCACAAAGATGTTTCTCAAAAAGCTTCTGTATAGTGTTTATGTGAAGATGTTTCCTTTTTCACCATAGGATACAAAGCCCTCCGAATATTCGTTTGCAGATTCTACAAAAAGACTGTTTCCAAACTGCTCAGTGAAAAGAGAGGTTCAACTGTGTATTATGAATGCACACATCACAAAGAAGATTCTGTCTAGATTTTATGTGAAGATAATTCCTCTTTCAACATAGGCCTCAAAGCACTCCTAATATCCCTTGGCATATTCTACAAAAAGCCTGTTTCCAAACTGTTCAATCAAAAGAAACTTTCAACACTGTGCGATGAATGCACACATCACAAATAAGTTTCTCAGAAAGCTTCCTTCTAGTTTTTACGTGAAGATACTTCCTTTTACACCACAGACCTCAAAGTGCTACAAGTATCCATTTGCAGATTATACAAAAAGACTGTTTCCAAACTGATCATCCAAAAGAATGGTGTAACAGTGTCAGATGAATGCAAACATCACAAAGAAGTTTCTCAGAAATCTTCTGTCTAGCGTTTATGTGAAGATATTTCTTTTCCACCATAGGCCACAAAGTACTCCAAATATCCCTTTGCAGTTTCCACAAAAAGACTGTTTCCAAACTGCTCAATTAAAAGAAATGTTCAACTCTGTGAGATGAATTGATGCATCTCAAAGAAGTATATCAAAAAGGTTCTGTCTAGTGTTTATGTGAAGATATTTCCTTTGTCACCATAAGCCTCAAACTGCTCAGAAATATTCCTTTGCGGATTCTAAAAAAGACTGTGTCCAAACTGCTCAATCAAAAGAATGGTTCAAATCTGTGAGATGAATGCCCACATCACAAGGAAGTTTCTCATAAAGATTCTGTCTAGTTTTTATGTGAAGATATTTCCTTTTTCACCTTTGCCTCACAGTGCTCCAAATTTCCATTTGCAGATTCTACAAAAATACTTTTTCCAAACTACTCAATCAAAAGAAAGGTTCCACTCTGTGAGATGAATGCACACATCACAAAGAAGTTTCTCAGAAAGCCTCTGTCTAGTTTTTATGTGAAGATATTTCCTTTTTCACCATAGGCCTTAAATCGCTCACAAATATCCCTTTGCAGATTCTACAAAAAGACAGTTACCAAAATGCTCAATCAAAAGAAAGGTACAACTCTGTGAGATGAATGCACACATCAAAAAGTAGTTTCTGAAGAAGCTTGTGTCTAGTTTTTATGTGAAGATATTTCCTTTTTCATCATAGGCCTCAAAGTGCTCCAATTATCCCTTTTTAGATAATACAAAAAGACCACTTCAAAACTGCTCATTGAGAAGAAATGTTCAACTATGTGAGATGAGTGCATCCATCACAAAGAGGTTTCTCAGAATGCTTCTGTCTAGTTTTTATGTGAAGAAAATTCCTTTTTCACCATATGCCTCTAAGCACTCCCCATATCCCTTGGCAGATTCTACAAAAAGACTGTTTCCAAAGTGCTCAATCAAAAGAAAGATTCATCTCTGTCAGATGAATGCACACATCACAAAGAAGTTTCTCAGAATGCTTCTTTCTACTTTTTATGTTAAGATATTTTCTTTTTTGCCATAGGCTTCAAACTGCCCACAAATATTCCTTTGCAGATTTTACAAAAAGACTGTTTCCAAGCTGCTCAATCAAAAGAGAGGTTCAACACAGTGAGGTGAATGAACACATCACAAAGAAGCTGCTCAGAGAGCTTCTGTCTAGTTTTTTTGTGACGCTATTTCCTTTTTCACCTTAGGCCTCAAAGCACTCCAAATATCCATTTGCAGATTCTACAGACTGTTTCCAAACTACTCAATCAAAGAAAGATTCAACCTGTGAGATGAATGCACACATCACAGAGGAGTTTCCCAAAAAGTTTCCGTCTAGTTTTAAGTGAAGGTATTTCCTTTCTTGAAATAGGCCTCAAACCACTCACAAATATCCCTTGGCAGATACTACAAAAAGACTGTATTGAAACTGCTCAATCAGAAGAAAGTTTCAACTCTGTGAGATGAATGCACACATCACAAAGAAATTTCTCAGAAAAATTCTATCTAGTTTTTATGTTAAGATATTTTCTTTTTCACCATAGGACTAAAAGAGCTCCATGTATACTTTGGTAGATTCTTCAAAAAGACTTTTTCCAAACTGCTCAATGAGAAGAAACTTTCAACTCTGTTTGATGAATGCACACACCACAAAGAAGTTTCTCAGAAAAATTCTATCTAGTTTTTATGTTAAGATATTTCCTTTTTCACCATAGGACTAAAAGAGCTCCATGTATCCCTTGGTAGATTCTTCAAAAAGACTTTTTCCAAACTGCTCAATGAAAAGAAGTTTCAACTCTGTTTGATGAATGCACACATCACAAAGAAGTTTCTCAGAAAGCTTCTGTCTAGGTTTTATTTTAAGATATTTCCTTTTTCACCATAGGCCTCAAACCACTCAAAAATATCCCTTTGCAGATTCTACAAAAGGACTGTTTCAAAACTGCTCAATCAGAAGAAAGTTTCAACTCTGTGAGATGAATGCACACATCAAAAAGATGTTTATCAGAAAACTTCTGTCTAGTTCTTATTTTAAGATGTTCCCTTTTTCACCATATTCCTCAAAGCCCTCCAAATATCCCGTGGTAGATTCTTCAAAAAGACTCTTTCCAAACTGCTCAATGAAAAGAAAGTTTCAACTCTGTGAGATGAATGCACACATCACAAGGAAGTTTTTCAGAAATCTTCTGTCCAGTTTTTATATGAAGATATCCATTATTCATTATAGGCCTCAAAGCACTCCAAATATCCATTTGCAACTTCTACAAAAAGACTGTTTCCAAACTGCTCAATCAAAAGAAAGGTTCAGCTCTGTGAGATGAATACAAAGATCACAAAGAAATTTCTCAAAATCTTCTGTGTAGATTTTATATAAATATATTTCCTTTTTCACCATAGGCCTCAAACAGCTCACAAATATACCTTTGTAGACTCTACAAAAAGACTGTTTCCAAACTGCTGAATGAAAAGAAAGGTTCAACTGTTTGAGATGAAAGCAGACATCACAAAGAAGTTTCTCAGAAAGTTTCTTTCTAGTGATTATGTTAAGATATTTCCTTTTTCACCTTAGGTCTCTAATCGCTCTAAATATCCAATTGCAGATTCTACAAAAAGGCTGTTTCAAAATGCTCAGTCAAAAGAAAGATTCAACTCTGTGAGATGAAAGCACACATCACAAAGTAGTTTCTCAGAAAGCTTCTGTCTACTTTTTATGTGAAGATATTTCCTTTTTCCCCATAGGTCTCAAACTGCACACAAATATACCTTGGTAGATTATACGAAAGGACTGTTTCCTAACTGCTCAATGAACAGTAAGTTTCATCTCTGTGAGATGAATGCAGACATCACAAAGAAGTTTCTCAGAAAGCTTCTGTCTAGTTTTTATATTAAGATATTTCCTTTTTCACCATAGGCCTCAAGGAACTCCAAATATCTTTTTTAGATACTACAAAAACCTGTTTTCAAACTACTCAATGAAAAGAAATGTTCAACTCTGTGAGATGAACGCACACATTATGAATAAGTTCTCAGTAAACTTCTGTCTAGTTTTCATGTGGACATATACCCTTTTTCGCCATATGCCTGAAAGTGCTCCAAATATCCATTTGCTGATTCTACACAAAGACTGTTTCCAAACTGCTCAATCAAAAGACAGGTTCAATTCTGTGAGATGAAAGCACATGTCACAAAGAAGTTTCTCAGAAATCTTCTGTCTAGGTTTTATGTTAAGATATTACCTTTTCCAAATAGGTCTCAAACATCTCACAAATATCCCTTTGCAGTTTCTACAAAAAGACTGTTTGAAAACTGCTCTATCAGAAGAAAGTTTCAACTCTGTAAGATGAATGCAAACATCACAGAGAAGTTTCTCAGAAAACTTCTGTCTAGTGTTTATGATAAGATATTTCCTTTTTCACCATATGCCTCAAAGCCCTCCAAATATCCTTTGGAAGTTTCTTCAAAAAGACTGTTTCCAAACTGCTCAATCAGAAGAAGTTTTCAACTCTGTGAGATGAAGGCACACATCACAAGGAAATTTCTCAGAAAGCTTCTGTCTAGTTTGTATGTTAAGATATTTCCTTTTCCACCATTGTCCTCAAAGCTGTCCAAATATCCCTTTGCAGATTCCACAAAAAGACTGTTTCCAAACTGCTCAATCACAAGAAGTGTTCAACTGTGTGAGATGAATGCACACATCACAAAGAAGTTTCTCAAAAAGGTACTGTCTAATTTTTATGTGAAGATATTTCCTTTTTCAAAATAGACCAAAAAGCGATCAAAATATCCCTTGGCAGATTCTACGAAAAGACTGTTTCCAAACTGCTCAATCATAAGAAAGTTTCCACTCTGTGAGATGAATCCACACATCACATAGAAGTTTCTCAAAGAGCTTCTGTCTACTTTTTATGTTAAGATATTTCATTGTTCACCATAGGCCTCAATGCACTCCAAATATCCCCTGGCAGTTTCCACAAGAACAGAGATTCCAATCTGCTCAATGAAAAGAAACGTTTACACCTGTGAGTTGAGTGCACACATCACAAAGGAGTTTCTCAGAAAGCTTCTGTCTAGTTTTTATATGAAGATATTTCCTTTTCCACCGTAGGCCTCAAACTGCTCACAAATATCCCTTTGAACATTCTACAAAAAGTCTTCTTCCAAACTGCTGAATCAAAATAAAGGTTCATATCCATGAGATGAATGTACATGTCACAAAGAAGTTTCTCCCAATGCTTTTATCTTGTTTTAATGCAAACATGTTTCCTTTTTCACCATAGGACTCAAAGTGCTCACAAATATCCCTTTGCAGTTTCTGCAAGAAGAGAGTTTCCAATCTGATCAATGAAGAGAAATGCTTACCTCTGTGAGATGAATGCACACATCACAAATCATATTCTCAGAAGCCTTCTGTCCAGTTTTTATGTGAAGATATATCCTATTTCACCATAGGTCACCAAAGGCTCACAAATATCCCTTTGCATATTCTACAAAAAGACTGTTTCCAAAATGCTCAATCAAAAGAATGGTTCATCTCAGTGGGATGAAAGCACACATAACAAATATGTTTCTCAGAAAGCTTCCGTCTAGTTTCTATATGAAGATATTTCCTTTTTCAAAATACGTCTCAAAGCACTCACAAATATCCCATTGTAGATTCTACACACAGACTGTTTTCAAAGTGCTCAATAAATAGAAAGTTTTAACTCTGTGAGATGAATGTACAAATCACAAAGAAGTTTCCTAGAAAGTTTCTGTCTAGTTTTTATGTGAAGATATTTCCTTTTTCACCATAGGCATCAAACTGCTCACAAATATCCCTTTGCAGATCCTACCAAAAGAGTTTCCAAACTGCTCAATCAAAAGAAAGGTTAAAATCTGTGAGATGAATGCACACATCACAAATCAGTTTCTCAGAAAACTTCTCTCTACTTTTTATGTAAACATATATCCTTTTTCACCATAGGTGACCAAGGGCTCACAAATATCAGTTGGCAGATTCTACAAAAAACTGTTACCAAAGTGCTCAATGAAAAGAAATTTTCAACTCAGTGAGATGAATGCACATATCACAAAGAAGTTTCTCAGAAAACTTCTGTCTAGTTTTTATGTGAAGGTATTTCCTTTTTCACCATAGGCCTGAAACTGCTCACAAATATACCTTTGCAGATACTACAAAAAGACCTTTTCTAAACTGTTCAATCAAAGGGAACTTTCAAATCTGTGAGATGAATCCACACATCACAAAGAAGTTTCTAAGAAGCTTCTGTCTAGTTTTTAAGTGCAGATACTTCCTTTTTCTCCATAGGCCTTATGCTCACAAATATCCCCTTGTAGATACTAGAAAAAGACTGCTTCCAAACTGCTAAATGAAAAGAAAGGTTCAACTGTGTGAGATGAAAGCACACATCATAAAGTAGTTTCTCAGAAAGTTTCTGTCTAGGTTTTATGTGAAGATATTTCCTTTTTCACAATAAGCCTCAAAGTGCTCCAAATATCCATTTGCAGATCCTATAAAAAGACTGTTTCCAAACTGCTCAATCAAAGGACAGGTTCAACTCTGTGAGATGAATGCACACATCAGAAAGAAGTCTCCCAGAATGCTTCTGTCTAGTTTTTATATGAAGGTATTTCCTTTTTCACTATAGGCCTCAAAGGGCTAATAAATATCCCTTTGCAGATTCCAGAAGAACAGAATTTCCAATCAGATCAATGAAAAGAAACGTTTACTTCTGTGGGATGAATGCACATGTAACAAGTCAGTTTCTCAGAAAACTTCTCTCTACTTTTTATGTAAAGATATATCCCTTTCTACCATAGGTGACCAAGAACTCACAAATATCCCTTTGCAGATTCTACAAGAAACTATTACCAAACTGCTCAATCAAAAGAAAGTTTCAACTCAGTGAGATGAATGCACATATCACAAAGAAGTTTCTCAGGAAGCTTCTGTCTAGTTTTTATGTGAAGGTATCTCCTTTTTCACCATAGGCTTGAAACCACTCACACCTATTCCTTTGCAGATTCTACAAAAAGAATGTTTCCATACTGCTCAATCAAAAGAAACGTTGAACTCTGTGAGATGAACGCACACATCATAAGGAAGTTTCTCAGAAAGCTTCTATCTAGTTTTTATGGGAAGATATGTCCTTTTTAACCATAGGTCTCAAAGAGCTCCAAATATCCCTTTGTAGATTCTACAAAAGACAGTTTCCAAACTGATCAATCAAAAGAAAGGTTCAACTCTGTGAGTTGAAGGCACACATCACAATGATGTTTCTCAGAAAGCTTCTGTCTACTTTTTATATTAAGATATTTCCTTTTTCAACATAGGTCTCAAAGCACCCCAAATATCCCTTTGCAAATTCTACAAAAAGACTGTTTCCAGCCAGCTTAATCAAAAGAAAGATTCAACTCTGTGAGATGAAAGCACACATCACAAATTAGTTTCTCAGAAAGCTTCTGTCTAGTATTTATATGAAGATATTTCCTTTTCCACCATAGGCCTCTAACAGCTCACAAATATCCCTTTGCAGATTTTACAAAAAGACTGTTTCCACACTGCTAAATCAAAGGAAAGTTTCAACACTGTGAGATGAATGCACATATCACAAAGAAGTTTCTCAGAAATCTTCTGTCCAGTTTTTATGTGAAGATATTTCCTTTTTCACCATAGGCCTCAAAGCGCTCCAAATATCCCATGGAACTTTCCACAAAAAGATGGTTTCCAAACTGCTCAGTCAAAGGAAAATTTCAACTCTGTCAGATGAATGCACACATCACAAAGAAGTTTCTCAGAAAACATCTCTGTATTTTTTATATGAAGATATTTTCTTTTTCACGATAGGCTTAAAAGCACTCAGAAATATCCCTTTGCAGATTCTACAAAAAGAGAGTTTCCCAACTGCTCAAACAAAAGAAAAGTTCAACTCTGTTAGATGAAAGTATACATCACAAAGAAGTTTCTCAGAAATTTTCTGTCTGGTTTTTGTGTGATGATATTTCCTTTTTCAACATGGGCTTCAAACCACTCTAAAATATCCCTTTGAATATTCTACAAAAAGACTGTTTTGAAACTGCTCAATGAAAAGAAATTTTCAACTCTGTGAGATGAATGCACACATCACAAAGAAGTTTCTCACAAAGCTTCTGTCTAGTTTTTATTAAAGATATTTCCTTTTTAACCATAGGCATCAAAGGGCTCACAAATATCCATTTGGAGATACTGCAAAAAGACTGTTCCCAAACTGCTCAATCAAAAGAAAGATTCAACACTGTGAAATGAATGCACACATCACAAAGCAGTTTCTCATAAACCCCCTGTCTACTTTTTATGTGAAGATACTTCCTTTTTCACCATAGGCCTCAAAGGGCTCACAAGTATCCCTTTGCATATTTTACAAAAAGACAGTTTCCAAACTGCTCAATCAAAAGACAGTTCAACACTGAGAGATGAATGCACACATCACAAGAAGTTTCCCAGAAATATTCTGTCTAGTTTTTATGTGAAGGCATTCCCTTTTTCACCATAGCCTTAAAGCGCTCACAAATATCCCTTTGCGGATTCTACAAGAACAGAGTTTCCAATCTGCTCAATGAAAAGAAACTTTTATCTCTGTGAGATGGGTGCACATATCAAAAAGCAGTTTCTCAGAAACCTTCTGTCTAGTTTTGAAGGGAAGACATTTGCTTTTTCACCATAGTCCTCAAAGGAGTCACAAACATCCCTTTGCAGATTCTACAAAAAGAATGTTTCCAAACTACTCAATCCACATAAAGATTCAACTTTATGTAAGATCAATGAACACATCACAAAGAAATTTCTCAGAATGTTTCTGTCTAGTTTTTATGTGAAGATGTTTCCTTTTTCATCATATGCCTCAAAGGGATCACAAACATCCCTTTGCAGATTCCACAGAAAGACTTTTTCCAAACTGCTCAACAAGAAGAAATGTTCATCTCTGTGAGATGAATGCACACATCACAAAGAAGTTTCTGAGAAAGGTTTCATCTAGTTTTTATGTGAAGCTATTTCCTTTTTCACCATAGGCCCCAAACCGCTCACAAATATCTGTTTGCAGATTCCACAAAAAGCGTGTTTCCAAACAGCTCAATTAAAAGAAAGGTTGAACTCTTTGAGTTGAATGCACACATCACAAAGAAGTTTCTGAGAAAGCTTTCGTCTAGTTTTTATGTGAAGATATTTCCTTTTTCACCATAGGCCCCAAACCGCTCACAAATATCTGTTTGCAGATTCCACAAAAAGCGTGTTTCCAAACAGCTCAATCAAAAGAAAGGTTGAACTCTTTGAGTTGAATGCACAAATCACAAAGAAGTTTCTCAGAAAGCTTCTGTCCAGTTTTTATCTGAAGATATTTCCTTTTTCACCACAGGCCTCAAAGCACTCACAAATATCCCTTTGCAGATTCCACAGAAAGACTTTTTCCAAACTGCTCAACAAGAAGAAATGTTGATCTCTGTGAGATGAATGCACACATCACAAAGAAGTTTCTGAGAAAGCTTTCGTCTAGTTTTTATGTGAAGATATTTCCTTTTTCACCATAGGCCCCAAACCGCTCACAAATATCTGTTTGCAGATTCCACAAAAAGTGTGTTTTCAAACAGCTCAATCAAAAGAAAGGTTGAACCCTTTGAGTTGAATGCACACATCACAAAGAAGTTTCTCAGAAACTTCTGTCCAGTTTTTATCTGTAGATATTTCCTTTTTCACCATAGGCCTCAAAGCACTCACAAATATCCCTCTGCAGATTTGACAAGATCAGAGTTTCCTATCTGCTCAATGAAAAGAAACGTTTACCTCTATGAAATGAATGCCCATGTCCCTAAGCAGTTTCTCAGGAATCTTCTGTCTTGTTTTTATGTGAAGATATTTCCTTTTTCATCATATGCCTCAAAGGGATCACAAACATCCCTTTGCAGATTCTACAAAAAGACTGTTTCCAAACTAGTCAATCAAATGTAAGTTTCAACACTGTAAGATGAAAGCACACATCAAAAGAAAGTTTCTCAGAAAGCTTCTGTCTAGTTTTTATGTGAAGATATTTCCTTTTTCACCATATGCCTCAGAGCACACAAAAATATCCCTTTGCAGTTTCTACAAAAGGACTGTTTCCAAACTGCTTACTCAAAAGAAAGACAAAACTCTGTGAGATGAATGCACACATCACAAAGAAGTTTCTCTGAAAGGTTCTGTCTAGCTTTTATGTGTAGATATTTCCTTTTTCACCATAGTCTTCAAACTGCTCACAAATATCCATATGCAGATTCTATAAAAAGAAGAAGTTTCTCAGAAAGTTTCTGTCTGGTTTTCATGTGAAGATATTTCCTTTTTCACCCTAGGCCTCAAAGTACTCACAAATATCCCTTTGCAGATTCCACGAAAAAAAACTGTTTCCAAACTAGTCAATAAAAAGAAAAGTTCAACTCTGTGAGATGAATGCACACATCGCAAAGCAGTTTTTCAGAAAGCTTTTGTCGAGGTTTCATGTGAAGATATATACTTTTTCAAAACAGACCTCAAAGGGCAGACAAATATCCCTATGCAGATTCTCCAAAAAGACTGCTTCCAAACTTTTCCCTCAAGGGAATTGTTCACCTCTGTGAGATGAATGCACAAATCACAAAAAAGTTTTACAGAAAACTTCTTTCTAGCTTTTATATGAAGATATTTCCTTTTTCACCACAGCCCTCCAAGCACTCAGAAGTATCCCTTTGCAGATTCGACAATAAGACTATTTTCAAACTACTCAGAAAGGTTCAACTCTGTGAGATGAGTGCACATATCACAAAGAAGTTTCTCAGAAAGTTTCTGTCTAGTTTTTATGTGAAGATATTTCCTTTTTAACCATACGACTCAAAGCACTCAAAAATATGCCTTTTCAGATTCTATAAGAACATAATATCCAATCTGCTCAATGTAAAGAAAGGTTAACCTCTGTGAGATGAATGCACAGATTTCAAAGCAGTTTCTCAGTATACTTCTCTCTAGTTTTTATGTGAAGATATTTCCTTTTTCACTATAGACCTCAAAGTGTTCGCAAATATCCCTTTGAAGATTCTACAAAAAGACTGTTTCCAAACTGCTCAGTCAAAGGAAAGGCTCAACTCTGTGAGATGTATGCACATTTCACAAAGAAGTTTCTCAGAAAGCTTCTGTCTACTTTTTATGTGAAGATATTTCCTTTTTCACCACAGGCCTCAAAGCGCTCAGAAATATCCCTTTCCAGATACTGCAAGAACAGAGTTTACAATCTCCACAATGAAAAGAAAGGTTTACGTCTGTGAGATGAATGTGCACATCACAAAGAAGTTTCTCAGAAAGCTTCTGTCTAGTATTTATGTGAAGATATTTCCTTTCCATCCATAGGCCTCAAGCCACTCACAAATATCCCTTTGCATTTTCTACAAAAAGATTTTTTCCAAACTGCTCAATCAAAAGAAAGTTTGAACTGTGTGAGATGAAAGCACATATCACAAAGAAGTTTCTCAAAAAGCTTTTGTCTACTTTTTATGTGAAGATATTTACTTTTTCACCATAGGCTTCAAAGCACTCACAAGTATCTCATTGCAGATTCTACAAGAAGAGAGTTTCCCATCTGATCAATGAAAAGAAACATTTACCTCTGTCAGATGAATGCACACATCACAAATCAGATTCTCAGAAGCCTTCTGCCTAGTTTTTATGTGAATGTATATCCTTTTTCACCATAGGCCACCAAGGGCTCACAAATATCGGATTGCAGATTCTACAAAAAGACTGTTTACAAACTACTCAAGGTTCTATTTAGTGAGATGAATGCACACATCTCAAGGAAGTATCTCAGAAAGCTTCTGTCTGGTTTTTATATGAAGATATTTCCTTTTTCACCATAGGTCTCAACAAGCTCACAAATATCGCTTTGTAGATTCTACACAAAGACTGTTTTCAAACTGCTCAATCCATAGAAAGTTTCAACTCTGTGAGATGAATGCGCACGTCACAAAGAAGTTTCTCAGAAAGCTCCTTTCTAGTTTTTATGTGAAGATATTTTATTTTTCACCATAGGCATCAAACCACACACAAATATCCCTTTGCAGATTCTACAAAAATAATGTTTCCAAACTGCTCAACCAAAAGAAAGTTTCCACTCTGTCAGATGAATGCACACATCACAAAGCAGTTTCTCAGAAAGATTCTGTCTAGTTTTCCTATGAAGTTATTTCCCTTTTCAGCAATGGCCTCAAAGGGCTCACAAATATCCCTTTGCAGATCCAACAAAAAGGCTGTTTCCAAACTGCTTAATTGAAAGAAAAGTTCACCTCTGTGGGATAAATGCCACATCACAAAGAAGTTTCTCAGAAATCTTCTGTCTGGTTTTTATGTGAAGATTTTTCCTTTTTCACCATAGGACTCAAACCACTCACAAATATCCCTTTACAGCTTCTGCAAAAAGACTGTTTCCAAACTGATTAATCAAAAGAAAGTTTCAACTCTGTGAGATGAATGCAGGCATCACAATGAAGTTTCTCAGAAATCTTCTGTCTAGTTTTTATGGGAATATATTTCCCTTTTCACCACAGGCCTCAAAGTGGTCACAAATATCCCTTTGTGGATACTACAAGAAGAGAGTTTCCAATCTGCTCAGTGAAAAGAAATGTTTACCTCTGTGAGACGAATGCTCACATCAGGAAGCAGTCTCTCAGAATCCTTCTTTCTGGTTTTTATGTGAAGATAGGTCTTTTTCACCATAGGTCTCAAGCGCTCACAAATATCCCCTTGCAGATTCTACAAAAAGACTGTTTCCAAACTGCTCAACGGAAAGAAAGGTTCAACTCTGTGGGATAAATGCACACAGCTCAAAGGAGTTTTTCAGGAATCTTCTGTCTAGTTTTTATGTGAAGATATTTTCTATTTCACCATAGGCCTCAAAGCGCTCACAACTATTCCTTTGCAGATTCTACAAGGACTGTTATGACTGTTTCCAATCTGCTCAATCAAAAGAAAGGTTCAACTCTGTGAGCTGAATGCACACATCACAAGGAAGTTTCTCAGAAAGATTCTTTGTAGTTTTTATGTGAAGATATTTACTTTTTCACCATAGGCCTCCAAGTGCTCAAAAATATCCCTTTGCAGATTCTGTAAGAAAAGAGTTTCCAATCTACTCAATGATAAGAGACATTTACCTGTGTGAGGTGGATGCACGCATCAAAAAGCAGTCTCTTAGAAACCTCCTGCCTAGTTTTTATGTGAAGATATATCCTTTTTCAAAACAGGCCTCAGAACGGTCACAAATATCCCTTTGTGGATACTACAAGAAGAGAGTTGAAAAGAAATGTTTACCTCTGTGAGATGAATGCCCACATCACGAAGCAGTCTCTTAGACATCTTCTGTCTAGTTTTCAAGTGAAGATATTTCCTTTTTCACCATAGGCCTCAAAGAGCTCACAAATATCCCTTTGCAGATTCTACAAAATAACTGTTTCCACAGTGCTCAATCAATAGGAAGTTTCAACACTTTGAGATTAATGCATACATCACAAAGAAGTTTTTGTGAAAGCTTCTGTCTGGTTTTTATGTGATGATATTTCCTTTTTCGCCACAGGCCTGAAAGCAGTCCCAAATCTAACTTTGCGGATTCTACAAGAAGAGGGTTTCCAATCTGCTCAATGAAAAGTAATGTCTACCTCTGTGACATGAATGCCCACATCAAGAAGCAGTCTCTCAGAAACCTTCTGCCTAGTTCTTATGTTTAGATATTTCCTTTTTCACCATCGGCCTCAAAGGGCTCACAAATATCCATTTGCAGATGCTACAAAAACACTTTTTCGAAATTGCTCAATCAAAAGAAAAATTCAACTATGTGAGATGAATTCACACATCACAAAGAAGGTTCTCAGAAAGCTTCTGCCTAGTTTTCATTTGAAGATATTTCCTCTTTCATAATAGGCTTCAAAGTGCTCACAAATATACCTTTGCAGATTCTATAAAAAGAGTGTTTCCAAACTGCTCAATCAAAAGAAAGCTTTAACTATTTGAGATGAATGTACACATCACAAAGTAGTTTCTCAGAAAGCTTCTGTCTAGTTTTCATGTGAAGATATTTCCTTTTTCACCATAGGCCTTAGAGCACTCGCAAATATCTCTTTGCAGAATCCAGAAGAAGAGAGTTTCCAATCTGCTCAATGAAAAGAAACGTTTACCTCTGTGAGATGAATGCCTATGTCATGAAGCAGTTTCTGAGAAATATTTTGTCTAATTTTTATGTGAAGATATTTCCTTTTTTGCCATAGACGTCAAAGGGCTCAAAAATATCCCTTTGCAGATTCTACAAAAAGACACTTTCTGAACTATTCAATCAAAAGAAAGTTTCAAATCTGTGAGATGAATGCACATATCACAAAGAAGTTTCTCAGAAAGCTTCCATTTAGTTTTCATGTGAAGATATTTCCTTTTTCACCATAGGCCTCAAAGCACTCAAAAATACACCTTTGGAGATACTACAAAAAGAATGTCTCCAAACTGCTTAATCAAAAGAAAGGTTTAACCCTTTGAGATGAATGCACACATCACAAAGAAGTTTCTCAGAAAGCTTCTGTCTAGTTTTTATATGAAGTTATTTCCCTTTTCACACAGGACTCAAACCGCTCAAAAATATCCCTTTTCAGATTCTACCAAAAGATGGTAATGACAATTTCCAAACTTCTCAATAAAAACAAAGGTTCAACTCTGTGAGATGAATGCACACATCAAAAAGTAGTTTCTCAGAAAGATTCTGGGTAGTTTCTACATGAATATATTTCCTTTTCCACCATAGGCCTCAAAGCGATCACAAATATCCCTTTGCAGATTCTACAAAAAGACTGCTATGACTGTTTCCAATCTGCTCAATCAAAAAAAAGGTTCAATTATGTGAGATGAATGCACACATCACAAAGAAGTTTCTCAGAAAGCTTCTCTCTAGTTTTTATGTGAAGATATTTCCTTTTTCACCTTAGGCCTCCTACCACTCACAAATATCCCTTTGCAGATTCTACAGAAACACTGTTTCCAAACTACTTAATCAAAAGAAATGTTCAACTCTGTGAGATTAATGCACATCACAAAGCAGTTCCTCAGAAAACTTCTGTATGGTTTTTATGTGAAGATATTTCATTTTTCACCATAGGCCTCAAACCGCTCAAAAATATCCCTTTACAGATTCTACAAAAAGACTGTTTCCAAACTGCTCAACCAAAAGAAAGGTTCAACTCTGTGAGATGAATGCACACATCACAAAGAAGTGTCTCAGAATGCTACTATCTAGTTTTTATGTGAAGATATTACCTTTTTCACCACAGGCCTGAGGGCGGTCACAAATCTCCCTCTGTGGATTCTACAAGAAGAGGGTTTCCAATCTGCTCAATGAGAAGTAATGTCTACCTCTATGAGATGAATGCCCACATCATTAAGCAGTCTCTCAGAAATATTATGTCTAGTTTTTATGTGAAGATATTTCCTTTTTCAACATAGACCTCAAAGTGCTCACAAACATCCCTTTGCAGATGCTACAAAAAGACTTTTTCTAAACTGCTCAATCAAAATAATGGTTCAACTCTGAGAAAAATGCACACATCACAAAGAAATTTCTCAGAAACCTTCTATCTAGTTTTCATGTGAAGATATATTCTTTTTCTGCATAGACCACAAAGGGCTCACAAATATCCCTTTGCAGATTCTACAAAAAGACTGTTTCCAAAATGCTCAATCAAAAGAAAGTTTCAACCCTGTGAGATGAATGAACACAGCATGAAGAAGTTTCTCTGAAAGGTCCAGTCTAGTTTTTATGTGTAGGTATTTCCTTTTTCACCATAGTCCTCAAACCACTCACAAATATCCCTATGCAGATACTACAAAAAGATGTTTTCCAAACTGCTCAATCAAAAGAAAAGTTCAACACTGTGAGCTGAATGCACACATCACAAAGAAGTTTCTCAGAAAGCTTCTGTCTGGTTTTCATGTGAAGATATTTCCTTTTTCACCCTAGGCCTCAAAGTGCTCACAAATATGCCTTTGCAGATTCCACAAAAAGACTGTTTCCAAACTGCTCAATAAAAAGAAAGGTTCAACTCTGTGAGATGAATGCACACATCACAAATCAGTTTTTCAGAAATCTTTTATCGAGTTTTCATGTGAAGATATATACTTTTTCAAAACAGGCCTCAAAGGGCAGACAAATATCCCCATACAGAGTATCCGAAGACTGTTTCCAAGCTGCTCCATCAAGGGAAATATTCAGCTCTGTAACATGAATGCACAAATCACAAAATAGTTTCACAAAAAGCTTCTTTCTAGTTTTTATATGAAGATATTTCCTTTTTTTCCCACAGCCCTCCAAGCGCTCACAAATATCCCTTTGTACATTCGACAATAGGACTATTTCCAAACTATTCAATCAAAAGAAAGGTTCAACTCCGTGAGATGAGTGCACACATCACAAAGAAGTTTCTCAGAAAACTTCTGTCTAGTTTCCACGTGAAGATATTTCCTTTTTCACCATAGGACTCAAAGCGCTCAGAAATATCCCTTTGCAGATTCTACAAAAATACTGTTTCCAAACTGCTCCATGAAAACAGAAGTTAAACACTGTGAGATGGCTGCACACAATACAAAGAAGTTTCTCAGAAATCTTCTGTCTCGTTTTTATGTGAAGTTATTTCCTTTTTCACCATAAGCCTCAAAGCGCTCAAAGATATCCCTTTGCAGATTCTACAAAAGTACTTTTGCAAACTGCTCAATGCAAAGAGAGGTTCAACTCTGTGTGATAAATGCACACATCACAAAGAAGTTTCTCATGAAGCTACTGCCTAATTTTTATGTGACGATATTTTCTTTTTCATCATATGCCTCAAAGTCCTCACAAATCTCCCTTTGCAGATACTACAAGATCAGAGTTTCCTATCTGCTCAATGAAAAGAAACGTTTACTTCTGTGAGATGAATGCCCACATCATGAACCAGCTTCTCAGTAACCTTCTGTCTAGTTTTTATATGAAGATATTTCCTTATTCACCATAGGCCTCAAAGCAATCACAAATATCCCTTTGCAGATTCTACAAAAAGACGCTTTCCAAACTATTCAATCAAAAGAAAGTTTCAACTCTGTGAGATGAATGCACATACCACAAAAAAGTTTTGCAGAAAGCTTCTGCCTAGTTTTTATATGAAGATATTTCCTTTTTCACCGTAGGCCTAAAACCGTTCACAAATAACACTTTGCAGATTCTACAAAAATAATGTTTCCAAACTGCCCAATCAAAAGAAAGTTTCCACTCTGTCAGATGAATGCACACATCACAAAGCAGTTTCTCAGAAAGATTCTGTCTAGTTTTCCTATGAAGTTATTTCCCTTTTCAGCAATGGCCTCAAAGGGCTCACAAATATCCCTTTGCAGATCCAACAAAAAGGCTGTTTCCAAACTGCTTAACTGAAAGAAAGGTTCACTCTGTGGGATAAATGCCACATCACAAAGAAGTTTCTCAGAAATCTTCTGTCTGGTTTTTATGTGAAGATTTTTCCTTTTTCACCATAGGACTCAAACCACTCACAAATATCCCTTTACAGCTTCTGCAAAATGACTGTTTCCAAACTGATTAATCAAAAGAAAGTTTCAACTCTGTGAGATGAATGCAGGCATCACAATGAAGTTTCTCAGAAATCTTCTGTCTAGTTTTTATGGGAATATATTTCCTTTTTCACCACAGACCTCAAAGTGCTCACAAATGTCCCTTTGCAGATGCTACAAAAAGACTTTTTCCAAACTGCTCAATCAAAAGAATGGTTCAACACTTTGAGAAAAATGCACACATCACAAAGAAATTTCTCAGAAACCTTCTATCTAGTTTTCATGTGAAGATATTTCCTTTTTCACCCTAGACCTCAAACCACTCACAAATATCCCCTTGCAGATTCTACAAAAAGACTGTTATGACAGTCTCCAAACTGCTCAATCAAAAGGAAGGTTCAAATCTGTGAGATGAATGCACACATCACAAAGAAGTTTCTCAGAAAGATTCTATGTAGTTTTTATGTGAAGATATTTCCTTTTTCACTGTAGGTCTCAAAGCGCTCACAAATATCCCCTTCGATTCTAAAAGAAAAGAGCTTCAAATCTTCCCAAGGAAAAGGAATGCTTACCTCTGTGAAATGAATGCACACATAACAAAGAAGTTTCTCAGAAAGCTTCTGTCGAATTTTTATGTGAAGATATTTCCTTTTCCACCACAGGCTTCAAAGTGCTCACAAATATCCCTTTGCAGGCTCTAGAAAAAGATTCTTTCCAAACTGCTCAATCAAAAGAAAGGTTCATCTCTGTCAGATTAGTGCACACATCACAATGAAGTTTCTCTGAAAACTTCTGTCTAGTTTTTATGTGAAGATATTTCCTTTCTCACCACAGGCCTCAAATTGCTCACAAATATCCCTATGTAGATTCTACAAGAAGACTCTTCCAAACTGCTCCATCGAAAGAAAGGTTCAAATCTGTGAGATGAATGTACACATCAGAAAGCAGTTTCCAAGAATGCGTCTGTCTAGTTTTTATGTGAAGATATTTCCTTTTTCACCACAGGATTCAAAGCAGTCACAAATATCCCATTGCAGATTCTACAAGAAGAGAGTTTCCAATATGTTCAATGAAAAGAAATCTTTACCTCTTTGAGATGAATGCCCTCATCACTAAGCAGTCTGTCAGAACCATTCTGTCTACTTTTTGTGTGAAGATATTTCCTTTTTCACCATAGGCCTGAAATTGCTCCAAATATCCCTTTACAGATTCTACAAAAAGACTGTTTCCAAGCTGCTCAATCAAAAGAAACGTTCAAGTCTGTGAGTTGAATGCACACATTACAAAGAAGTGTCTCAGAATGCTTCTGTCTAGTTTTTATGTGAAGATATTACCTTTTTCACCATAGGCCACAAAGTGTTCACAAATATCCCTTTGCGGATACTTCATGAAGAGGGTTTCCAATCTGCTCAATGAAAAGAAATATCTACCTCTGTGAGATGAATGCCCACATCATGAAGCAGTCTCTGAGAAACCTTCTGTCTAGTTTTAATGTGAAGAGATTTCCTTTTTCACCATAGGCCTCAAGTTGCTACAAATATCCCTCTACAGATTCTACAAAAATACTTTTTCCATAAATGCTCAATCAAAAGAAAGCTTCAACTCTCTGAGATGAATGTAGACATCACAAAGAAGTTTCTCAGAAAGCTTCTGTCTAGTTTTGATGGGAAGATATTTCCTTTATCACCATTGGCCTCAAACTGCTCAAACATAACACTTTGCAGATCTACAAAAAGAATGTTTCCAAACTGCTCAACCAAAAAAAAAAGTTTCAACTCTGTGAGATGAATGCACACATCACAAAGCAGTTTCTCAGAAAGATTCTGTCTAGTTTTCATAGGAAGTTATTTCCCTTTTGACCATAGGCCTCAAAGGGCTCACAAATATCCCTTTGCAGATGCTACAAAAAGGCTGTTTCCAAACTGCTTAATTGAAAGAAAGATTAACCTCTGTGGGATGAATGCATACATCACAGAGAAGTTTCTCAGAAATCTTCTGTCTATTTTTTGAAGTGAAGATTTTTCCTTTTTCACCATAGGACTCAAACCACTCACAAATATTCCTTTACAGATTCTACAAAAAGACTGTTTCCAAAATGATCAATCAAAAGAAAGTTTCAACTCTGTGAGATGAATGCGGGCATCACAAAGAAGTTTCTCAGAAAGCTTCTGCCTAGTTTTTATGTGAAGATATTTCCTTTTTCACCACAGGCCTCAAAGTGGTCACAAATATCCCTTGGCAGATACCACAAGAGAGTTTCCAATCTGCTCAGTGAAAATAAATGTTTACCTCTGTGAGACGATTGCCCACATCCCAAAGCAGTCTCCCAGAAACCTTCTGTCTAGTTTTCATGTGAATATATTTCCTTTTTCACCATAGGCTTCAAAGGGCTCACAAATATCCCCTTGGAAATTCTATGAAAAGGCTGTTTCCACACTGCTCAATCAAAAGAAAGTTTCAACTCTTTGAGATTAATGCACACATCACAAAGCAGTTTCTCACAAAATTTCTGTCTAGGTTTATGTGAAGATATTTCATTTTTAACCATATGCCTCAAACCACTCACAGATATCCCTTTACAGACTCTACAAAAAGACTGTTTCCAAACTGCTCAATCAAAAGAAAGTTTCAACTGTGTGAGATGAATGCACACATCACAAATCAGTTTCTCAGTAAGCTTCTGTCTGGTTTTTATTTGAAGATATTTAGTTTTTCACCACAGACTGAAAGTGGTCCCAAATCTAACTTTGTGGATTCTACAAGAAGAGGGTTTCAAATCTGCCCAATGAAAAGTAATGTCTACCTTTGTGGGATGAATGCCAACATCATGAAGCAGTCTCTCAGAAATCTTCTGTCTAGTTCTTATGTGAAGACATTTCCTTTTTCACCATAGGCCTCAAACAGCCCACAAATATCCGTTTGCAGATGCTACAAAAACACTTTTGCCAAATTGACAATCAAAAGAAAGTCTCAGCTATGTGAGATGAATTCACACATCACAGAGAATTTTCTCAGAAAGCTTCTGTCTAGTTTTTATGTGAAGATATTTCCTTTTTCATAATAGGCCTGAAAGTGCTCAAAAATATCTCTTTGCAGATTCTACAAAAAGAGTGCTTCCAAACTGCTCAATCAAAAGAAATGTTCAACTATTTCAGATGAATGTACACATCAGAAAGTAGTTTCTCAGAAAGCTTCTGTCTAGTTTTCATGTGAAAATATTTCCTTTTTCACAATAGGCCTCAAAGTGCTCACAAACATCCCTTTGCAGACTCTAGAAGAAGAGAGGTTCCAATCTACTCAATGAAAAGAAACGTTTACCTCTGTGAAATGAATGCCCATGTCATGAAGCAGTTTCTGAGAAACATTCTGTCTAATTTTTATTTGAAGATATTTCCTTTTTTGCCATAGGCCTCAAAGGGCTCATAAATATCCCTTTGCACATTCTACAAAAAGACACTTTCCAAACTATTCATTCAAAAGAAAATTTCAACTGTGAGATGAATGCACATATCACAAAGAAGTTTCTCATAAAGCTTCTGTCTAGTTTTTATGTGAAGATATTTCCTTTTTCACCATAGGCCTCAAAGCACTCACAAATATACCTTTGGAGATACTACAAGAAGAATGCCTCCAAACTGCTTAATCAAAAGAAAGGTTCAACTCTTTGAGATGAATGCACACATCACAAAGAAGTTTCTCAGAAGGATTCTGTGTAGTTTTTATGTGAAGATATTTCCTTTTTCACCATAGGCCTCAAACTGCTCACAAATATGCCTTTGCAGATTCTATAAAAAGACTGTTTCCAAACTGCTCAATCAAAAGAAAGTTTCAACTCTGTGAGATGAATGCACACATCACAAAGCATTTTCTCAGAAAGATTCTATTTAGTTTTCATATGAAGTTATTTTCCTTTTCACCACAGGACTCAAACAGCTCACAAATATCCCTTTACAGACTCTACAAAAAGAGTCTTTCCAAACTGATCAATCAAAAGAAAGTTTCAATTCTATGAGATGAATCCAAGCATCACAAAGAAGTTTCTCAGAAAGCTTCTGTCTAGTTTTTATGTGAAGATATTTCCTTTTTCACCGTAGGCCTCAAACCAATCACAAATATCCCTATGCAGATTCTATGAAAAGACTCTTCCAAACTCCTCAATCAAAAGAAAGTTTCAACTCAGTGAGATGAATGCACACATCAGAAAGCCATTTCCCAGAAAGCTTCTGTCTAGTTTTTATGTGAAGATATTTCCTTTTTCACCACAGGTCTCAAAGCAGTCAAAAATATCCCTTTGCAGATTATACAAGAAGAGAGTTTCCAATCTGCTCAATGAAAAGAAATAATTACCTCTTTGAGATGAATGCCCTCATCATGAAACAGTCTCTCAGAAACATTCTGTCTATTTTTTATGTGAAGATATTTCCTTTTTCACCATAGACCTCAAAGGGTTGAAAAATATCCCTTTGGAGATTCTACAAAAAGACTGTTTCCAAACTGCTCAATCAAAAGAAAGATTCAACTCTGTGAGATGAATGCACACATCACAAAGAAGTTTCTCGGAAATCTTCTATTTTTTTATGTGAAGATATTTCCTTTTTCACCACAGGCATCAAAGCACTCACAAATATCCCTTTGCAGATTCTACAAAAAGACAGTTATGACTGTTTCCAAACTAGTCATTCAAAAGAAAGTTTCAACTATGTGAGATGAATGGACACATCACAAGCAGTTTTTCAGAAAGCCTTTGTCTTGTTTTCATATGAAGATTTTCCTTTTTCACCACAGGACTCCAATGACTCACAAATATCCCTTTGCATACTCTACAAAAATGCTGTTTCCAAACTGCTCAACCAAACGGAGGGTTCAAATCTTTGAGATGAATGCACACATAACAAAGCAGTTTCTCAGAATTCTCCTATCTAGTTTTTATGGGAAGATTTTTTCTTTTTCACCATACGCTTCAAACTGCTCACAAATATCACTTTACAGATTCTACAAACTGACTGTTTCCAAACTGCTCAATCAAAAGAAAGGTTCAACTCCATGAGATGAATGCACACATCTCAAAGAAGTTTCTCAGAATGCGTCTGTCTAGATTTATGTGAAGACATTTCCTTTTTCACCACTGGCCTAAAAGCGGTCACAAATATCCCTTTGCAGATACTATATGAGGAAGGTTTCCAATCAGCTCAATGAAAAGAAATTTCTACCTCTGTGAGATGCATGCCCACAAAATGTAGCAGTCTCTAAGAAAGCTTCTGTCTAGTTTTTATGTGAAGATATTTCCTTTTTCAACATATGCCTCAAAGGGTTCCCAAATACACTTTTGCAGATTCTACAAAAAGACTGTTTCCAAACTGTACAATCAAAAGAAAGGTTCAACTCTGTGAGATGAATGAACACATCACAAAGAAGTTTCTCAGAAAGCTTCGGTCTAGTTTTTATATGAAAATATTTCCTTTTTCACAATAGGCCTCAAACCACTCAGAAATATCCCCTTGCAGATTCTCAAAGATCAGAGTTTCCAACTGGCTCAATGAAAATAAACATTTACCTCTGGAGATGAAAGCACACATCACAAAGCACTTTCTCAGAAAACTTCTGTTTAGTTTTTATGTGAAGATATTTCCTTTTTTTACCATAGACCTCAAGGCCCTCAAAAATATCTCTTTGCAGATTCTGCAAAAAGACGTTTCCAAAATGCTCAATCAAAACCAAGGTTCAACTGTGTGAGACGAATGCATACATCACAAAGAAGTTTCTCTGAAAGCTTCTGTCTCGTTTTCATATGAAGATATTTCCTTTTTCACCCCAGGCATCAAAACTTCCTCAAATATCCCTTTGCAGATTCTACAAGAACAGAGTTTCCAATCTGCTCAATGAAAAGAAATGTTTACTTGTGTGAGATGAATGCACACATCACAAAGCAGTTACTCAGAAACCTTCTGTCTAGTTTTTATATGAGGATATTTCCTTTCTCAATATGGGCCTCAAGGCCCTCACAAATATCCCTTTGCAGATACTACAGAAAGACTGTTTCTAAACTGATCAATCAAAAGACAGTTCAACTTCATGAGATGAATACACACATCAAAAAGAAGTTTTCCAGAAAGCTTCTGTATAGTTTTTATGTGAAGATATTTCCTTTTTCACCATAGGCCTCAAAGCGCTCACAAATATCCCTTGGCAGATTCTACAAAAAGACTGTTTCCAAACTGTTCAATCAAAAGAAAGTTTCAACTCTGTGAGATGAATGCACGCATCACAAAGCAGTTTCTCAGAAAAATTCTGTCTAGTTTTCATATGAAGATATTTCCTTTTTTGCACCAAAAGCCTCAAAGTGCTCACAAATATCCCTTTGCAGATTCTACAAAAAGAATGTTTCCAAACTGCTCAATCAAAAGAAAGGTTCAAATCTGTGAGATGAATGCACACATCACAAAGAAGTTTCTCTGAAAGCTTCTGCCTAATTTTTATGTGAAAATATTTCCTTTTTCACAATAGGCCTCAAACCACTCACTAATATTCCCTTGCAGATTCTCAAAAAAGAGAGTTTCCAATCTGCTCAATGAAAAGAAACATTTACCTCTGTGAGATGAAGGCACACATCTGAAAACAGTTTCTCAGGAACCTTCTGTCTAGTTTTTATGTGAAGATATTTCCTTTTCTTACCTGAGACCTCAAGGCCCTCATAAATATCCATTTGCTGATTCTACAAAAAGACGGTTTCCAAACTGCTCAATCAAAATAAAGTTTCAACTCTGTGAGATGAATACACGCATTACAAAGAAGTTTCTCCAAAAGCTTCTGTCCAGTTTTTATGAGAACATAATTCCTTTTTCACCATAGTTCTTAAACTGCTCACAAATATCCCTTTGTAGACCCTGCAAGGAGGCTTTTTCCATACTGCTCAATCAAAGGAAAGTTTCAACTGTGTGAGACGAATGCACACATCACAAAGTAGTTTCTCAGAAAGCTTCTGTCTAGTATTTCTGTGAAGATATTTCCTTTTCCACCGTAGGCCTCAAAGCAGTCACAAATATCCCTCTGCGAATTCTACAGGAACAGAGTATCCAATATTGTCAATGGAAAGAAAAGTTTACTTCTGAGAGATGGATGCACACATCATGAAGCAGTCTCTCAGAAACCTTCTGCCTAGTTTTTAAGTGAAGATTTTTCCTTTTTCACCATAGACCTCAAAGGACTCAAAAATATCCCCTTGCAGATTCTATAGAAAGACTCTTTCCAAACTGCTCAATCAAAAGAAAGTTTCAACTCTCTGAGTTGAATAGACACATCACAGAGATGTTTCCCAGAATGCTTCTGTCTAGTTTTTATATGAAGATATTTCCTTTCTCACCACAGTCCTCAAAGTGCACCAAATATCCCTTTGCAGATTCTACAAAAGATTGTTTCCAAAATGCTCAATGAAAAGAAAGTTTCAACTCTGTGAGATGAATGCACACATCACAAAACAGTTTCTCAGAAAGCTTCTGTCTAGTTTTTAAGTGAGGTTACTTCCTTTTTCACCATAGGCCCCAGAGCGCTATAAATATTCCCTTGCAGATTCAACAAAAAGACTGTTTCCAAACTGCTCAATCAAAAGAAACGTTTAACTCTGGGAGATAAATGCACCCATCACAAAGAAGTTTCTCAGAATGATTCTGTGTAGTTTTTATGTGAAGATATTTCCTTTTTCACCATAGGCCTCAAAGCACTCTGATTATCCCCTTGCAGATTCAACAAAAAGACTGTTTACAAACTGCTCAATCAAACAAAAGGTTCAACTCTGTGCTATGAATGCACACATTACAGAGAAGTTTCTCAGAAAGCTTCTGTCTAGTTTTTATGTGAAGATATTTCCTTTTTCACCATAGTCTTCTAAGCGATCACAAATTTCCCTTTGCAGATTCTACAAAAAGACAGCTTCCAAACTGCTCAATCAAAAGAAAGGTTCAATATTGTGAGATGAATGCAAACATCACAAAGCAGTTTCTCAGAAGGCTTCTGTCTAGTTCTTATGTGAAGATATTCTCTTTTTCACCGTACAGCTCAAAGTGCTAACAAATATCCCTTGGCAGATTCTAACCAAAGACTTTTCTCAAAATGCTCAATAAAAAGAAAATTCAATGCTATTAGATGAATGCATACATCACAAAGCAGTTTCTCATAAACCTTCTCTCCAGTTTTTATGTGAAGATATTTCCTTTTTCAACATAGGCCACAAAGTGCTCACATATATACATTGGCAGATTTTACAAAAATACTTTTTCCAATCACCTTAATCAAAACAAAGGTTCAACTCTGTGAGATGAATGCATACATCACAAGGAAGTTTCTCAGAAAACATCTGAGTACTTTTTATGTGAAAATATTTCCTTTTCTGCTATATACCTCAAAGCACTCACAAATATCACTTTGCAGATTATACAAGTACAGGGTTTCCAATCTGCTCAATAAAAAGTACCATTTACCTCTGTGAGATGAAGGCACACATCACTACGCAGTTTCTCAGAAAACTCCTCTCTAGTTTTGATGTGTAGATATTTCCTTTTTCACCATAGGCCTCAAACCACTCATAAATATCCCTTTGCAGATTCTACAAAAAGACTTTCTAAACTGCTCAATCAAAAGAAAGGTTCAACTATACGAGATGAATGCCCATATCACAAAGAAGCTTCTCAGAATGCTTCTGTCCTGTTTTTATGTGAATATACTTCCTTTTTCACCATAGGCCACAAAGCGTTACAGATAGCCCTTTGAAGATTCTACAAAAACACTTTTTACAATCTGCTCAATTAAAAGAAAGGTTCAACTCTGTGAGATGAGAGCACACATCACAGGGAAGTTTCTCAGAAAGCATCTGTCTACTTTTTATATGAAGATATTTCCTTTTACACCACAGGCTTCAAAGGTCTCACAAACACACCTTTGCAGATTCTACAAGAACAGGGTTTGCAATCTGCTCAATGAAAAGAAACGTTTACCTCCATGAGATGAATGCACACATCAGAAAGAAGTTTCTCAGAAGGTTTCTGTCTAGTTTTTAGGTAAAGGTATTTCCTTTTTCATCATAGATCTCAAACCGCTCACAAACATCCCCTTGCAGATTCTTCAAAAAGAGTGTTTCCAAACTGCTCAATCAAAATACGTTCAATTCTGTGACATGAATGCACATATCACAAAGAAGTTTCTCAGAAAGCTTCTGTCTAGTTTTTATGTGAAGATATTTCCTTTTTCACTACTGGCCTCAAAGCACTCACCAATTTCCCTTTGCAGATTCTATAAGAACAGAGATTCCAATCTGCTCAAAGAAAGAAAGAGTTTAAAACTGTGAGATGAATGCACACATCACAAACCAGTTTCTCCTAAACCTTCTGTCTAGTTTTTATGTGAAGATAGTTCCTATTTCCCCATAGGCCTCAAAGGGATCACAAATATCCCTTTGCAGATTCTACATAAAGTATGATTCCAAACTACACAATCAGAAGAAAGTTTCAACAGTGTGAGATGAATGCACACATCACAAATTTGTTTCTCAGATGCTGTCTAGTTTTTATGTGAAAATATTTCCATTATCACCACAGGCCTCAAAGGGCTCACAAATATCCTTTTGTAGATTCTACGAAAAGATTGCTTCCAAACTGCTCAATCAAAGGAATTATTCAACTCTGTGAGATGAATGCACACATCAGAAAGCAGTTTCTCACAAACTTTCTGTCTAGTTTTATGTGAAGATATTTCCTTTTTCTCCATAGGCCTCAAAGATCTCACAAACATACCTTTGCAGTTACTATGAAAAGACAGTTTCCAAACTGCTCACTCAAAAGTAGCTTCAAGTCTGTGAGATGAATGCACACATCACAAAGAAGTTTCTCAGAAAGTTTCTGTCTAGTTTTTATGTAAAGCTATCTACTTTTTCACCATAGGAATAAAAGGGCTCACAAATATCCCTTTGAAGATTCTGCAAGAGCAGAGTTTCCAATCTGCTCAAAGAAAAGAAACGTTTACCCCTTGAGATGAATGCACACATCACAAATCAGGTTATCATAAACCTTCTGTCTAGTTATTATGTAAAGATAATTCCTTTTCCACCATAGGCCTCAAAGGGCTCACAAATATCCCTTTGCAGATTCTACTAAAAGACTGTTTCCAAAGTGCTCAATCAAAAGAAATTTTCGCCTCTGTAAGGTGAAAGCACATATCACAAAGAAGTTTCTCAGAAAGCTTCTATCTAGTTTTTATGTGAAGATATTTCCTTTTTCACCATAGGTCTCAAAGGGCTCACAAATATCCCTTTGCAGATTCTACACAAAGATGGTTTCCAAACTGCTCAATCAAAAGAAAGGTTCAACTTTGTGAGATGAATACACACTTCACAAGCAGTTTCTCAGAAACCTTCTGTCGAGTTTTTATGTGAATATATTTCCTTTTTCTCCATTGGCCTCAAAGGACTCACAAATCACCCTTTGGAGATTTTACAAAAAAGACTGTTTCTAAACTGCTGAATAAAAAGAAAGGTTCAACTCATTGCTATGAATGCACACATCACAAAGAAGTTTTTTCAGAGTGCCTCTGCCTAGTTTTTATGTGAAGATATTTCCTTTTCAACCATAGGCTTCAAAGCACACCAAATATCCATTTGCAGATACTACAAAAATACGGTTTCCAAACTGCTCAATCAAAGGAAAGGTTCAACACTGTGAGATAAATGCACACATCCGAAAGAGTTTCTCAGAATGCTTCTGTCTAGTTTTTATGTGAAGATATTTCCTTTTTCACTGTAGGCATCATAGAATTCAGAAATATACCTTTGGAGATTCTACAAAAAGACTGTTTCCAAACTGCTCAATCAAAAGAAATTTTCAACTATGTGAGATGAATGCACACATCACAAAGACGTTTCCTAGAAAGCTATTGTCTAGTTTTTATGTGTAGATATTTCCATTTGCACCATAGGCCTCAAAGCACTCACAAATATCCCTCTACATATTCTACAAAAAGACTGTTTCCAAACTGCTCAATCAAAAGAAAGTTTCAACCCTGCAAGATAAATGCCCACATCACAAAGAAGTTTATCAGAAATCTTCTGTCTAGTTTTTATGTGAAGAAATATCCTATTTCACCTTAGGCCTCAAAGGCCTCACAAATATCTCTTTGCAAATACAGGAAAAAGACTGTTTCCAAACTGCCCAATCAAAAGAAAGGTTCAATTCTGTCAGATGAATGCTCATCACAGTGAAGTTTCTCTGAATGGTTCTGTCTAGTTTTCATGTGAAGATATTTCTTTTACACCATAGGCTCAAACCACTCCAAGTTATGCGTTGGCAGATTGCACACAAGATATTTTCAAACTGCTCAAAGAAAAGAAAGTTTCAACTCTGTGAGGTGAATGCAAACATCAAAAATAAGTTTCTCAAAAAGCTTCTGTCTAGTTTTTATGTGAAGATATTTCCTTTTCCAACATAGGCTTCAAAGAGCTCACAAATACCCCTTTGCAGATTCTTCAAAAAGACTGTTTCCAAACTGCTCAACGAAAAGACAGGCTCTGTTCTGTTCCATTGATCTATATCTCTGTTTTGGTACCAGTACCATGCTGTTTTGGTTACTGTAGCCTTGTAGTATAGTTTGAAGTCAGGTAGTGTGATGCCTCCAGCTTTGTTCTTTTGGCTCAGGATTGACTTCGCGATGCGGGCTCCTTTTTGGTTCCATATGAACTTTAAAGTAGTTTTTTCCAATTCTTTGAAGAAAGTCATTGGTAGCTTGATGGGGATGGCATTGAATCTATAAATTACCTTGGGCAGTATGGCCATTTTCACGATATTGATTCTTCCTAACCATGAGCATGGAATGTACTTCCATTTGTTTGTATCCTCTTTTATTTCCTTGAGCAGTGGTTTGTAGTTCTCCTTGAAGAGGTCCTTCACATCCCTTGTAAGTTGGATTCCTAGGTATTTTATTCTCTTTGAAGCAATTGTGAATGGGAGTTCACTCATGATTTGGCTCTCTGTTTGTCTGTTGTTGGTGTATAAGAATGCTTGTGATTTTTGTACATTGATTTTGTATTGTGAGACTTTGCTGAAGTTGCTTATCAGCTTAAGGAGATTTTGGGCTGAGACAATGGGGTTTTCTAGATATACAATCATGTCATCTGCAAACAGGGGGACAATTTGACTTCCTCTTTTCCTAATTGAATACCCTTTATTTCCTTCTCCTGCCTAATTGCCTTGGCGAGAACTTCCAACACTATGTTGAATAGGAGTGGTGAGAGAGGGCATCCCTGTCTTGTGCCAATTTTCAAAGGGAATGCTTCCAGTTTTTGCCCATTCAGTATGATATTGGCTGTGGGTTTGTCATAGATAGCTCTTATTATTTTGAGATATGTCCCATCAATACCTAATTTATTGAGAGTTTTTGGCATGAAGCGTTGTTGAATTTTGTCAAAGGTCTTTTCTGAATCTATTGAGATGATCATGTGGTTTTTGTCTTTGGCTCTGCTTATATGCTGAATTACATTTATTGATTTGTGTATATTGAACCAGCCTTGCATCCCAGGGATGAAGCCCACTTGATCAAGGTGAATAAGCTTTTTGATGTGCTGCTGGATTGGGTTTGCCAGTATTTTATTGAGGATTATTGCATCAATGTTCATCAAGGATATTCGTCTAAAATTCTCAAATAACAAAACATATCTACAACTATCTGATCTTTGACAAACCTGAGAAAAACAAGCAATGGGGAAAGGATTCCATATTTAATAAATGGTGCTGGGAAAACTGGCTAGCCATATGTAGAAAGCTGAAACTGGATCCCTTCCTTACACCTTATACAAAAATCAATTCAAGATGGATTAAAGACTTAAATGTTAGACCTAAAACCATAAAAACCCTAGAAGAAAACCTAGGCATTACCATTCAGGACATAGGCATGGGCAAGGACTTCATGTCTAAAACACCAAAAGCAATGACAACAAAAGACAAAATTGACAAATGGGATCTAATTAAACTAAAGAGCTTCTGCACAGCATAAGAAACTACCATCAGAGTGAACAGGCAACCTACAAAATGGGAGAAAATT
Organism: Homo sapiens; assembly: GCF_000001405.40. Classification (NCBI taxonomy): domain Eukaryota; kingdom Metazoa; phylum Chordata; class Mammalia; order Primates; family Hominidae; genus Homo; species Homo sapiens. The sequence continues at coordinate 27,426,946 of NC_000019.10, read as the reverse complement.
TTCGCAACCTACTCATCGGACAAAGGGCTAATATCCAGAATCTACAATGAACTCCAACAAATTTACAAGAAAAAAACAAACAACCCCATCAAAAAGTGGGTGAAGGACATGAACAGACACTTCTCAAAAGAAGATATTTATGCAGCCAAAAAACACATGAAAAAATGCTCATCATCACTGGCCATCAGAGAAATGCAAATCAAAACCACAATGGGATACCATCTCACACCATTTAGAATGGCAGTCATTAAAAAGTCAGGAAACAACAGGTGCTGGAGAGGATGTGGAGAAATAGGAACACTTTTACACTGTTGGTGGGACTGTAAACTAGTTCAACCATTGTGGAAGTCAGTGTGGTGATTCCTCAGGGATCTAGAACTGGAATAACCATTTGACCCAGCCACCCCATTCCTGGGTATATACCCAAAGGACTATAAATCATGCTGCTATAAAGACACATGAACACGTATGTTTATTGCGGCACTATTCACAATAGCAAAGACTTGGAACCAACCCAAATGTCCAACAATGATAGACTGGATTAACAAAATGTGGCACATATACACCATGGAATACTATGCAGCCATAAAAAATGATGAGTTCATGTCCTTTGTAGGGACATGGATGAAATTGGAAATCATCATTCTCAGTAAACTATCGCAAGGACAAAAAAACAAAAACCGCATATTCTCACTCATAGGTGGGAATGGAAAAATGAGATCACATGGACACAAGAAGGGGAACATCACACTCTGGGGACTGTTGTGGGGTGGGGTGAGTGGGGAGGGATAGCATTGAGAGATATACCTAATGCTAGATGACGAGTTAGTGGGTGCAGCACACCAGAGTGGCACTTGTATACATATGTAACTCACCTGCACAATGTGCACATGTACCCTAGAACTTAAAGTATAATAATAAAAAAAAAATGACAGGCTCAACCCAGTGAGATGAAGCACACATCACAAAGAAGTTTCTCAGAAAGTTTGTGTGTAGTTTTTATGTGAAGATATTTCCTTTTTAACCATAGGCCTCAAAGTGAACCAAATATCCATTTCCAGATTCTACAAAAAAACTCTTTCTAAACTGCTGAATCAAAAGAAAGGTTCAACTCTGTGAGATGAATGCACACATCACAAAGAAGTTTCTCAGAATTCTTCTGTCTAGTTTATATGTGAAGATATTTACTTTTTCAACACAGGCCTTAAAATATTCACAAACATCCCTTTGTAGACTCTACAAACAGACTATATCCAAAGTGCTCAATCAAAGGAAACGTTCAACTTCGTGATATGAATGCACCTACCACAAAGAACTTTCTCACAAATGTTCTGTCTGGTTTTTATGTGAAGATATTTCCTTTTTCACTATAGGCCTCGAAGTGCTCCAAATATTCACTTGCAGGTTCTACAAAAATACTGTTTCCAAACTTCTCAATCAAAATAAAGTTTGAAATCTGTGAGATAAAAGCACACATCACAAAGAAGTGTCTCAGAAAGCTTCTGTCTTGTTTTTATGTGAAGGTATTTCCTGTTTCACCATAGGCCTCATTGAGCTCAAAACTATCCCTTTGCAGATTCTACAAAAAGACTTTCCAAACTGCTCAATGAAATGAATGTTTCAACCCTGTGAGATGAAAGCACACATCACAAAGAAGTTTCTCAGAAAGTTTCTGTCTAGTTTTTTTGTGAAGATGTTTCCCTTTTCACCGTAGACCTCAAAGTTCTCCAAATATCCATTTGCAGATTCTACAAAAAGACTGTTTCCAAACTGCTCAATCAACGGAAAGGTTCAACTCTGTGTGATGAAAGGACACATCACAAAGTGGTTTCTCAGAATGCTTCTCTCTAGTTTTTATGTGAAGATATTTCCTGTTACACCATAGGCCTCAATGGGCTCACAAATATACCTTTGCAGAGTCTATAAAAAGATTGTTTCCAAACTGCTCACTCAAAAGAAAGGTTGAACATGGTGAGATTAATGCACACATCACAAAGAAGTTTCTCAGAAAACTTCTGTCTAGTTTTTATGTGAAGTTGTTTCCTTTTTCACCATATACCTCAAATGGCTCAAAAATATCAATTTGCCGATTCTACAAACAGACTGTTTCCAAACTGCTCATTCAAAACAAACGTTCAACTCTGTGAGGTGAATGCACCCATCACAGAAAATTTTCTCACAAAGCTTCTGTCTAGTTTTTATGTGAATATGCTTCCGTTTTCACTATAGGCCTCAAAGCACTCCAAATATCCATTTGCAGATTCTACAAAAAGACTGTTTCCAAAGTGATCAATCAAAAGAAAGGTTTAACTATGTTAGATGACATCACACATTACAAGGAAGTTTCTCAGAAATTTTCTGTCAAGTTTTTATGTGAAAATATTTCCTATTTCACTGTAGGCCTGAATGGGCTAACAAATATCCCTTTGCAGATTCCACAAAAACACCGTTTCAAAACTGCTCAATCAAAAGAAATTTTCAACTCTGTTCGATGAATGCACACATCACAAAAAAGTTTCTCAGAATGCTTCTTTCTAGTTTTTATGTGATAATACTTCTTTTTCACCATAGGCCTCAAATTGCTCAGAAATATCCCTTTGCAGAGTGTAGAAAAAGATTGTTTCCAAACTGCTCAATCAAAACAAAGGTTCACCTCTGTGATATGAATGCACACATCACAAAGAAGTTTATCAGAAAACTTCTGTCTAATTTTTATGTGAAGATATTTCCTTTTACACCATAGACATCAAACTGCTCACAAATATCTCTCTGCATAAACTTCAAAAAGACTGTTTCCAAACTGCTCAATCAAAAGAAAGGTTCGTCTGTGTGATAATAAAGCACACATCACAGTGAAGTTTCTCTGAAAGTTTCTGTCTAGTTTTTGTGAAGATATTTCTTTTTCACCATAGGCCTCAAGACGTGCAGAAATATCTATTTGAGATTGTACAAAAAGAGTGTTTCCAAACTGCTCTATGAAAAGACAGGTTCAATTCTGTGAGATGAATGCAAACATCACAAAGAAGTTTCTCAAAAAGCTTCTATCTAGTTTTTACGTGAAGATATTTCCTTTTTCACCATAGGCCTCAACCACTCACAAATATCCCTTTGCAGATACTACAAAAAGACTGTTTCCAAACTGCTCAATGAAAAAAATGTTCAATTCGATGAGATGAAAGCACTCATCACAAGGAAGTTTCTTAAAAAGATTCTGTCTAGTTTTTAGGTGAAGATATTTCCTATTTCACCATAGTCCTCAATGGGCTAACAAATATCCCTTTGCAGAGTCCACAAAAAAGCTGTTTGCAAACTGCTCAATCAAAATAAATTTTCAACACTGTGAGATGAATGCACACATCACATAGTAGTTTCTGAGAATGCTGCTATCTAGTTTTTATATGAGGATACTTCTTTTTCACCATAGGCCTCAAACCACTCAGAAATATCCCTTTGCAGATTGTAGAAACAGACTGTTTCCAAAGTGCTCAATCAAAAGAAACGCTCAACCCTCTGAGATGAATGCACACATCACAAAGAAGTTTCTCAGAAAGTTTCTTTCTAGTTTTTATGTGAAGATATTTCCTTTTACACAATAGGCATCAATCCTCTCACAACTATTCTGCTGCATAATCTACAAAAAGACGGTTTCTAAACTGCTCAATCAAAAGAAAGTTTCAAGTCTGTGAGATGAATGGACACATTACAAATAAGTTACTCAGAGATCTTCTGTCTAGTTTTTATGTGAAGATATTTCCTTTTTCACCATAGGCGTCAAAGCACACCAAATATCCATTTGCAGATTCTACAAAAAGACTTTCCAAACAGCTCAATCAAAAGAAATGCTGAACTCTGTGAGATGAAAGCACACATCAAAATGAAATTTCTCTGAAATCTTCGGTCTAATTTTTACATGAAAATAGTTCTTTTTCACCATAGGCTTCAAAACTCTCAGAAACATCCCTTTGCAGATTGTACAGAAAGACTGTTTCCAAACTGCTCAATGAAAAGACAAGTTCAATTCTGTGAGATGAATACAAACATCACTCAGAAGTTTCTCAAAAGCTACTCTCCAGTTTTTATGTGAAGATATTTCCTCTTTCACGGTATGCCTCAAACCGCTCACAAATATCCATTTGCAGATTCTACAAAAAGATTATTTCCAAACTGCTCAATGAAAAGAAAGGTTCAAATCTGTGAAATGTAAGCACACATCACAAAGAAGTTTCTCAGAATGTTTCTCTCTAGTTTTTATGTGAAGACATTTCCTTTTTCACCATAGGCCTCAAAGCACTCCAAATATCCATTTTCAGATTCTATAAAAAGACTATATCCAAACTGCTCAATAAAAAGAAAGGTTCAACTCTGTGAGATGAAAGCACCCAACAAAAAGAAGTTTCTCAGAAAGCTTCTGTCTTGTTTTTATGTAAAGATGTTTCCTATTTCACCATAGGCCTCAATGGTCTCAAAAATATCCCTTTACAGATTCTACAAAAAGACTCTTTCCAAACTGCTCAATCAACAGAAAGCTTCAAATCTGTGAGATGAATGCACAAGTCACAAAGAAGTTTCTCAAAAATCTTTTGTCTAGTTTTTCTGGGAAGATATTTCCTTTTTCACCATAGGCCTAAAACGGCTAAACAAGTATCCCTCTGCACATTCTTCAAAAAGACTGTTTCCAAACTGCTCAATGAAAAGAAAGGTTCAACTCTGTGAGGTCAATGCAAGCATCACAAAGAAGTTTCTCAAAAACTTCTGCCTAGTTTTTGTGTGAAGATATTTCCTTTTTCACCATAGGCCTCAAACTGGTCACAAATATCCCTTTGCAGATTCTTCAAAAAGACTGTTTCAAAACTCCTCCATGAAAAGAATGTTTCAACTCAGTGATGTGAAAGCACAGATCACAAAGGAGATTCTCAGAAAGTTTCTGTCTATTTTTTATTTGAAGATATTTCCTTTTCCACCATGGGCCTCAAAGCACACCATATATCCATTTGCAGATTCTGCAAAAACACTGTTTCCAAACTGCTCAGTCAAAAAAGAGGTTCAACTCTGTGAGATGAAAGCACACATCAAAAATAAGTTTCTCAGAAAGATTCTGTGTAGTTTTTGTGTGAAATTATTTCCTTTTTCACCATAGGCCTCAAATGACTCACATATGTAGCTCTGCAGATTCTACAAAAAGACTTTCCAATCTGCTCAATCAAAAGAAAGGTTCAACTCGGTTAGATGAATGCACACACCATGAAAAAGTTTCTCAAAATGCTTCTGTCTAGTTTTTATGTGAGGATATGTCCTTTTTCACCACAGGCCTCAAACCACTCACAAATATCCCTCTGCAGATTCTACATAAAAACTAGACAGAAACTTTCTGAAAAACTACTTTGTGATACGGGCTTTCATCTCACCAAGTGGAAATTTTCTTTTGATTGAGCACTTTGGAAACAGTCTTTTTGTAGGATCTGCAAATGGATATTTAGAGCACTCTGTGGCCTATGGTGAAAAAGGCCATATCTTAAAATAAATACTAGACAGAAACACTCTGAGAAAGTTCTTTGGATGTGTGCATTCATCTCACAGAGTTGAACCTTTCTTTTGATTGAACAGTTTGGAAACACTCTTTTTGTAGTATCTGCAAGCAGATATTTGGAGTGCTTTGAGGCCTATGGTGGAAAAGGAAATATCTTCACATACAAAATAGACAGAAGCATTCTGAGAAATTGCTTTGTGATGTGTGCATTCATCTCAGAGAGTTGAACATTTCTTTTGATTGAGCAGTTTTGAAACAGTCGTTTTGTAGAATCTGCAAAGGGATATTTGTGAGCCCTTTGAGGACTATGGGGAAATGGAAACATCTTCACATAAAAACCAGACAAAATCTTTCTGAGAAACTTCTTCATGATGTGTGCTTTCATGTCACAGAGTTGAAATTTTCTTTTGATTGAGCAGTTTGTAAAAGGTCTTTTTATAGAATCTGCAAATGGATATTTGGATCGCTTTGAGGCCTATGGTGAAAAAGGAAATATCTTCACATAAAAACTAGACAGAAACATACCTAGAAACTCATTTGTGATGTGTGCATTCATCTCACAGAGATGAACCTTTCTTTTGATTGAGCAGTTTGGAAACAGCTGTTTTGTAGAATCTGCAAAGGGATATTTGTGAGCCCTTTGAGGACTATGGGGAAATGGAAACATCTTCACATAAAAACCAGACAAAATCTTTCTGAGAAACTTCTTCATGATGTGTGCTTTCATGTCACAGAGTTGAAATTTTCTTTTGATTGAGCAGTTTGTAAAAGGTCTTTTTATAGAATCTGCAAATGGATATTTGGATCGCTTTGAGGCCTATGGTGAAAAAGGAAATATCTTCACATAAAAACTAGACAGAAACATACCTAGAAACTCGTTTGTGATGTGTGCATTCATCTCACAGAGTTGAACCTTTCTTTTGATTGAGCAGTTTGGAAACAGCTGTTTTGTAGAATCTGCAAAGGGATATTTGTGAGCCCTTTGAGGACTATGGGGAAATGGAAACATCTTCACATAAAAACCAGACAAAATCTTTCTGAGAAACTTCTTCATGATGTGTGCTTTCATGTCACAGAGTTGAAATTTTCTTTTGATTGAGCAGTTTGTAAAAGGTCTTTTTATAGAATCTGCAAATGGATATTTGGATCGCTTTGAGGCCTATGGTGAAAAAGGAAATATCTTCACATAAAAACTAGACAGAAACATACCTAGAAACTCGTTTGTGATGTGTGCATTCATCTCACAGAGTTGAACCTTTCTTTTGATTGAGCAGTTTGGAAACAGCTGTTTTGTAGAATCTGCAAAGGGATATTTTTGAGCCCATTGAGGCCTAAGGGGAAATAGGAAATATCTTCACATAAAAACTAGAGAGAACCATTCTGAGAAACTTCTTTGTGATGCATGCTTTCATCTTATAGAGTTGAAGCTTTCTTCTGATTGAGCAGTATGGAAACAGTCTTTTTGTAGAATCTGCAAATGGATATTTTGAGCATGTTGCGGCATATGGTGAAGAAGGAAATATCATCATATAAAAACTAGGCAGAAGCATTCTGAGAAACTTCTTTGTGATGTGTGCATTCATCTCACAGAATTGAACCTTTCTTTTGATTGAGCAGTTTGGAAACACTCTTTTGTAGAATCTGCCAGTGGGTATTTGGAGCGTTTTGAACCCTATGGTGAAAAAGGAATTATCTTCACATAAAAACTAGACGGAAGCATTCTGAGAAACTTCTTTGTGATGTGTGCATTCATCTCACGTAGTTGAACCTTTCTTTTGATTCAGCAGTTTGGAAACAGTCTTTTTGTAGTATCTGCTGATGGATATTTGGAGTGCTTTGAGGCCTATGGTGAAAAAGGAAACATCTTCACACAAAAACTAGACAGAAGCATTCTGAGAAACTTCTTTGTGATGTGTGAATTCATCTCACAGAGTTGAACCTTTCTTTTGATTTAGCAATTTTTTATTTATTTTTATTTATTTATTTATTTATTTTACAGATTAAAAAAATCTATTATTTATTTTTTTTAAATTTATTATTATTATATTTTAAGCTTTAAGCTCCATGCGTGCAATGTGCAGGTTAGTCACATATGTATACATGTGCCATGCTGGTGTGCTGCACCAATTAACTCCTCATTTAGCATTAGGTATATCTCCTAATGCTATCTCTCCCCCCTCCCCCCACCACACCACAGTCCCCAGAGTGTGATGTTCCCCTTCTTGTGTCCATGTGTTCTCATTGTTCAATTCCCACCTATGAGTGAGAATATGCGGTGTTTGTTTTTTTGTCCTTGTGATAGTTTACTGAGAATGATGATTTCCAATTTCATCCATGTCTCTACAAAGGACATGAACTCATCATTTTTTATGGCTGCATAGTATTCCATGGTGTATATGTGCCACATTTTCTTAATCCAGTCTATTCTTGTTGGACATTTGGGCTGGTTCCAAGACTTTGCCACTGTGAATAGTGCCACAATAAACATACGTGTGCATGTGTCTTTATAGCAGCATGATTTATAATCCTTTGGGTATATACCCAGTAATGGGATGGTTGTGTCAAATGGTATTTCTAGTTCTAGATCCCTGAGGAATCACCACACTGACTTCCACAATGGTTGAACTAGTTTACAGTCCCACCAACAGTGTAAAAGTGTTCCTATTTCTCCACATCCTCTCCAGCACCTGTTGTTTCCTGACTTTTTAATGATTGCCATTCTAACTGGTTTGAGATGGTATCCCATTGTGGTTTTGATTTGGACTTCTCTGATGGCCAGGGATGGTGAGCATTTTTTCATGTGTTTTTTGGCTGCATAAATGTCTTCTTTTGAGAAGTGTCTGTTCATGTCCTTTGCCCACTTTTTGATGGGGTTGTTTGTTTTTTTCTTGTAAATTTGTTGGAGTTCATTGTAGATTCTGGATATTAGCCCTTTGTCAGATGAGTAGGTTGCAAAAATTTTCTCCCATTTTGTAGGTTGCCTGTTCAGTCTGATGGTAGTTTCTTATGCTGTGCAGAAGCTCTTTAGTTTAATTAGATCCCATTTGTCAATTTTGTCTTTTGTTGTCATTGCTTTTGGTGTTTTAGACATGAAGTCCATGCCCAAGCCTATGTCCTGAATGGTAATGCCTAGGTTTTCTGCTAGGGTTTTTATGGTTTTAGGTCTAACGTTTAAGTCTGTAATCCATCTTGAATTAATTTTTGTATAAGGTGTAAGGAAGAGATTCAGTTTCAGCTTTCTACATATGGTTAGCCAGTTTTCCCAGCACCATTTATTAAATATGGAATCCTTTCCCCATTGCTTGTTTTTCTCAGGTTTGTCAAAAATCAGATAGTTGTAGATATTTGACGTTATTTCTGAGGGCTCTGTTTTGTTCCATTGATCTATATCTCTGTTTTGGTACCAGTACCATGCTGTTTTGGTTACTGTAGCCTTGTAGTATAGTATGAAGTCAGGGAGCGTGATGCCTCCAGCTTTGTTCTTTTGGCCTAGGATTGACTTGGTGATGCGGGCACTTTTTTGGTTCCATATGAACTTTAAAGTAGTTTTTTTCCAATTCTGTGAAGAAAGTCAGTTTTGAAACACTCTTATTGAAAAATCTGCAAGAAGATCTTTGGAGTGCTTTGAGGCCTATGTTGGAAAAGGAAATATCTTCACACAAAAAGTAGAGAGAACCATCCTGAGAAACTTATTTGTGATGTGTGCATTCATCTCACAGAGTTGAACATTTTTTTTGATTGAGCAGCTTTTAAACAGTCGTTTTGTAGAGTCTGTAAAGGGATATTTGTGAGCCTATTGAGGCCTATGGGGTAGTAGGAAATATCTCCACATGAAAACTAGACAGAAGCATTCTGAGAAACTACTTTGTGATGTGTGTTTTCATCTCACAGAATTGAAACTTTGTTTTGTTAGTGCAGTTTGGAAACAGACTTTTTGTAGATACTACGAATGGATATTTGGAGCACTTTGAGTCCTATGGTGAAAAAGGAAGTATATTCACATAAAAACTAGAGAAAATCATTCTGAGAGACTTCTTTGTGATGTGTGCATTCATCTCACAGAGTTGAACCTTTCTTTTGATTCAGCAGTTGGGAAACAGTCGTTTTGTAGAATCTGCAAAAGGATTATTGGGAGCCCATTGAAGCCTATGGGGAAATTGGAAATATCTTCACATAAAAACTAGACAGAAAGTTCCTGAGAAGCTTCTATGTGATGTGTGCTTTCATCTAACAGAGTTCAACCTTTCTTTAGATTGAGCAGTTTGGAAACAGTCTTTTTAAGTATCTGCAAATGGATATTTGTAGCACTTTGAGCCCTATGGTGAAAAAGGAAATATCTTCATCTAAAAAATGGACAGAAGCATCCTGAGAAACTTCTTTGTGATGTATGAATTCATCTCCCAGAGTTGAAACTTTCTTTTGATTGAGCAGTTTTGAAACATTCTCTTTGTAGAATCTACAATTGGATATTTGGAACACTTTGGGCCCTATGGTGGAAAAGGATATAGCTTCACATAGAAACTAGACAGAAGCATTCTGAGAAACTTCTTTGTGTTGTTTGCATTAATCTCACAGAGTTGAAGATTTCTTTTGATTGAGCAGTTTGGAAGCAGTATTTTTGTAGAATCTGCAAATGGATATTTGGAGCACTTTGGGGCCTATGGTGAAAAAAGGAAATATCTTCATATAAAAGCTAGACAGTAGCACTTTGAGAAACTTCTTTGTGATGTGTGAACTCATCTCACAGAGTTGAACCTCTCTTTTTATTGAGCAGTTGGAAAACAGCCTTTTTGTAGTATCTGCAAATGGATATTTGGAGTGCTTTGAGGCCTATGGTGCAAATGGAAATATCTTCACAGTAAAACTAGACACAAGCATTCTGAGAAACTTATTTGTGATGTATGGGTTCATCTCACAGATGGGAACATTTCTTTTGATTGAGCAGTTTGGAAACCTTCCTTTTATAATATCTGCCGAGGGATATTTGTGATCCAATTGTGGCCTAAGGGGAAATAAGAAACATCTTCACATAAAAAGTAGACAGAAACCTTCTGAGAAACTTCTTTGTGATGTGTGCATTCACCTCACAGAGTTGAAACTTTCTTTTGATTGAGCAGTTTTGAAACACTCTTTTTGCAGAATGTGCAAGTGCATATTTGGAGCGCTTAGAGGCCTGTGGAGAAATTGGAAATATCTTCACATGAAAACCAGACAGAAGCTTTCTGAGAAAACCCTTTGTGCTGTTTGCTTTCATGTCACAGAGTTGAAACTTTCTTTTGATTGAGCAGCTTGGAATCAGTCTTTTTGTAGGATCTGCAAAGGGATATGTGGAGGGCCTTGGGGCTTATGGTGATAAAGGAAATACCTTCACATAAATATTAGACAGAAGCATTCTGAGAAACTTCTTTGTGATGTGTGCATTCATCTCACAGAGTTGAACCTCTCTTTGGATTGAGCAGTTATAAAACGGTCTTTTTGTAGTATCTGCAAATGGATATTTGGTGCACTTTGAGGCCTATGGTGCAAATGGAAATATCTTCACATAAAAACTAGACACAAGCATTCTGAGAAACTTACTTGTGATGTATGCGTTCATCTCACAGATGGGAACATTTCTTTTGATTGAACAGTTTGGAAAACTGCATTTTGTAGAATCTGCAAATGGATATTTGTGAGCCCATTGTGGCCTATGGGGAAATAGGAAACATCTTCACATAAAAACTAGAAAGAAACATTCCGAGAAACTTCTTTGTGATGTTTGCATTCATCTGACAGAGTTGAACCTTTCTTTGAATGAGCAGTTTTGAAACAATCTTTTTGTAGAATATGCCAGTGGATATTTGGAGCGCTTTGAGGCCTATGGTGAAATGGAAATATCTTCACATAAAAAGTAGACAGAAGCATTCTGAGAAACTTGTTTGTGATGTCTGCTTTCATCTCACAGAGTTGAATGTTTCTTTGATTGAGCAGTTTTGAAACACTCTTTGTGTAGAATCTGAAAATGTATATTTGGAGCACTTTGAGGCCTAAGATGGAAAAGGAAATATCTTCACATACAAACTAGACAGAAGCATTCTCAGAAACTTCTTTGTGATATGTGCATTCAGCTCACACAGTTGAACCTTTCTTTTGATTGAGCAGTTTTGAAACACTCTTTTTGTAGAATCTGCAAGTGGATATTTGGGGCACCTAGAAGCCTATGGTGGAAAAGGAAATATATTCACATGAAAACTAGATAGAAACATTCTCTGCAACTTATTTGTGATGTGTGCATTCATTTCACAGAGTTGAACATTTCTTTTGATTGAGCAGTTTGGAAACAGTGGTTTTGTAGAATCTCCAAAGGGATATTTGTGAGACCATTGAGGCCTATGGAGAAATAGGAAATATCGTCACACGAAAACTAGACAGAAACTTTCTGGAAACTTCTTTCTGATGTGTGCTTTCATCTCACAGAGTTGAAACTTTCCTTTGATTGGGTAGTTTGGAAACAGACCTTTTGTAGAATCTGCAAATGGATATTTGGAGCTCTTTGAGAACTCTGGTGAAAAATGAAATATCTTCACATAAAAACTAGACAGAAGAATTCTGAGAAACTTCTCTGTGATGGGTGCATTCATCTGACAGAGTTGCACATTTCTTTTTATTGGCCAGTGTGGAAACATTCGTTTTCTATAAACTGCAAAGGGAAATTTGTGAGTCCTTTGAAGCCTATGGGGAAATAGGAAACTTCTTCACATAAAAACTAGACAGAAACTTTCTGAGAAACTTCTTGGTGATGTGTGCATTCATCTCACAGAGTTGAACATTTCGTTTCATTGAGCAGTTTTGAAACACTCTTTCTCTGGAATCTTCTAGTGTATTTTTGGAGCACTTTGTGGCCTACTGAGGAAAAGAAAATATCTTCACATAAAAACGAGACAGAAGCATTCTGAGAACCTTGCTTGTGATGTGCACATTCATCTCACAGAGTTGAACCTGTCTTTTGATTGAAAAGTTTGGAAACATTCTTTTTGTAGAATCTGCTAGTGGATGTTTGGAGCACATTGAGGACTATGATGGAAAAGGAAATACCTTCACATAAAAACTAGAGAGAAGCATTCTGAGAAACTTTTGTGATGTGTGCATGCATCTCACAGAGTTGAAACTTTCTATTGATTGAGCAGTTGTGAAACACTCTTTTTCTAGAATCTGCAGGTGGATATTTGGAGAGCTTTGAGGCCTATTGTGGAAAAATAAATATCTTCACATAGAAACTAGACAGAAGCATTCTCAGAAATTTCTCTGTGATGTGTTCATTCATCTCTCAGAGTTGAAACTTTCTTTTGATTGAGCAGTTTTGGAACACCCTTTTTGTGGAATCTGCAAGTGGATAATTGGAACGCTTGGAGGCCTATGGTGAAAAAGGAAACATCTTCACATAAAAACTAGACAGAAACATTCTGAGAAACTTCTTTGTAATGTGCGCATTCATCTCACAGAGTTGAACATTTGTTTTGATTGAGCAGTTTGGAAACAGTCTTTTTGTAGTATCTGCAAGTGGATATTTGGAGCTCAATTGAGACCTTTTGTGGAAAAGGGAATATCTTCATATAAAAACTAGAAAGAAGCATTCTGAGAAACTTCTTTGTGATGAGTGCATTCAACTCACAGAGTTAAAACTTTCTTTTGATTTAGCATTTTGAAAGCAGTCGTTTTGTAGAATCTGCAATGGGATATTTGTGAGCCCATTGAGACCTCTCAGGAAATAGGAAATATCTTCACATAAAAACTAGACAGAAGTATTCTGAGAAACGTCTTTGTGATGTGTGCATTCACCCCACAGAGGTGAATCTTTCTTTTTATTGAGCACTTTGGAGAGAGTCATTTTGTAGATTCTGGAAAGAGATATGTGTGAGCCCATTGAGGCCTCTGGGAAAATAGGAAATCTCTTCAGATAAAATCTAGAGTGAAACGTTTGGGAAACTTATGTGTGTTGTGTGCTTTCATCTCACAGAGTTGAAAAATTCTTTTCATTGAGCAGTTTGGAAACAGTCTTCTTGTAGTATCTGCAAGTGGATACTTGGAGTGCTTTGAGGCCTATAGTGGAAAAGGAAATATCTTCACATAAAAACTAGACAGAAGCATTCTCAGAAACCTCTTTGTGATGTGTGCATTCATGTCACAGAATTTAGCCTTTCTTTTGATTGAGCAGTTTTGAAACACTCTTTTTGTAGAATCTGAAAGTGGGTATTTAGAGTGCTCTGTGGCCTATAGTGGAAAAGGAAATATCTTCACATAAAAACTAGACAGAAGAATTCTGAGAAACTTCTTTGTAATGTGCGCATTCATTTCACAGTTAAACCTTTCTTTTCATTGAGCAGTTTGTAAACACTCTTTTTGTAGTATCTGCAAATTGATATTTGGTGTGATTTGAGGCCCATAGTGGAAAAGGAAATATCTTCACATAAAAACTAGACAGAGGGATTCAAAGAAACTTCTTTGTGATGGGTGTATTCATCTCACAGAGTTGAACCTTTCTTTTGATTGAGGAGTTTTGAAACACTCTTTTTGTACAATCTGAAAGTGGATATTTGGAGCGCTTTGAGGCCCATGGTGGAAAAGGGAATTTCTTCATATAAACACTAGACAGAAACATTCTGAGAAATGTCTTTGTGATGTGTGAATCCATCTCACAGAGTTGAACCATTCATTTGATTGTGCAGTTTGGAAACAGCCTTTTGATAGAAACTGCAGGTGTATTTTAATAGCGCTTTGTGGGGTATAGTGGAAAAGAAAATATCTTTACATAAAAACTGGATGGAAGCATTTGGAGAAATTTCTTTGTGACGTGTTCATTCATCTCACAGAGCTAAACTTTCCTTTTGATTGAGCAGTATGGACACAGTACTTTTGAAGTGTCTGCAAATTGATATTTGGAGCGCTTTGATGCCTGTGGTGAAAAAAAAATATCTTCACATGAAAACTAGACAGAAGCATTCTGAGAAAGTTCCTTGCGATGAGAGCATTCATGTCACATGGTTGAAACTTTTTTTTTGATTGAGCAGTTTGGAAACAGTTGTTTTGTAGAATCTCTGAAGGAATATTTTTGAGCCCATTGAGGCCTCTGGGGAAATAGGTAATATCTTCACATAAAAACTTGGCAGAAATTTTCTGACTAATTTCTTTGTGTTGTGTGCATTCCTTACACAGAGTTGAAACTTTCTTTTGATTCATAAGTTTGGAAACACTTTTTTTGCAGAATCCGCAAGTTCATATTCGGAGTGCTTTGTGGGCTATTGTGGAAAAGGAAATATCTTCACATAAAAACAAGACAGAAGCATTCTGAGAAACTTCGCTGTGATGTGTGCATTCATCTAAAAGAGTTGAACCTTTCTTTTCATTGAGAAGTTTGGAAACAGTATTTTTTAGTATGTGCAGAAGGAGATTCGGAACACATTGAGGCCTAAGGTGAAAAAGGAAATATCTTCAAGTAAAAACTAGACAGAAGCATTCTGACAAAGTTTTTGTGTTGTGTTCATTCATCTCACTGAGTTGGACCTTTCTTTTGATTAAACAGTTTGGAAACACTCTTTTTGTAGAATCTGCAAGCGGATATTTAGAGCGCTTTGAAGCCTATATTGGAAAAGAAAATGTCTTCACATAAAAACTAGACAGAAGCATATAGAGAAACTCCTTTGTGATGTGTGCATTCATCTCACAGAGTTGAATATTTCTTTTGATTGAGCAGTTTGGAAACTGTCTTTTTGTAGTATCTGCAAATGGATATTTGGAGCACTTTGAGTCCTATAGTGAAAATGGAAATATCTTCACATAAAAACTAGCCAGAAACATTCTGAGAAAATTCTATGTGTTGTGTGAATTCATCTCACAGAGTTGAACCCTTCTGTTTATTGAACAGTTTGGAAACACTCTTTTTGTAGAATCTGCAAGTGGATATTTGGAGTGCTTTCAGGCCTATGGTGGAAAAGGAAATATCTTCACTTAAAATCTAGACAGAATCATACTGAGAAACTTCTTTGTGATGTGTGTAATCAACTCAGAGATGTGAACTTTTCTTTTGATTGAGCAGTTTGGAAACAGTCTTTTTGTAGTATCTCCAAGTGGATATTTGGAACACTTTTAACGCCTATGGTTGAAAAGGAAATATCTTCACATAAAAACTTGACAGAAGCATTCTGAGAAACTCCTTTGTGATGTGTGCATTCATCTCACAGAGTTGAATATTTCTTTTGATTGAGCAGTTTGGAAACCGTCTTTTTGTGGTATCTGCAAATGGATATTTGGAGCGCTTTGAGTCCTATCGTGGAAATGGAAATATCTTCACATAAAAACTAGACAGAAGCATTCAGAGAAACTTCCTTGCATTTCTGTATTCAACTCACAGGATTGAACTTTTCTATTGATTGAGCAGGTTGAAAACAGTCTTTTTGTACTTTCTGCAATGGGATATATGAATAGCTTTGCAGCATATGGTGGAAAAGGAAATATCTTCTCACAAACACCAGACAGAGGCATTCTCAGAAAACTCTTTGTGATGTGTGTGTTCTTCTCACGTAGTTGAACTTTTCTTTTGATGGAATAGCTTTGAAACAATCTTTTTGTAGTATCTGCCAGTGGGTATTTGGAGTGCTTTGAACCTATGGTGGAAAAGGGTATATCTTCACATAAAAAATTGACAGATACATTCTGAGAAACTTCTTTGTGCTGTGTGTATTCAATTCACAGAGCTGAACCTTTCTTTTGATTGAGCAGTTTGGAACAGTCCTTTTGTAGTATCTGCAAGTGAATATTTGTAGTGCTTTGGGTCCTGTGGTGGAAAAGGAAATATCTTCACATAAAAACTAGACAGAAACATTCTGAGAAACTTCTGTGCAATGTGTGCATTCATCTCACAGAGTTGAACCTTTCTTTTGATTGAGCAGTTTTGAAACACTCTTTTTGTAAAATCTACAAGAGGATAATTGGAAGGCTTTGAGGTCTACAGTGGAAAAGGGAATATCTTCACATAAAAACCAGACAAAAGCATTCTGAGAAACTTCTTTGAGATGTGTGCATTCAACTCATAGAGTTGAAACTTTCTTTTAATTGAGCAATTTGGAAACAGTCTTTTTGGAGTATCTGCAAATGGATATTTGGAGTGCTTTGAGGTCTATAGTGGAAAAGGAAATATCTTCACATAAAAACTAGAACAAAGCATTCAGAGAAACTTCTTTTTGATGTCTGCATTCATGTCACACAGTTGAAACTTTCTTTTGATTGAGCAGTTTGGAAACAAACTTTTTGTAGTATCTGCAAGTGGATATTTGGAATGCTTTGTGGCCTATAGTGGAAAAGGAAATATCTTCACATAAAAACTACACAGAAGCATTCTGGGAAACATCTTTGTGGTTTGTGTATTCATCTCACAGGGTTCAACCTTTCTTTTAATTGAGCAATTTTGAAACACTCTTTTTGTAGTGCCTGCCAGTGGATATTTAGAGCGCTTTGAAGCCTATGGTGGAAAAGGAAATATCTTCCCATAAAAACTATACAGAAGCATTATGAGAAACTTCTTTGCAATGTGTGCATTCACATCACAGTGTTGAATATTTCTTTTGACTGAGCACTTTTGAAACACTCTTTTTGTCGAATCTACAAGTGGATACTTGGAGAACTTTGCTGCCTACAGTGGAAAAGGAAAAATCTTCACTTAAAAACTGGACAGAAGCATTCTGAGAAACATCTTTGTGATGTGTGCATTCACCTCAAAGAGCTGTAACTTTCTTTTGATTGTGCAGTTCTGAAACACTGTTTTGTAGAATCTGGAATTGGATATTTGGAGTGCTGTAGGTCCTATGGTGGAAAAGGAAATATCTTCATATAAAAAATAGACAGGAGCATTCTCAAAAACTTGTTTGTGATGTGTGCATTCATCTGACAGAGTTGAAACTTTCTTTTAATTGACCAGTTTTTAAACACTGCTTTTGTAGAATCTACAAGTGGATATTTGGAGCCTTTGAGGACTATGGAGGAAAAGCACATATCTTCACATAAAAACTAGACAGAAGCATTCTGAGAAACTGCTTTGTGCTGTGTGCATTCAACTCACAGCACTGAACCTTTCTTTTGATAGAGCGGTTTTGAAACATTCTTTTTGTAGAATTTCAAAGTTGATATTTGTGGCAATTCGAGGCCTATAGTGGAAAGGGAAGTATCTTCACATAAAAAGTAGACAGAGGCATTCTGAGAAACTTTTTTGTGATGTGTGCATTCATCTCACATTTTTGAACATTTCTTTTGACTGAGCAGTTTTGAAACACTGTTTTTGTAGAATCTGCAAGTGGATATTTGGAGTGCTTTGAGGCCTATGGTTGAAAAGGATATATCTTCACATAAAAACTAGACAGAAGCCTGCTGAGAAACTTCTGTGTGATGTGTGCATTCATCTCACAGAGTTGAACCTTTCTTTTTATTAAGCAGTTTTGAAACACTCTTTTTGTAGAATCGTCAAAGGGATATTGAGAGTGCTTTGAGGTTTATGGTGGAAAAGGAAATATCTTCACATAAAAACTAGACAGAAACATTCTGGGAAACTTCTTTGTGATATATGCGTTCAACTCACAGTGTTGAACCTTTCTTTTATTGAGCAGTTTGGAAACACTCTTTTTTTAGTATCTGCAATTGGATATTTGGAGCGCTTTGAAGCCTATAGCTGAAAAGAAAATATCTTCATATAAAAACAAGACAGAAGCATTCTGAGAAACTTCTTTGTGATGTGTGCGTTCATCTCATGGATTTGAACTTGTCTTTTGATTGAGCAGTTTTCAAACACACTTTTTGAAGAATCTGCAATGGGACACTTGAAGCGCTTTGAGGCCAATGGTGGAAATGGAAATATCTTCACATAAAAACTAGACAGAAGCATTTTGAGAAACTTTTTTGATGTGTGTATTGAACTCACAGCGTTCAACCTTTCTTTTCATTGAGCAGTTTTGAAACATTCTTTTTGTAGAATCTGAAGTTGGATATTTGGAGCAATTCCAGGCATATGGTTTAAAAGGAAATATCTTCACAGAAAAACCAGACAGAAGCATTCTCAGAATCTTCTTTGTGATGTGTGCATTCAACTCACAGAGTTGAAACTTTCTTTTGATTGAGCAGTTTGGAATCACTCTTTTTGTAGTATCTGCAAGTGGATATTTGCAGTGCTTTCAGGCCTGTAGTTGAAAAGGAAATATCTTCACATAAAACTAGACAGAAGCATTCTGAGAAAGTTATTTGTGTTGTGTGCATTCATCTCACAGAGTTGAACCCTTCTTTTGATTGAGCAGTTTTGAAACACTCTTTTTGTAGAATCTGCAAGTGGATATTTGGAGCACTTTTTGGCCTAGGGGGAAAAGGAAATATCTTCACATAAAAACAAGACAGAACCATTCTCAGAAACTTCGTTTTGATGTGTGCATTCAACTCACAGTGTTGAACCTTTCTTTTATTGAGCAGTTGGGAAACACTCTTTTTTTAGTATCTGCAAGTGGATATTTGGAGCACTTTGAATCCTATAGCTGAAAAGGAAATATCTTCATATAAAAACAAGACAGAAGCATTCTGAGAAACTTCTTTGTGATGTGTGCATTCATCTCATGGAGTTGAACCTTTTTTCTGATCAAGCAGTTTTGAAACAGTCTTTTTGTGGATTCTGCACGTGGACATTTGGAGTGCTTTGAGGCATACATTGGAAAAGGAAATATCTTCACATAAAAACTAGAGGAAACACTCTCAGAAACTTCTTTGTGATGTGTGCATTCAACTCACAGAGTTAAACCTTTCTCTTGACTGAACAGTTTAGAAACACTCTTTTTGTAGTGTCTGCAAATGGATATTTGGAACGCTTTCAGGCCTACGGCTGAAAAGGAAATATCTCCACATAAAAACTAGACAGAAGCATTCTGAGAAACTTCTTTGTGATACGTGTATTCATCTCAAAGAGTTGAACATTTCTTTTGATTGAGGAGTTTGGAAACACCCATTTTGTAGTATCTGCAAATGGATATTTGGAGCGCTTTGAAGCCTACAGTTGAAAAGGAAATATTTTCACATAAAAAGTAGACTGAAGAATTCTGAGAAACTTCTTTGTGATGTGTGCATTCAACTCACAGAGTTGAATCTTTCTTTTGATTGAGCAGTTTTGAAACTCTCTTTTTGTAGAATCAGCAAATGGATATTGAGAGTGCTTTGAGGTTTGCAGTGGAAAAGGAAATATCTTCACATAAAAACCACACAGACGCATTCTCAGAAAATTCTTTGTGATGTGTGCATTCAACTCAAAGAGTTAAACTTTTCTTTTGATATAGCAGTTTGGAAACACTCTTTTGGTAGTATCTGACAATGGATATTTGGAGCGCTTTGAGGCCTGCAGCTGAAAAGGAAATATCTTGGCATAAAAACTAGACAAAAGCATTGTGAGAAACTTCTTTCTGATGTGTGCATTCATCTCACAGAGTTGAACCTTTCTTTTGATTAAGCAGTTTTGAAACAATCTTTTGTAGCATCTCCAACTGGATATTTGGAGCGCTGTGAGTACTATGGTGGAAAAGGAAATATCTTCACATAAAAACTAGACAGAAGCATTCTCAGAAACACCTTTGTGATGTGTGCGTTCAATTCACAGAATTGAACCTTTCAGTTAATTGAGCAGTTTTGAAGCACTCTTTTTGTGGAATCTGCAAGTGGATATTTGGAGTGCTTTGAGGCCATTGGCAGAAAAGCAAATATCTTCATATAAATACTGGACAGAAGCATTCTCAGAAACTTCTTTGTGATTTATGCATTCAACTCACACAGTTGAAACTTTCTTTTGATTGAGCAGCTTAGAAACCCTCTTTTTGAAGTATCTGCAAATGGATATTGGTAGCCATTTGAGGCCTATAGTTGAAAAGGAAATGTCTTCACAAAAAATCTAGACAGAAGCATTCTGAGAAACTTATTTGTGATGTGTGCATTCATCTCACAAGTTGAATCTGTCGTTTGATTAAGCAGTTTTGAAACACTCTTTTTGCGGAATCTGCAAGTGGATATTTGGAGCGCTTTGAGGCTTATGGTGGAAAAGGAAATATCTTCACATAAAAACTAGACAGAAGCATTTGCAGAAACTACTTTTTGATGTGTGCATTCATTTCACAGAGTTGAAATTTTCTTTTGATTAAGCAGTTTGGGAACACTCTTTTTGTAGTATCTGCAAATGGATATTTGGAGTGCTTTGAGGCCTGTTGTTGAAAAGGAAATGTCTTCACATAAAAACTAGACAGAAGCTTTCTGAGAAACTTCTCTGTTATGTGTGCATTCATCTCACAGAATTGAACTTTTCTTTTGACTGAGCAGTTTTGAAAGACTGTTTTTGGAGAATCTGCAAGTGGATATTTGGAGCGCTTTGACGCCTAAAGCTGAAAAGCAAATATCGCCACATAAAAACTAGACAGAAGCATGCTGAGGAAGTTCTGTGTATTGTGTGCATTCATCTCACAGAGTTGAAACTTTATTTTCGTTGAGCAGTTTTGAAACACTCTCTTTGTAGAATCTGCAAGTGGATATTGGGAGCACTTTGAGGCCTATGGTGGATAAGGAAATATGTTCACATCAAAACTAGACAGAAGAATTCTCAGCAACTTCTTAGTGATGTGTGCATTCAACTCACAGAGTTGGACCTTTGCTTTATTGAGCAGTTTGGAAACACTCGTATTGTAGTATCCGCAAACACATATTTTGTACTTTTTGAAGCCTATAGCTGAAAAGGTAATATCTTCACATAAAAACTAGACAGAAGCATTCTGAGAAATTTCTGTGTGATTTATGAATTCATCTCACAGAGTTGAACCTTTTTTTTCATTGAGTAGTTTCGAAATACTCTTTTTGTAGAATCTGCAAGTGGATATTTGGTGCGCTTTGAGGTCTATGGTGGAAAAGGAAATATCTTCACATAAAAACTAGACAGAAGCATTCTCAGAAACTTCTTTGTGATGTGTACATTTTACTCACAGAATTGAACCTTTCTTTTGATTGAGCAGCTTGGAAACACTGTTTTTGTAGAATCTGCAAATGGATATTTGTATCACTTTGAGGTCTATAACTCGAAAAGAAATATCTTCACTTAAAAGGTAGACAGGAGCATTCTGAGAAACTTCTTTGTGATGTGTGCATTTTACTCACAGAAATGAACTTTTCTTTTGATTGAGCAGTTTGGAAACACTTTTTTTGTAGAATCTGCAAATGGATATTTGGATCAATTTGAGGTCTATATCTCAAAAAGAAATATCTTCACTTAAACAATAGACAAGAGCATTCTGAATAGCTTCTTTGTGATGTGTGCATTGATCTCACAGAGTTGAAAGTTTCTATTCATTGAGCAGTTTTCCAACACACTTTTTGTAGAAACTGCAAGTGGATATTTGGAGCACTTTGAGGCCTATGGTGGAAAAGGAAATATCTTCACATAAAAACTAGACAGAAATATTCTCAGAAACTTCTTTCTGATATGTGCATTCAAGCCACAGATTTGAAACTTTCTTTTGATTGAGCATTTTGGAAACAGTCTTTTTGTAGTACCTGCAAATGGATATTTGGACGATTTTGAGCCTACAGTGAAAAGGAAATATCTTCACATAAAAACTAGACAGAAGCATTCTCAGAAAGTTCTTTGTGATGTGTGCATTCAACTCACAGAGATGAACATTTCTTTTGATTGAGAAGTTTGGAAACACCCTTTCTGTAGCATCTGCAAGTGGATACTTGTAGTGCTTTGAGGCCTAAAGCTGAAAAGGAAATATCCTCAGATAAAAACTAGACTGAAGCATTCTGAGAAACTTCTTTGTGATGATGCATTTATTTCACAGAATTAAATGATTCTTTGGATTGAGTAGTTTGGAAACACTCTTTTAATAGTATCTTCAAATGGTATTTGTAGTGCTTTGAGGCATGTGGTTGAAAAGGAAATACCTTCACATAAAAACTAGACACAAGCATTCTCAGAAACTTCTTTGTGATTTGTGCATTCGTCTGATACTGTTGAACCTTTCTTTTGATTGAGCAGTTTTGAAACACTCTTTTGTAGAATCTGCAATCGGATATTTGGAGAGATTTTAGGCGTATGGTGCAAAATGAAATATCTTCACATAAAAAGCAGACAGAAGCATTCTCAGAAACTTCTTTCTGATGTGTGCATTCAAGTCACAGAGTTCAACCTGTGTTTTAATTGAGCAGTTTGGAAACACTCCTTTTGTAGTATCTGCAAATGGGTATTTGGAGTGCTATGAGGCCTATAGTTGAAAAAGAAATATCTTCACATAAAAAGTAGACAGTAGCATTCTGAGAAACTTCTTTGTGATGTGTCCATTCAACTGACAGAGTTGAACCTTTTTTTTGATTGAATAGTTTTGAAACACTCTTTTTGTAGAATCTGCAAGTGGATATTTGGAGTGCTTTGAGGCCTATAGTTGAAAAGGAACTATTTTCACATAAAAGCAAGACAGAAGCATTCTGAGAAACTACTTTGTGATGTGTGAATTTATCTCACAGAGTTGAATCTTTCTTTAGATACAGCAGTTTGGAACCACTCTTTTTGTAGAATCTATAAGTGGATATTTGGAGCACTTTGAGGCCTATCATGGAAATGGAAATATCTTCACATAAAAACTAGACAGAAACATTCTCAGAAACTTCATTGTGATGTGTGCATTCAACTCACAGAGTTGAACGTTTCTTTTGTTTGAGCAGTTTGGAAACACTTTTTTTGTAGTATATGTAAAGGGATATTTGGAGCACTGTTATGCCTATGGTGGAAAAGGTAATATCTTCACACAAAAAGTAGACAGAAGGATTCTCAGAAACTTCTTTGTAATGTGTGCTTTCATCTCACAGAGTTGAAACTTGCTTTTTGATTGAGCAGTTTTGAAACCCTCTTTTTGTAGAATTTGCAAGTGGATATTTGGAGCGCTTTGAGGTCTATGGTGGAAAAGGAAATATCTTCACAGTAAAACTAGACACAAGCATTCTGAGAAACTTATTTGTGATGTATGGGTTCATCTCACAGATGGGAACATTTCTTTTGATTGAGCAGTTTTCAACACTGTTTTTGGAGAATCTGCAAGTGGCTATTTGGAGAGCATTGAGACCTATAGTTGAAAAAGAAATATCTTCACATAAAAAGTGGACAGATGCATTCTGAGAAACTTACTTGTGATGTGTGCATTCATCTCACATAGTTGAACCTTTCTTCTCAGAGAGCAGATTTGAAACACTCTTTTTGTAGAATCTGCAAGGAGATATTTGGAGCACTTTCAGGCATATGGTGGAAAGGTAAATATCTTCACATAAAAACTAGACAGAAGCATTCTCAGAAACTTCCTTGTGATTTGTGCATTCAACTAACAGAGTTGAAGTTTCTTTTTATTTAGCAGTTTGGAAACACTGTTTTTGTAGTATCTGCAAATGGATATTTGGAGCGCTTATAGTCCTATAGCTGAAAAGGAAATATCTTCACATAAAAACTAGACAGAAGCATTCTGACAAACTTCTTTGTGATGTGTGTGTGCATTCATCTCACAGAGTTGAACCTTTCTTTTTATTGAGCAGTTTTGAAAAACTCCTTTTGTAGTATTTGCAAGTGCATATTTTGATGGCTTAGAAGCCTATGGTGGAAAAGGGAATATCTTCACATAAAAACTAGTCAGAAGTATTCTGAGAAACTTCTTTGTGATGTGGGCATTCAACTCAGAAAGCTGAATCTTTCTTTTGATTGAGTAGAATGGAAACACTCTTTTTGTTGTATCTGTAAATTGATATTTGGAGCACTTTGAGGCATGTAGCTGAAAAGGAAATTCCTTCACATAAAAATTAGACTGAAGCATTCTGAAAAATTTATTTGTGAAGCGTGCATTCATCTCAGAGTTGAAACCTTCTTTTGATTGAGCGGTTTTGAAACACTCTTTTTGTCTAATCTGCAAGTGGATATTTGGAGCACTTTGAGGCCTATGAAGTTAAAGGAAATATCTTCACATAAAAACTAGACAGAAGCATTCTCAGAAACTTTTTTGTGATATGTTCATTCAACTCACAGAGTTCAATGTCTCTTTTGATTGAGCAGTTTAGAAACACTCTTTTTGTAGCATCTGCAAATGGATATTTGGAGCACTTTGAGGCCTATAGTCGAAAAGGAAATTTCTTCACATAAATACTAGACAGAATTATTCTAAGAAACTTCTTTGTGATGTGTGCATTCATCTCACAGAGTTGAAATTTTCTTTTACTTGAACAATTTTGAAACACTCCTTTTTAGAATCTACAAGTGGATATTTGGAGTGCTTGGAGGCCTATGGTGGAAAAGGAAATATCTTCACATGAAAACTCGTCAGAAGCATTCTCAGAAACTTATTTGTGATGTATGCATTCAACTCATAGAATTGAACATTTCTTTTGATTGATCGGTTTGGAAGCACTCTTTTTGCAGTTAGTATCTGCAAATGGATATTCGGAGCGCTTTGAGGCCTATAGTTGAAAAGGAACTATTTTCACATAAAAGCAAGACAGAAGCATTCTGAGAAACTACTTTGTGATGTGTGAATTTATCTCACAGAGTTGAATCTTTCTTTAGATACAGCAGTTTGGAACCACTCTTTTTGTAGAATCTATAAGTGGATATTTGGAGCACTTTGAGGCCTGTCATGGAAATGGAAATATCTTCACATAAAAACTAGACAGAAACATTCTCAGAAACTTCATTGTGATGTGTGCATTCAACTCACAGAGTTGAACTTTTTTTGATTAAGCAGTTTGGAAACCATCTTTTTTTTTAGTATCTGCAAATGGATATTTGCAGCGCTTTAGGACTATAGCTCAAAAGGTAATTTCTTCACATGAACACTAGACAGAAATATTCTCAGAAACTTCTTTGTGATCTGTTCATTCATCTCACAGAGTTGAAACTTTCTTTTGATTGAGCAGTTTTGAAAAACTCTTTTTGTAGGATACACAAGAGGATATTTGGAGCGCTTTGAAACCAATGGTGGAAAAGGAAATATCTTCACATAAAAACTAGACAGAAACATTCTCAGAAACTTCTTTTTGATGCGTGCATTCACCTCAAAGAGTTCAACCTTTCTTTTGATTGAGCAGTTTGGAAACAATCTTTTATAGTATCTGCAAATGAATATTTGCATCGCTTTGAGGCCTATAGCTGAAAAGGAAATATCTTCACATAAAAACTAGACAGAAGCATTCTGGGAAACTACTTTGTGATGTGTGCATTCATCTCACAGAGTTGAACCTTTCTTTTGATGTAGCAGATTTGAATCACTCTTTTTGTAGGATCTGCAAGTGGATATTTGTAGCGCTTTGAGGCCTATGGTGGAAAAGGAAATATCTTCACATAAAAACTAGACAGAAGCATTCTGAGAAACTTCTTTGTGATGTGTGCATTGAAATCACAGAATTGAAACTTTCTTTTGATTGAGTGGTTTGGAAACACTCTTTTTGCAGTTAGTATCTGCAAATGGATATTTGGAGTGCTTTGAGGCCTATAGTTGAAAAGGAAATACCTTCACATAGAAACTAGACAGAAGAATTCTGAGAAACTAACTCTGATGTTTGCCTTAATCTCACAGAGTTGAGTCTTTCTTTTGATTAAGCAGTTTTGAAACACTCTTTTGCAGAATCTGCAAGTGTATATTTCGAGGGCTTTGAGACCCATGGTGGGAAAGGAAATATCTTCACATAAAAACAAGAAAGAAGCATTGTCAGAAACTTCTTTGTGATGCGTGCATTCAACTCACAGATTTGAGTATTTCTTTTGATTGAGCAGTTTGGAAACATTCTTTTTTTCTACTATCTGCAAATGGATATTTGGAGCGCTTTGGGGTCTATAGCTGAAAAGGAAATATCTTCACACAAAAACTAGACAGAAGCATTCTCAGAAACTTCTTTGGGATGTGTCCATTCAATGCAGACAGTTGAACCTTCCTTTTGATAGAGCAGTTTTGAAACACTCTTTTTGTAGTATCTGCAAGTGGATATTAGTAGCACTTTGAGGCTTATGATGGAAAAGGAAATATCTTCAAATAAAAACTAGACAGAAGCTTTCTCACAAACTGCTTTTTGATGGGTGCATTCAACTCACAGAGTTGAACTTTTCTTTTGATTGAGCAGTTTGAAAACACCCTTTATTTCTAGTATCTGCAAATGGATATTTGGAGCGCTTTGTGTCCTATAGCTGAAAAGTCAATATTTTCATATAAAAACTTGACAGAAGCATTCTCATTAAATTCTTTGTGATGTGTGCATTCATCTCACAGAGTTGAACTTTTCTTTTGATAGAGCAGCTTTGAAACACTCTTTTTGTAGAATCTGCAAGTGTATACTTCAAGTGGTTGAGGCCCATGGTGGGAAAGGAAATATCTTCACATAAAAACAAGACAGAAGCATTCTCAGAAACTTCTTTGTGATGCGTGCATTCAACTCACAGATCTGAACATTTCTTTTGATTGAGCAATTTGGAAACATTCTTTTTTTCTACTATCTGCAAATGGATATTTGGAGCACTTTGGGGTCTATAGCTGAAAAGGAAATATCTTCACATAAAAACTAGACAGAAGGATTCTCAGAAACTTCTTTGTGATGTGTGCATTCATCTCACAGAGTTGAACCTTTCTTTTGATTGACCAGTTTTGAAGCATGCTTTTTGTAGAATCTGCAAGTGGATATTTTGATTGCTTTGAGACCTATTGTGGAAAAGGAAATATGTTCACATAAAAAGTATACAGAAGCATTCTGAGAACCTTCTTTGTGGTGCGTGGATTCAACTCACAGAGTTGAGTCTTTCTTTTCGTTGAGCAGTTTGGAAACACTCTTTTTTGTAGTATCCGCCAATGGATATTTGGATTGCTTTGAGGCCTATATTTGAAAAGGAAATATCTTCACATAAAAACTTGACAGAAGCATTCTGAGAAACTTCTTTGTTGTGTGTGCATTCATCTCATAGAGTTGAGTCTTTCTTTTGATTGAGCAGTTTTGAAACACTCTTTTTGTAGAATCTGTAAGTGGATATTTGGAGAGTTTTGAGGCCTATGGTGGAAAAGGAAATATCTTCACATAAAAACTAGACAGAAGCATTCTCAGAAACTTATTTGTGATGTGTGCATTCATCTCACAGAGTTGAAATTTTCTGCTTATTGAGCAGCTTTGAAACACTCTTCTTGTAGAACTTGACAGTGGATATTTGGAGCACTTTGATGTCCATGGTGGAAATGGAAATATCTTCAGATAAAAACTAGACTGAAGGATTCTGAGAAACTTCTTTGTTATGTGTGCATTCAACTCACAGAGTTGAACCTTTCTTTTGATTGAGCAGTTTGGAAACACTCTTTTTTTCTTGTAACTGCAAATGGATATTTGGAGCCCTTTGAGGCCTATAGCTGAAAAGGAAATACCTTCACATAAAAACTAGACAGACGCATTCTCATTAACTTCTTTGTGATGTTTGAATTCATCACACTGAGTTGAACCTTTCTTTTGACTGAGCAGTTTTGAAACACTTTTTTGTAGTATCTGCAAGTGGATATTTGGAGCACTTTGAGGCCAATGGTGGAAAAGGAAATAGCTTCACATAAAAACTAGACTGAAGCATTCTCAGAAACTACTTTGTGGTGTCTGCATTCATTTCACAGAGTTGAACCTTTCTTTTGATTGAGCAGTTTTGAAACACTCTTTTTGTAGAATCTGCAAGTGGATATTTTTAGTGCTTTAAGCCTATGGTGGAAAAGGAAGTATGTTCACATAAAAAGTAGACAGAATCATTCTAAGAAACTTCTTTGTGATGTGTGCATTTAACTCACAGATTTGAACATTTATTTTGATTGAGAAGTTTGGAAACATTCTTTTTTGTAGTAACCACCAATGGATATTTGGATCACTTTGAGGCCTATAATTGAAAAGGAAATATCTTCACATAAAAACTTGACAGAAGCATTCTGAGAAACTTCTTGTTATGTGTGCATTCATCTCACAGTGTTGAGTCTTTCTTTTGACTGAGCAGTTTTGAAACACTCTTTTTATAGAATCTGCAAGTGGATATTTGGAGCGCTTTGAGGCCTATTGTGGAAAAGGAAATATCTTCATGCCAAAACCAGACAGAGGCATTCTCAGAAACTTCTTTGTGATGTGTGCATTCATCTCACAGAGTTGAAATATTCTTTTTATTGAGCAGCTTTGAAACACTCTTTTTGTAGAAACTGCCGGTGGATATTTGGAGCCCTTGGATGTCTATGGTGGAAAAGGAAATATCTTCACATAAAAACTAGACAGAAGCATTCTCAGAAACTGCTTTGTGATGTGTGCATTCATCTGACAGAGCCGAATCCTTCTTTTGATTGAGCAGTTCTGAAACACTCTTTTTTTAGAATCTGCAAGTGAATAGGTGGAGCAGTTTGAGGCCTATGGTGAAAAAGGAAATATCTTCACATAAAAATTAGACAGAAGCATTCTCAGAAACTTCTCTGTGATGTGTGTATTCAACTCACAGAGTTGAACCTTTCTTTTGATTGAGAAGTTTGGAAACACTCTTTTTTTTGTAGTATCTTCTAATGGATATTTGAAGCCCTTTGAAGTCTATTGTTGAAAAGGAAATATCTTCATATAAAAACTAGACAGAAGCATTCTGAGAAACTTCTTTCTGATGTGTACATTCATCTCACAGAGTTCGACCTTTCTTTTGACTGAGCAGTTTTGAAACACTCTTTTTGTAGGGTCTGCAAGTGGATATTTGGAGCGCTTTGTGGCCTATAGTGGAAAAGGAAATATCTTCACATAAAAACTAGACAGAAGCATTCTCAGAAACTTCTTTGTGATGTTTTAATTCAACTCAGAGGTTTGAACACTTGTTTTGATTGAGCAGTTTCGAAACAGTGTTTTTGTAGAATCTGCAAGTGGATATTTGGAGTGCTTTGAGGCCTATGGTGGAAAAGGAAATATCTTCACAAGAAAATTAGACAGAAGCATTCTCAGAAACTGCTTTGTTATGTGTGTACTCAACTCAAAGAGTTGAAGCTTTCTTTGATTGAGCAGTTTGAAACACTTTTTGTAGTATCTGTAAATGGATAATTGGAGTGGTTTGAAGCCTATGGTGGAGAAGGAAATATCTTCACATAAAAACTAGACAGAAGCATTCTCAGAAACTTCTTTGTGATGTGTGCATTCAACTCAGAAGGTTGAACATTTCTTTTGATTGAGCAGTTTGGAAAAAATCTTTTAGTTGTATCTGCAAATGGATATTTGGAATGCTTTGTGACCAATAGCTGAAAAGGAAATATCTTCACATAAAAAGTAGATAGAAGCATTCTGAGAAATTTTTTTGGGATGTGTGCATTCATCTCACAGAGTTGAACATTTCTTTTGATTGAGCAGTTTTAAACACTCTTTTTGTAGAATCTGCAAGTGCATATTTGGAGCGCTTTGAGGCCTGTGGTGGAAAAGGAAATATCTACACATGAAAACTAGACAGAAGCATTCTCAGTAACTTCTTTGTGATGTGTGCATTAAACTCGCAAAATTGAACCTTTCTTTTGATTGAGCAGTTTAGAAGCACTCTTTTTGCAGTTAGTTTCTGCAAGTGGATATTTGGAGCGCTTTGAGGCCTGTAGTTGAAAAGGAAATATCTTCATATAAAGGGTAGACAGAAGCATTCTGAGAAACTACTTTGTGATGTGTGCATTCATCTCACAGAGTTGAATCTTCCTTTAGATTCAGTAGTTTGGAAACACTCTTTTTGTAGAATCTACAAGTGGATATTTGGAGGGCTTTGAGGGCTATGGTGGAAAAGGAAATATCTTCACATGAAAACTAGACAGAAGTATTCTCACAAAATTCTTTGTGATGGGTGCATTCAACTCACAGAGTTGAACCTTTCTTTTGACTGAGTAGTTTGAAAACACCCTTTTTTTCTATTATCTGCAAATGGATATTTGGAGTGCTTTGAGGCCTATAGTTGAAAAGGGAATATCTTCATATAAAAAGTAGACAGAAGCATTCTCATTAACTTCTTTGTGATGTGTGCATTCCCCTCACAGAGTAGAAACTTTCTTTTGATTGACCAGTTTGGAAACACTCTTTGGTAGAATCTGCAAGTGGATATTTGGACCGCTTTGAAGCCTTTGTTGGAAACGGGAATATCTTCACATAAAAATTAGACAGAAGCATTCTCAGAAACTTCTTTGTGATGTGTGCATTCAACTAACAGAGTTGAACCCTCCTTTTGATAGAGCAGTTTGAAACACTCTTTTTGGAGAATCTGTAAGTGGATATTTGGAGCTCTTGGAGGCCTATGGTAGAAAAGGAAATATCTTCACATGAAAACTAGACAGAAGCATTCTCAGAAACTGCTTTGTGATGTGTGCATTGAACTCAAAGAGTTGAACCTTTCTTTTGATTGAGCAGTTTGGAAACACTCTTTCTGTATTATCTGCAAACGGATAATTGGAGTGGTTTGAGGCCTACGGTGGAGAAGGAAATATCTTCACATAAAATCTAGACAGAAGCATTCTCAGAAACTTTTTGTGATGTGTACATTCATCTTACATAGTTCAACCTTTCTTTTTCTTGAGCAGTTTAGAAACACTCTTTTTGTAGTATCTGCAAGTGGATATTTGGGGGGCTTTTGGGCCTACGGTGGAAAAGGAAATATCTTCACATAAGTCTAGACAGAAGCATTCTCAGAAACGTCTTCGTGATGTATGCATTCTACTCACAGTGTTGAACATTTCTTTTGATTGAGCAGTTTGGAAACACTCTTTCTGTAGTATCTTCAAATGGATATTTGGAGTTCTTTGGGGCCTATAGCTGGAAAGGATATATCTTCACATAAAAACTTCACAGAATCATTCTGAGAAACTTCTTTTTGATTGTGCCTTCTTCTCACAGTGTTGAACCTTTCTTTTCATTGAGCAGTTTGAAAAAAGTCTTTTTGTCGTATCTGCATATAGATATTTGGACCTCTTTGAGGCCTAAAGTGAAAAAGCTAATATCTTCACATAAAAAAGGAATGGAAGATTTCTGAGCAACTTCCTTGTGATTTGTCCATTCACCTCACACTGTTGCACCTTTTGTTTAATTGAGCAGTTTGGAAACAGTGTTTTTGTAGCATTTGTAGAGGGATATTTCTCAGCTGTTTGAGGCCTACGGTGAAAATGGAAATATCTTCACATAAAAACTAGACAGAGACATTCTGCAAAACTGCTGTGTGATGTGTGCATTCATCTCACAAAGTTGAACCTTTCTTTTGATTGAGCAGTTTGGAGACAGTCTTTTTCTAGAATCTGCAAAGGGATATTTGTGAAACCTTTCAGGCCCAAGGTGAAATAGGAAATATCCTCACATAAAAACAACACAGAAGGATTCTGAGAAACTTCTTTGTGATGTGAGCTTTCATCTCTCAGAGTTGAACCTTTCCTTTGTTTGAGAAGTTAGAATACAGTGTTTTTGTGCAATCTGCAAAGCTATATTTCTGAGTGGTTTGCAGCCTATGTTGAAAAAGAAATATCTTCAAATAAAAACTTGGTGGAAGCTTTCTGCCAAACTTCTCTGTGATATTTGCTTTCATCTCACAGACTTGAGACTTTGTTTTGATTGAGGAGTTTTGTAACAGTCTTTTTATAGTATCAGCAAATTGATATTTGGAGCGCTTTGAGGCTTGTGGTGAAAAGGGAAATATCTTCACATAAAAACTAGACAGAAACATTCTTAGAAGCTTCTTTGTGATGTGTACATTCATCTCACAGACTTGAGATCTTCTTTTGATTCAGCAGTTTGGAAACCATCTTTTTGTGGAATTTGCAAATGTATATTTGGACCTCTTTGAGACCTATGGTGAAAAAGCTAATATTTTCGCATAAAAACTAAACAGAAGATTTCTTTGAAACTTTTTTGTGATGACTGCATTTATCTCCCAGAGTTGAATATTTCTTTTCATTGAGCAGTTTGGAAGCAGTCTTTTTGCAGAATATGCAGAGGGTTATCTGTGAGCAGTTTTGTGCCTATTGTGAAAATGGAAATATCTTCACATAGAAACTAGACAGAAGCATTCTGAGAAACTGCTTTGTGATGTGTGCATTCATATCACAGGGTTGAACTTTTATTTTGATTTAGCAGTTTGGAAACAATCTTTTTGTAGAATCTGTAAAGGGATATTTGCGAGGCCTTTGAGGCCCATGTTGAAATAGGAAATAGCTTCACATAAAAACTAGACAGAACGTTTCTGAGAAACTTCTTTGTGATGTCTGCATTCATCACACAGAGTTGAAACTTTCTTTTGATTTAGCAGTTTAGAAACAGTCTTTTTGTAGAATTTGGAGATGGATATTTATGAGCGGTTTGAAGCCTATGTTGAAAATGTAAATATCTTCACATGAAAGCTAGACAAAAGTAATCTGAGAAACTGCTTTGTGATGTGCACATTCATCTCAAAGAGTTGAACCTTTCTTTTCATTGAGCAGTTTGGAAACAGTTTTCTGTAGAATCGTCAAAGGAATAATTGTGATGTCATTGAGGCCTGGGGTGTAATATGAAATATCTTCACATAAAAAATAGACAGAAGCATTCTGAGAAACTTCTTTGTGATGTGTGCTTTCATCTCATACAGCTGAATCTTTCTTTTGATTGAGAAGTTTTGAAAGAGTCTTTTTGTAGAATCTGTGAATGGATATTTGGAGTGCTTTGGGGCCTATGGTGGAAGAGGAAATTTCTTCATATAAAAACTAGACGGAAGCATTCTGAGAAACTTCTTTGTGGGGTTTGCATTCATCTCACTGAGCTGAATCTTTCTTTTGATTGAGTAGTTTGGAAACAGACTTTTTGTAGATTCTGCAGAGGAATATTTGTGAGCAGTTTGAGACATATAGTGGAAAAGGAAATACCTTCATGTAAAAGCTAGACAGACACTTTTTGAGAAACTTCTTTGTGAGGTGTCCATTCATCTCGCAGAGTTGAAACTTCCTTTTGGTTCAGCTGTTTGGAAACCGTCTTTTTGTACAATCTGCATTGGGATATTTCTGAGCTCTTTGCCACCTCAGGTGAAAAAGAAGTATCTTCACATAAAAAGTAGACAGAAGCTTTCTGCCAAACCCCTTTGTG
The DNA here is from genome assembly GCF_000001405.40 of Homo sapiens. Lineage (NCBI taxonomy): Eukaryota > Metazoa > Chordata > Mammalia > Primates > Hominidae > Homo > Homo sapiens. The sequence continues at coordinate 27,393,273 of NC_000019.10, read as the reverse complement.
ATGTGTGCTTTCATCTCACAGAATTGAACCTTTCTTCTGGTTGAGCAGTTTGGTAACAGTCTTTTTGTGGAATCTTCAAATGGATATTTGGAGTGCTTTGAGGCCTATGGTGAAAAGGGAAGTATCTTCATATAAAAACTAGACAGAAGAATTCTGAGGAACTTCTTTGTGATGTGTGCATTCATCTCACAGAGGTGAAAATTTCTTTTGATTGAACAGTTTGAACACAGTTTTTTGCAGAATATGCAGAGGGATATTTGAGAGCAGTTTGAGACCTGTGGTGAAAATGGAAATATCTTCATATATTTCCAGTGCTCACATAATGAGCACTCTGTATCTAGATCAAGGTTTGTAAACACACCAATCAGCACCCTGTGTCTAGCTCAGGGATTTTGAGTGCACCAATTGACATGCTGTATCTAGCTATTCTCATGGGGACTTGGAGAACTTTTATGTCTAGCCCAGGGGTTGTAAATATACCAATCGCACTCTGTATCTAGCTCAAAGTGTGTAAACATACCAATCAGCATCCTGTGTCTAGCTCAGGGTTTGTGAATGCACCAATCGACACCGTGTATCTAGCTACTCTGATGGGGCCTTGGATAACTTTGTGTTGACACTCTATCTAGCTAATCTGGTGGGGACATGAAGAGCCTTTGTGTCTAGCTTAGGGATTGTATATGCACCAATCAGTGCCCTGTCAAAACAGTCCACTGGGCTCTACAAATCAGCAGGAAGTGGGTGGGGCCAGATAAGAGAATAAAAAGCAGGCTGCCAGAGCCAGCAGTGGCAACCTGCTTGGGGACCCTTCTACACTGTGGAAGCTTTGTTCTTTCACTGTTTGCAATAAATAATGCTGGTGCTCACTCTCTTTGTGTCCACACTGCCTTTATGAGCTGCAACACTCAAGGTGAAGCTCTGCAGCTTCACTCCTGAAGTGACCGAGACCACGAGTCCACTGGGAGGAATGGAAAACTCCAGATGCACTGCCTTAAGAGCTGTAACACTCACTGTGAAGGTCTGCAGCTTCACTCCTGAGCTAGCGAGTCTACAAAACCACAAGAAGGAAGAAACTCAGAACACATCTGAACATCAGAAAAAACAAACACCAGACTCGCCACCTTTAAGAACTGTAACACTCACCATAAGGGTACGGGGCTTCATTCTTGAAGTCAGTGAGACCAAGAACCCACCAATTCTGGACACAACATCAAAAAGATGTTTCTCAGAATGCTTCTGTCTAGTTTTTATGTGAAGATATCTCCTATTTCCCCATAGGCCTCAAAGGGATCACAAATATCCCTTTGCAGATTCTACAAAATGACTGTTTCCAAACGACTCAATCAAAAGAAATGTTCACCTCTGTGAAATGAATGCACACATCACAAAGAAGTTTCTCAGAATGCTTCTTCCTAGTTTTTATGTGAAGATATTTCCTTTTCCACCACAGGACTCAAAGTGCTCCAAATATCCACTTGCAGATTCGACAAAGAGAGTGTTTGAAAACTGTTTAATCAAAAGAAAGGTTCAGCTCCATGAGATGAATGCACACATCACAAAGAAGTTTCTCAGAATGCTTCTGTCTAATTTTTATGTGAAGATATTTCGTTTTTCACCATAGGCCACAAAGCACTCAAAATATCCATTTACAGATACTACAAAAAGACTGTCTCCAAACAGCTCAATCAAAAGAAATATTCAAGCCTGTGAGATGAATGCAAACATCCAAAGAAGTTTCTCAGAATGCTTCTGTCTAGTTTTTATGTGAAGATATTTCCTTTTTCACCATAGGCCTCAAAGCGCTCCAAATATCCATTTGCAGACTCTACAAAAAGACATTTCCAAACTGCTCAAAAAAAAGAAAATTTCAACTCTGAGATGAAAGTACACATCACAAAGAAGTTTCTCAGAAAGTTTCTGTCTAGTTTTTATGTGAAAATATTTCCTATTTTCCCATAGGCCTCAATGGGCTCACAAATATCCCTTTGCAGATCCCACAAAACGACGCTTTCCAAACTGTTCAATCAAAACAAATGTTCAACTCTGTGAGATGAATGCACACATTAAAAAGAAGTTTCTCAGAATGCTTCCATCCAGTTTTTATGTGAATATATTTCCTTTTCCACTGAAGGCCACAAAGTGCTCCAAATATCCACTTGCAGATTCTGCAAAAAGACAGTTTCCAAACTTCTCAATGAAAAGAAAGGTTGAACTCTGTGAGATGAATGCACACATCACAAAGAAGTGTCTCACAATTCTTCTGTGTAGTTTTTATGGGAAGATATTTCCTTTTTCACCATAGGAATCAAATCGCTCACAATATCCGTTTGCAGATACTACAAAAAGACTGTTCCAAAACTGCTCAATCAAAAGAAAGGTTCAACTCTGTGAGGTTAATGCACACCTCACAAAGAAGTTTCTCAGAATGCTTCTGTCTAGTTTTAATGTGAAGATAGTCCCTTTTTCACCATAGACCTCAAAGTGCTCCAAATATCCATGTGTAGATTTTACAAAAAGACTGCTTGGAAAACTGCTCAATTAAAAGAAAGTTTCAAATCTGTGAGATGAATGCACATGTCACAAAGAAGTTTCTCAGAATGCTTCTGTCTACTTTTTATGTGAAGATACTACCTTTTCAACCATATGCTTCAAACCGCTCCAAGTATCTACTTACAGATTCACAAAAAGAGTGTTTCAACACTGATCAACCAAAAGAAAGTTTCAACTCTATGAGATGAATGCACACATCACAAAGAAGTTTCTCAGAATGTTTCTCTGTAGTTTTTATGTGAAGATATTTCCATTTTCACCATAGGCCTCAAATCATTCCAAATATACACTTGCAGATACTACAAAAAGACTGTTTCCCAATTGCTCAATCAAAAGAAAGGTTCAATTTCGTGAGATGAATGCACACATCAGAAAGAAGTTTCTCAGAATGCTTCTGTCTAGTTTTTATTTGAAGATAGTTGCTTTTTCACCATAGACCACATAGCACTCAAAATACCCACATGCAGATACTACAAAAAGATGGTTTCCAAACTGCTCAATCAAAAGAAAGGTTCACCACTGTAAGATGAATGCACACATCACAAAGAAGTTTCTCAGAAAGTTTCTGACTAGTTTTTATGTGAAGATATTTCCTATTTCCTCATAGGCCTCAATGGGCTCAAAAATATCCCTTTGCAGATTCTACAAAAGGACGGTTTCCAAAGTTCTCAATAAAGAGAAATGTTCAACACTGTGAGAAGAATGCACACATCACAACGAAGTTTCTAAGAATGCTTCTATCTAGTTTTTATGTGAAGATATTTCCTTTTCCACCATTGGCCTCAAGACACTCCAAATATCCACTTGCACATTCTACAAAAAGTCTATATTCAAACTGGTCTAACAAAAGAAAGTCTCAACTCTCCGAGATGAAGGCACACATCTCAAGGAAGTTTCCCAGAATGCTTCTGTCTGGTTTTTATGTGAAGATATTTCCTTCTTCACCATAGGCCTCAAAGTGCTCCAAGTATCCATTTACAGATTCCACAAAAATACTGTGTAAAAACTGCTCAATGAAAAGAAAGTTTCAACTGTGTGAGATGAAAGCACACATCACAAAGAAGTTTTTCATGATGTTTCTTTCTAGTTTTTATGTGAAGATATTTCCTTTTTGCCCATAGGCCTCAATGCAGTCACAAACATCCCTTTGCAGATTCTACAAAAAGACTGTTTCCAAACTTCTCAATCAAAAGAAATGTTCAACTCTGTGAGATAAAGCACACATCACAAATTAGTTTCTCAGAAAGTTTCTGTTTTTTTTTTTATGTGAGGATATTTCCTATTTCCCCATAGGCTTCAATGGGCTCTCAAGTATCCCTTTGAAGATTCTACAAAACGACTGTTTCCAAAACTGCTCAATCATAAGAAAGGTTTAACTCTCTGAGATGAAGGCACACAAGGAAGTTTCCCAGAATGCTTCTGTATGGTTTTTATGTGAAGATATTTCCTTCTTCATGATAGGCCTCAAAGCACTCCAAATATCCATTTGCAGATTCCACAAAAAGACTGTGTAAAAACTGCTCAATGAAAAGAAAGTTTCAACTGTGTGAGATGAAAGCACACATCACCAAGAAGTTTTTCATAATGTTTCTTTCTAGTTTTTATGTGAAGATATTTCATGTTTGCCCATAGGCCTCAATGCACTCACAAACATCCCTTTGCAGATTCTACAAAAAGACTGTTTCCATACTTCTCAATCAAAAGAAATGTTCAACTCTGTGAGATGAATGCACACATCAAAAAGAAGTTTCTAGGAATGCCTCTCTCTCGTCTTCACATGAAGATATTCCTTGTTCCACCTTAGGCTGCAAATAACTCCAAATATCCACTTGCAGTTTCTACAAAATGACAGTTTCCAAACTGCTCAATCAAAAGAAATGTTCCACTCTGTGAGATGAATGCACACATCACAAAGAAGTTTCTCAGAATACTTCTGTCTAGTTTTTATATGAAGATATTTTCCTTTTCCCCATAAGCCTCAAAGGGCTCCAAATATCCAGTTGCAGATTGTACAAAAAGACTGTTTCCAAACTGCACAATCAAAAGAAAGGTTCAACTCTGTGAGTCGAATGCACACATCACAAATAAGTTTTTCACAATGCTTCTGTCTAGTTTTTCTATGAAGATTTTTCCTTTTTCACCACAGGCCTCATAGTGCTCCAAAATTCCACTTGCAGATTCTACAAAAAGACTCTTTCAAAACTTCTCAATCAAAAGAAAGATTCAGCTGTGTGAGATAAAAGCACACATCACAAATTAGTTTCTCAGAAAGTTTCTGTCTATTTTTTATGCAAAGATATTTCCTATTTCCCCATAGGCCTCAATGGGCTCTCAAGTATCCCTGTGAAGATTCTACAAAACGACTGTTTTCAAAACTGCTCAATCATAAGAAAGGTTTAACTCTCTGAGATGAATACACACATCACAGATAAGTTTCTCAGAATGTTTTTGTCTAGTTTTTATGTGAAGATATTTCCTTTTCCACCACAGGCCTCAAAGCGCTCTAAATATCCACTTGCAGATTCTAAAAAAACAGTGTTTCAAAACTGCTCAATCAAAAGAAAGATTCAACTCTGGGAGCTGCATGCGCACATCACAGAGAAGTTTCTCAGAATGCTTCTGTAGTTTTTTTGTGAAGATATTTCCTTTTTCACCATAGGCCTCAAAGCACTCCAAATATCCTTTTGAAGATACTACAAAAAGGTTGTTTCCAAGGTGCTCAATCAAAAGAAAGGTTCAACTCTGTGAAATGAATGCACACATCAGAAAGAAGTTTCCCACAATGGTTCAGTGTAGTTTTTATATGAAGATATTTCATTTTTCCCCATATGACTCAAAGTGCTACAAATATCCATTTTCAGTTACTATGAAAAGTATGCTTCCAAACAGCTCAATCAAAAGAAATTTTCAACTCTGTGAGATGAAAGCACACGTCTCAAAGTAATTTATCGGAAAGTTTCTGTCTAGTTTTTATGTGAAGATATTTCCTTTTCCACCACAGGCCTCAACGCACTCCAAATATCCAGTTCCATTTTCTACAAATAGAGTGTTTCAAAATTCCTTAATCAAAAGAATAGTTCAACTCTATGAGATGAATGCACACCTCACAAAGAAGTTTCTCATAATGCTTTTGTCTAGTTTTTATTTGATGATATTTCCTTTTTCAATGCAGGCCTCCAAGTGCTCCACATATCACTTTGCAGATACTATAAAAAGATTGTTTCCAAACTGCTCTATCAAAAGAAAGTTTGAACTCTGAGAGATGAATGCACACATCACAAAGAATTTCTCAGAATGCTTCTGTCGAGTTTTTATGTGAAAATATGTCCTTCCTCACCATAAGCCTCAATGCGCTCCAAATATCCATTTGCAGATTCTTCAGAAAGACTATTTCAAAACTGCTCTATCAAAAGAAAGTTTCAACTCTTTGAGGTGAAAGCACACATCACAAAGTAGTTTTGCAACAAGTTTCCGGCAAGTTTTTATGTGAAGACATTTCCTATTTTCCCATAAGCCTCAATGGGCTCACAAATATCCCTTTGCACATTTTACAAAACGAATGTTTCCAAACTGCTCAATCAAAAGAAATATTCAACTCTCTAAGATGAATGCACACATCACAAAGAAGTTTCTGAGAATGCTTCTGTCTGGTTTTTATGTGAAGATACCCCTTTTCTGCCACAGGCCTCAAAGCACTCCAAACATCCAGTAGCATTTTCTACAAAAAGAGTGTTTCAAAACTGCTTAATAAAAAGAAATTTTCAACTCTGGGAGATGAATGCACAAACCACAAAGATGTTTCTCAGAATGCTTTTGTCTACTTTTTATGTGAAGATATTTCCTTTTTCACCATAGACCTCAAAACGCTCAAAATCTCCCTTTGCAAATACTACAAAAAGACTGTTTCCAAACTGATCAATCTAAAGCAAGGTTGAACGCCATGATATGAATGCACACATCACAAAGATGTTTCTCAGAATGCTTCTGTCTAGTTTTTAAGCGAGGATAGTTCCTTATTCAACATAGGCCTCAAAGTGCCTCAAATATCCATTTGCAGATTCTAAAAAAAAGACTATTTCTAAACTGCTCACTCAAAAGAAAGTTTCAACTCTGTGAGATGAAAGCACACCTCACAAACCAGCTTCTCAGAAAGTTTCTGCCTAGTTTTTATGTGAAGATATTTCCCATTATCCCATGGGCCTCAATGGACTCACAAATATCCCTTTGCAGATTCTCCAAAACGACTATTTCCAAACTGCTCAATCAAAAGAAAGGTTCAATTATGTGAGATGAATGCACTCATCACAAAGAAGATTCTAGGAAGGCTTCTGTCTAGTTTTTAAATGAAGACATTTCCATTTTCACCACTGGCCTCAAAGCGCTCCAAATATCAATTTGCAGTTTCTACAAGAAGACAGTTTCCAAACTGCTCATTCAAATGAAAGTTTCAACTTTGTGAGATGAAAGCTCATATCACAAAGAAGTTTCTCAGAAAGACTCCATCTAATTTTTATGTGAAGATATTTCCTATTTGCCCATAGGCCTCAGTGAGCTCAAATATCCCTATGAAGACTCCACACAGCGACTGTTTCCAAACTGCTCAATCAAAAGAAACATTCAATGCAGTGAGATGAATGCACACATCACAAAGAAGTTCCTCAGAATGCTTCTGTCTAATTTTTATGTGAAGATATTTTTTCCATCATAGTACTTAAAGTGCTCCAAATATCCACTTGCAGATTCTACAAAAAGAGTGTTTCCAAACTGTTCAATCAAAAGAAATGTTCAACTCTGTAAGATGAAGATGAATGCACACATCACAAAGAAGATTCTCAGAATTCTTCTGTGTAGTTTTTATGTGAAGATATTTTCTTTTAAGCTATAGGCCTCATAGAGCTCCAAATATTCATTTGCATATTCAACAAAAAGAGTGTTTCAAAACTGCTCAATCAAAAGAATGGTTAAACTCTCTGAGATGAATGCACACATCACAAAGAAGTTTCTCAGAATGTTTCTGCCTAGTTGTTATGTGAAGATATTTCCTTTTCCACCATAGACCTCAAAGCGCTCCAAATATCCATTTGCCGATACTACCAAAAGACTGTTTCCAAACTGGTCAATCAAAAGAAAGGTTCAGCTTTGACACATGACTGCACACATCACAAAGAAGTTTCTCAGAATGCTTCTTTGTAGTATTTAAGTGAAGATATTTCCTTTTCCACAATAGGCGTCAAAGCGCCCCAAATATCCACTTGCAGATACTACAAAAAGTGTGTTTCAAAACTGCTCAACCAAAAGAAAATTTCAACTCTGTAAGATGAATGCACACATCACAAAGAAGTTTCTCAGAACGTTCCTGCCTACTTTTTATGTGAAGATATTTCCTTTTCTACCATAGGCCTCAAAGCACTCCAAATATCCACTTGCAGATTGTACAAAAAGAGTGATCCAAAACTGCTCAATCAAAAGAAAGGTTCAACTCTGTGAGATGAATGCACACATCACAAAGAAGTTTCTCAGAATGCTTCTGTCTAGTTTTTATATGAAGATATTTCCTTTTCTACTACAGGCCTCAAATCACTCCAAATATCAATTTGCAGACACTAAAAAGATGGTATCCAAACCGCTCAATCAAAAGAAAGGTTCAAGTCTCTGAGTTGAATGCACACAAAAGAAAGAAGTTTCTCAGAATGTTTCTGTCTAGTTTTTACGTGAAGATATTCCCTTTTCCAGTACACAACATAAACTGATCCAAATATCCACTTGCAGAATCTATAAAAAGAGTGATTCAAAGCTGCTCACCAAAAATATGTTTCACCTCTATGAGATGAATGCAGACATCAAGAAGTTTCTCAAAATGCTTCTGTCTAGTTTTTATGTGAAGATATTTCCTTTTCAACCATAGGCCTAAATGTGCTCCAAATATCCACTTGCAGATAATACAAAAAGAGTTTTTCAAAACTGCTCAATGAAAAGAAATGTTAAACTCCGTGAGTTGAATGCACACATCATAAAGAAGTTTCTCAGACTGCTTCTGTCTAGTTTTTATGTGAAGTTATTTCCTTTTCCACTATACAACAAAAAGCGTTCCGAATATCTACTTGCAGATTCTAGAAAAAGACTGTTTCCAAACTGCTCAATCAAAAGAAAGTTTCAACTCGGTGAGATGAATGCACACATCACTAAGAAGTTTCTCAGAATGCTTCTGTCTAGCTTTTTATGTGAAGATATTTACTTTTCCACCATAGGTCTCAAAGCACTCCAAATATCTGCTTGCAGATTCTACAAAAGGAGTGTTTCAAAACTGTTCAATGAAAAGAAAGATTCACCTCCCTCAGATGAATGCACACATCCAAAGTAGTTTGTCAGAATGCTTCTGGCTAGTTTTTTTGTGAAGATATTTCCTTTCCCATTATAGGCCACAAAGTGCTCCAAATATGAAATTGCAGATTCTACAAAAAGATTTTTTCAAAACTGCTCAAACAAAAGAAAGTTTCAACTCTGTGAGATGAGTGCACACATCAAATAAAAGTTTGTCAGAATGCTTCTGCCTAATTTTTATGGGAAGGTATTTCCTTTTTCACCATAGGCCTCAAAGCATCCAAATGTCCATTTGCAGAATCTACAAAAAGACTATTTCCAAACTGCTCAATCAAAAGAATGTTTCAAATCTGTGAGTTGAAAGCACATATCTCATAGAAGTTTCTCAGAAAGTTTCTGTCTAGTTTTAATGTGAAGATATTTCCTTTTTCCCCAGGGACCTCAATGGGCTCACAAATATCCCTTTGCAGATTCCACAAAACGACTGTTTCCAAATTGCTCAATCAGATGTAATGTTCAACTCTGTGAGATGAATGCACACGTCACAAAGAAGTTTCTCAGAATGCTTCTGAATAGTTTTTATGGGAAGATATTTCCTTTTTCACCTTATGCTTCAAAGGGCTCCAAATATCTATTTGCAGTTTCTACAAAAAGACTGTTTCAAAACTGCTCAATCAAAAGAAAGGTTTAACCTTTTGAGGTGAAAACACACATAACAAAGCAGTTTCTCAGAAAGTTCTGTCTAGTTTTAATGAGAAGATATTTCCTATTTCCCCAGAGGCCTCAATGGGCTCACAAATATCCCTTTGCAGATTCCACAAAACGACTGCTTCTAAACTGCTTAACCAAAAGAAAGGTTCAATTCTGTGAGTTGAATGCACACATCACAGAGAAGTTTGTCAGAATGCTTCTGTCTAGTTTTTATGTGAAGATATTTTCGTTGCCACTATAGGCTGCAAAGCGCTCCAAATATCCACCTGCACATTCTACAAACAGAGTGTTTCAAAACTGTTGAGTGAAAAGTAAGGTTCAACTCTATGATATGAATGCAAACATCACAAAGAAGTTTCTCAGAATCCTTCTGTCCAGTATTTATATGAAGATATATGCTTTTCCACCATAGGCCTTGAAGCGCTTGAAATATCAATTTACAGATACTACAAAAAGACTGTTTCAAAACTGCTCAATCAAAAGAAATGTTCAACTTAGTGAGATAAAGGCACACCACAAAGAAGTTTCTCAGAATGCTTCTGTCTGGTTTTATGTTAAGATATTTCCTTTTCCACTATGGGCCGCAAAGCGCTCCAAATATCCACTTGCAGATTCTACAAAGGAGTGTTTCACAACTGCCCTATCAAAAGAAAGGTTCATCTCTGTGAGATGAATGCACACATCACAAAGAAGTTTCTCAGAAGGCTTCTGTCTAGTATTTATGTGAAGATATTTCTTTTTCCACCATGGGCCTCAAAGTGCTCAAAATATCAATTTGCATATACTACAAAAAGACGGTTTCCAAACTGCTCAATCAAAAGAAAGGTTCAACTCTGTGAGTTGAATGCACACCTCACAAAGAAGTTTCTCAGAAGGCTTCTGTCTAGTTTTTATATGAAGACATTTCTTTTTCCACCATAGGCTTCAAATCACTGCAAATATCCAATTGCAGATTCTACAAAAAGAGTGTTTCAAAACTGCTCAATCAAAAGAAAGGTTCAACTCTCTGAGGTGCATGCACACATCACAAAGAAGTTTCTCAGAAAGCTTCTGTCTAGTTTTTATATGAGGACATTTCTTTTTCCACCGTAGGCTTCAAATCACTGCAAATATCCAAATGCAGATTCTACAAAAAGAGTGTTTCAAAACTGCTCAATCAAAAGAAAGGTTCAACTCTGTGAGGTGAATGCACACATCACAAAGAAGTTTCCCAGAAGGCTTCTGTCTAGTTTCCAGGTGAAGATATTAGCTTTCCTCCATAGGCTGCAAAGCACTCCAAATATGCACTTGCAGATTCTACAAAAAGATTGTTTCAAAACAGCTCAATCAAAAGAACAGTCAAACTCTGTGAGATGAATGCACACCTCACAATGAAGTTTCTCAGAATGCCTGTGTCTAGTTTTTTTGTGAAAATTTTTCCTTTTCCTCTATAGGCCTCTAAGCACTCGAAATATCCATTTGAAGATACTAAAAAGAGACTGTTTCCAAACTCCTCAATAGAAAGAAAGTTTCAACACTGTGAGTTGAATGCAGACATCACAAAGAAGTTTCTCAGAATGATTCTGTCAAGTTTTTATGTGAAGACATTTCCTTTTCCACTACATGGCTCAAAGCGCTCCAAATATACACTTGCAGATTATACAAGAAGAGTGTTTCAAAACTGCTCAATCAAAAGAAAAGTTCAACTCTCTGAAATTAATGCACACATCACAAAGAAGTTTCTCAGAATGCTACTGTCTAGATTTTACATGAAGATATTTCCTTTTCTAACATAGGCCTCAAAGCGATTCAAATATTCATTTGCAGATGCTACAAAAAGACTACTTCCAAACTGCTCAATCAAGAGAAAGTTTCACCTCTGTGAACTGAAAGCACACATCACAAAGAAGTTTCTCAGAATGCTTCTGTCTAGTTTTTATAAGAAAATATTTCCTTTTCCACAATAGGCCTCCAAGTGCTCCAAATATGCACTTGCAGATTCTACAAAAACAGTGTTTCAAAACTGCTCAATCAAAAGAACAGTCCAACTCTGTGAGAAAAAAGCACATCGCAGAATGAAGTTTCTCAGAATGCCTCTGTCTAGTTTTTTTGTGAAGATTTTTCCTTTTCCAATATAGGCCTCTAAGCACCTGAAATATCCATTTACAGATACTACAAAAACACTGTTTCCAAACTGCTCAATCAAAAGAAAGTTTCAACACTGTGAGATGAATGCACATATCACAGGGAAGTTTCTCAGAATGATTCTATCTAGTTTTTATGTGAAGATATTTCCTTTTCCAATACATGCTTCAAAGCGCTTCAAATATACACTTGCAGATTCTACAAGAAGAGAGTTTCAAAACTGCTCAATCAAAAGAAAAGTTCAACTCTCTGAAATGAATGCACACATCACAAAGAAGTTTCTCAGAATGCTTCTGTGTAGTTTTTATGTGAAGACATTTCCTTTTCCAACATAGGCCTCAAAGGGCTCCAAATATCCATTTGCAGATGGTACAAAAAGACTGTTTCCAAACTGCTCATCAAAAGAAACTTTCAACTCTGTGAGATGAATGCACACATCACAAAGACGTTTCTCAGAATGCTTCTGGGAAGTTTTTACATGAAGATATTTCCCATTCCACAATAGGTCTCAAAGCGCTCCAAATATCCTCTTGCAAATTCTACAAAAAGAGTGATTCAAAACTGCTCAATCGAAGGAAAAGTTCAACTCTGTGAGACGAATGCACTCATCATAAAGTAGTTTCTCAGAATGCTGCTGGGTAGTTTTTATGTGAAGACATTCCCTTTTCTATCATAGGCCGCAAAGGTCTCCAAATATCCACTTGCAGATTGTACAAAAGAGAGTTTCAAAACTGCTCTATTAAAAGATAGGTTCAAATCTGTGAGTTTAATGCACACATCACAAAGAAGTTTTGAGAATGCTTCTGTGTAGTTTTTATGTGAAGATATTTCCTTTCCACCATAGGCCTCAAAGCACTCAAAATATGCACTTACAGATTCTACAAAAAGAGTGTTTCAAAACTGCTCTATCAAAACATAGGTTCAACTCGGTGAGATGAATGCACACATCACAAGGAACTTTCTCAGAATGCTTCTGTGCAGTTTTTATGTGAAGATATATCCTTTCTCCACCATAGACCACAAATAGCCACAAGTGTGCACTTGCAGATTCTATAAAAACAGTGTTTCAAAAACTGCTCAATCAAAAGAAATGTTCAACTCTATGAGATGAATGCACGCAGCACAAAAAAGTTTCTCAGAATGTTTCTATGTAGTTATTATAGGAAGATATTTCCTTTTCTACCGTAGGCCTCTAAAAGCTCCAAATATCCACTTGCAGATTCTACAAAAACAGTATTTCCAAACTGCTCAATCAAAAGAAAGCTTTCATCCTGCGACATGAATGCACACATCACAAAGAAGTTTCTCAGACTCCTTCCATGTAGCTTTTATTTGAAGAAATTTCCTTTTCCACAATAGACCTCAAAGCACTCCAAATATCCACTTGTAGATTCTACGAAAAGAGTGTTTCAAAACTGCTCAATAAAAAAAAAAGTTTCAACTCTGTGAGATGAATGCACACATCACAAAGAAATTCCTCAGAATGCTTCTGTGTAGTTTTTATGTGAAGATATTTCCTTTAAAACTATTGGCCTCAAAGCGCTCCAAATATCCACTTGTAGATTCTAGAAAAAGATTGTTTCATAACTGCTCAATTGAAAGAAAGGTTCAACTCTATGAGACGAATGCACACATCAAAAAGAAGTTTCACAGAATTCTTCTGTGGAGTTTTATGTGATGGTATTTCCTTTTCCGCTATAGGCCACAAAGGACTCCAAATATCCACTTTCAGATTCTACAAAAAATGGTTTTCAAAACTGCTCTGTCAACAGATAAGTTCAGTTCTATGAGTTGAAGGCATACATCAAAAAGAAGTTCATCAGAAGGCATCTGTGTAGTTTTTACGTAAAGATATTACCTTTTCCACGAGGCCTCAAAGCTCTCCAAACATCCACTTGCAGATTCTACAAAAAGAGTGTTTCCAATCTGCTCAATCGAAAGAAAGTTTCATCTCTGTGACATGACTGTACACATCACATAGAAGATTATCAGAATGCCTCTGTGTAGTTTTTATATGAAGATATTTCCTTTTCCACTAGAGGCCGCAATGCTCTCCAAATATCCACTTGCAGATTCTACAAAAAGAGTGTTTCAAAACTGTTCAATCAAAAGAAATATTCAAATCTGTGAGATGAATGCACACATCACAAAGATGTTTCTCAGAACGCTTCTGTGTAGTTTTTATTTGAAGATATTTCCTTTTTCACCATAGGCCGCAAAGGGCTCCAAATATCCACTTGCAGTTTCTAGAAAAAAAGAGTTTCAAAGCTGCTCAATCAAAAGATATGTTCAACACTATTAGATGAATGCACACATCACCAAATGTTTATCAGAATGCTTCTGAGTAATTCTTATGTGAAGATATTTACTTTTCCAGCACACGCTGCAAAAGTCTCCAAATATTCACTTGCAGATTCTGCAAAAAGAGAGTTTCAAAACTGCTCAATCAAAAGAAATTTTCAACTCGGTGTGTTGAATGCACACATCACAAAGTATTTTGTCAGAATGCTTCTTTGTAGATTTGTGTGAAGATAATTCCTTTTTCATAATAGGCCTCAATGTGCTCCTAATATCCACTTGCAGATTCTACAAAAAGAGAGTTTCAAAACTACTCAATCAAAAGGTAGGTTCAACTGCGTGAATTGAATGCACACATCAAAAAGAAGTTTCACAGAATGCTTCTTAGCAGTTTTTATGTGAAGGTATTTCCTTTACCAGAATTGGCCTCAAAGCGCTCCAAATATCCTCTTGCATATTCTACAAAAAGGGTGTTTCAAAACAGCTCAATCAAAAGAAATGTTCAACTCTGTGAGATGAATGCACATATCACAAAGAAGTTTCTCAGAATGCTTCTGTGTAGTTTTTATGTGAAGATATTTCCTTTCCCACGATTGGCCTCAAAGTGCTTAAAATATCCACCTGCAGATTCTATACAAAGTGTGGTTCAAAATTGCTCAATCAAAAGATAGGTAAAACTCTGTGAGATGAATGCACACGTCCTAATAATGTTTCTCAAAATGCTTCTATATAGTTTTTATGTGAACTTATTCCCTTTTCCAAAATAGGCCGGAAAGGGCTCCAAAAATTTACATGCAGATTCTACAAAAAGTGAGATTCAAAACTGCTCAATCAAAAGATAGGTTCAACGCTGGGAGTTGAATGCACACATCACAAAGTATTTTCTCACAATGCTTCTGCGTAGTTTCTATGTGAAGATATGTCCTTTTCCACAAAAGGCCTCAAAGCACTCCAAATATCCACTTGCAGATTCTACAAAAAGAGGGTTTCAAAACTGCTCAATCAAAAGAAACGTTCAACTCTGTGAGATGAATGTACACATCACAAACAAGTTTCTCAGAATGCCTCTGTTTAGTTTTTATGTGAAGATATTTCCTTTTTGACAATAGGCCTCAAAGCACTCCAAATATCCACTTGCAGATTCTACAAAAAGAGTGTTTCTAAACTGCTCTATGAAAAAAATGGTTTAACTCTCTGAGATGAATGCACACATCACAAAGAAGTTTCTCAGAATGCTTCTATGTAGTTTTTATGTGAAGATATTACCTTTTCCACAATAATCCTGAAAGCGCTCCAAATATCAACTTGCAGATTCTACAAAAAGTCTGTTTCCAAACTGCTCAATCAAAAGAATGTTTCAACTCTGTGAGATGAATACACACATCACAATGACGTTTCTGAGAATGCTTCTATGTAGTTTTTATGTGAAGATATTTCCTTTTCCACAATAGGACTCAAAGCGCTTCAAATATCCACTTGCAGATTCTATAAAAAGAGTGTTTCAAAACTGCTCAATCAAAAGATAGGTTCAACTCTGTGAGTTGAATGCACACATCATAAAGAAGTTTCTCAGAATGCTTCTGGGTAGTTTTTATGTGAAGATATTTCCTTTTCCACAATACGCCACAAAGCGCTCCAAATATCCACTTGCAGATTCTGCAAAAAGAGTCTTTCCAAACTGCTCAATCAAAAGAAAGTTTGAACTGTGTTTGATGAATGCATACATCACAAAGAAGTTTCTCAGAATGCTTCCGTGTAGTTTTTAAGTGAAGATATTTCCTTTTCCACAATAGGACTTAAATCGCTCCAAATATCCACTTGCAAATTCTACCAAAAGATTGTCTCAAAACTGTTAATCAAATGAAACTTTCATCTCTGTGAGATGAAGGCACACATCACAAAGAAGTTTATCAGAATGCTTCTGTGTAGCTTTTATGTGAAGACATTTCCTTTTACACCATAAGCCACAAATGGCTCCAAATATCCACTTGCAGATTCTACGAAAGGGGACTTTCAAAACTGCTCTATGAAAAGATAGCTTCAACTCTGTGAGGTGAATGCACACACACCAAGGAAGTTTCTCAGAAGGCTTCTGTGTAGTTTTTATGTGAAGATATTTCCTTTTCCAAAATAGGCTGAAAAGGGCTCCAAATATCCACTTGCAGATTCTACAGAAAGAGAGACTGAAAACTGCTCAATCAAAAGATAGGTTCAACTCTGTGAGTTCAATGCGCACATCATAAATTTGTTTCTCAGAATGCTTCTGGGTAGTTTTTATGTGAAGATATTTCCTTTTCCACAGTAGGCCACAAAGCGCTCCAAAGATCCACTTGCAGATTCTACAAAAAGAGTCTTTCCTAACTGCTCAATCAAAAGAAAGTTTGAACTGTGTTTGTTGAATGCACACATCACAAAGAAGTTTCTCAGAATATTTCCTTGTAGTTTTTATGTGAAGATATTTCCTTTTCCACAATAGGACTTAAATCGCTCCAAATATCCACTTGCAAATTCTACCAAAATATTGTTTCAAAACTGTTAATCAAATGAAAGTTTCAACTTTGTGAGACGAATGCACACATCAGAAAGAAGTTTATCAGAATGCCTCTGTGTAGCTTTTATGTGAAGACATTTCCTTTTACGCCATAAGCTGCAAATGGCTCCAAATATCCACTTGCAGATTCTACAAAAGGGGAGTTTCAAAACTGCTCTATGAAAAGATAGCTTCAACTCTGTGAGTTGAAGGCACACATCACAAGGAAGTTTCTCAGAATGCTTCTGTGTAGTTTTTATGTGAAGATATTTTCTTTTCCACCATAAGCCTCAAAGCATTCCAAATATCCACTTGCAGATTCTACAAAAAGCGTGTTTCTAAACTGCTCAATCAAAAGAAGGGTTCACCTTTGTGAGATGAATGCACACATCACAAAGAAGTTTCTCACATTGCTTTTGTGCAGTTTTTGTGTGAAGATATTTCCTTTTCTGCCATAGGCCTCAAAGGGCTCCAACTATCCACTTGCAGCTGCTACAAAAGAGAGTTTCAAAACTGCACAGGTAGGAAGCATCAATATCGTGAAAATCGCCATACTGCCCCCCAAGTAACTTATAGATTCAATGCCATCCCCATCAAGATACCAATGATTTTCTTCACAGAATTGGAAAAAACTACTTTAAAGTTCATATGACACCAAAAAAGAGTCCACATCGCCAAGTCAGTCCTATACCAAAAGAACAAAGCTGGAGGCATCATGCTACCTGACTTCAATCTATACTACAAGGCTACAGTAACTAAAACAGCATGCTACTGGTACCAAAACAGAGATATAGATCAATGCAACAGAACAGAGCCCTCAGAAGTAATGCCGTATATTTACAACCATCTGATCTTTGACAAACCTGACAAAAACAAGCAATGGGGATAGGATTCCCTATTTAATAAATGGTTCTGGGAAAACTGGCTAGCCATACAGAGAAAGCTGAAACTGGATCCTTTCCTTACACTTTATAAAAAAATTAATTCAAGACGGATTAAAGACTTAAACGTTAGACTTAAAACCATAAGAACTCTAGAAGAAATCCTAAGCATTACCATTCAGGACATAGGCATGGGCAAGGAACTCATCTCTAAAACACCAAAAACAATGGCAACAAAAGCCAAAATGACAAAAGGGATCTAATTAAACTAAAGAGCTTCTGCACAGCAAAAGAAACTACCATTAGAGTGAACAGACAGCCTACAAAATGGGAGAAAAGTTTCACAATCTAGCACCTGACAAAGGGCTAATATCCAGAATCTACAATGAACTCAAAAAATTTACAGGAAAAAAAAAAACAACCCCATCAAAAAGGGAGCAAAGGACATGAACAGACACTTCTCAAAAGGAGACATTTATGCAGCCAAAAATACATGAAAAAATGCTCACCATAACTGGCTATCAGAGAAATGCAAATCAAAACCACAATGAGATACCATCTCAAGCCAGTTAGAATGGCAATCATTAAAAAGTCAGGAAACAACAGGTGCTGGAGAGGATGTGAAGGAATAGGAACACTTTTACACTGTTGGAGGGACTGTAAACTAGTTCAACCATTGTGGAAGTCAGTATGGCGATTCCTCAGGGATCTAGAACTAGAAATACCATTTGACCCAGCCATTCCATTACTGGGTATATACCCAAAGGACTATAAATCATGCTTCTATAAAGACACATGCACACGTATATTTATTGTGGCCCTATTCACAATAGCAAAGACTTGGAACCAACACAAATGTCCAACAATCAGACTGGATTAAGAAAATGTGGCACATATACACCATGGAATATATGCAGCCATAAAAAATTATGAGTTCATGTCCTTTATAGGGACATGGATGAAATTGGAAATCATCATTCTCAGTAAACTATCACAAGAACAAAAAACCAAACACCACATATTCTCTCATAGGTGGGAATTGATCAATGAGAACACATGGACACAGGAAGGGGAACATCACACTATGGGGACAGTTGTGGGGTGTGGTGAGGAGGGAGGGATAGCATTGGGAGATATTCCTAATGATAACTGACGATTCAATGGGTGCAGCACACCAGCATGGCACATGTATACATATGTAACTAACCTGCACATTGTGCACATGTACCCTAAAACTTCAAGTATAATAAAAAAAAAAAGATACGTTCAACAATGTGAGTTGAATGCACACATCACAAAGAAGTTTCTCAGAATGCTTCTGTGTAGTTTTAATGTGAAGATATTTCCTTTTTTCCATAGGCTGCTAAGGGCTCTAAATATCCACTTGCAGATTATTCAAAAAGAGAGTTTCAAAACTGGTCTATCAAAACTTAGGTTCAACTCTGGGAGTTGAATGCACACATCAAAAAGAAGTTTCTCATAATTCTTCTGTCTAGTTTTTATGTGAAGATATTTCCTTTTCCACCATAGGCCTCAAAGTGCCCCAAATATCCACTGGCAGATGCTATAAAAAGGGTGTTTCCAAACTGCTGAATCAAAAGAAAGGTTCAACTCTCTGAGATGAATGCATATATCGCAAAGAAGTTTCTCAGAATGCGTCTGTGTAGTTTTTGGGTGAAGGTATTTCCTTTTCCACTATAGGCCTCAAAGAGCTCCAATATCCACTTGCAGATTCTACAAAAAGAGTGTTTCAAAGCTGCTGAATCAAAAGATAGGTTCAACACTGTGAGTTGAATGCACACATCACAAAGAAGTTTCTCAGAATACTTCTGTGTAGTTTCAATGTGAAGATATTTCCTTTTCTCCATAGGCCACTAAGGGCTCTAAATATCCACTGGCAGATTATTCAAAAAGAGAGTTACAAAACTGGTCTATCAAAACTTAGGTTCAACTCTGTGACATGAATGCACACATCACAAAGAAGTTTCTCATAATGTTTCTGTCTAGTTTTCATGTGAAGATATTTCCTTTTCCACCATAGGCCTCAAAGCGTTCCAAATATCCACTTGCAGGTTCCATAAAAAGGGTGTTTCCAAACTGCTCAATCAAAAGAAAGGTTCAACTCTGTGAGATGAATGCACATATCACAAAGAAGTTTCTCAGAATGCTTCTGTGTAGTTTTTGGATGAAGGTATTTCCTTTTCCACTACAGACCTCAAAGTGCTCCAATATCCACTTACAGATTTTACAAAAAGAGTGTTTCAAAACTGCTGAATCAAAAGACAGGTTCAACACTGTGAGTTGAATGCACACATCACAAAGAAGTTTCTCAGAATGCTTATGTGTAGTTTTTGTGTGAAGATATTTCCTTTTCCACAATAGGCCTCAAAGCGCTCCAAATATCCACTTGCAGATTCTACAAAAAGAGTGTTTCAAAGCTGCTGAATCAAAGGAAAGTTTCAGTTCTGTGAGATGAATGCACATATCACAAAGAAGTTTCTCAGAATGCTTCTGTGTAGTTTTTGGATGAAGGTATTTCCTTTTCCACTACAGACCTCAAAGTGCTCCAATATCCACTTACAGATTTTACAAAAAGAGTGTTTCAAAACTGCTGAATCGAAAGACAGGTTCAACACTGTGAATTGAATGCACACATCACAAAGAAGTTTCTCAGAATGCTTATGTGTAGTTTTTGTGTGAGGATATTTCCTTTTCCACAATAGGCCTCAAAGCGCTCCAAATATCCACTTGCAGATTCTACAAAAAGAGTGTTTCAAAGCTGCTGAATCAAAGGAAAGTTTCAGTTCTGTGAGATGAATGCACACATCACAAAGTGGTTTCTCAGAATGCTTCTTTTTTATTTATTTTATTATTAGTATACTTAAATTTTAGGGTACATGTGCACAATGTGCAGGTTAGTTACATATGTATACATGTGCCATGCTGGTGTGCTGCACCCATTAACTCGTCATTTAGCATTAGGTATATCTCCTAATGCTATCCCCCCTCCCCCCACCCCACAACCATCCCAGAGTGTGATGTTCCCCTTCCTGTGTCCATTTGTTCTCATTTTTCCATTCCCACCTATGAGTGAGAATATGCGGTTTTTGTTTTTTTGTCCTTGCGATAGTTTACTGAGAATGATGATTTCCAATTTCATCCATGTCCGTACAAAGGACCTGAAGTCATCATTTTTTATGGCTGCATAGTATTCTATGATGTATATGTGCCACATTTTCTTAATTCAGTCTATCATTGTTGGACATTTAGTTTGGTTCCAAATCTTTGCTATTGTGAATAGTGCAGCTATAAACATACGTGCGCATGTTTCTTTATAGCAGCGTGATTTATAGTCCTTTCAGTATATACCCAGTAATGGGATGGCTGGGTCAAATGGTATTTCTGGTTCTAGATCCCTGAGGAATCACCACACTGACTTCCACAATGGTTGAACTAGTTTACAGTCCCTCCAACAGTGTAAAAGTGTTCCTATTTCTCCACATCCTCTCCAGCATCTGTTGTTTCCTGACTTTTTAATGATCACCATTCTGACTGGTTTGAGATGGTATCTCATTGTGGTTTTGATTTGCATTTCTCTGATGGCCAGTGATGGTGAGCATTTTTTCATGTGTTTTTTGGCTGCATAAATGTCTTCTTTTGAGAAGTGTCCGTTCATGTCTTTCACCCACTTTTTGATGGGGTTGTTTGTTTTTTTCTTGTAAATTTGTTTGAGTTCTTTGTAGATTCTGGATATTAGCCCTTTGTCAGATGAGTAGGTTGCAAAACTTTTCTCCCATTTTGTAGGTTGCCTGTTCACTCTGATGGTAGTTTCTTTTGCTGTGCAGAAGCTCTTTAGTTTAATTAGATCCCGTTGGTCAATTTTGGCTTTTGTTGCCATTGCTTTTGGTGTTTTAGACATGAAGTCCTTGCCCATGCCTATGTCCTGAATGGTAAAGCCTAGGTTTTCTTCTAGGGTTTTTATGGTTTTAGGTCTAATGTTTAAGACTTTAATCCATCTTGAATTAATTTTTGTTTTAGGCGTAAGGAAGTGATCCTTCTTCAGCTTTCTCCACATGGCTAGCCAGTTTTCCCAGCACCATTTATTAAATAGGTGATCATTTCCCCATTGCTTGTTTTTCTCAGGTTTGTCAAAGATCAGATTGTTTTAGATATGCGGCGTTATTTCTGAGGGCTCTGTTCTGTTCCATTGATCTATATCTCTGGTTTGTTACCAGTACCATGCAGTTTTGGTTACAGTAGCCTTGTAGTATAGTTTGAAGTCAGGTAGCGTGATTCTTCCAGGTTTATTCTTTTGGCTTAGGATTGACTTGGCAATGCAGGCTCTTTATTGGTTCCATATGAACTTTAAAGTACTTTTTTCCAATTCTGTGATGAAAGTCATTGGCAGCTTAATGGGGATGTCATTGAATCGATAAATTACCTTGGGCAGTATGGCCATTTTCACGATATTGCTCCTTCCTACCCATGAGCATGGAATGTTCTTCCATTTCTTTGTATCCTCTTTTATTTCATTGAGCAGTAGTTTGTTGTTCTCCTTGAAGAAGTCCTTCATGTCCCTTGTAAGTTGAATTCCTGAGTATTTTATTACCTTTGAAGCAATTGTGAATGGGAGTTCACTCATGATTTGGCTCTCTGTTTGTCTGTTATTGGTGCATACGAATGCTTGTGATTTTTGTACCTTGATTTTGTATCCTGAGATACATAAAAACTGCTCAGAGTTGAACCTTTCTTTTGATTGAGCAGTTTGGAAGCAGTCTTTTCATGGTATCTGCAGAGGGATATTTGTGAGCTGTTTGAGGCCTATGGTGAAAAAGACATATCCTCACATAAAAACTACACAGAAGCATTCAGAGAAACTTCTCTGTGATGTGTGTATTCATCTCTCAAGAGTTGAACCTTTCTTTGGATTGAGCAGTTTGGAAACAGTCCTTTTGTAGAATCTGAAAAGGGATATTTCTGAGCCCATTGATTCCTATGTTGAAAAAGGAAATATCTTCATATAAAAACTAAACTGAATCTTTCTGAGAAACCTCTTTGTGATGCGAGCTTCTATCTCACAGAGTTGAATGTTTCTTTTGTTTGAGCAATTTGGAAACACTCTTTTTGTAGAATCCGCAAAAGGATATTTGGAGCGATTTGAGGCCTATGGTGAAAAACGAAATATTTTCACATAAAAACTGAACAGGAGTTTTCTGAGAAACTTTTTTGTGTTGTGTCCATTCATCTCACAGTCTTGAACATTCATTTTAATTAAACTCTTTGGAAACAGTCTTTTTGTACAATCTGCAAAGGGATATTTCTGAGCAGTTTGAGGCCTATGGTGAAAAAGAAATATCTTCATATAACTACTAGACAGAAGCATTCTGAGAAACTTCTTTGTCATGAGTCCATTCATCTCAAATGGTTGAGCCATCCTCTTGATTGAGCAATTCGGAAATGGTTTTTGGTAGAATCTGCAAGAGCATATATGTGAGCCCTCTATGGCTTATGGAGAAAAAGGAAATATATTCACATAAAAACCTGACAGAAGCATTGAGAGAAGCTGCTTTGAGATTTGTGCATTCATCTCACAGAGTTGAAGCTTTCTTTTCATTGAGCAGTTTGAAAAAAGTCTTTTTGTAGAATCTGCAAATGTATATTTGGAGCGCTGTGGGTCCTATGGTGAAAAAGGAAATATCTTCACATAAAAAGTAAACATAAGCTTTCTGGGAAACTTCTTTGTGATGCTTGCATTCATTTCACAGCGTTGAACCTTTCTTTTGATTGAGCAGTTTGGAAACAGTCTTTTCATAGAATCTGCACAGGGATATTTGTCAGCCCTTTATAGCCTGTGGTGAAATAGGAAGTATTTCACATAAAAGCTAGACAGAAGCTTTCTGAGAAACTTCCTTGTGATGTTTGCTTCCATCTCACAGAGTTGAACATTCCTTTTGATTGAGCAGTTTGGAAACAGTCTTTTTGTAGAATCTGGAAATGGATATTCAGAGCGCTTTGAGGCCTGTGGTGAAAAAGGAAATATCTTCACAGAAGAATTAGACAGAACCATTCTGAGAAACTTCTTTGTGATGTGTGCATTCATCTCACCGAGTTGAACCCTTCTTTTGATGGAGCAGTTTAGAAAGAGTCTTTTTGTAGAATCTGCAGAGGGATATTTGTGACTGGTTTAAGGCCTCGGGTGAAAAAGGAAATATCTTCTCATAAAAACTAGACAGAAGCATTCTGAGAAACTGCTTTGTGATGTGTGAATTCATCTCACAGAGTTGAACCATTCTTTTATTGAGCAGGTTGGATACACTCTTTTTGTAGAATCTGCAAATGGATATTTGGAGCGCTTTGAAGCCTTTGGTGAAAAAGGAAATATCTTCACTTAAAAACCAGACAGAAGCATTCTGAGAGACTTCTTTGTGATGTGTGCATTCATCTCACAGAGTTGTACCGTTCTTTTGATAGAGCAGTTTGGAATCCATCATTTTGTAGAATCTGCAAAGGGATATTTGGAGCACTTTGAGGCCTATGGTGATAAAGGAAATATCTTCACATAAAAACTAGACAGAATTATTCTGAGGAACTTCTATGTGATATCTGCATTCATTTCACAGAGTTGAATCTTTTGATTGAGCAGTTTGGAAACAGTTTTTTCATAAAATCTACACAGATATATTTGTGAGCCCTTTACACCCTATTTTGAAATAGCAAATATCGATTTGCTTCTGGCAGAAGCACTGTCAGAAATTTATTTGTGATGTGAGCATTCATCTCACCGAGTTGAACTTTTCTTTGGTTGAGCAGTTTGGAAACAGTCTTTTTGTAGAAACTGCAAATGGATATTTGGAGCGATTTGAGGCCTATGGTGAAAAAGGAAATATCTTCACATAAAAACTAGAAAGAAACATTCTGAGAAACTTCTTTTGGATGCCTGCATTCATCTCAGAGTTGAAGCTCTCTTCTGATTGAGCAATTTGGAAACAGTCTGTTTAAACCTTATCCAAAGGGATATTTCCGAGCTGTTTGAGGCATATGGTGAAAAAGAAATAACTTCCAATAAAAACTAGACAGAAGCATTCTGAGGAACTTCCTTGTGATCTGTGCACTCATCTCACAGAGTTGAAAATTTATTTTGATGGAGCAGTTTCCAAACAGTGCTTGTGAAGTATCTGTAGAGGGATATTTGTGCGAGGCTTAAGACTTATGTTGAAAAAGGAAATATCTTCACATAAAAACTAGACAGAAGTATTCTGAGAAAGTTCTTTGTGACGTGTGCTTTCATCTCACAGAATAGAACCTTTCTTTTGATTGAGCAGGTTGGAAACATCTTTTTGTAGAGTCTGCAAATGGATATTTGGAGTGGTTTGAGGCCTAAGGTGAACAAGGAAATATCTTCACATAAAAACTAGACAGAAGGATTCTGGGAAACTTCTTTTTGGTGTGTGCATTCATCTGACAGAGTTGAACCTTTTGTTTTCATGGAGCAATTGGGAAACAGTCTTTTTGTATTATCTGCAGTGGGATGTTTGTGAACGGTTTAAGGCCTGTGGTGAAAAAGGAAATATCTTCATATAAAAACTAGACAGAAGCATTCTGAGAAACTGCTCTGTGATGTGTGCATTCATCTCACAGAACTGAAACTTTCTTTTGATAGAGCCAGTTGGAAATGCTCTTTTTTTAGAAGCTGCAAATGGATACTTGGAGCCCTTTGAGGCCTATGGTGAAAAAGGAATTATCATCACATAAAGAGTAGACAGAAGCATTCTGAGAAACTTCTTTGTGATGGGTGTATTCATCTCACAGAGTTGAACTTTTATTTGATTGAGCAGTTTGGAAACAGTCTTTTTGTAGATTCTGCAAATGGATATTTTGAGCAATTTAAGGACTATGGTGAAAAACTAAATATCTTCAGATAAGAACTGGAAAGAAGCATTTTGAGAAACTTCTTTTGATGCCTGCATTCATCTCACAGAGTTGAACTTTTCTTTTCATGGAGCACTTTGGAAACAGCCTTTTTATAGTATCTGCAAGGGGATATTTGTGACTGGTTTAGGGCTTGTGGTGAAAAAGGAAATATCTTCACATAAAAACTAGACAGAAGCATTCTGAGAAACTTCTTTGTGCTGTGTGCATTCATCTCACTGAGTTGAAACTTTCTTTTCATTGAGCAGTTTGGAAACAGTCTTTTCGTAGAATCTGCACAGGGATATTTGTGAGCCCCTTATGGCCTATGGTGAAGTAGGAAATATCCTCACATAAAAACTAGATAGAAGTTTTCTGATAAAATTCTTTGTGATATATGCTTTCATCTCAAACAGTTGAACGTTTCTTTTGATTGAGCACTTTGGAAACTGTCTTTTTGTAGATCTGCAAATGGATATTTGGAACGCTTTGAGTCCTATGGTGAAAAAGGAAATATCTTCACAGAAAAACTACACAGAAGCATTCAGAGAAACTTCTTTGTGATGAGTGCATTCGTTTCACAGTGTTGAACCTTTCTTTTGATGTAACAGTTTGGAAACAGTCGTTTAGTAGTATCTGCAGAGTGATATTAGTGACCGGTTTAAGGCCAATGGTGAAAATGGAAATATCTTCACATAAAAACTGGACAGAAGCATTCTGAGAAATATCTTTTTGATGTGTGCATTCAGCTCACAGAGTTGAACCTTTCTTTTGATTGAGCAGGTTGTTAACACTCTTTTTGTAGCATCTGCAAATGGATATTTGCAACACTTTGAGGTCTCTGGTGAAAAATGGAATATCTTCACATAAAAACAACACAGAATCACCTGAGAAACTTCTTTGTGATGTGTGCATTCATCTCACAGAGTTGAACGTGTCTTCTGATGGAGCAGTTTGGAAACCGTGTATACGTAGAATTTGAACAGGGATATTTGTGAGCCCTTTTTGGCCTATGGTGAAATAGGTAATATCTTCATGTAGAAACTAGACAGAAGCATTCTGAGAAACTTCTTTGTGATGCCTACATTCATCTCAGAGTTGAAACTTTCTTCTGACTGAGCAGTTTTGAGGCAGTCTTTTCGTACAATCTGCAAAGGGATATTTCTGAGCCTTTTGAGGACAATGTTTAAAAAGAAGTATCTTCACATAAAAACTAGACAGAAGCATTCTGAGAAACTTCTTTGTGATGTGTTCATTCATGTTACAGGATTGAACCTTTCTTTTCATGGAGCACTTTGGAAATAGTCTTTTTGTGGTATCTGCAGATGGATATTTGTGACCGGTTTAAGGCCTACGGTGATAAAGGAAATATCTTCACATAAATACTAGACAGAACCATTCTGAAAAACATCTTTGTGATGTGTGCATTCATCTCACTGAGATGAACCTTTGTTTTGATTGAGCACGTTGAAAACACTCTTTTTGTAGAGTCTGCAAATGGATATTTGGAGTGCTTTGAGGCCTATGGTGAAAAAAGAAGTATATTCATATAAAAACTAGACAGAAGCATTCTGAGAAACTTCTTCATGATGTGTGCATTCGTCTCACAGAGTTGAAATTTTCTTTTGATGGAGGACTTTGGAAACAGTCTTTTTGTAGTATCTACAGAGAGATATTTGTGATTGGTTTAAGGCCCTTGGTGAAAAAGGAAGTATCTTTACATAAAAACGAGACAGAAACATTCTGAGAAACTTCTTGGTGATGTGTGCATTCATCTCACAGAGTTGAACCATTCTTTTGATTGAGCAGGTTAGAAACACTGTTTTTATAGAATCTGCAAATTGACATTTGGAGAGGATTGTGGCCTATGGTGAAAAAGGAAATATCTTCATATAAATACTATACAATAGCATTCAGAGAAACTTCTTTGTGATGTGTGTATTCATCTCACAGTGCTGAACCTTTCTTTAGATGAAGCACTTTGGAAACAGTCTTTCTGTAGAATATGCACTGGGATACTTTTGAGCCCTTTACGGCCTGTGGTGAAATAGTAAATCACTTCACGTAAATACTAGACAGAACCTTTCTGAGAAACTTCTTTGTGATACCTGCATTCATCACACAGAGTTGAAACTTTCTTTTGATTGAGCAATTTGGAAACAGTCTTTTTGTACAATCTGCAAAGGGATATTTCTGAACCGTTTGAGGCCTATTGTGAAAAAGAGATATCTTCACATAAAAAGTAGACAGAAGCATTCTGAGAAACTTCTTTGTGATGTAGGCTTTCATCTCACAGAGTTGAAGCTTTCTTTTCATGGAGCACTTTGGAAACACTCTTTTTGTAGTATCTGCTGAGGGATATTTGTGACGTGTTTAAGGTCTATGGTGAAAAAGGAAATATCTTCACATAAAAACTATACAGAAGCGTTTAGAGAAACTTCTTTGTGATGTGTGCATTCATCTCACAAAGTTGAATTTTCTTTTGATTGAACTTGTTGGAAACACTCTTTTTGTAGAATCTTCAAATGGATATTTGAATCGCTTTGAGGCATACATTTACATAGGAAATATCTTGTGATAAAAACTAGACAGAAGCATTCTGGGAAACTTTGTGATGTGTGCATTCATCTTACAGAGTTGAAGCTTCCTTTTGATTGAGCAGTTTGAAAGCAGTATTTTTTTAGAATCTGCAAATGGATATTTGGAGGGCTTTGATGTCTATGGTGAAAAGGAAATATCTTCATATAAAAAATAGACAGAAGCACTCTGAGAAACTTCTTTGTGATACCTGCATGCATTTCACAGAGTTGAACCTTTCTTTTCATTGAGCAATTTGGAAACAGTCTTTTTGTACAATCTGCAAATGGATATTTTTGAGCCGTTTGTGCCCTATGGTGAAAAAGGAATATCTAAATATCAGAACTAGACAGAAGCAATCTGAGAAGCTTGTTTGTGATGAGTGCATTCATCTCACAGAGTTAAGCCTTTGCTTTGATTGAGCAGTTAGGAAACAGTCTTTTTGTAGAATCTGTAAAAGGATATTTGGAGCGCTTTGAGGCCAATGATGAAAAAGGAAATATCTTCACATAAAAAGTGGACAGAAGCATTCTGAGAAACTTTTTTGTGACATGTGCCTTCATCTCGCAGAGTTGAATCTTTCTTTTGATTGAGCAGGTTGGAAAAACTCTTTTTGTAGAATCTTCAAATGGATATTTGGAGTGCTTTGAGGCCTATGGTGATAAAGGAAATATCTTTACATAAAAACTAGGCAGAATAACTCTGAGAAACTTCTTTGTGATGTGTGCATTCGTCTCACAGAGTTGAATCTCTCCTTTGTTTGAGCAGTTTGGAAACAGTCTTTTCATAGAATCTGAACAGGGATACTTGTGAGCCCATTGTGGCCTATGGTGAAATAGAAAATATCTTCACATCAAAACTAGACAGTAGCTTTCTGAGGAACTTCTTTGTGATGTATGCTTTCATCTCACAGAGTTGAACCTTCTTTTTGATTGAGCTGTTTAGAAACAGTCTTTTTGTATAATCTGCAAGTGGATATTTGGAGGGTTTTGAGGCCTATGGTGAAAAAGAATATATCTTCACTTAAAAATTAGACAGAAGCATTCTGATAAACTTCACTGTGATGTGTGCATTCATCTCAGAGGTTTGAATATTTCTTTTGATGGAGCAGTTTGGAAACGTCTTTTTGAAGTATCTGCTGGGGGATATTTGTGACCGATTTAAGGCCTATGGTGAAAAAGAAAATATCTACACATAAAAGCTAGAGAGAATCATTCTAAGAAACTTCTTAGAGATGTGTGTATTCATCTCACAGACTTGAAACTGTCTTTTCATTAAGCAGTTTGGAAACAGCCTTTTTGTAGAATCTGCAAATGGATATTTGAAGCACTTTGAGGCCTATAGTGAAAAAGGAAATATCTCCACATAAAAATTAGACTGAAGCATTCTGAGAAACTTCTTTTTGATACCTGCATTAATTTCACAGAGTTGAAACTTTCTTTTGATTAAGCAGTTTGGAAACAGTCTTTTTGTACAATCTGCAAATGGATATTTCTGAGCTGTTTGAGGCCTATGGTGAATAAAGAATGTCTTCACATAAAAACTAGACAGAAGGAGTCTGAGAAACTTCTTTGTGATGTGTGCATTCATCTCACAGAGTTGAACCTTTCTTTTGATTGAGCATTTGGAAGCAGTGTTTTCAAAGAATCTGCACAGGGATATTTTTGAGCTCTTTATGGCCTATGGTGAAATAGGAAATATCTTCACATAAAAAGAAGACAGAAGATTTCTGAGAAATTTCTTTGTGATGTATGCTTTCATCTCACAGAGTTGAAACTTTCTTTTGATTGAGCAGTTGGAAACAGTCTTTTTGTAGAATCTGCAAATGGATATTTGGAGCGCTTTGAGGACTATGGTGAAAAAGGAAATATCTTCGCATAAAAACTAGACTGAGTCTGTCTGAGAAACTTCTTGGTGATGTGTGCATTCATCTCACAAAGTTGAAACTTTCTTTTGATGGAGAAGTTCCAAAAGAGTCTTTTTGAAGTATCTGCAGAGGGATATTTGTGTCCGGTTTAAGGCCTATGATGAAAAAGCGAATATCTCCACATAAATACTAGACAGAAGCATTCTTTGAAACTTCTTTATAATGTGTTGGTTCATCTCAGACATTTGAATCCTTCTTTTGATTGAGAAGTTTGGAAACAGTCTTTTTGTAGAATCTGCAAATGGATATTTATAGCACTTTGAGGCCTATGGTAAAAAAGGAAATATCTTCACATAGAAACTAGACAGAAGCATCCTGAGAAACTTCTTTGTGATGCCTGCATTCATCTCAAAGTGTTGAACCTTTCTATTGATGGAGCAGTTTCGAAACAGTCTTCTTGTACAATCTGCAAAGTGATATTTCTGAGCTGTTGAGGCCTATGATTAAAAATAAATATCCTCACATAAAAAACTAGACAGAAGCTTTCTGAGAAAATTCTTTGTGATATGTCCATTCATCTCACAGTGTTGAAACTTTCTTCTGATTGAGCAGTTTGGAAAAATTCTTTTTGTAGAATCTGCAAAGGGATATTTGTAAGCCCTTTATGGTCTATGGTGAAATAGGAAATGTCTTCAACTTAAAAGCAGACAGATGTTTCTGAGAAAGTTCTTTGTGATGTTTGCATTCATCTCACAGAGTTGAACCTCTTTTTGATTGAGCAGTTTGGAAACAGTCTTTTTGTAGAATCTGCAAATGGATATTTTGAGCGTTTTAAGGCCTATTGTGAAAAAGGAAATATCTTCACATAAAAACTAAGCAGAAGCTTTCTGAGAAACTACTTTGCGATGTGTGCATTCATCTCACAGAGTTGAACATTTCTTTTGATGGAGCAGTTTGGAACCCGTCCTTTTGTATTATCTGCAGAGGGATATTTGTGCGCAGTTTAATGCCTATGGTGAAATAGGGAACATCTTCACATAAAAACTAAACGGAAACACTCTGAGTAAGTTCTTTGTGATGTGTGCCTTCATCTCACAGAGTTGATCCTCTCTTTTCATGGAGCATTTAGAAATCAGTCTTTTTGGGAAATGACTCCTCTCAATCATTCCCCGCTAGACTGAAATCTTCTCAAGTATGAGAAAAATTATTTTTATACCTTGTTTTCCTCAGGACCCAGTGTATTATCTGACACACAGAAAGTATTAAGATATATATATTGATTATAAAGGAATAAAGTAGTATTTCCAAATCAAAAAAAAAAAAGAATTCAGTTTTTTGTAGAATCTACAAATGCATATTTGGAGCACTTTGAGGCCTATGGTGAAAAAGGAAATTTCTTCACATAAAAACTAGACAGAAGTATTCTAAAAAACTTCTTTGTAATGTGTCCATTCATCTCCCAGATTTGAAACTTTCTTTTGATTGAGCAATTTTGAAACAGTCTTTTCATAGAATCTGCAAAGGGATATTTTTGAGCCCTGTATGGCCTACTGTGGAATAGGAAATATCTTCAAATAAAAACTAGACAGAAGCTTTCTGAGAAACTTCTTTATGATGTATGCTTTCGTCTCTCAGAGTTGAACCTTTCTTTTGATTGAGCAGTTTGGAAAAAGCATTTTTGTGGAATCTACAAATGGATACTTGGAGCCCTTTGAGGTATACGGTGAAAAAGGAAATATCTTCACATAAAACCAGATGGAAGCATTCTGAGAAACTTCTTTGTGATGCCTGCATTCATCTCAAAGAGTTGAGCCCTTCTTTTGATGGAGCAGATTCGAAACAGTCTTCTTGTAGAATCTGCAAAGGGATATTTCTGAGCTGTTTTAGGCCTATGGTGAAAAAGAAACATCCTCACATAAAAACTAGACAGAAGCATTCTGAGAAACTTCTTTTGGATGTGTCCATTCATCTCACAGAGTTGAAACTTTCTTTTGATTGAGCATTTTGTAAACAGTCTTTTCGTAGGATCTGTAAAGGGATATTTGTGAGCCCTTTATGGCCTATGATGAAATAGGAAATATCTTCACATAAAAGCAGACAGAAGCTTTCTGAGAACCTTCTTTTTGATGTTTGCATTCATCTCACAGAGTTGAACCTTTCTTTTGATTGAGCAGTTTGGAAACCGTCTATTTGTAGAATCTGCAAGTGGATATTTGGAGCACTTTGAGGCCTATGTTGAAAAGGAAATATCTACACATAAAAACTAGACAAAGGCATTTTGAGAAACTCCTTTGTGATGTGTGCATGCATCTCACAGAGCTGAACGTTTCTTTTGATGGTGCACGTTGGAAGGAGTCTTTTTGTAGTAACTGCAGAGCGATATTTGTGAGCAGTTAGGGCCTATGGTGAAAAATGAAGTATCTTCACATAAAAACTAGACAGAAGCATTCTTAGAAACTTCTTTGCTCTGTGTGCATTCATCTCACAGAGACGAACCTTTCCTTTGATGGAGCAGTTTGGAAAGAGTCTTTTTGAAGTTTCTGCAGAGGGATATTTGTGAGCAGTTTAAGTACTATGGTGAAAAAGGAAATATCTTCACATAAAAACTAGACAGAAGTTCACTGAGAAACTTCTTTGTGATGTATGATTTCATCTCACAGAGATGAACGTTTGTTTTTATTGAGCAGTTTGGAAACAGTCTTTTTGTAGAATTTGCAAATGGGCATTTGGAATGCTATGAGGCCTATGGTGAAAAAGAAAATATCTTCACATAACAACTAGAGAGAAGAATTCTGAGAAACTTCTTTGTGATGCCTGCATTCGTCTCAGAGGGTTGAACCTTTCTTTGATTGAACAGTTTGGAAACACTGTTTTTGTAGAATCTGCAAAGGGATATTTGTGAGAACTTTATGGCCTATGGTGAAATAGGAAATATCTTCACATAAAAACTAGACAGAATATTTCTGAGAAACTTCTTTGTTCTGTATGCTTCATCTCTCACAGTTCAACCTTTCTTTTGATGGAGCAGTTTGGAAAAACTCTTTTGTAGACTCTACAAATGGATATTTGTAGTGCTTCAAGGCCTATAGTGAAAAAGGAAATATCTCCACATAAAAACTAAACAGAAGCTTTCTGAGAAACTTCTTTGTGATGTGTGCATTCCTCTCACAGATTTGAACGTTCCTTTTGATTGAACAGTTTGGAATCAGTCTTTTTGTACAATCTGCAAATGGATAATTCCAAGCTGTTTGAGGCCTACGGTGAAAAAGAAGTATCTTCACATAAAAATTATACAGAAGCATTATGAGAAACTTATTTGTGTTGTGTCCATTCATCTCAAAGTGTTGAACCTTTCTTTTGATTCATCAGTTTGGAAACAGTCTTTTTGTACAATCTGCAAAGGGATATTTTTCAGCCCTTTATGTCCTATGATGAAAAAGGAAATATATCAACATAAAAAGTAGACAGAAGCATTTTGACAAACTTTTTTGTGATGTGTGATTGCATCTCACAGAGTTGAACCTCTCTTTTGTTTGAACTGTTTGGAAACAGTCCTTTTGTAAAATCTGCAAAGGGATATTTTTATGCCCATTGAAGCCTATGGTGAAACAGGAAATATCTTCAATAAAAACCAGACAGAAGCTTTCTGACAAACTACTTTGTGATGTGTGCTTTCATTTCATGGCATTGAACCATTCTTTGGATTGAGCAGTTTGGAAAAAGCATTTTTGTAGAATATGCAACTGGATATTTGGAGCGCTTTGAGGCTGAAGGTGAAAAAGGAAACATCTTCACATTAAAACTAGACAGAAGAATTCTGACAAAATCTTTTGTGATGTTTGCAATCATCTCACAGAGTTGAACCTTTCCTTTGATGGAGAAGTTTGGAAAGAGTCTCTTTGTAGTATGTGCAGAGGGATATTTGTGAGCAGTTTAAGGCCTATGGTGAAAAGGGAAATATCTTCACATAAAAACTAGACAGAAGCTTACTGAGAAACTTCTATCTGATGTATGTTTCCATCTCATAGACTTGAACCTTTCTGATGATTGTGCAGTTTAGAAATAGTCTTTTTGTAGAATCTGCAAATGGGTATTTGGAGCGTTTTGAGACCTATGGTGAAAAAGGAAATATCTTCACATAGTAACTAGACAGAAGCATTCTGAGAAACTTCTTTGTGATGTGTGCATTCATTTCTCAGAGTTGAACTTTTCTTTTGATGGAGCAGCTTGGAAACAGTCTTCTTGTAGTATCTGCATAGGGATAATTGTGACCGGTTTAAGGCCTATGATGAAAAAGGAAATATCTTCACATAAAAACTAGACAGAAGCATTCTGAGAAACTCCTTTGTGATTTGTGCATTCATCTCCCAGTGTTCAACCTTTCTTTTGATTGAGTAGTTTCGACAAAATCTTTTTGTAGAATCTACAAATCTATACTTGGAGCACTTTGAGGACTATGGTGAAAAAGGAAATACCTTCACATAAAAACTAGACAGAAGCATTCTGAGAATTTTTTTGTGATATTTGCATTCATCTCACAGAGTTGAGCCTTTCTTTTGATTGAGCAGTTTGGAGAGAGTCCTTTCGTAGAATTTGCAGAGGGATATTTGTGAGCCCTTTATGGCCTACGATGAAATAGGAAATATGTTCACTCCAAAACTAGACAGAAACTTTCTGAGAAACTTTGTGATGTATGCTTTCTTCCCACGGAGTTGAACGTTACTTTTCATTGAGCAGTTTGGAAGCAGTGTTTTTGTAGGATCTCCAAATGGACATTTGGAGAGCTTTGAGGCCTATGGTCCAAAAGGAAGTATCTTCACATAAAAACTAGACTGAAGCATTCTGAGAAACTTCTTTGTGATGTGTGCATTTACCTCACAGAGTTGAACATTTCGTTTTTTGGAGCAGTTTGGCAACACCGCTTTTTTTTCTTGAACAGTTTGGAAACAGTCCATTAGAAGAATCTGCAGAGGGATATTTGTGAGCCCATTGTGGCCTATGCTAAATAGGAAATATCTTTACATAAAACCTAGACAGAAGCTTTCTGAGAAACTAATTTGTGATGTGTGCTTTCATCCCACAGAGTTGAACCTTTCTTTGATTGAGCAGTTTAGAAACAGTCTTTTTGTAGAATCTACAAATGAATATTTGGAGCACTTTCAGGCCTATGGAGAAAAAGGAAATATCTTGACATAAAATCTAGACAGAAGCATTCTGAGAAACTGCTTTTTGTTGTGTGCATTCCTCTCACAAAGTTGAAGCTTTCTTTTGATGGAGCAGTTTGGAAACAGTCTTTTCATATTATCTGCAGAGGGATATTTGTGAGCAGTTTAGGCCTATGGTGAAAAAGGAAATATCATCACATAAAAACTAGACAGAAGAATTCTAACAAACTCCTCTATGATGTGTGCATTCATCTCACAGAGTTGAACCTTTTTTTGATGGAGCAGTTTGGAAACATTCTTTTTGTATAATCTGCATATGGATATTTGGAGTGCTTGGAGGCCTGTGGTGAAAAAGGAAATATCTTCACAGAAAAAATAAGAGAAGTTTTCTGAGAAACTTCTTTGTGATGGGTGCATTCACCTCACAGATTTGAAACCTACTTTTGATTGAGCAGTTTGGAAACAGTCTTTTTGTACGATCTGCAAGGGATGTTTCCGAGACATTTGAGGTCTGTGGTGAAAAATAAGTATTTTCACATAAAAAGTGCACCGAGGCATTCTGAGAAACTTCTTTGTGTTGTGTCCATTCATTTCTGATAGTTGAATCTCTCTTTTGTTTGAGCAGTTTGGAAACAGTCTTTTGGTAGAATCTGCAAATGGATATTTGAAGCACTTTGAGGCCTATGGTGAAAAAGGAAATATCTTCACATAAAAACTAGGCAGAAGCATTCTGAGGAACTTCTTTGTGATGTTTGCATTCATCTCACAGAGTTGAAACTTTCTTTCATTTGATCAGTTTGGAAGCAGTCCTTTTCTACAATCTGTAAAGGGATATTTGTGAGCCCATTTGGGCCTATGGTGAAAAAGAAGTACCTTCATTTAAAAACTAGAGAGAAGCATTCTGAGAAACTTCATAGTGATGTGCCCTTTCATGTCACAGAGTTGAACCTTTCTTTTGAATGAGCATTTTGGAAACGGTCTTTTTGTAGTAGCTGCAGAGGGATATTTGTGAGCAATGTAATGCCTATGGTGAAAAAGAAAATATCTTCACATAAAAACTAGACAGAAGCATTCTGAGAATCTTTTTGTAATCGGTGTATTCATCTCACAGAATTGAAACTTTCTTTTGATGGAGCAGTTTGTAAAGAGTCCTTTTGTAGAATCTGAAAATGTATATTTTTGAGCCATTTCTGTCCTTTGGTGAAATAGGAAATATCTCCATTCAAAAACTAGACAGAAGCTTTCTGAGAAACTTCTTTGTCATATATGATTTCATCTACCAGAGTTGAAACTTTCTTTTGATTGAGCAGTTTGGAAACCGTCTTTTTGTGTGGTCTACAAATGGATATTTAGAGCACATTGAGGCCTATGGTGAAAAAGGAAATATCTTCACATAAAAATTAGACAGAAGCATTCTGATAAGCTTCTCTGTGATGTGTGCATTCATCTCACAGAGATGCACCTTTCCTTTGATTGAGTAGTTGGCAAACAGTCGTTTTGTAGTATCTGCAGAGGTATATTTGTGAGTGGTTTAAGGCCTATGATGAAAAAGGAAATATCTTCACATAAAAACTAGACAGAAGCATTCTAAGAAACTACTTTGTCATCTGTGTATTCATCTCACACAGATGAAACTTTCCTTTGAGTGGGCTGTTTTGAACGAGTCCTTTTGCAGAATCTGCAAAGGGATACTTTTGAGCCCTTTGTGGCCTATGGTGAAATAGGAAATATCTTCACACAAAAACTAGACAGAAGTTTCTGAGGAACTTCTTTGTTATGTGTGATTTCCTCTCCCAGAGTTGAACCTTAATTATGATAGAGCAGTTTGGAAACAGTTGTTTTGTAGAATCTGCAAATGGATATTTGCAGCACTTTGAGACCTATAGTGGAAAATGAAATATCATCAAAAAAAAAAAATTAGACAGAGGCATTTTGAGAAACTCCTTTGTGATGGGTGCATTCATCTCATGGAATTGAACCTTTTTTTTGATGGAGCAGTTTGGAAACACTCTTTTTGTAGAATCTGCAAATGGATATTTGCAGCACATTGAGGCAGATGGTGAAAAAGGAAATATATTCACATAAAAACTAAACAGAGGCTTTATGAGAAACTTCTTTGTGATGTGTGCATTCATCTCTCAGAGTTGAACCTTTTTTTTGATTGAACAGTTTGGAAACAGTCCTTTTGTAGAATCTGAAAAGGGATATTTGTGAGCACATGGAAGCATATCATGAAATAGGAAATATTATCACATAAAAACTAGACAGAAGTTTTCTGTGAAACTTTTTGTGATGTGTGCTTTCATCTCAAAGAGATCAATCTTTCTTTTGATTGAGCAGTTTGGAAAGAGTCTCTTTGTAGAATCTGCAAATGAATATTTGGAGCACTTTGAGGCCTGTGGTGAAGAAGGAAATATCTTCACATAAAAACTAGACAGAAGCATTCTGAGAAACTCCTTTGTGATGTGCACATTCGTCTCACACGTTGAACTTTTCTTTTGATTGAGCAGTTTGGAAACAGTCTTTTTGTACAATCTGCAAAAGGATATTTGTGAGCCGTTTATGGCCTATTGTGCAATATGAAATATCTCCACATAAAAACGACACAGAAGGTTTGTGGGAAACTTCTTTGAGATGTATGCTTTCATCTCACAGAGTTCAACCTTTCTTTTGATTGAGCAGCTTGCAAACAGTGTTTATGTAGTATCTGCAAATGGATATTTGGATCACTTTGAGGCCTATGGTGACACAGCAAATGTCCTCGCATAAAATCTAGACAGAAGCATTCTGAGAAACTTATTTGTGATGTGTGCAGTCATCTCACAGAGTTGCACCTTTCTTTTGATTGAACAGTTTGGAAAGTGTCCTCTTGCAGAATCTGGAATGGGATATCTGTGATCCATTGATGGCGTATGGTGAAATAGGAAATATCTTCACACAAAAACTAGACAGAAGCTTTCTGAGAAACATCTCTGTGATGTATGCTTTCATCTCACAGAGTTGAAAGTTTCTATTGATTGAGCAGTTTGGAAACACTCTTTTTGTACAATCTGTAAGGGAATATTTGTGAGCTGCTTGAGGCCTATGGTGGAAAAGTAATGTGTTCACATAAAAACTAGACAGAAGCATTCTGAGAAACTTGTTTGTGATGTATCCATTGATCTCACAGATTTGAACCTTTGTTTTCTTTGAGCAGTTTGGAAACTGTCTTTTTGTACATTCTGCAAAGAGATATTTTTGAGCCCTTTATGGCATATGGTGAAATAGGAAATATTTCACATAAAAATTAGACAGAAGCATTCTGAGAAACTTCTTTGTGTTGTGTCCATTCATTTCTGATAGTTGAACCTTTCTTTTGTTTGAGCAGTTTGGAAACAGTCTTTAGGTAGAATCTGAAAATGGATATTTGGAGAGCTTTGAGGTCTATGGTGAAAAAGGAAATACCTTCACATAGTAAGTACACAGAAGCAGTCTGAGAAACTTCTTTTTGATGTGTGCATTCATTTCACAGAGTTGAACATTAGTTTTGTTGGAACAGTTTGGAAACAGTGCTTTTGTAGTATCTGCAAAAGGGATATTTGTGAGCTGATTGAGGCCTATTGTGAAATAGGAAATATCTTCACATAAAAACTAGACAGAAGCTTTGTGAGAAACTTCTTTGTGATGGGTGCATTCATCTCACAGTATTGAAGCTTTCTTTTCATTGAGCAGTTTGGAAACTGTCTTTTCCTACAATCTGCAAGGGATATTTCAGAGCTGTTTGAGGCCTATGGTGAAAAAGTAATACCTTCACAGAAAAACTCGAGAGAAGCATTCTGAGGAACTTCTTTGTGATGTGTCCATTTATCTCACAGAGTTGAAACTTTCTTTTGTCTGAGCAGTTTGGAAACAGTCTTTTTGTAGAATCTGCAAAGTGATATATTTGAGCCTTTTATTGCCTATGGTGAAATAGGAAATATTTTCCCATAAAAACTAGACAGAAGCATTCTGAAAGACATCTTTGTGATGTGTGCATTCATCTCACAGGGTTGAACCCTTCTTTTTCTTGAGCAGTTGGAAATAGTCTTTTGGTAGAATCTGCAAATGGATATTTGGAGTGCTTTGAGGAATATGATGAAAAAGGAAATATCTTCACATAAAAACTAGACAGAATCATTCTGAAAAAGTTCTTTGTGATGTGTGCATTCATTTCACAGAATTGAACCTTTCTTTTGTTTGAACAGTTTCAAAACAGTCCTTTTGTAGAATCTGCAATGGGATATTTGTGAGCTCATTGAGGTGATTGTGAAATAGGAAATATCTTCACAAGAAAACTAAACAGAAGCTTTCTGAGAAAGTTCTTTGTAATGCATGCTTTCATCTCACAGAGTTGAAACATTCTTTTGATTGAGCAGTTTGGAAACACTCTTTCTGTAGAATCTGCAAATGGATATTTGGAGTGCTTTGAGGTCTATGGAAAAAAAGGAAATAACTTCATGTAAAAACTAAACAGAAGTTTTCTGAGAAATTTCTTTGTGATATGTGCATTCATTACACAGAGTTGAAACTTCCTTTGATTGAGCAGTGTGGAAACAGTCTTTGTGTAGAATCTGCGAGTGGATATTTGAAGCGCTTTGAGGCCTACTGTGAAAAAGGAAATATCTTCACATAAAAACTATACAGAAGCATTCTGAGAAACTTCTTTGTGATGTGTGAATTCACCTCACAGAGTCAAACCTTTCTTTTTATTGACAAGTTTGGAAACAGTGCTTTTGTAGAATCTGCAAAGGGATATTTGTGAGCCCATTGAGGCCTATGGTGAAATAGGAAATATGTTCACATAAAAACTAGACAGAAGCTTTCTGAGAAACTTCTTTGTGATGTGTGTTTTCATCTCACAGAGTTGAAACTTTCTTTTGATTGAGAAATTTGGAAACTGTCTTTTTGTAGAATCTTCAAATGAATATTTGTAATGCTTTGAGGACTATCGTGAAAAAGGGAATATCTTCACATAAAAACTAGACATAAGCATTCTGAGAAATTCCTTTGTGAAGTGTGCATTCATCTCAGAGTTCAACTTTCTTTTGAAGGATAATTTTAGAAACAGTCTTTTTGTAGAGTATACAGAGGGATATTTGTGAATGCTTTAGTGTCTATGGTGAAAAAGGAAATATCTTCACATAAAAACTAGACAGAAGCATTCTGAGAAAATTCTTTGTGATGTGTGCATTCATGTCACAGAGTTGAAGCTCTATTTTGATTGAGCAGTTTGGAAAAAGTGTTCTCGTAGAACCTGCAAAGTGATATTTGTGAGCCCTTTATGACCTATGGTGAAATAGGAAATATCTTCACATAAAAACTAGACAGAAGTTTTCTAAGAAACTTCTTTGTGATGTATGCTTTCATCTCACAGAGTTGAACGTTTCTTTTTTTGAAAAGTTTGGAAACTGTCTTTTTGTAGCATCTGCAAATGGATATTTGGGGCACTTTGAGGGCAAAGTTGAAAAAGGAAATATCTTCACATCAAAACTAGGCAGAAGCATTCTGAGAAACTTCTTTGTGATGTGTGCATTCATCTTACAGAGTTGAACCTTGTTTTGATGGAACAGTTTGGAAACAGTCTTTTTGTAGTATCTGCAGAGGGATATTTTTGAGCTGTCTAAGGTCTACGGTGAAAAAGGAAATATCTTCACATAAAAGCTAGACAGAATCATTCTGAGAAACTTCTTTGTTATGTGTGCATTTGTCTCAAAGAGTTGAACCTTTCTTTTGATTGAACAACTTGGAAATTCTCTTTTTGTAGAATTTGCAAATAGATATTTGGAGTGCTTTGAGGCCTGTGGTGAAAAAGAAACTATTATCACAAAAAATCTAAACAGAAGCTTTCTGAGAATCTTCCTTGTGATGTGTGCATTCATCTCCCAGAGTTGAACCTTTCTTTTTATTGAGCAGTGTGGAAACAGCCTTTTTGTAGAATCTACAAATTGATATTTGGAGCGATTTGTTGTCTACGGTGAAAAAGGAAATATCTTCACATAAAAATTAGACAGAAGCATTCTGAGAAACTTCTTTGTGATGTGTGCATTCATCTCACAGAGTTGAACCTTTCTTTTGGTGGAGCAATTTGGAAACAGTCCTTTTGTAGTATCTGAAGAGGAATATTTTTGGGTGGTTTAAGGCCTGTGTTGATAAATGAAATATCATCACATAAACACTAGACGGAATTATTCTGAGAAACACCTTTGTAATGGTTTCACTCATGTGACAGAGTTGAACCTTTCTTTTCATACAGCAGGTTGGAAGCATTCTTTTTGTAGTATCTGTAAAGGGATATTTGTGACTGATTTAAGACCTATGGATAAAAATGAAATATCTTTACACAAAAACTAGACAGAAACATTCTGAGAAAATTCATTGTGATGTGTGCATTTATCTCACAGAGTTGAACCTTTCTTTTGATTGAGCAGTTTGGAAACTTTCTTTTTGTAGAATACAGAAATGGATATTTGGAGTGCTTTGAGGTATATGGTGAAAAAGGAAATATCTTCAGGTAAAAAATAAACAGAAGCTTTGTGAGAAACTTCTTTGTGATGTGTGCATTCATCTCCCAGAGTTGAACCTTTCTTTTGATTGTGCAGTTTGGAAACTGTCTTTTTGTACAATCTGCAAAGGGATAATTCTGAGTCGTTTGAGGCCTGTGTTGAAAAAGAAGTATCTTCACATAAAATCTAGAGAGAAGCATTCTGAGAAACTTCTTTGTGCTGTGTGCTTTCATCTCACAAAGTTCAACCTCTCTTTTGCTTGAGCAGTTTGGAAACAGTATTTTCGTAGAATCTGCAAATGGATATTTGGAGTGCTTTCAGGACAATTGTGAAAATGGAAATATCTTCACATAAAAACTAGACAGAAGCATTCTGAGAAACTTCTTTGTTTTGTGTGCATTCATCTCACAGTTGAACCTTTCTTTTGTTTGAGCAGTTTGGAAACACTCTTTTTGTAGAATCTTCAAATGGGTATTTGCAGCGCTTTGAGGCCTATGATGAAAAAGGAAATATCTTCACTAAAAGCAAAATGGAAGCTTTTTGAGAAACTTCTTTGTGACATTTGCATTCTTCTCCCAGAGTTGAATCTTTCTTTTGATAGAGCAGTTTGGAAACAGTGTTTTTGTACAATTTGCAAAGGGATATTTCTGAGCCTTTTGAGACCTATTGTGAAAAACAAGTATCTTCATATAAAAACTAGAGAGAAACCTTCTGAGAAATTTCTTTGTAATGTGTCCATTCATCTCACAGTGTTGAACCTTTCTTTTGATTGAGCAGTTTGGTAACAGTGTTTTCGTAGAACCAGAAAAGGGATATTTGTGAGCCCTTTATGTCCTGTGGTGAAACAGGAAATACCTTAACATAAAAACTAAAAGGAAGCTTTCTGAGAAACTTCTTTGTGATGTGTGCATTCATCTCCCGTAGTTGAAACTTTCTTTTGATTGAGCAGTTTGGAAACAGTCTTTTTGTAGAATCTGCAAATTGATATTTGGTGTGTTTTGTGGCCTATGGTGAAAAAGACAATATCTTCACATAAAAACTAGACAGAAGCATTCTGATAAACTACTTTGTGATGTGTGCATTCATCTCACAGAGTTGAACCTTTCTTTTGATAGAGCAGTTTGGAAACACCATTTTTGTAGAATCTGCAAATGGATATTTGGAGCGCTTTCCAGCCTATGGTCAAAAAGGTAATATCTTCACATAAACCTAAACAGAATATTTCCCAGAAACTTCTTTGTGATGTGTGCATTCAACTCCCAGAGTTGAACTTTTCTTTTGATTGAGCAGTTTGGAAACAGTCTTTTTGTAGAATCTGCAAATCAATATTTGGAATGCTTTGATGCCTATGGTGAAAAGGGAAATATCTTCACATAAAAACTAGGCAAAAGCATTCTGAGAAACTTCTTTGTGCTGTGTGCATACATCTAACAGAGTTCAACCTTTCTTTTGATGGAGCAGTTTGGAAACAGTCTTTTTGTAGTATCTGCATAGGGATATGTGTGAGTATTTTGAGGCTTATGTTGAAAAAGGAAATATCTTCACATAAAAACTAGACAGAAGCATTCTGAGAAACTTCATTGTGATGTCTGCATTCATCTCACAGGGTTGAAAGTTTCTTTTTATTGAACAGTTTGGAAACAGTCCTTTTGTAGAATCTGCAAAGGGATATTTGTGAGCCCTTTTTGGCCTATGTTGAAATAGGAAATATGTTCACATAAAAAGTAGACAGAAGCTTTCTGAGAAACTTCCTGTGATGCATGCTTTCATCTCACAGAGTTGAGTGTTTCCTTTAATTGAGCAGTTTTGAAACAGACTTTTTGAATAATCTCCAAATGGATATTTGGAGCATTTTGAGGCTATGATAAAAAAGAAATATCTTCACAAAGAAACTAGACAGAAGTATTCTGGGAAACTTCTTTGTGTTGTGTGCATTCATCTCACAGAATTGAAACTTTCTATTGATGTAGCAGT
Source organism: Homo sapiens (assembly GCF_000001405.40). Lineage (NCBI taxonomy): Eukaryota > Metazoa > Chordata > Mammalia > Primates > Hominidae > Homo > Homo sapiens. The sequence continues at coordinate 27,349,846 of NC_000019.10, read as the reverse complement.
TTGGAAACAGTCTTTTTGTAGTATCTGCAGAGGAATGTTTCTGAGTGGTTCAAGGCCTATGGTGAAAAAGGAAATATCTTCACATAAAAACTAGACAGCAGTATTTTGAGAAACCTCTTTGTGATATGTGCTTTCATCTCACAAAGTTGAAACTTTCTTTTGGTTGAGCATTGTGGAAACAGTCCTTTTTAGTATCTGCAAAGGGATATTTGTGAAACCATTGAGTCCTATTGTGAAATAGGTAATATTTTCACATAAAAAGTAGTCAGAAACTTTCTGAGAAACTTCTTTGTGATGTGTGCTTTCATCTTACAGAGTTAAAACTTTATTTTGATTGAGGAGTTTGGAAACACTCTTTTTGTAGAGTCTGCTAATGGATATTTGGAGCCCTTTGAGGAATATGGTGAAAATGAAATATCTTCATATAAAAACTAAACAGAATCATTCTGAGAAACTTCTTTTTGATGTGGTCATTCATCTCACAGGGATGAAACTTTCTTTTGATTAAGCAGTTTGGAAGCAGTTTTTTTTTTTTTTTTATAATCTGCAAAGGGATATTTCTGAGCCATTTGAGGCTGATGGTTGAAAAGAAATATCTTCACATAAAAACTAGACAGAAACTCTCTGGGAATCTTCTTTGTGATGTGTCCATTTGTCTCACAGAGTTGAACCTTTCTTCTGATTGAGCAGTTTAGAAACAGTCCTTTTGTGGAATGTGGAAAGTTATATTTCAGAGCCATTTATGGCCTATGGTGAGATAGGAAATATCTTCACATAAAAACTAGACAGAAGCTCTTTGAGAAACCCCTTTGTGATGTTTGCATTCATCTCACAGAGTTGACCCTTTCTTTTCAGTGAGCAGTTTGGAAACAGTATTTTTGTACAATCTGCAAATGGATATTTCTGAGCGGATTGAGACCTATGGTAAAAAAGGAAATATTTTCACATAAAAACCAGACAGAAGCAATCTGAGAAACTTTTTTTTATGTGTGTGTTCTTCTCACAGTGTTGAACGTTTCTTTTCATTGAGCAGTTTGTAAACAGTCTTTTGTGTAACCTGCAAAGGAATATTTCTGAGTAGATTGAGGCCTATGGTGAAAAAGAAATATCTTCACATAAAAACTAGACAGAAGCGTTCTGAGAAACTTCTTTTTCATGTGTGCATTCTTCTCACAGGGTTGAACCTTTCTTTTCATTGAGCAGTTTGGAAACAGTCTTTTTGTGTAATCTGCAAAGGGATATTTGTGAGTGGTTTGATGCCTATGGTTAAAAAGGAAATATCTTCACATAAAAACTAGACAGAAGTTTTTTGAGAAACCTCTTTGTGATATTTGCATTCATCTCACAGAGTTGAATCTTTCTTTTCAGTGAGCAGTTTGGAAAAAGTATTTTTGTACAATCTGCAAATGGATATTTCTGAGCTATTTGAGGCCTATGGTGAAAAAAAAATATCTTCACATAAAAACTAGATAGAAGCATCCTGAGAAACTTCTTTTTCATGTGTGCATTCATCTCACAGAGTTGAACCTTTCTTTTCATTGAGCAGTTTGGAAAAAGACTTTTTGTAGAATCTGCAAAGGGATATTTCTGAACCATTTGAGTCCTATGGTGAAAAAGAAGTATCTTCACATAAAAACTAGGTAGAAGCATTCTGAGTAACTTCTTTTTTATGTGTGATACCCAGGCAAATCCGCTGCTGATACCCAGGCAAACAGGGTCTGCAGTGGACCTCTAGTAAATTCCAACAGACCTGCAGCCGAGGGTCCTGTTTGTTAGAAGGAAAACTAACAAACAACAAGGACATGCACACCAAAATCCCATATGTACATCACCATCATGAGAGACCAAAGGTAGACAAAACCACAAAGATGTGAAAAAAGTGAGCAGAAAAACTGGAAACTCTAAAAATCAGAGTGTCTCTTGTCCTCCAAAGGAACGCAGATCCTCACCAGCAATGGAACAAAGCTGGATGGAGAATGATTTTGACGAGTTGAGAGAAGAAGGCTTCAGATGATCAAACTACTCCGAGCTACATGAGGAAATTCGAACCAATGACAAAGAAGTTAAAAGCTTTGTAAAAAAATTAGACGAATGGATAACTAGAATAAACAATGCAGAGAAATCCTTAAAGGACCTGATGGAGCTGAAAACCAAGGCATGGGAGCTACATGACAAATGCAGAAGCCTCAGTAGCCATTGTGATCAAGTGGAAGAAAGGGTATCTGTGATGGAAGATGAAATGAATGAAATGAAGCAAGAAAAGAAGTTTAGAGAAAAAAGAAAAAAAAGAAATGAACAAAGCCTCCAGGAGATATGGGACTATGTGAAAAGACCAAATCTACGTCTGATTGGTGTATCTGAAAGTGACAGGGAGAATGGAACCAAGTTGGAAAACACTCTGCAGGCTATTTTCCAGGAGAACTTCCCCAATCTAGCAAGGCGGGCCAACATTCAAATTCAGGAAATACAGAGAATGCCCCAAAGAGACTCCTCAAGAAGAGCAACTCCAAGACACATAATTGTCAGATTCACTAAAGTTGAAATGAAGGAAAAAATGTTAAGGGCAGCCAGAGAGAAAGCTCGGGTTACCCACAAAGGGAAGCCCATCAGACTAACAGCAGGTCTCTCAGCAGAAACTCTACAAGCCAGAAGAGAGTGGGGACCAATATTCAACATACTTAAAGAAAAGAATTTTCAACCCAGAATTTCATATCCAGCCAAACTAAGCTTCAAAAGTGAAAGAAAAATAAAATACTTTACAGACAAGCAAATGTTGAGAGATTTTGTGAAAACCAGGCATGCCTTAAAACAGCTCCTGAAAGAAGCACTAAACATGGAAAGGAAAAACTGGTACCAGCCACTACAAAAACATGCCAAATTGTAAGGCCATCGAGGCTAGGGAGAAACTGCATCAACTAACGAGCAAAATAACAGCTAACATCATAATGACAGGATCAAATTCACACACAACAATATTAACTTTAAAGGTAAATGGGCTAAATGTTCCAATTAAAAGACACAGACTGGCAAATTGCATAAAGAGTCAAGGCCCATCAGTGTGCTGTATTCAGGAAACCCATCTCAGGTGCAGAGACACACATAGGCTCAAAATAAAGGGATGGAGGAAGATCTACCAAACAAATGGAAAACAAAAAAGGCAGGGGTTGCAAACCTAGTCTCTGATAAAACAGACTTTAAATCAACAAAGATCAAACTAGACAAAGAAAGCCATTACATAATGGTAAAGGGATCAAAGCAACAAGAAGATCTAACTATCTTAAATATATATGCATCCAATACAGGAGAACGCAGATTCATAAAGCAAGTCCTTAGAGACCTACAAAGAGACTTAGACTCCCAAACAATAATAATGGCAGACTTTAACACCCCACTGTAAACAGTCTTTTTGTGGAATCTGCAAATGGATATTTGGAGTGCTTTGAGGCCTATGGTGGAAAAGGAATTATCTTCACATAAAAACTAGACAGACGCATTCTGAGAAAATTCTTTGTGATGTGTGTATTCATCTCACAAAGTTACCTTTTTTTGATTGAGCAGTTTGGAAATAGTCTTTTTGTAGAATCTCCACAGGGATATTTGTGAGCCCTTTATATCCTAAGGTGAAATAGGAAATATCTTCACATAAAAACTAGACAGAAGCTTTCTTAGAAACTTCTTTGTGATGTATCATTTCATTTCACAGAGTTGAAACTTTGTTTTGATTGAGCAGTTTGGAAACAGTCTTTTCTTAGAATCTGCACAGGGATATTTGTGATCCCTTTATGGTCTATGGTGAAATACATAATATCTTCACATAAAATTGAGACAGAAACTTTCTGAGAAACTTCTTTTTAATGTATGCTTTCGTCTCACAGAGTTGAACCTTTCTTTTGATTGAGCAGTTTGGAAACAGTCTTTTTGTAGAATCTGCAAATGGATATATGGAGCACTTTAAGGCCTATTGGGAAAAGGGAAATATCTTCACATAAAAACTAAACAGAAGCTTTCTGAGAATCTTCTTTGTGATGTATGTTTTCATCTCACAGAGTTGAACGCTTCTTTTGAATGAACAGTTTGGAAGCACTCTTTTTGTAGAATCCACAAATGGATATTTGGAGTGCTTTGAGGCCTATAGTGAAAAAGAAAACATCTTCACATAAAAACTGAACAGAAGCTTTCTAAGAAACTTACATGTGATGCCTGCATTCATCTCACAGAATTGAAACTTTCCTTTGATTGAGCACTTTGCAAACAGCCTGCTTGTACAATCTGCAGATGGATATTTCCGAGCCATTTGAGGGCTATGGTGAAAAAGAAATAGCTATACATATAAACAAGACAGAAGCATTCTGAGGAACTTCTTTGTGATATGTGTATTCATCTCACAGAGTTGAAACTTTCTTCTGATTGAGCAGTTTGGAAACACACTTTTTGTAGAATCTGCAAGTGGTTAATTGGAACGCTTTGAAGCCTATGGTGGAAAAGGAAATATCTTCACATGAAAACTAGGCAGAAACATTATGAGAAACTTCTTTGTGATGTGTGCATTCATCTCACAAAGTTGAACTTTTCTTTTGATTGAGCAGTTTGGAAACAGTCTTTTTGTAGAATCTCCACAGGGACATTTGAGAGTCCCTTATGGCCTATTGTGAAATAGAAAATATCTTCACATAAAAACTAGACAGAAGCATTCTGAGAAACTTCTTTGTGATGCCTGTATTCATCTCACAGAATTGAACCTTTCTTTTGATGGAGCACTTTGGAAACAGTCTTTTTGTAGTATCTGTAGAGGGATATTTGTGACCGGTTAAAGGCCTATGGTGAAAAAGGAAATATCTTCCCATAAAAATTAAACAGAAGGTTTCTGAGAAGGATCTTTGTGATGTGTGTACTCATCTCACAGAGTTTAAACTTTCTCTTGATTCAGCAATTTGGAAACAGTTTTTTCATAGAATCTGCACAGGGATATTTGAGAGCCCTTTATGCCCTAAGGTGAAATAGGAAATATCTTCACATAAAAACTAGACAGAAGCTTTCTGAGACTCTTCTTTGAAATGTATCCATTCATCTCACAGAGTTGAACCTTTCTTTCAATTGAGCAGGTTGGAAATACCCTTTTTGTAGAATCTGCAAATGGATATTTGGAGCGCTTTGAGGCCTTTGGTGAAAAAGGAAATATCTTCACATAAAAACTAAATAGAAGCTTTCTGGGAAACTTATTTGTGATGTGTGCATTCATGTCACAGATTTGAAATTTTCTTTTGATTGAGCACTTTGGAAACATTCTTTTCATAGAATCTGCACAGGGATATTTGTAAGCCCATTATGGCATATGGTGAAATAGGTAATATCTTCACATAAAAACGAGAAAGAAGTTTTCTGAGAAGCTTCTTTTTAATGTATGCTTTCATCTCACAGAGTTGAACATTTCTTTTGATTCACCCGTTTCGTTTGGAAACAGTCTTTTTGTAGAATCTGCAAATGGATATTTGGAGTGCTTTGGCTCCTATGGCATAAAAGGAAATATCTACATATAAAATCTAGACAGAAGTATTCTGCGAAACTTCTTGGGATGTGTGCATTCATCCCAAAGAGGTGAACATTTATTTTGACTGAGCAGTTTGGAAACAGTCTTCTCGTAGAATCTGCACAGTGATTTTTTTGAGCCATTTATGGCCTATGGTGAAATAGGAAATACCTTCACATAAAAACTAGACAGAAGCTTTCTGAGAAAATTCTTTAGGATGTGTGCATTCATCTCACAGAGTTGAACTTTTCTTTCAATTGAGCAGTGTCAAAACAGTCTTTTTGAACACTCTGCAAAGGGATATATCCGAGCCATTTGATGCCTATGGTGATAAAGAAATATCTTCACATTAAAAGTAGACAGAAGCATTCTGATGAACTTTTTTGTAATGTGTGTGTTCATCTCAGTGATTTGAACCTTTCTTTCAATTGAGCAGTCTGGAAACAGCCTTTTTGTATAATGTGCAAAGGGATATTTGTGAGCACATTTTGGCCTATGGTTAAATAGAAAATATCTTCACATAAAAACGAGACAGAAGCTTTCTCAGAATCTGCTTTGTAAGGTATGCTTTCATCTCAGAGTTGAACTTTTCTTTTGATTGAGCACTTTGGAAATAGTCTTTTTGTAGAATTAGCAAATGGATATTTGGAATGCTTTGAGGCCAATTGCGAAAAAGGAAATATCTTCACATAAAAACTGGACAGAAGCATTCTGAGAAACTACTTTGTGATGTGTGCAGTCATCTCACAGAGTTGATTCTTTCTTTTGTTTGAACAGTTTAGAAACAGTACTTTTGTAGAATCTGCAAAGGTATATTTGGAGTGCTTTGAAGCCTACAGTGAAAAAGACAATATCTTCATATAAAAACTAAACAATAGGTTTCTGAGGAACTACTTTGGAATGTGTGCATTCATCTCAGAGTGTTGAAACTTTCTTTTGATTGAGCAGTTAGGAAACAGTCTTTTCACAGAATCTGCACAGGGATATTTGTGAGCCATTTATGGCCAATGGGGAAATAGGAAATATATTCACATAAAAACTAGACAGAAGGTTTCTGAGAAACTAATTTGTGAAACACTCTTTTTGGAGAATCTGTAAATGGATATTTGGAGTGCTTTGAGGCCTGCGGTGGAAAAGGAAATATCTTCACAAAAAGACTAGACAGAAGCATTCTGAGAAACTTCTTTTTGATGTGTGCATTCATCTCACAGAGTTGAAATTTTTTTTGATTGAGCAGTTTGGAAACACTCTTTTTTTATAATCTGCAAGTGGATATTTGGAGCACTTTCAGGACTATTTTAGAGAAGGAAATATGTTCACATAAAAACTAGATAGAAGCATTCTGAGAAACTTCTTTTTGATGTGTGCATTCATCTCAAAGAGTTGAACATTTCTTTTGATTGAGCAGTTTGGAAACAGTCGTTTTTTATAATCTACAGAAGGATGTTTGTGAACCCATTGAGGCCTCTGGGGAAATAGGAAATACCTATACACAAAAAAAAGACAGAAGCTTTACAAGAAACTCCTTTCTGATGTGTGCTTTCATTTCACAGAGTTGAAACTTTCCTTTGATTGAGCAGCTTGGAAGCAGTCGTTTTGTAGAAACTGCTGAGGTGTATTTGAAAGCCCATTGAGGCCTATGGGGAAATAGGAAATATATTCACATAAAAACTAGACAGAAACATTCTGAGAAACTCCTTTGTGATGTGTTCCTTCATCTCACAGAGTTGAACTTTTCTTTTGATTGAGCAGTTTGGAGACAGTCTTTGTATAATCTGCAAATGGATATTTGTATGCCGTTTGAGGCCTAGGGTGAAAAAGAAATATCTTCACATAAAAACTAGACAGAAGCATTCTGAGAAACTTCTTTGTGATTTGTGCATTCATCTCACAGAGTTGAACGTTTCTTTTGATTTAGCAGTTTGGAAACACTCGTTTTGTAGAATCTGCAAAGGGATGTTTGTGAGCCCATTGAGGCTTATGGTGAAATAGGAGATATCTCCACCTAAAAACTAGACAGAAAATTTCTGACTAACTTCTTTCTAATGTGTGCGTTCAACACATACAATAAACTTTCTTTCAATTGAGCAGTTTGGAAACAGTCTTTTTGTAGTATCTGCAAATGGATATTTGGATAGCTTTGAGGCCTATGGTAAAAAAGGAAATATCATCACAAAAAAACTAGACAGAAGCATTCTCAGAAACTACTTTGTGAAGTATGCATTCATCTCAAAGAGTTGACCTTTTCTTTTGATTGAGTAGTTTTGAAACACTCTTTTGGTAGAATCTGCAAATGGATATTTGGAGCGCTTTGAGGAATATGGTGGAAAAGGAAATATCTTCACATAAAAACTAGACAGAGGGATTCTGACAAACTTCTTTGTGATGTGTGTATTCAACTCACATAGTTGAACCTTTTTTTTGAATGAGAAGTTTGGAAACAGTATTTTTGTAGTATCTGCAAATGGATATATGGAGTGCTTTGAGGCCAATGGTGAAAAAGGAAATATCTTCACATAGAAACTAGACAGAAGCATTCTGAGAAAATTCTTTGTGATATGTGCCTTCATCTCACAGAGTTGAGCCTTTCTTTTGATTGAGCAGTTTGGAACCAGTATTTGTACAATCTGCAAACGGATATTTCTGTGCTGTTTGAGGCATATGGTGAAAAAGAAATATCTTCACATAAAAACTAGACAGAAGCATTCTGAGAAAACTATTTGTGATGTTTGCATTCATCTCACAGAATTGAATCTTTCTTTTGATTTAGCAGTTTGGAAACCTTCGTTTTGTAGACTCTGCAATGGTACATTTCTGAGCCCATTGAGACCTAAGGGGAAATGGGAAATGTCTTCAAATAAAAACTCGACAGAAACTTTCTGAGAAACTTCTTTGTGATGTGTGCATTCATCTCACAGAGATAAACCTTTTTTTTTTATTGAGCAGTTTGGAAACAGTCTTTTTTGTAGTATCGGCATGATAATATTTGGAGCACTTTAAGGCCTCTAGTCATAATGGAAATTTCTTCAAATAAAAACTAGTCAGAAAATTTCTGAGAAATTTCTTTGTGACGTGTGTCTCGATCTCACAGAGTTGAAACTTTCTTTTGATTGAGCAATTTGGAAACAGTCTTTTTGTAGTATCTGCAAATGGATATTTGGAGTGCTTTGAGGCCTATGGTGGAAAAGGAAATATCTTCACATAAAAACTAGACAGAAGCAATCTGAGGAAGTTCTTTGTGACGTGTGTATTCATCTACAGAGTTGAAATTTCTTTTGATTGAGCCATTTGGAAACACTCTTTTTTGAGAATCTGCATTTGGATATTCAGAGTGATTTGAGGCCTATGGTGGAAAAGGAATGAACTTCACACAAAAACTAGACAGAAGCATTCTGAGAAACTTCTTTGTGATGTGTGCATTCATCTCACAGAGTTGAACCTTTCTTTTAATTGAGCAGTTTTGAAACACTCTTTTTGTTGAATCTGCAATACAATTTTTGGAGCGCTTTGAGGCCTATGGTGGAAAAGGATATATCTTCACATAAAAACTAGACAGAAGCCTTCTGAGAAACTTCTTTGTGATGTGCGCATTATTCTCACAGAGTTGAAACTTTCTTTTTATAGAGCAGTTTGGAAACAGTCTTTTTGTAGTATCTGCAATTGAATATTTGGAGAGCTTTGCAGCCTATGGTAGAAAAGGAAAAATCTTCACATAAAAACTGGATAGAAGCATTCTGAGAAACTTCTTCGTGATGTGTGCATTCATCTCACAGAGTTGAATTTTTCTTTTGATTGAGCAGTTTTGAGACACTCCTTTTTAGAATCTGCAAGTTGATATTTTGAGCGATTTGAGGACTATGTTGGGAAAGGAAATATCTTCACATAAAAACTAGAGAGAAACATTCTGAGAAACCTCTTTGTGATGTGTGCAATCATCTCACGGAGTTGAATCTTTCTTTTGATTGAATAGTTTGGAAACACTCTTTTTAAGAATCTGCAAGTGGATATTTGGAGTACTTTGAGGCCTATGGTGGAAAAGGAAATATCTTCACATAAAAACTAGACAGAAGCATTCTCAGAAACTTCTTTGTGATGTGTGAATTCATCTCAGGGTGTTGGCCCTTTGTTTTCATTGAGCATGTTGGAAACAATCTTTTTGTAGTATGTGCAAATGGATATTACGAGCTCATTGAGTTCTGTGGTGAAAAGAGATATATTTTCTCATACTAACTTGACAGAAGCATTCTGAGAAACTTCTTTGTTATGTGTGCATTTATCTCACAGAGTTGAACATTTCTTATGATTGAGCAGTTTGGAACAGTCGTTTTGCAGAATCTGGAAAGGGATATTTGTGAGCCCTTTGATGCCTCTGGGAAATAAGAATTATCTTCACAGAAAAAATAGATAGAAACTTTCTGAGAAACACTTTGTGTTGTCTGCTTTCATCTCAGAGTTGAAAATTTATTTTGATTGAGCAGTTTTGAAACACAGGTTTTGTAGAATCTACAAGTGGATATTTGCAGCGCTTTGAGGCCTAGGGTGGAAAAGGAAATAACTTCACAGAAAAACGAGACAGAAGTTTTCTGAGAAACTTCTTTGTGATGCGTATCTTCATCTCACAGAGGTGAACCTTTCTTTTGATTGACAAGTTTGGAAACAGTCGTTTTGAAGTTTGTGCAAATGGATATTTGGAGCACATTGTGGCCTATGGTGAAAAAGGAATTACGAACACGTAAAAACTAAACAGAAACATTCTGAGAAACTTCTTTCTGAATTTGTGAATTCATCTCACAGAGTTGAACTTTTCTTTTGATTGAGCAGTTTGGAAACACACTTTTTGTAGAACCTGCAAGTGGATATTTGGAGTGTTTGAGGTCTATGGTGGAAAAGAAACTATATTCCCATAAAAACTAGACAGAAACACTCTGACAAACTGCTTTTTGATGTGTGCATTCATCTCACAGAGTGGAACCTTTCTTTTGATTGAGCAGTTTGGAAAGAGCCTTTTTGTACTATCTGCAAATGGTTATTTGGAGCACTTTGAGGCCTATGGAGGAGAAGGAAATATCTTCACATAAAAACTAGACAGAAGTATTCTGAGATACTTCTTTGTGATGTGTGCATTTATCTCACAGAGTTGAATATTTCTTTTTACTAAGCAGTTTGGTAACAGTCTTCTTGTAGTATCTGCAAGTGGATATTTGGAGCGCTTTGGGCATATGGTGGAAAAGGAAATAGCTTTACATAAAAAATAGACAGAAGTATTCTGAAAAACTACATTGTGATGTGTGCATTCATCTCACGGGGTTGAATCTTTCTTTTGATTGAGCAGTTTGGAAACACTCTTTGTAGAATCTGTAGGTGGATATGTGGAGCCCTTTGTGGTGTATAGTGGAAAAGGAAATATCTTCACATAAAAATTAGACAGAAGCATTCTGAGAAACTGTTTTGTGATGTGCACATTCATCTCACAGAGTTGAAACTTTCTTTTGATTGAGCAGTTTTGAAACATTCTTTTTGTAGAATCTGCAGTGGATATATGGAGGACTTTGAGGCCTATGGTGGAAAAGGAAATATCTTCACCTAAAAACAAGACAGAAGCGTTCTCAGAGACTACTTAGTGATATGTGCAATAATCTCACAGTGTTGAACATTTCTTTTGATTGCACAGTTTCGAAACAGTCTTTCTGCAGTATCTGCAAACGTATATTTGGAGCGCTTTGAGTCCTATGGTGCAAAAGAAAATATCTTCACACAAAAATTAGACAGAAACATTCTGAAAAATTCTTGGTGATATGAGCATTAATCTCTCAGAGTTGAACCATTCTTTTGATTGAGCAGTTTGGACACAGTCTTTTGCAGTATCTGCAAATGGATATTTGGAGCTTTTGAGGCCTATAGTGGAAAAGGAAATATCTTCACATAAAAACTACACAGCAGCATTCTGAGAAACTTCTTTCTTATGAGTGCATTCATCCCACACAGTTGAACATTTCTTTTGATTGAGCAGTTCAGAAATACTCTTTTTGTATTATCTACAAATGGATCTTTGGAGCTCATTGAGGCCTATGGTGGAAAAGGAACAATCTTCACATAAAAACAAGACAGAAGCATTCTGAGAAACTTCTTTGTGATGTGTGCATTCATCTCAAATATTTGAACCTTACTTTTCATTGAGCAATTTGGAAATAATCTTTTTGTAGTGTCTGCAAATGGAAATTTGGAGCGCTTTGAAACCTATGGAGGAAAAGGAAATAACTTCACATACAAAGTAGACAGAAACATTCTCAGAAACTACATTGTGATGTGTGTATTCATCTCACAGTGTGGTTCCTTTCGTTTGATTGAGCAGTTTTGAAACACTCATTTGTAGTATCTGCAAGTGGATATTTGGATCACTGTGAGGCCTATGGTGGAAAAGGAAATATCTTTACATAAAAAGCAGACAAAAGCATGCTGAGAATACTATTTGTTATGTGTGCATTCATCTCATGGATTTGAAACTTTCTTTTAATTGATCATCTTGGAAACAGTCGTTTTGTAGGATCTGTAAAGGGATATATGGGAGCCATTTGATGGCTCTGCGGTAATAGGAATTATCTTCACAAAAAACTTAACAGAAGAATTCTGAGAAACCTCTTTCATATGAGTGCATTCATCTCACAGAGTTGAACATTTCTTTTGATTCTGCCTTTTGGAAACACTCTTTTTGTATTATCTACAAATGGATCTTTGGAGCGCATTGAGGCCTATGGTGGAAAAGGAATAATCTTCACATAAAAACAAGACAGAAGCATTCTGAGAAACTTCTTTGTGATATGTGCATTCATCTCACAGATTTGAACCTTACTTTTCATTAAGCAGTTTGGAAAGAATGTTTTTGAAGTATCTGCAAATGGATATTTGGAGGGCTTTGGGGACTATGATGGAAAAGGAAATATCTTCACATAAAAACTAGACAGAGACATTATGAGAAACTACGTTGTGATGTGGGCATTCATCTCATAGAATTGAAACTTTCTTTTGATGAGCCGTTTTGAAACACTCTTTCTGTAGAATCTGCAAGTGGATATTTGGAGAGCTTTGCGTCTTTTAGTGGAAAAGGAAATCTCTTCACATGAAAACTAGACAGAAGCATTCCGAGAAACTTCTTTGTGATGTGTGCATTCATCTCCCATAGCTAAACCTTTCCTTTTATTGAGCAGTTTTGAAACATTCTTTATGTAGAATCTGCATGTGGATATTTGGAGTGCTTTGGGGCTTATGGTGGAAAAGGAAATATCTTCACATAAAAACTAGACAGAAGTATTCTCAGAAACTTCTTTCTTTTGTGTGCATTCATCTAACAGAGTTGAAATTTCCTTTTGATTGAGCAGTTTTGAAACACTCTGTTTGAAGAATCTGCAAGTGGATATTTGGAGCCCTTTGAGTCCTATTGTGGAAAAGGAAATATCTTCACATAAAAACTAGACAGAAGCATTCTGAGAAACTTCTTTGTGATGTGTGCATTCAACTCACAGAGTTTAACATTTGTTTTGATTGAGCAGTTTGGAAATAGTCTTTCTCTTGTATCTGCAAATGGATATTTGGAGCGCTTTGGAGACTATAGTGGAAAAGGAAATATCTTCACATAAAAACTACACAGAAGCATTCTGAGAAACTTCTTTGTGATGTGTGTATTCATCTCACAGAGTTGAAACTTTCTTTTGATTGAGCAGTTTTGAAACACTCCTTTGTAGATTCTGAAACTGGATATTCGGAGCGCTTTGTGGCCTATAGTGGAAAAGGTAATATCCTCACATCAAAACCAGACAGAAGCATTCTGAGAAACTTCTTTGTGATGTGTGCATTCAACTGACAGAGTTGAACCTTTCTTTTGATTGAGCAGTTTTGAAACACTCTTTTTGTAGAATCTGCAAGTGGATACTTCAAGTGCTTTGAGGCCTACGGTGGAAAAGGAAATATCTACACATAGAAAATAGATAGAAGCATTCTGAGATACTTCTTTGTGATGTGTGCACTGCACTCACAGAGTTGAAAATTTCTTTTGATTAAACAGTTTGGAAACCGTATTTTTGTAGTGTCTGCAAGAGTATATTTGGAGGGTTTTGAGGCCTCTGGTGGAAAAGGAAATATCGTCACATAAAAACTAGACAGAAGCATTCTGAGAAACTTCTTTGTGATGTGTGCATTCATCTCACGGAGTTGAAATTTTTTTGCATTGAGCAGTATTGAGACACTCTGTCTGTAGAATCTGCAAGTGGATATATGGAGTGCTTTGCGGGCTATAGGGGAAAAGGTAATATCTTCACATAAAAACTAGACAGAAGCATTTTGAGAAACTTCTTTGTGATGTGTGCATTTGTCTCACACAGTTGAACCTTTCTTTAGATTGAGCAGTTTTGAAACAATGTTTCTGTAAAATCTGCAAGTGGATATTTGGAGTGCTTTGTGGCCTATGGTAGAAAAGGAAATATCTACACATAGAAAATAGACAGAAGCATTCTGAGATACTTCTTTGTGATGTGTGCATTGCACTCACAGAGTTGTACCTTTCCTTTATTGAGCAGTTTGGAAACCGTATTTTTGTAGTATCTGCAAGAGTATATTTGGAGCACTTTGAGGCCTATTGTGGAAAAGGAAATATCTTCACATAAAAACTAGACAGAAGCATTCTGAGAAACTTCTTTGTGAAGTGTGCATTCATCTCACAGAGTTGAACCTTTCTTTTGATTGTGAAGTTTGGAAACCATCTTTTTTTACTACATGCAAAAGGATTTTGGACTGCTTTGAGGCCTGTGGTGGAAAAGGAAGTCTCTTCACTTAACAACTATACAGAAGCATTCTGAGAAACATCTTTGTGATGTGTGAATTCATCTCCACAGGGTTGAATTTTTCTTTTGATTGAGCAGTTCTGTAACACTCTTTTTGTAGGATCTGCAGGTGGATATTTGAATCGCATTGTGGCTTATACTGGAAAAGGAATTCTCTTCACATAAAAACTAGACAGAAACATTCTGAGAAACTTAGTTTTGATGTGTGCATTCACCTCACAAAGTTGAAACTTTCTTTTGATTGAACAGTTTTGAAACACTCTTTTTGTCGAATCTGCAAGCAGATGTTTGGAGTGATTTGCGGCCTGTGGTGGAAAATATCTTCACATAAAAACTAGACGGAAGCATTGTGAGAAATTTCTTTATGATGTGTGAATTCAACTCACAGAGTTGAACCTATCTTTTGATTGAGGAGTTTTGAAACATTATTTTTGTAGAATTTGCAAGTGGATATTTGGAGCGCTTTGAGACCTATGGTGGAAAGGAAATATCTTCACATAAAAGCTACACAGAAGCATTCTTAGAAACTTTTTTCCCATGTGTGCATTCAACTAACAGAGGTGAACCTTTCTTTTGATTGAGCAGTTTGGAAACCGTCTTTTTTATACTATCTTCAAATGGATATTTGGAGTGCAATGAGACCTATAGGGGATAAGGAAGTATCTTCACATAAAAACTAGACAGAAACATTCTGAGAAAATTCTTTGTGATGTTTGGATTCAACTCAGAGAGTTGAATATTTCTTTTGATTCAGCAGTATGGAAACAGTCTTTTTATATTAACTGCAAATGGATATTTGGAGTGTTTTGCAGCCTATAATGGAAAAGGAAATATCTTCAAATAAAAAATAGACACAATCATTCTGAAGAACTTCTTTGTTATGTGTCCATTTATCTCACAGATGTGAACATTTCCTTTGTTTGAGCAGTTTTGAAACACTCTTTTTGTATAATCTGCAAGTGGATACTTGGAGCACTTTGTGGCCTATAGTGGAAAATGAAATATCTTCACATAAAAACTAGACACAAGCATTCTTAGAAAATTCCTTGAGATGAGTGCATTCAACTCAGAGAGTTCAACTTTTCTTTTGATTGAACAGTTTGGTACCAGTCTTTTTGTAGCATCTACAAATGAATATTTGGAGCACATCGAGGCCTACAGTGGAAAATGAAATGTCTTCACATAAAAACTAGATGGAAGCATTCTGTTAAACTTCTTTGTGATGTGTGCATTCATCCCACAGACTTGAAACTTTCTTTTCATTGAGGAGTTTGGAAACACTATTTTTGTAGAATCTGCAAGTGGATATTTGGAGAGCTTTGAGACCAATGGTGGAAAAGGAAATATCTTCATATAGAAACTAGATAGTAGCATTCTGAGAAACTTCTTTGTGACGTTTGCATTCATCTCACAGGGTTGAAACTTTCTTTTCCTTGAGCAGTTTTGAAAGATTATTTTAGCAGAATCTGAAAATGGGTATTTGGAGCGCTTTGAGGCCTATCGTGGAAAAGGAAAAATCTTCACGTAAAAACTAAACAGAAGCATTCTGAGAAACTTCTTTGTTATGTGTGCATTCATCTTAGAGAGTTGATACTTTCCTTTGATTGAGCAGTTTTGATACACTATTTTTGTAGGATCTGCAAGTGGCTATTTGGAGTGTTCTGTGACTTATAGTAGAAAAAGGAATATCTTCACATAAAAACTAGACTTCACAATCCTGAGAAACTTTTTTGTGATGTGGGCATTCAACTCACAGAGTTGAACTTTTCTTTTGATTGTGCAGTTTGGAAACAGACTTTTTGTAGTATCTGCAAGTGGACATTTGGAGCGCATTGAGACCTATAGTGGAAAGGGAAATATCTTCACATAAAACTACACAGATGCTTTCTGAGAAACTTCTTTGTGTTGTGTACATTCATCTCAAAGAGGTGAACCTTTCTTTAGATTGAGCAGTTTTTCAAACACTCTTTTTGTGGAATCTGCAAGAGGATATTTGGAGTGATTTGAGGCCTATGGTGGAAAAGGAAACATCTTCACCTAAAAACTAGACAGAAGCATTTTGAGAAACTACTTTGTGATGTGTGCATTCAAATCACAGAGTTCAATGTTTTTTTGATTGAGCAAGTTGGAAACAGTCTTTTTGTAGTATCTTTGAATGGATATTTGGAGCGTATTGAGGCCTATAATGGAAAAGGAAATATCTTCAGATATAAAATAGACAGAAGCATTCTGAGAAAATTGTTTGTGATGTTTGCATTCAACTCACTGAGTTGTACCTTTCTTTTGATTCAGCAGTTTGGAAACATTCTGTTTATATTATCTGCAAATGTATATTTGAAGCGCTTTGAAGCCTATAGTGGAAAAGGAAATATCTTGACATAAAATCTAGTCAGAAGAATTCTGAGTAACTTCTTTTGATGTGTGCATTCATCTCACAGAGTTGAACCTTTCTTTTGATTGAGCAGTATTGAAACACTCCTTTTGTAGAATCTGCAAGTGGATATTTGGAGCACTATGAGGACTATGGTGGAAAAGGAAATATCTTCACATAAAAACTAGACAGAAACATTCTGAGAAACTTCTTTGTGATGTGTGTATTCAACTCACAGAGTTGTACTTTTCATTTTTTGAGCAGTTTGGAAACAGTCTTTTTGCAGTATCTGCAAATGGATAATTGGAGCACTAAGAGGCCTATGGTGGAAAAGGAAATATCTTAACATAAAAACTAGACACATGCATTCTTGGAAATTATTTGGGATGTGTGCATTCATTTCAAAGAGTTGAAGCTTTTTTTTATTGAGCAGTTTTCAGAAACACTTTTTGTAGAATCTTCAAATGGATATTTGGAGCGGTTTGAGCCCTATAGTGTAAACGGGAATATCTTCACATAAAAACGAGACAAAAGCATTCTGAGAAACTACTATGGGATGTGTGCATTCATCTCCCAGAGCTGAACCATTCTGTTGATTGAGCACTATTGAAACACTCTTTTTGTAGAATCTGCAAGTGGATATTAGGAGCGATTTGAGGCATATGGTGGAAAAGGAAAAATCTTCGCATAAATACTAGACAGAAGCATTGTAAGAAACTACTTTGTGATATGTGCATTCATCACACAGAGTTGAACCTGTCTTTTGATTGAGCAGTTTTCAAACACTCGTTTTATAGAATCTGCAATTTTTTACTTGGAGCCCTTTGTGGCCTATGGTGGAAAAGGAAATAACTTCACATAAAAACTAGACAGAAGCATTCAGAAAAACTACGTTTTGATGTGTACATTCATTTGACAGAGTTGAACTTTTCTTTTGATAGAGCAGTTTTGAAACACTGTTTTTGTAGAATGTGCAGATGGATATTCAGATCGAATTGAGGCCTATGATGGAAAAGGAAAAATCTTCATATAAAAACAAGACAGAAGCATTCTGAGAAACTTCTTTGTGATGTGTGCATTCAACGCACACAGTTGAACATTTGTTTTCATTAAGCAGTTTGGGAACAGTCTTTTTGTAGTATCTGCAAATGGATATTTCAAATTATTTGAGGCCTGTAGTGGAAAAGGAAATATATTCACGTAAAAACTAAACAGAAGCATTCTGAGAAACAATTTGGGATGTGTGCATTCATCTCACAGATTTGAAATTTTTTTGATTTAGCAGTTTTGAAAAACTCTTTTTTTAGAATCTTCAACGGGATATTTGGAGAGCTTTGCAGCCTGTAGTGGAAAAGAAAATATCTTCACATACAAACTAGACAGAAGCATTCTGGGAAACATCTTTGTGATGTGCACATTCATCTCCCAGAGTTGAAACTTTCTTTTGATTGAGCAGTTTTGAACCACAGATTTTGTAGATTCTGCAAGTGGATATTTGGAGCCCTTTGAGGGCTCTGGTGGAAAAGGAAATATCTTCACATAAAAACTAGACAGAAGCATTCTGAGAAACTTCTTTGTGATGTGCGCATTCAACTCACAGACTTGAAACTTTTCTCTGATTGAGTAGTTTGGAAAGAGTCTTTCTGTATTATCTGCAAAAGGATATTTGGAGCACTATGAGGCCACAGGTGGAATAGGAAATATATTCACATAAAAACTACACAGAAGCATTGCAAGAAACTTCTTTGTGATGTGTGCATTCATCTCACAGAGTTGAACCTTTGTTTTGATTGAGCAGTTTTGAAACACTCTTTTACTAGTATCTTCAAGTAGATATTTGGAGCGTTTGAGGCCTATATTGGGAAAGGAAATATCTTCACATAAAAACTAGCAGAAGCATTCTGGGAAACTTCTTTGTGATGTATGCTTTCAACTCACAGAGTTAAAACTTTCTTTTGATTGAGCAGTTTGGAAACAGGCTTTTTGTACTATCTCCAAAAGGATATTTTGAGTGCTTTTTGGTCTATAGAGGAAAAGGAGTTATCTTCATATAAGAACTAGACAGAAGCATTCTGAGAAACACACTTTTTGTAGAATCTGCAAGTGGATATTTGGAGCGCTTTGTGGCCTATATTGGAAAAGGAAATATCTTCACATAAAAACTAGACAGAGGTATTCTGAGAAACTTCTTTGTGATGCGTGCATTCATCTCACAGAGTTGAACCTTTCTTTTGATTGAGCAGTTTTGAAACACTCTTTCTGTAGAATCTGCAAGTGGATATTTGGAGCGATTTGATGCCTATGGTGAAAAAGTAAATATCTTCACATAAAAACAAGACAGAAGCATTCTGAGAAACTCCTTTTTGATGTGTGCATTCATCTCACACAGTTGAGCAACTCTTTTCGTTGGGAAGTTTTGAAACACTCTTTTTGTAGAATCTGCAAGTGGATATTTCAAGCGCTTTGAGGCCTATGATGTAAAAGGAAATATCTTCACCTAAAAACTAGACTGAATCATTCTCAGAAACTTCTTTGTGATGTGTGCATTCAACTCACAGAGTGGAACCTTTCTTTTGCTTGAGCAGTATGGAAACATTCTTTATGTAGAATCTGCAAATGGATATTTGGAGAGCTTTGAAACCTACAGTATAAAAGGAAATATCCTCACCTAAAAACTAGCAAGAAGCGTTCTGAGAAACTCCTTTGTGATGTGTGCATACAACTCAAGGAGTGGAAGCTTACTTTGGATTGAGCAGTTTGTAAGCATTCTTTTTTATTTTTTATTTTATTTTACTTTACGTTTTAGGGTACTTGTGCACAATGTGCATGTTAGTTACATATGTATATATGTTCCATGCTGGTGTGCTGCACCCATTAATTCGTCATTTAGCATTAGGTATATCACCTAATGCTATCGCCCCCCTTCCCCCACCCCATAACAGTCCCCAGAGTGTGATGTTCCCCTTCCTGTGTCCATGTGTTCTCATTGTTCAATTCCCACCTGTGAGTGAGAACATGTGGTGTTTGGATTTTGTCCTTGCAATTGTTTACTGAGAATGATGATTTCCAAATTCATCCATGTCTCTTCAAAGGACATGAGCTCATCCTTTTTTATGGCTGTATAGTATTCCATGGTGTATATGGGCCACATTTTATTAATCCAGTCTATCATTGTTGGACATTTGGGTTGGTTCCAAGTCTTTGCTATTGTGAATAGTGCTGCAATAAACTTATGTGTGCATGTGTTTTTATAGCAGCATGATTTATAATCCTTTGGGTATATGCCCAATAATGGGATGGCTGGGTCAAGTGGTATTTCTAGTTCTAGATCCTTAAGGAATTGCCACCCTGATTTCCACAAGGGTTGAGCTAGTTTACTGTCCCACCAACAGTGTAAAAGTGTTCCTGTTTCTCCACATCCTCTCCAGCACCTGTTGTTTCCTGACTTTTTAATGATTGCCATTCTAACTGGTGT
The DNA here is from genome assembly GCF_000001405.40 of Homo sapiens. Lineage (NCBI taxonomy): Eukaryota > Metazoa > Chordata > Mammalia > Primates > Hominidae > Homo > Homo sapiens. The sequence continues at coordinate 27,329,639 of NC_000019.10, read as the reverse complement.
GAGATGGTATCTCATTGTGGTTTTGATTTGCATTTCTCTGATGGCCAGTGATGGTGAGCATTTTTTCATGTGTTTCTTGGCTGCATAAATGTCTTCTTTTGAGAAGTGTCTGTTCATGTCCTTCACTCACTTTTTGATGGGGTTGTTTGTTTTTTTCCTGTAAATTTGTTTGAGTTCATTGTAGATTCTGGATATTAGCCCTTTGTCCGATGAGTAGGTTGCGAAAATTTTCTCCCATTTTGTAGGTTGCTTGTTCACTCTGATGGTAGGTTCTTTTGCTGTGCAGAAGCTCTTTAATTTAATTAGGTTCCATTTGTCAATTTCGGCTTTTGTTTCCATTGCTTTTCGTGTTTTAGACATGAAGTCCTTGCCCATGCCTATGTCCTGAATGGCAATTCCTAGGTTTTCTTCCAGGGTTTTTATGGTTTTAGGTCTAACGTTTAAGTCTTTAATCCATCTTGAATTGATTTTTGTATAAGGTGTAAGGAAGGAATCCAGTTTCAGTTTTCTACATGTGGCTAGCCAGTTTTCCCAGCACCATTTATTAAATAGGAAATAATTTCCCCATTGCTGGTTTTTCTCAGGTTTGTCAAATATCAGATTGTTTTAGATATGCGGCATTATTTCTGAGGGCTCTGTTCTGTTCCATTGAGCTATATCTCTGGTTTGTTACCAGTACCATGCAGTTTTGGTTACAGTAGCCTTGTAGTATAGTTTGAAGTCAGGTAGCGTGATTCTTCCAGGTTTATTCTTTTGGCTTAGGATTGACTTGGCAATGCAGGCTCTTTATTGGTTCCATATGAACTTTAAAGTACTTTTTTCCAATTCTGTGATGAAAGTCATTGGCAGCTTAATGGGGATGTCATTGAATCGATAAATTACCTTGGGCAGTATGGCCATTTTCACGATATTGCTTCTTCCTACCCATGAGCATGGAATGTTCTTCCATTTCTTTGTATCCTCTTTTATTTCATTGAGCAGTAGTTTGCAGTTCTCCTTGAAGATGTCCTTCACATCCCTTGTAAGTTGGATTCCTAGGTATTTCATTCTCTTTGAAGCAATTGAGAATGAGAGTTCACTCATGATGTGGATCTCTGTTTGTCTGTTATTGGTGTATAAGAATGCTTGTGATTTTTGTACATTAATTTTGTATCCACAACATACTAGAATCTCTGGGACACATTCAAAGCAGTGTGTAGAGGGAAATTTATAGCACTAAATGCCCACAAGAGAAAGCAGGAAAGATCCAAAATTGACACCCTAACATCACAATTAAAAGAATTAGAAAAGCAAGAGCAAACACATTCTCTTTGAAACAATTGTGAGTGGGAGTTCACTCATGATTTGGTTCTCTGTTTGTCTGTCACTAGTGTATAAGAGTGCTTGTGATTTTTGTACATTGATTTTGTATCCTGAGACTTAGCTGAAATTGCTTATCAGATTAAGGAGATTTTGGGCTGAGACAATGGGATTTTCTAGATATACAATCATGTCATCTGCAAACAGGGACAATTTGACTTCCTCTTTTCCTAATTGAATACACTTTATTTCCTTCTCCTGCCTAATTGCCCTGGCCAGAACTTCCAACACTATGTTGAATAGGAGTGGTGAGAGAGGGCATCCCTGTCTTGTGCCAGTTTTCAAAGGGAATGCTTCCAGTTTTTGCCCATTCAGTATGATATTGGCTGTGGGTTTGTCATAGATAGCTCTTATTATTTTGAGATACGTCCCAACAATATCTAATTTATTGAGAGTTTTTAGCATGCAGAGTTGTTGAATTTTGTCAAAGGCCTTTTCTGCATCTATTGAGATAATCATGTGGTTTTTGTCTTTGATTCGGTTTATATGCTGGATAACATTTATTGATTTCTGAATATTGAACCAGCCTTACATCCCAGGGATGAAGCCCACTTGATCATGGTGGATAAGCTTTTTGATGTGCTGCTGGATTCGGTTTGCCAGTATTTTATAGAGGATTTTTGCATCAATGTTCATCACGGGTATTGGTCTATAATTCACCTTTTTGGTTGTGTCTCTGCCTGGCTTTGGTATCAGGATGATGCTGGCCTCATAAAATGAGTTAGGCAGGATTCCCTCTTTTTCTATTGATTGGAATAGTTTCAGAAGGAATGGTACCAGTTCCTCCTTGTACCTCTGGTAGAATTTGGCTGTGAATCCGTCTGGTCCTGGACCCTGTTTAGTTGGTAAGCTATTGATTATTGCCACAATTTCAGATCCTCTTATTGGTCTATTCAGAGATTCAACTTCTTCCTGGTTTACTCTTGGGAGGGTGTATGTGTTGAGGAATTTATCCATTTCTTCTAGATTTTCTAGTTTATTTGCATAGAGGTGTTTGTAGTATTCTCTGATGGCAGTTTATATTTCTGTGGGATTGGTGGTCATATCCCCTTTATCATTTTTTATTGCATCTATCTGATTCTTCTCTCTTTTTTTCTGCATTAGTCTTGCTAGCAGTCTATCAATTTGTTGATCCTTTCAAAAAACTAGCTCCTGGATTCATTAATTTTTTGAAGGTTTTTTATGTCACTATTTCTTTCAGTTGTTCTCTGATTTTAGCTATTTCTTATCTTCTGCTAGCTTTTGAATGTGTTTTCTCTTGCTTTTCTAGTTCTATTAATTGTGATCTTAGGGTGTCAATTTTGGATATTTCCTGCTTTCTCTTGTGGGCATTTAGAGCTATAAATTTCCCTCTACGCACTGTTTTGAATGTGTCCCAGAGATTCTGGTATGTTGTGTCTTTGTTCTCGTTGGTTTCAAAGAACATCTTTATTTCTGCCTTCATTTCGTTATGTACCCAGTAGTCATTCAGCAGCAGGTTGTTCAGTTTCCATGTAGTTGAGCGGTTTTGAGTGAGTTTCTTAATCTTGAGTTCTAGTTTGATTGCATTGCAGTCTGAGAGACAGTCTGTTATAATTTCTGATTTTTACATTTGTTGAGGAGAGCTTTCTTTCCAACTACGTGGTCAATTTTGGAATAGGTGTGCTGTGGTGCTGAAAAAAATGTATATTCTGTTGATTTGGGGTGGAGAGTTCTGTAGATGTCTCTTAGGTCCTCTTAGTGTATAGCTGAGTTCAATTCCTGGGTATCCTTGTTAACTTTCTGTCTCGTTGATCTGTCTAATGGTGACAGTGGGGTGTTAAAGTCTCCCATTATTATTGTGTGGGAGTCTAAGTCTCTTTGTAGGTCACTGAGGACTTGCTTTATGAATCTGGGTGCTCCTGTATTGGGTGCAGATATATTTAGGATAGTTAGCTCTTCTTGTTGAATTGATCCCTTTACCATTATTTAATGGCCTTCTTTGTCTCTTTTGATCTTTGTTGGTTTAAGTCTGTTTTATCAGAGACTAGGATAGCAACCTCTGCCTTTTTTTGTTTTCCATTTGCTTGGTAAATCTTCCTCTTTCCTTTTATTTTGAGCCTATGTGTGTCTCTGCACGTGAGATGGGTTTCCTGAATACAGCACACTGATGGGTCCTGACTCCTTATCCAATTTGCCAGTCTGTGTCTTTTAATTGGGGCATTTAGTCCATTTACATTTAAAGTTAATATTGTTATGTGTGAATTTGATCCTGTCATTATGATGTTAGCTGGATATTTTGCTCACTAGTTAATGGAGTTTCTTCTTAGCCTCGAAGGTCTTTATAATTTGGAATGATTTTGCAGTGGCTGGAACCGGTTGTTCCTTTCCATGTTTAGTGCTTCCTTCAAGAGCTCTTTTAGGGCAGGCCTGGTGGTGACAAAATCTCTCTGCATTTGCTTGTCTGTAAAGTATTTTATTTCTCCTTCACTTATGAAGCTTAGTTTGGCTGGATATGAAATTCTGGGTTGAAAATTCTTTTCTTTAAGAATGTTGAATATTGACCCTCACTCTCTTCTGGCTTCTAGAGTTTCTGCTGAGAGATCCACTGTTAGTCTGATGTGCTTCCCTTTATGGGTAACCCTACCTTTCTCTCTGGCTGCCCTTAACATTTTTTCCTTCATTTCAACTTTGCTGAATCTGACAATTATGCGTCTTGGAGTTGTTCTTCTCGAGGAGTATCTTTGTGGCGTTCTCTGTATTTCCTGAATCTGAATGTTGGCCTGCCTTGTTAGATTGGGGATGTTGTCCTGGATAATATCTTGCAGAGTGTTTTCCAACTTGATTCCATTCTCCCCATCACTTTCAGGTGCACCAATCAGACGTAGATTTGGTCTTTTCACATAGTCCCATATTTCTTGGAGGCTTTGCTCATTTCTTTTTATTTCTCTAAACTTCCCTTCTCGCTTTCATTTCATTCATTTCATCTTCCATCACTGATACCCTTTCTTCCAGTTGATTGCATCGGCTCCTGAGGTTTCTGCATTTTTCATGTAGTTCTCGAGCCTTGGCTTTCAGCTCCATCAGCTCCTTTAAGCATTTCTCTATATTGGTTATTCTAGTTATACATTCGTCTAAATTTTTTTCAATGTTTTTAACTTCTTTGCCTTTGGTTTGAATTTCCTGCTGTAGCTCGGAGTAGTTTCGTCATCCGAACCTTCTTCTCTCAAGTTGTCAAAGTCATTCTCCATCCAGCTTTGTTCCGTTGCTGGTGAGGAACTGCATTCTTTTGGAGGAGGAGAGGTGCTCTGGTTTTTAGAGTTTCCAGTTTTTCTGCTCTGTTTTTTCCCCATCTTTGTGGTTTTATCTACTTTTGTCTTTGATGTTGTTGATGTACAAATGGGTTTTTGGTGTGGATGTCCTTTCTGTTTGTTAGTTTTCCTTCTAACAGACAGGACCCTCAGCTGCAGGTGTGTTGAAGTTTGCTGGAGGTCCACTCCAGACCCTATTTTTCTGGGTAACAGCAGCATTGGCCAGCAGTGGCTGCAGAAAAGCGGATTTTCGTGAACCGCAAATGCTGCTCTCTGATTGTTCATCTGGAAATTTTGTCTCAGAAGAGTACCCAGCCGTGTAAGGTGTCAGTCTGCCCCTGCTTGGGGGTGCCTCCCAGTTAGGGTGCTCAGGAGTCAAGAGTCAGGGACCTACTTGAGGAGGCAGTCTGCCCATTCTGAGAAATCCAGCTGTGTGCTGGGAGAACCGATGCTCTCTTCAAAGCTGTCAGACAGGGACATTTAAGTCTGCAGAGGTTACTGCTGTCTTTTGGTTTGTCTGTGCCCTGCCCCCAGAAGTGGAGCCTACAGAGGCAGGCAGGCCTTCTTGAGCTATGGTGGGCCCACCCAGTTCTAGCTCCCCGGCTGCTTTATTTACTTAAGCAAGCCTGGGCAATCGCGGATGCCATTGCATCCACTTGCAGATTGTACAAAAAGAGGGTTTCAAAACTGCTTAATCAAAAGCAATGTTCTATTCTGTGAGGTGAATACACACATCACAAAGAAGTTTCTCAGAATGCTTCTGTCTGGTTATTATGTGAAGATATTTCCTTTTCCACAACAGGCCTCAAATCTCTCCATATATCCACTTGCAGAAACTACAAAAAGAGTGTTTCAAAACTGCTTAATCAAAAGAAAGGTTTATCACTGTGAAATGAATGCACACATCACAAATAAGTTTCTCAGAATGCTTCTGTGTAGTTTTTATGTGAAGATGTTTCCTTTTCCACCATAGGCCTTAAAGCACTCCAAAAATCCACTTTCATATTCTACAAAAAGAGTGTTTCCAAACTTCTCAGTCAAAAGAAAAGTTCAACTCTGTGACGAAAATGCACCCATCGCAAAGGAGATTCTGAGAATGCTTCTGTGTTGTTTTTATGTGAAGATATTTCGTTTTCCACCATAAGCCTCAAAGCACTCCAAATATCCACTTGCAGATACTACAAAAAGAGAGTTTTAAAACTGCTCAATCAAAAGATAGGTTCAACTCTGTGAGTGGAATGCACACATCAGAAAGAAGTTTCTCAGAATGCTTCTGGGTAGTTTTTATGTGAAGATATTTCCTTTTCCACCATAGGCTGCAAAGGGCTTCAAATATCCACTTGAAGATTACACGAAAGGAGAGTTTCAAAACTGCTCTTTAAAAAGATAGGTTCAACTCTGTGAGCTGAATGCACACATCATAAAGAAGTTTCTCAGAATGCTTCTGTGCAGTTTTTATGTGAAGATATTTCCTTCTTCACATTAGGCCTCAAAGCGCTCCAAATATCCACTTGCAGATTCTACAAAAAGAGTGTTTCAAAACTGCTCCATCAAAAGAAAGATTCAACTCTGTGAGATGAATGCAGACATCACAAAGAAGTTTCTCAGAATGCTTCTGTGTAGTTTTCATGCGAAGATATTTCCTTTTCCACCATAGGCCTCAAAGTGCTCCAAATATCCACATGGAGATCCCACAAAAAGAGTGTTTCCAAGCTGCTCAATAAAAAAAAAAAAAAACGTTCAACTTTGTGAGATGAATGCACACGTCACAAAGAAGTTTCTCAGAATGCTTCTGTGGACTTTTTATGTGAAGATATTTCCTTTTCCACAATAGGCTTCCAAGGGCTCTAAATATCCATTTGCAGATTCTACTAAAAGAGTTTTTCCAAACTGCTCAACGAAAAGAAAGGTTCAACTCTGTGAGATGAATGCACACATCTAAAGAAGTTTCTGAGGATGTTTCTGTGTAGTTTTTATGTGAAGGTATTTCCTTTTCCACAATAAGCCTCAAAGCACTCCTAATATGCACTTGCAGATTCTACAAATAGAGTGTTCCAAAACTGCTCAATGAAAAGACAGGTTCAACTCTGTGAGATAAATGCACACATCACAAAGAAGTTTCTCAGGATGCTTCTGTGTAGTTCTTATGTGAAGATATTTCCGTTTCCACAATAGGTCTCAAGGGGCTCCAAATATCCACTTGCAGATACTGTAAGAAGAGTGTTTCAAAACTGCTCAATAAAAAGAATGTTTCAAATCTGTGAGATGAACACATCTTAAAGAAGTTTCTCCAAATGCTTCTTTGTTGTTTTTATGTGAAGATATTTCCTTTTCCAACATAGGCCACAAAGGGTTCCAAATATCCACTTGTAGATTCAACAAAAGGGAGTTTCAAAAGTGTTCATTCAAAAGATAGGTTCAACACTCTGATTTGAATGCACACATCACAAAGAAGTTTCTCGGAATGCTTCTGTATAGTTTTTTTAGAAGATATTTCCTTTTTCACAATAGGCCTCAAAGTGCTCCAAATATCCTCTTGCAGATTCTACAAAAAGAGTTTTTCCAAACTGCTCAAGCAAAAGAAAGGTTCAACTCTGTGAAATGAATGCACACAACAAAAAGAAGTTTCTCAGAATGCTTCTGTGTAGTTTTCACTTGAATATATTTCCTTTTCCACAATAGGCCTCAAAGCGCCCCAAATATCCACTTTCAGATTCTACAAACAGAATGTTTCCAAACTGCTCAATCAAAAGAAAGTTTCGACTCTGTGAGATGAATGCACACGTCAGAAAAAAGCTTCTCAGAATGCCTCTTTGTAGCTTTTATGTGAAGATATTTCCTTTTCCACAATAGGCCTCAAAGTGCTCCAAATATACACTTGCAGATTCTACAAACAGAGTGTGTCAAAACTGCTCAATCAAAAGAAAGGTTTAGCTCTGTGAGATGAATGCACACATCACAAAGTAGCTTCTCAGAATGCTTCTGTGTAGTTTTTATGTGAAGACATTTCCTTTTCCACCGTAGGCATCAAAGCGCTCCAAATATCCACTTGCAGATTCTACAAAAAGAGTGTTTCCAAACTGCTTAATCATAATATAGGTTCAACCCTGTGAGGTGAATGCACACATCACAAAGAAGTTTCTCAGAATGCTTCTGTGTAGTTTTCATGTGAAGATATTTCCTTTTCCAACATAGGCCACAAAAGGCTCCAAATATCCACTTCTGGATTCTAAAAAAGGGAGTTTCAAAAGTGCTCATTGAAAAGATAGGTTCAACACTGTGAGTTGAATGCACACATCACAAAGAAGTTTCTCAGAATGCTTCTGTGTGGTTTTTTGTGAAGATATTTCCTTTTTCTCAATAGGCCTCAAAGTGCTCCAAATATCCCCTTGCAGATTCTACAAAAAGAGTGTTTCCAAACTGCTCAAGCAAAAGAAAAGTTCAAATCTGTGAGATGAATGCACACAACAAAAAGAAGTTTCTCAGAATGTTTCCTTGTAGTTTTTATGTGAATATATTTCCTTTTCCACAATAGGCCTCAAAGCACTCCAAATATCCACTTTCAGATTCTACAAAGAGAATGTTTCAAAACTGCTCAATCAAAAGAAAATTTCAACTCTGTGAGATGAATGCACACATCACAAAAAAGCTTCTCAGAATGCCTCTGTGTAATTTTTATGTGAAGATATTTCCTTTTCCACAATAATCCTCAAAGCGCTCCAAATATCCACTTGCAGATTCTCCCAACAGAATGTTTCAAAATGCTCAATCAAAAGAAAGCTTTAGGTCTGTGAGATGAATGCACACATCACAAAGTAGCTTCTCAGAATGCTTCTGTGTAGTTTTTATGTGAAGACATTTCCTTTTCCACCATAGGCCTCATATCACTCCAAATATCCACTTGCAGATTCTACAAAAAGAGTGTTTCCAAAGTGCTGAATCAAAAGAAAGGTTCAACTCTGTCAGATGAATGCACACATCACAAAGAAGTTTCTCAGAAAGCTTCCATGTATTTGTGTGTGTGTTTGTGTGTGTGAGAATCTCTTTTTGTGTGTTTTTTTAATTGTTATTATACTTTAAGTTTTAGAGTACCTGTGCACCATGTGCAGGTTAGTTACATATGTATACCAGTGCCATGCTGGTGTGTTGCACCCATTAACTCGTCATTTAGCATTAGCTATATCTCCTAAAGCTATCCCTCCCCCAACCCCTGACTCCACAACAGTCCTGAGTGTGATGTTCCCCTTCCTGTGTCCATGTGTTCTCATTATTCAATTCACACCTATGAGTGAGAATATGCGGTGTTCTGTTTTTTGTACTTGTGATAGTTTACTGAGAATGATGATTCCCAATTTCATCCATGTCCCTACAAAGGACATGAACTCATCATTTTTTATGGCTGCATAGTATTCCATTGTGTATATTTGCCACATTTTCTTAATCCAGTCTATCATTTTTGGACATTTGTGTTGGTTCCAAGTCTTTGCTATTGTGAATAGTCCTGCAATAAACATACTTGTGCATGTGTCTTCATAGCAGCATGGTTTATAGTCCTTTGGGTATATACCCAGTAATGGGATGGCTGTGTCAAATGGTATTTCTGGTTCTAGATCCCTGAAGAATCCCACACTGACTTCCACAAAGGTTGAACTAGTTTACAGACCCACCAACAGTGTAAAAGTGTTCCTATTTGTCCACATCCGCTCCAGCACCTCTTGTTTCCTGACATTTTAATGATTGCCATTCTAACTGGTGTGAGATGGTATCTCATTCTGTTTTTGATTTGCATTTCTCTGATGGCCAGTGATGGTGAGGATTTCTTCATGTGTTTGTTGGCTGCATAAATGTCTTCTTTTGAGAAGTGTCTGTTCATGTCCTTCACCCAATTTTGATGGGGTTGTTTGTTTTTTTCTTGTAAATTTGTTTGAGTTCATTGTAGATTCTGGATATCAGCCCTTTGTCAGATAAGTAGGTTACAAAAATTTTCTCCCATTCTTTAGGTTGCCTGTTCACTCTGATGGTAGTCTCTTTTGTTGCTCAGAAGCTCTTTAGTTTAATTAGATCCCATTTGTTACTTTTGGATTTTGTTGCCATTGCTTTTGGTGTTTTAGACATGAAGTCCTTGCCCATGCCTATGTCATGAATTGTAATGTCTAGGTTTTCTTCTAGGGTTTTTATGGTTCTAGGTCTAATACTTAAGTCTTTAATCACCAATCCCACAGAAATACAAACTACCATCAGAGAATACTACAAACACTTCTACAGAATTAAACTAGAAAATCTAGAAGAAATGAATAAATTCCTTGACACATACACTGTCCCAAGACTAAACCAGGAAGAAGTTGACTCTCTGAATATACCAATAACAGGATCTGAAATTGTGCAATAATAAATAGCTTACCAACCAAAAAGAGCCCAAGACCAGATGGATTCACAGCTGAATTCTACCAGAGGTACAAGGAGGAACTGGTATCATTCCTTCTGAAACTATTCCAATCAATAGCAAAAGAGGGAATCCTCCCTAACTCATTTTATGAGGCCAGCATCATCCTGATACCAAAGCTGGGCAGAGATACAATCAAAAAAGATAATTTTAGACAAATATCCTTGATGAACATTGATGCAAAAATCCTCTATAAAATTCTGGCAAACCCAATCCAGCAGCACATCAAAAGGCTTATCCACCATGATCAAGTGGACTTCATCCCTGGGATGCAAGGCTGGTTCAATATATGCAAATCAATAAATGCAATCCAGCATGTAAACAGAACCAAAGATGAAAACCACATGATTATCTCAATAGATGCAGAAAAGGCCTTTGACAAAATTCAACAACTCTGCATGCTAAAAACTCTCAATAAATTAGGTATTGATGGGACGTATCTCAAAATAATAAAAGCTATCTATGACAAACCCACAGCCAATATCATACTGAATGGGCAAAAACTAGAAGCATTCCCTTTGAAAATTGGCACAAGACAGGGATGCCCTCTCTCACCACTCCTATTCAACATAGTATTGGAAGTTCTGGCCAGGGCAATTAGGCAGGAGAAGGAAATAAAGTGTATTCAATTAGGAAAAGAGGAAGTCAAATTGTCCCTGTTTGCAGATGACATGATTGTATATCTAGAAAACCCCATTGTCTCAGCCGGAAATCTCCTTAAGCTGATAAGCAATTTCAGCTAGGTCTCAGGATACAAAATCAATGTACAAAAATCACAAGCATTCTTATACACCAGTGACAGACAGACAGAGAACCAAATCATGAGTGAACTCCCATTCACAATTGCTTCAAAGAGAATAGAATACTTAGGAATCCAACTTATAAGGGACATGAAGGACCTCTTCAAGGAGTACTACAAAACACTGCTCAATGAAATAAAAGAGGATACAACCAAATCGAAGAACATTCCATGCTCATGGGTAGGAAGAATCAATATCATGAAAATGGCCATATTGCCCAAGGTAATTTATTGATTCAATGCCATCCTCATCAAGCTACCAATGACTTACATCACAGAATTGGAAAAAACTACTTTAAAGTTCATATGGAATCAAAAAAGAGCCCGCATCACCAAATCAATCCTAAGCCAAAACAACAAAGCTGGAGCCATCACGCTACCTGACGTCAAACTATACTACAAGGCTACATACTATACTACAAAGCAGCATGATACTGGTACCAAAACAGAGATATAGATCAATGGAACAGAACAGAGCCCTCAGAAATAATGTTACATTCATACAACTATCTGATCATTGACAAACCTAAGAAAAACAAGAAATGGGGAAAGGATTCCCTATTTAATAAATGGTGCTGGGAATACTTGCTAGCCATATGTAGAAAGCTGAAACTGGATCAATTCCTTACACCGTGTAGTTTTTATGTGAAGATATTTCATTTTCAACAATAGGCCTCAAAATGCTACAAATATCCACTTGCAGATTCTACAAAAAGAGTGTTTCAAAACTGCTCGATGAAAACAAAGTTCAACTCTATGAGATGAATGCACACTTCACAAGATATTTCTCAGAATGCCTCTGCGTAGTTTTTTTGTGAAGATACTTCCCTTTCCACAAAAGGCCTCAAAACGCTCCATATATCCACTTGCATATTCTAAAAAATGAGTGTTTCAAAACTGCTGAATCAAAAAACGTTCAACTCTGTGAAATGAATGCACACATCACAAAGAAGTTTCTCAGAATGCTTCTGTGTAGTTTTTATATGGAGATATTTCCTTTGCCACCATAAGCTGCAAAGGGCTCCAAAAAACAACTTGAAGATTCTACAAAAAGAGAGTTTCAAAACTGCTCCATGAGAAGATAGGTTCAACATTGTGACTTGAATGCACACGTCAGAAAGAAGTTTCTCAGAATGCTTCTGTGCAGTTTTTATGTGAAGATATTTCCTTTTCCACAATAGGCCTCCAAGCTCTCTAAATAACCACTTGCAGATTCTACAAAAACAGTGTTTCAAAATTGCTCAATCAAAAGAAAGGTTCAACACAGTGAGATGAATGCACACATCACAAAGAAGTTTCCAATAATGCTTCTATGTAGTTTTTATGTGAAGATATTTCCTTTTCCACAAAAGGCCAGAAAGTGCTCCAGATATCCACCTGGATATTCTACAAAAAGTGTGTTTCAAAACTGCTCAATCAAAGGAAAGGCTGAACTCTGTGAGATGAATCCACATAGCACAAAAGAAGTTTCTCAGAATGCTTTGGTGTAGTTTTTATGTGAATACATTTCCTTTTCCAACATAGGCCACAAAGGGCTACAAATATCCACTTGCAGATTCTACAAAGTAGAGTTTCAAAACTGCTCTATCAAAAGATAGGTTCAGCTCTGTGAGATGAATGCACACATCACAAAGTAGTTTTTCACAATGCTTCTGTGTAATTTTTTGTGAAGAAACTTCATTTTCCACAATAGGTCTCAAAGCGCTCCAAATATCCACTTGCAGATTCTACAAAATGATTGTTTCCATACTGCTCAATGAAAAGAAAGGTTCAACTCTGTGAGATGAATGCACACATCACAAAGAAGTTTCTCAGAATGCTTCTGTGCAATTTTTAAGTGAAGATATTTCCTTTCCACAATAGGCCTCAAAGTGCTTCAATTATCCACTTGCAAATTCTATAAAAAAAGTGTTTCAAAACTGCTCAATCCAAAGAAAGGTTCACCTCTGTGAGATGAATGCACACGTCACAAAGAAGTTTCTCATAATGCTTCTGTGTAGTTTTTATGTGAAGATATTTCCTTTTCCAAAATAGGCTGCAAAGGGCTCCAAATATCCATTTGCAGATTTTACAAAAAGAGAGATTCAGAAGTCTTCAATCAAATGATAGGTTCAACTCTGTAAGTTGAATGCATACATCACAAAGAAGTTTCTCAGAATGCTTCTGTGTAGTTTTTATTAGAAGTTATTTCGTTTTCCACAACAGGCCTCAAAGTGCTTCAAATATCCACTTGCAGAGTCTATAATAAGAGTGTTTCAAAACTGTACAATCAAAATATAGGTTCAAACCGGTGAGATGAATGCACGAATCACAAAGAAGTTTATCAGAATGCTTCTGTGTTGTTCTTATGTGAAGATATTTCCTTTTCCACCATAGGCCCAAAAGTGCTCAAAATATCCACTTGCAGATCCTATGAAAATAGTGTTTCAAAACTGCTCTATCAAAAGAAAGTTTCAACGGTGTGAGATGGATGCACAATTCACAAAGAAGTTTCTCATAATGCTTCTGCGTAGGTTTTATGTGATGATATTTCCTTTTCCACAATAGGCCTCCAAGGGCTCCAAATATCCACTTGCAGATTCTACTATAGGAGTGTTTCCAAACTTCTCGATCAAAAAAGGATCAATTCTGTGAGATGAATGCGCACATCACAAAGAAGTTGCTAATAATGCTTCTGTGTATTTTTTATGTGAAGATATTTCCCTTTCCACAATAGGCCTCAAAGCGCTCCTAATATCCACTTGCAGATTCTACAAAAAGAGTTTTTCCAAACTGCTCAATCAAAGGAGAGTTTCAACACTGTGAGATGAATGCCCACATCACAAAGTAGATACTCAGAATCCTTCTGTGTAGTTTTTAGGTGAAGATATTTGCTTTTCCACCATAGGCCACCAAGGGCTCCAAATATCCACTTGCAGATTCTGCAAAAAGAGAGTTTCAAAACTGCTCTATCAAAAGATAGCTTCAACTCTGTGAGTTGAATGCACACATCACAAAGAAGTTTCTCAGAATGCTTCTGTGAAGTTTTTATGTGAAGATATTTCCTTTTCCTCCATAGGATGCTAAGGGTTCCAGTATCCACTTGGAGATTCTACAAAAAGAGAGTTTCAAAACTGCTCTATCAAAAGATAGGTTCAACTGTGTGACTTGATTGCACACAACACAAAGTGGTTTCTCAGAATGCTTCTGTGTAGTTTTCATGTGCAGATATTTCCGTTTCCACAATAGGCCTCCTAGAGCTAAATCTATCCACTTCCCGATTCTACTAAAAGAGTGTTTCCAAACTGCTCAAGCAAAAGAAAAGTTCAGCTCTGTGAGGTGAATGCACACATCACAAAGAACTTTCTCAGAATGCTTCTTTGTAGTTTTTATGTGAAGATATTTCCTTTTCCACAATACTCCTCAAAGCGCTACAAATATCCACTTGCAGATTCTCCAAAAAAGTGTTTCCAAACTGCTCAATCAAAAGAGAGGTTCAACGCTGTGAAATGAATGCACATCACAAAGAAGTTTCTCAGAAGGCTTCTGTGTAGTGTTTATGTGAAAATATTTCCTTTTCCACAATAAACTGCAAAGGGCTACAAATATCGACTTGCAGATTCTACAAAAGCGAGTTTCATAACTGCTCTATCAAAAGATAGGTTCAACTCTGTGAGTTGAATGCACACATCACAAAGAAGTTTCTCAGAATGCTTCTGTGTAGTTTTTATTTGAAGATATTTCCTTTACCACAATAGGCCTAAAAGCACTCCAAATATCCACTTGCATATTCTACAGAAAGAGTGTTTCAAAACTGCTCAATCCAAGGAAGGTTCAACTCTGTGAGATGAATGCACACATCAAAAAGTAATTTCTCAGACTGCTTCTGTGTAGCTTTTATGTGAAGATATTTCCTTTTCCGCAATAGGCCTCCAAGGACTCCAAATATCCACTTGCAGATTTTATGAAAAGAGTGTTTCAAAACTGCTCAATGAAAAGAAAGTTTCAACTCTGTAAGATGAATGCACACATCACAAAAAAAATTCTCAGAAAGCTTCTGTGTAGTTCTATTTGCAGATATTTCCTTTTCCACCATAAGCCACAAAGGGCTCCAAATATCCACTTGCAGATTATACAAAAAAGAGTTTCAAAACTGCTCAATCAAAAGATAGGCTCAATCAAAAGATTGGTTCAACACTGTGAGTTTAATGCACACATCACAAAGAAGTTTCTGAGAATGCTTCTGTGTAGGTTTTATGTGAAGATATTTCCTTTTCCACAATTGCCCTCCAAGGGCTGCAAATATCCACTTGCAGATTCTACTATAGGAGTGTTTCCAAAGTGCTCAATCAAAAAATGGTTCAACTCTGTGAGATCAATGCTCACACCACAAAGAATTTTCTGAAAATGCTTCTGTATAGTTTTTATGTGAAGATATTTCCTTTTCCACAAAAGGCCTCAAAGCACTCCAAATATCCACTTGCAGATTGTTCAAAAAGAGAGTTTCAAAACTGCTCTATAAAAAGATAGTTTCAACTCTTTGAGTTGAATGCACACATCACAAAGAAGTTTCTGAGAATGCTTCTGTGTAGTTTTTATGGGAAGATATTTCCTTTTCCACCATAGGACGCAAAGGGTTCCAAATATACACTTGGGGATTCTACAAAAAGTGAGTTTCAAAACTGCTCTATCAAAAGATAGGTTCAACTCTGTGAGTTGTTGCACACATCACAAAGTGGTTTCTCAGAATGCTTCTGTGTAGTTTTCATTTGAAGATATTTCCTTTTCCACAATAGGCCTTCAAGGGATCCAACTATTCACTTCCAGATTCTACTAAAAGACTGTGTCAAAACTGCTCTATCAAAAGAACGGTTCCAGTCTGTGAGGTGAATGCACACATCACAAAGCAGTTTCTGAGAATGCTTCTGTCTAGTTTTTATGTGAAGATATATCCTTTTCCACAATACACCTCAAAGCACTCCAAATATCCACTTGCAGATTCTATGAAAAGAGTGTTTCCAAACTGTTCAATCAAAAGAAAGGTTCAACTCCATGTGATGAATGCACACATCACAAAGAAGTTTCTCAGAAGGTTTCTGTGTAGTTTTTATGTGAAGATATTTTCTTTTCCAACATAGCCCTCAAAGTGCTACAAATATCCACTTGTAGATTCTACAAAAAGGTGTTCCAAACTGCTCAATTAAAGGAAAAGTTCAACTCTGGGTATGAACGCACACCTCACAAGGAAGTGTCTCAGAATGCTTCTTTGTTGTTTTTATTGGAAGATCCTTTTCCATCATTGGCCTCAAAGAGCTCCAAATATCCACTTGCAGATTCTACAAAAGGAGAATTTCAATAATGTACTATCAAAAGATAGTTTCTACTCTGTGTGTGGAATGCACACAGTACATAGAAGTTTCTCAGAATGCTTCTGTCTAGTTTTTATGTGAAGATATTTCCTTTTCCACCATAGGAATCAAAGTGCTTAAATATCCACTTGCAGATTCTACAAAAGAGTTTTTCAAAACTGCTTAATCCAAAGAAAGGTTCAAATCTGTGAGGTAAATGCACATATCATAAACAAGATTCTCAGAAAGCTTCTTTGTAGTTTTTATTGGAAGATATTACCTTTTCAACCATAGGCCACAAAGGCTCAAAATATCCACTTGGAGATTCTACAAAAAGAGAGTTTCAAATCTGCTCAATCAAAAGATAGGTTCAACTCTGTGAGATGAATACACACACCACAAAGAAGTTTCTCAGAATGCTTCTGTGTAGTTTTTAATGTGAAGATATATCCTTTTCCACTGTAGGTATCAAAGTGCTCCAAATAAAACTTGCAGATTCTACAAAAAGAGTGTTTCAAAACTGTTCAATCAAAAGAAAAGTTCAACTCTGTGAGATGAATGGACACATCAGAAAGAAGTTTCTGAGAATACTTCTGTGCAGATTTCATGTGAAGATATTTTCTTTTCGACAAAAGGCCTCAAAGCTCTCCAAATATCCAGTTGCAGATTCTACAAAAAGTGTATATCCAAACTGTACAATCAAAAGAAATGTTAAACTCTGTGTGATGAATGGACACATCAAAAAGATGTTTGTAAGAATGTTTCAGTGTAGATTTTATGTGAAGATATTTCCTTTCCCACAACAGGCCTCAAATCGCTCCAAATATCCACTTGCAGATCTACAAAAAGAGTGTTTCAAAACTGCTCAATCAAATGAAAGGTTCAACTTTCGTAGATGAATGCACACATCACAAAGAAGTTCCTCAGAATGCTGCTGTGTAATTTTTATGGAAGATATTTCCTTTTCCAACATCGTCCACAAAGGGCTCCAAATATACGGTTGCAGACTCTACAAAAGGAGAGTTTCAAAACTGTTCTATCATAAGACAGGTTGAACTCTGCGAATTGAATACACACATCACAAAAGTGTTTGTCAGAATGCTTCTGTGCAGTTTTTATATGAAGACATTTCCTTTTCCACCATAGGACCCAAAGTGCTCCAAATATCCACTTGCAGATTCTACAAAAAGAATGTTTCAAAACTGCTCAATCAAAAGAAAGTTTCAACTCTGTGAGATGAATGCCCACATCACAAAGATGTTCCTCAGAATGCTTCTGTGTAATTTTTATGGGAAGATATTTCCTTTTCCACCATAGACCTCAAAGGGCTCCAATTATCCACTTGCAGATTCTACAAAAAGAGTGTTTCAAAACTGTTATATCAAAAGATAGGTTCAATTCTTTAAGATGAATGCACGCATCACAATGAAGTTTCTCAGAATGCTTCTGTGTAGTATTTATGGGAAGATATTTCCTTTTCCACCATTGGCAGGACATGGCTCCAAATAACCACTTGCAGATTCTACAAAAAGAGAGTTTCAAAACTGCTCTGTCAAAAGAAAGGTTCAACTCTCTGAGTTGAATGCACACATCACAAAGATGTTTCTCAGAATGCTTCTGTGTGGTTTTTATATGAAGATATTTCATATTCCACAATAGGCCTCAAAGGGCTCCAAATATCCACTTTCAGATTATAGAAAAAGAGAGTGAAAACTGCTCTATCACAAGAGAAGGTCAACTCTGTGAGTTGAATGCACAAATCACAATGAAGTTTCTCAGAAGAATTTTGTGTAATTTTTATGTGAAGATGTTTCCTTTTCCACCATAAGCCTCAAAGCGCTCAAAACGTTCATTTGCAGATTCTACGAAAAGAGTATTTCAAACTTGCTTAATCAAAAGACAGTGTCAACACTGTGAGGTGAATACACACATCACAAAGAAGTTTCTCAGAATGCTTCTGTGTAGTTTTTATGTGAAGATATTTCATTTTCCACAATAGGCCTCAAGGCGCTCAAAATAGCCACTTGCAGATTCTAAAAAAAGAGTGTTTGCTAACTGCTCAATCAAAAGAAAGGTTCAACTCTGTGACATGAATGCAACATCACAAAGAAGTTTCTCAGAATTCTTCTGTGTAGTTTTTATGTGAAGATATTTTCTTTTCCACCACAGGCCTCTAAGGGCTCCATATATCCAATTGCAGATTATATAAAAAGAGTTTAGAAACTGCTCTATCAAAAGATAAGTTCAGCTCTGTCAGTTGAATGCACACATCACAAAGAAGTTTCTTAGAATGTCTCCATGTAATTTTTTTATGAAGATATTTCATTTTCCAACATAGGCCTCAAAGCGCTCCAAATATTCACATGCAGATTCTACAAAACGAATATTTCAAAACTGCTCAATCAAAAGAAAAGTTCAACTCTGTGAGATGATTGCACACATCACAAAGAAGTTTCTCAGAATACTTCTATGTAATTTTTCTGTGAAGATATTCTCTTTTCCACCATTGGCTGCAAAGGTCTACCAAATTTCCACTTGCAGATTCTACAAAAGGAGAGTTTCAATACTGCACTATCAAAAGATAGTTTCAACTCTGTCAGTGGAATGCACACATCACATAGAAGTTTCTCAGAATGCTTCTGTCTAGTTTTCATGTGAAGATGTTTCATTTTCCACCGTAGGAATCAAAGTGCTCAAATATTCACTTGCAGATTCTACAAAAATAGTTTTTCAAAGCTGCTCAATCCAAAGAAAGATTCAAGTCGGTGAGGTGAATGCACACATCATAAACAAGTTTCTCAGAATGCTTCTGTTTAGTTTTTATTGGAAGATATTTCCTTTTCCACCATAGGCCACAAAGGCTCAAAATATCCACTTGGAGATTCTACAAAAAGAGAGTTTCAAACCTGCTCAATCAAAAGATAGGTTCAACTCTGTGAGTCGAATGCACACATCACAAAGAAGTTTCTCAGAACGCTTCTGTGTAATTTTATGTGAAGATATACCCTTTTCCACCACAGGCATCAAAGTGCTCCAAATAAAACTTGCAGATTCTACAAAAAGAGTGTTTCAAAACTGCTCAATCAAAAGAAAGGTTCAACTCTGTGAGATGAATGCACACATCAGAAAGAAGTTTCTGAGAATACTTCTGTGCAGGTTTTATGTGAAGATATTTCCTTTTCGACAAAAGGCCTTAAAGCGCTCCAAATATCCATTTTGTAGATTCTACAAAAAGAGTGTTCCAAAGCTGCTCAATCCAAAGAAAGGTTCCATTCTGTGAGTTGAATGTGCACATCACAAATTAGTTCCTCAGAATGCTTCTGTGTAGTTTTTATTTGAAGATATTTCCTTTTCCACTGTAACCCTCAAAGTGCTCCAAATATCCACTTGCAAACTCTACAAAAAGAGTATTTCAAACCTGCTCAATCAAACGAAACGCTCAACTCTGTGAGATGAATGCCCACATCACAATGATATTCCTCAGAATGCTTCTGTGTATTTTTTATGGGAAGATATTTCCTTTTCCACAATAGGCCGCAAAGCGCTCCAAATATCCACTTGGAGATTCTAAAGAAAGAGTGTTTCAAAACTTCTAAATCAAAGAAAGGTTCAACTCTGTGAGATGAATACACACATCACGAAGAATTTTTTCAGAATGTTTCTGTGTAGTTTATATTGGAAGATATTTCCTTTTCCAATGTAGCCCACAAAGGCTCCAATTATCCACTTGCAGATTCTACCAAAAGAGAGTATAAAAACTGCTCTATCAAAAGATAAGTTCAACTCTGTGAGATGAATGCACTCACGGTGTAGAAGTTTCTCAGAATGCTTCTGTGCAGTTTTTCTGTGAAGACATTTCCTTTTCCACGACAGGCCTCAGAGCCCTCCAAATATCCACTTGCAGACTGTACAAAAAGAGTGTTTCAAAACAACTCAATCAAAAGAAAGGTTCCACTCTATGAGATGAATGCACACATCACAAAGATGTTTCCCACAATGCTTCTGTGTAGTTTTTATGTGAAGATATTACATTTTCCACAATATGCCTCAAAGCGCTTCCAATATCCACGTGCAGATTCTCCAGATAGAGTGTTTCAAAACTGCTCAGTCAAGAGAGAGGTTCAATCCTGTGAGAAGAATGCACACATCACAAAGAAGTTTATCAGAATGCTTCTGTGTAGTTTTTATTTGAAGATATTTCCTTCTCCACCATAGGCTGCAAGGGGCTCCAAATATCCAGTTGCAGATTCCACAAAAACAGAGTTTCAAAACTGCTCAATCAAAAGGAAGTTTCAACTCTGTGAGATGAATGCACACATCACAAAGAAGTTTCTCAGAATGATTCTTTGTAGTTTTTATGTGAAGATATTTCCTTTTCCACCTTAGGCCACAAAGCACTCCAAATATCCACTTTCAGATTCTACAAAAAGAGTGTTTCAAAATTCCTCAATCAAAAGAAAGTTTCAACTCTGTGTGTTGAATGCAAGCATCACAAAGAAGTTTCTCAGAATGCTTCTGTGTAGTTTTTATGTGAAGATATTTCATTTTCCACCATAGTCCACAAATGACTCTAAATATACATTTGCAGATTCTACAAAAAGAGTGTTTCAAAACTGCTAAATCAAAAAGTAGGTTCAACTATGTGAGTTGAATGCACACATCAAAAAGTAGTTTCTCAGAATAATTCTGTGCAGTTTTTATATGAAGATATTTCCTTTTCCACAATTGGCCTCAAAGCGTTCCAAATATCCACTTGCAGATTCTACAAAAAGATTGTTTCAAAACTGTTCAATCAAAAGGAAGGTTCAACTCTGTGAGATGAATGCACACATCACAAAGAAGTTTTTCAGAATTCGTCCGTGTAGTTTTTATGTGAAGATGTTTCTTTTTCTACCACAGACCGCATAGGGCTCCAGATATCCACATTCAGATTCTACAAAAAGAGAGTTTCAGAAGTGCTCAATCAAAAGATAGGCTCAAATCTGTGAGTTGAATGCACACATCAAAAGAATTTTCTCAAAATGATTTTGTGTCATTATTAAGTTAAGATATTTCCTTTTCCACCACAAGACTCAGAGCTCTCTAAGTATCCACTTACAGATTCTACAAAAAGAGAGTTCTTGAACTGCACAATTAAAAGATATGTTCAACTCTGTGAGATGAATGCACAGATCTTTAAGAAGTTTCTCAGAATGATTCTGTGTAGTTTTTATGTGAAGATACTTCCTTTTCCAGAATAGACCTCAAAGCGCTCCAAATATCCACTTGCAGATTCTACAAAAAGAGGGTTTCCACACTGCTCAATCAAAAGAAAGCTTCAAATCTGTGAGATGAATGCACGCATGACAAGAAGTTTCTCAGAATGCTTCTCTGTAGATTTTACAAAAAGATATTTCCTTTTCCACAGTAGGCCTCATAGCGTCCCAAATATCCACATGCAGATTCTACAAAAAGGATGTTTCCAAACTGCTCAATCAAAAGAAAAGTTTAACTCTGTGAGTTGAATGCACACATCACAAAGAAGTTTCTCAGAATGATTCTGTGTAGTTTTTATGTGAAGATAGTCCCTTTTGCACCATGGATGTGAAAGCGCTTCAAATATCCACTTGCAGTTTCCAAAAAAAGAGTGTTTCCAAACTGCTCAATCAAATGTAAGGTTCAACTCTGTGAAATGAATGCACACTTCGCAAAAAAATTTCTCAGAATGCTCTGTGTAGTTTTTACATGAAGATATTTCCTTTTCCGCAAGAGGCCTCAAAGCGTTCCAAATATCCAGTTGCAGATTATACAAAAAGTGTGTTTCCCAACTGCTCAATCAAAAGTAAGGTTCAACTCTGTGAGATTAATGCACACTTCACAAAGAAGTTTCTCAGAATACTTCTGTGTAGTTTTTATATGAAGATATTTCCTTTTCCACCATGGGCCCCAAAGCTCTCCAAATATGCACTTGCAGATTCTGCAAAAAGTGTGATTCAAAACTGCTCAATAGTAAGAAATGTTCAACTCTGTGAGATGAATGCACAAATCACGAAGAAGTTTCTCAGAATACTTCTGTGTAGCTTTATTTGAAGATAATTATTTTACCACAATAGGCCTCAAAGCGCTCCAAATATCCTCTTGCAGATGCTACAAAAAGAGTGTTTCACAACTGCTCTATCAAAGGAAACGTTAAACTCTGTGAAATGATTGCACACATAACAATGAAGTTTCTCAGAATGCCTCTGTGTAGTTTTTATATGAAGATATTTCCTTTTCTATCATTGGCTTCAAAGGGCTCTAAATATCCAGTTGCAGATTCTACAAAAAGAGAGTTTCAAAACCCCTCAATCAAAAGATAGGTTCAACTCCGTGAATTGAATGCACACATCATAAAGAAGTTTCTCAGAATGCTTCTGTGTAGTTTTTATGTGAAGATATTCATTTTTCCACAAAAGGCCTCAAAGAGGTCTAATTATCCATTTGCAGATTCTACAAAAAGAGTGTTTCAAAACTGCTCAATCAAAAGAAAGGTTCCACTCTGTGAGATGAAGGCACGCATCACAAAGTAGTTTCTCAGAATGCTTCTGTGTACTTTTTATATGAAGATATTTCCTTTTCCACAGGAGGCGCCAAAGCGTTCCAAATATCCACTTGCAGATTCTGCAAAAAGTGTGTTTCAAATGTGCTCAATCAACAGAAAGGTTTAATTCCATGTGATGAATGCACACATCATGAAGAAGTTTCTCAGAATGCTTCTGTGTTGTTTTTATGTGAAGATATTTCCTTTACCACGATAGGCCTAAAAGCGCTCCAAATATCCACTTGCAGATTCTACAAAAAGAGTGTTTCAAAACTAGTCAATCAAAAGAAAGCTTCAACTCTTTGAGATGAATGCACACATCACAAAGAAGTTTCTCAGAATGCTTCTGTGTAGCTTTTATGTGAAAATATTTACTTTACCACATTAGGCCTCAAAGCGCTCCAAATATCCACTTACAGATTCTACAAAAACAGTGTTTCAACACTGATCAATAAAAAGAAAGTTTCAACTCTTTGAGATGAATGCACGCGTCACAGAGAAGTTTCTCAGAATGCTTCTGTGCACTTTTTATATGAAGATATTTCCTTTTCCACATTAGGCCTTAAAGCATTCCAAATATTCACTTTCAGATTCTACAAAAAGATTGTTTCAATACTGCTCAATCAAAATAAAGGTTCAACTCTGTGAGATGAATGAACACATCACAAAGAAGTTTCTCAGAATGCTTCTGTGTAGTTTTTATGTGAAGATATTCCCTTTTCCAAAAAAGAGCTCAAAGCACTCCAAATATGCACTTGCAGATCCTAGAAAAAGAGAGTTTCAAAACTGCTCAATAAAAAGAAAGGTTCACCTCTGTGAGATGAATGCACAAATCACAAAGAAGTTTCTAAGAATGCTTCTCTGTAGTTTTTATGTGAAGATATTCCCTTTTGCACCACAGACCTCAAAGCGCTCCAAATATCCACTTGCATATTCCACAAAATGTGTGTTTCCAAATTGCTCAATCAAAATAACCGTTCAACTCTGTGAGATGAATGCACACATTGCAAAGAAGTTTCTCAGAATGCTTCCACGTAGTATTTATGTGAAGATATTTCCTTTTCCACAACAGGCCTCAAAGAGCTCCAAATATCCACTTGCATATTCTACAAAAAGAGAGTTTCACAACTGCCCCCCAAAAAAGGGAGGTTCAACTCTGTGAGTTGAATGCACACATCACAAAGAAGTTACTCAGAATGCTTCTGTGTAGTTTTTATGTGAAGATATTTCCTTTTCCACAATAGGCCTCAAAGTTTTCCAAATACCCACTTGCAGATTATACAAAAAGTGTGTTTCCAAACTGCTCAATCAAAAGAAAAGTTCAACTCCTTGAGATGAAGGCACGCATCACAAAGAAGTTTCTCAGAATGTTTCTGTGCAGTTTTTATGTGAAGATATTTCCTTTTCCTTAATAGGCCTCAAAGCACTCCAAATATCCAGTTACAGATTCTACAAAAGGAGTGTTTCAAAATCGCTCAATCAAGAGAGAGGTTCAACCTTGTGAGAAGAATACATGCATCACAAAGAAGTTTCTCAGAATGCTTCTGTGTAGTTTTGATATGAAGATACTTCCTTTTCCACAACAGACCTCAAGGCACTCCAAACATCGACATGCAGATTCTACAAAAAGAGTGTTTCAAAACTGCTCAATCAAAAGAAATGTTCAACTCTGTGAGATGAATGCGTACATCTCAAGGAAGTTTCTCAGAAAGCTTCTGTGTAGTTTTTATGTGAAGATATTTCCTTTTCCACCACAGGCCACAAATGGCTCCAAATATCCACTTGCAAATTCTAGAAAAAGAGAGTTTTAAAACTACTCAAACATAGGTTCAACTCTTTGAGTTGAATGCACACATCACAAAGAAGTTTCTCAGAATGCTTCCATGTATATATTATGTGAAGATATTTTCTTTTCCACCATACGCCACAAATTGCTCCAAAAATCGACTTGCATACTCTACAAAAAGAGAGTTTCCAAACTGCTCAATGAAAAGAAAGGTTCAACTCGGTGAGATGAATGCACACATCACAAAGAAGTTTCTCAGAATGCTTCTGTGTAGTTTTTATGTGAAGATATTTCCTTTTACACAAAAGGCTTTAAAGCGCTCCAAATATCCACTCGCAGATTCCATAGAAAGAGTATTTTAAAACTGCTCAATCAAAGAAATTTTCAACTCTGTGAGATGAATGCACACATCACAAAAAAATTCTCAGAATGCTTCTGTGTTGTTTTTATGGGAAGGTATTTCATTTTCCACAATAGGCCAAAAAATACTAGAAATATGCCCTTGCAGATACTACAAAATGAGTCGTTCAAAACTGCTCAACCCAAAGAAATTTTCAACTCGGTGAGATGAATGCCCTCGTTTCAAAGTAGTTTCTCAGAATGCTTCTGTGTAGTTTTTATATGAAGATATTTCCTTTTCCACCATTGGCCGAAAAGGGCTCCAACTATCTCCTTGAAGATTCTACAAAAAGTGTGTTTCAAAACTGCTCAATCAAAAGAAAGGTTCAACTCTGTGACATAAAGGCAAACATCCCAAAGAAGTTTCTAAGGATGCTTTGGTGTAGTTTTTATGTGAAAATATTTCCTTTTCCACAATAGGCCTGAAAGCGCCCGAAATATCCACTTGCAGATTCTACAAAAAGAGTTTTTGAAAGCCGCTCAATTAAAAGAAAGATTAAACTCTGTGAGATCAATGCACGCATCACAAAATAGTTTCTCTGAATGCTTCTGTGTAGTTTTTGTGTGAAGATATTTCCTTTTCTACCAATAGCCACAAGGTCCTTCAAACATCCAAATGCAGATTCTATAAAAAGAGAATTTCAAAACTGCTCAATCAATAGATAGGTTCAAGAAGTTTCTCAGAGTGCTTCTGTGTAGTTTTTATGTGAAGATATTTTCTTTTCCACAATAGGCCACAAAGTGCTCCCAATATCCACTTGCAGATACTACAGGAAGAGTGTTTCAAAACTGATCAAGCAAAAGAACAGTTCAACTCTGTGAGATAAATGCACACATCACAAAGAAGTTTCTCAGAATGCTTCTGTCTAGTGTTTATGTGAAATTATTTCCTTTTCAGCTGCAGGCCTCCAAGTGCTCCAAATATCCTTTGTAGATACTACAAGAAGAGTGTTTCCAAGCTGCTCCATCAAAAGAAATGTTCAACTCTGTGAGTTGAACACACACATCATAAAGTAGTTTCTGAGAACGCTTCCATCTAGTTTTTATGTGAAGTTTTTTCTTTTTCCACTAAATGCCTCCAAGCACTCCAAATATCCAATTGCAGATTCTACAAAAAGAGTGTTTCCAAACTGCTCAATCAAAAGAAATTTCAAGTCTGTGAGATGGGTGCACAAATCACAAAGAAATTTCCCAGAATGCATCTGTGTAGTTTTTATGTGAAGATATTTACTTTTCCATAATAGGCCTCAAAGCACTCCAAATATCCACTTGCAGATTCTACAAAAAGAGTGTTTCCAAACTGCTCAATCAAAAGAAATTTCAAGTCTGTGAGATGGGTGCACAAATCGCAAAGAAATTTCCCAGAATGCATCTGTGTAGTTTTTATGTGAAGATATTTACTTTTCCATAATAGGCCTCAAAGCACTCCAAATATCCACTTGCAGATTCTACAAATAGAGTGTTTCAAAACTGCTCAATCAAAAGAAAAGTTCAACTCTGGGAGATGAATGCACACATCGCAAAGAAGATTCTCAGAATGCTTCTGTGTAGCTTTAATATGAACATATTTTCTTTTCCACAATAGGCCTCAAAGCACTCCAATTATCCACTTGCAGATGCTACAAATAGAAAGTTTCAAAGCTGCTCAATGAAAAGATAAATTTAACTCTGTGAGTTGAATGCACACATCACAAATAAGTTTCTCAGAATGCTTCTGTGTAGTTTTTATGTGAAGATATTTCATTTTCCTCAATAGGCCTCAAAGCGGTCCAAATATCCACTTGCAGTTTCTACAAAAAGAGTGTTTCAAAAATGCTCAGTCAAATCGAAAGTTCAACTCTGTGAGATGAATGTGAACATTGCAAAGAAGTTTCTCAGAATGCTTCTGTGTAGTTTTTAAGTGAAGATAATTCCTTTTCCACAATAGGCCTCAAAGCTCTCCAAATATCCACTTGTAGATTCTACAAAAAAAGTTTTTCAAAACTGCTCAATCAAAAGAAAAGTTCAACTGTATTGGATGAATGCCCACATCACAAAGAAGTTTCTCAGAATGCTTCTGTGTAGTTTTAATATGAAGATATTTCCTTTTCCACAATAGGCCTCAAAACTCTCCAAATATCCACTTGCAGATTCTTCAAAAAGAGTGTTTCAAAACACAAAGACTTGTAGCCAACCCAAAAGTCCAACAGTGATAGACTGGATTAAGAAAATGTGGCACATCTATACCGTGGAATACTACGCAGCCATAAAAAATGATGAGTTCATGTCCTTTCTAGGGACATGGATGAAATAGGAAATCATCATACTCAGTAAACTATCAGAAGGACAAAAACCCAAACATCGCATGTTCTCACTCAGTGGGGGGAATTGAACAATGAAAAGACATGGACACAGGAAAGGGAACATCACACTCTGGGGACAGTTCTGGGGTGGAGGGAGGGGGGAGGGATAGCTGTTGGAGATATACCTAATTCTAAATGACGAGTTAATGGGAGCAACACACCAGCGTTGTATATATGTATACATATGTTAGTTACATGTATACATATGTAAATAACCTGCACACTGTGCACATTTACCCTAAAACTTAAAGCACAATAATAATAAAATAAAAAACTGCCCAATCAAAGGAAAGGTTCAACTCTGTGATATGAATGCACACATCACAATGAAGTTTCTCAGAATGCTTCTGTGTAGTTTTTATGTGAAGATATTTCCTTTTCCACCATAGGCCTAAAAGGGCTCCATATATCCACTTGCAGATTCTACAAAAAGAGAGTTTCAAAACTGCTCAATCAAAAGATAGGTTCAACTATGTGAGATAAATGCACACATCACAAAGAAGTTTCTCAGAATGCTTCTGTGTAGTTTTAATGTGAAGGTATTTCCTATTCTGAAATGGGCATCAAAGGGCTCCAAATATCCACTTGCAGATTCTACAAAAAGTGTGTTTCCAAACTGCTCAATCAAAAGAAAGTTTCAACTCTGTGTGTTGAATGCAAGCATCACAAAGAAGATTCTCGGAATGCTTCTGTGTAGTTTTTATGTGAAGATATTTCCTTTTCCACCATAACCTTCAAAGCAATCCAAATATCCACTTACAGATTCTACAAAAAGAGTGTTTCCAAACTAATCAATCAAAAGAAAGGTTCAACTCTGTGAGATGAATGCACACATCGCAAAGAAGTTTCTCAGAATGCTTCTATGTAGTTTTTACATGAAGATATTTCCTTTTCCATAATAGGCCAAAAAGTGCTCCAAATATCCATTTGCAGAATGTACAAAAAGATTTTTTCCAAACTGCTCATTCAAAAGAAAGGTTCAACTCTTTGAGATGAATGCACACATCACAAAGAAGTTTCTCAGAATTATTGTGTGTAATTTTCATTTGAAGATATATCCTATTCCACAATAGTTCTCAAAGCGCTTCAAATATCCACTTGCAGACTCTACAAAAATAGTGTTTCCAAACTGCTTAATGAAAAGCAAGGTTCAACTCTGTGAGATGAATGCACACATCACAAAGAGGTTTCTCAGAATGCTTCTGTGTAGTTTTTATGTGAAGATATTTCCTTTTACACAATTGGCCTCTGAGGCACCAAATATTCACTTGCAGATTCTACTAAAAGAGTCTTTCAAAACTGCTCAATCAAAAGAAAAGTTCAACTCTGTGAGATGAATGTACACATCATAAAAATGTTTCTCTGAATGCTTCTGTGTAGGTTTTATGTGAAGACACTTCCTTTTCCACAATAGGCCACAAAGCACTCCAAATATCCATGTGCAGATTCTACAAAGAAAGTGTTTCCAAGCTGCTGAATGAAAAGAAACGTTCAACTGTATGAGGTGAATGCACACATTACATAGAAATTTCTAAGAATTCTTCTGTGTAGTTTTTATTTGAGGATATTTCCTTTTCCACATAGGCCTCAAAGTGCTCCAAATATCCACTTGCAGATTCTAAAAAGTGTGTGTTTCCAAACTGCTCAATCAAAAGAAAAGTTCAACTCTGTGAGAGGAATGCACACATCACAAAGAAGTTTCTGAGACTGCTTTTCTGTAGTTCTTATGTGAAGATATTTCCTTTTACACAGTAGGACTGAAAGTGATTCAAATATCCACTTGCAGATTCTAGAAAATGAGTGTTTCAAAACTGCTCAATGAAAAGAAAGTTTCAACTATCTGAGAGGAATGAAGACATCACAAAGAACTTTCTCAGAATGCTTCTGTCTAGTTTTTATGTGAAGATATTTTCTTTTCCACTATAGGCCTGAAACCACTCAAAATATCCATTTACAGATACTACAAAAAGACTGTTTCCAAACTGCCCAATCAAAAGAAAATTTCAAATCTGTGAGTGAATGCACAAATGATGAAGACGTTCTCAGAATGCTTTTGTGTAGTTTTTATGTGAAGATATTAACTTTTCAAACATAGGCCGCACAGTGATCCAAATATGTACTTACAGATACTTCAAAAAGAGTGTTTCAAACTGCTCAATTAAAAGAAAGTTTCAACTGTGTGAGTGGAATGCAAACATCACAAAGAAGTTTCTCAGAATGCCCCTGTCAACTTTATATGTGAAGATATTGCCTTTTCCACAAAACGCCTCAAACCATTCCAAATATCCACATGCAGATCCTACAAAAAGGGATTCAAAACTGCTCAATCCAAAGAAAGGTTGAACTCTGTGAGAAGAATGCACACATCATAAAGAAGTTTCTCAAAATGCTTCTGTCTAGCTTTTATGTGAAGATATTTCCTTTTCCACTATAGGCCGCAAAGCGCTCTAAATATCCACTTACAGAACCTACATAAAGAATGTTCCAAAACGGCTAAATCAAAATAAAGGTTCAACTCTGTGAGATGAATGCACACATCACAAAGAAGTTTCTCAGAATGTTTCTGTCTAGTTTTTATGGGAAGATATTTCCTTTTCCACCATAGGCCTCAAAGTGCTCCAAATATCCACTTGCAGATTCAACAAAAAGTGGGTTTAAAACTGCTCAATGAAAAGAAAGTTTCAACTCTGTGAGTCTAATGCACACATCAGAAAGAAGTTTCTCAGAATGCTTCTCTGTAGTTTTTATGAGAAAATATTTCTTTTTCCAACAAAGGCCTCAAAGCACTCCTAATATCCTATTGCAGATACTAGAAAAAGAGTGTTTAAAAACTGCTGAATCAAAAGAAATGTACAAATCTGTGAGATGAATGCACTCATCACAAAAAAGTATCTCAGAATCCTTCTGTCTAGTTTTTATTTGAAGATATTTCCGTTTACACTACTTAATGCAAACTGCTGTGAATATGCACTTGCAGATTCCACAAAAGGAGTGTTTCAAAAATGCTCAATCAGTAGAAAGATTCAACTCTGTGAGTTGTATGCACACATCACTAAGAAGATTCTCAGAATGTAGCACCTAGTTTTTATGTGAAGATATTTACTTTTCCACCAAAGGCCTCAGAGCGCTCCAATTATCTATGTTCAGATACTGCAAAAAGACTGTTTCCAAACTGCTCTATCAAAAGAAAGGTTCAACTCAGTGAGTTGAATGCACACATCACAAAGGAGTTTCCCAGAATGCTGCTCTGTGGTTTTATGTGAAGATATTTCCTTTTTCACCATAGGCCTCAAAGCACTCAAAATATCCTCTTATAGATATTACAAAAAGAGTGTTTCAAAACTGCTCAATCAAAATAAAGTTTCAACTCTGTGAGATGAATGCACACGTCAGAAAGAAGTTTATCAGAATGCTTCTGTCTAGTTTTTATGTGGAGATATTTCATTTTCCACCACAGGCCTCAAAGCGCTCCAAATATTCATTTTCTGATTCTTCAAAAAGCCGTTTCCAAGCTGCTCAATCGAAAGAAATAATCAACTCTGTGAGATGAATGCACACATCACAAATAAATTTCTGAGAATGCTTCTGTCTAGTTTTTATGGGAAGATATTTCCTTTTCCACCATAGGCCTCAAAGCGCTCCAAATATCAATTTGCAGATCCTACAACAAGAGTGTTGCAGAAGTGCTCAATCAAATGAAAAGTTCAACTCTGTGGGATGAATGCACATATCACAAAGAAGTTTCCCAGAATGTTTCTTTTTTGGTTTTATGTGAAAATATTTGCTTTTCCACTAAAGGCTGCAAAGCATTCCAAATATCCAATTGCAGATTCTACAAAAAGAGTGTTTCAAATCTGCTCAATCAAAAACAAGTTTCAACTACATGAGATGAATGCTCACATCACAAAGAAGTTTATCAGAATGCTTCTGTGTGGTTTTTATGTGAAGATATTTCCTTTTCCACAATAGGCCTCGAAGGGCTCCAAATATCCACTTGCAGATTCTACAAAAGGAGTGTTTCCAAGCTGTTCAATCAAAACAAAAGTTGAACTCTGTGAGATGAATGCACACACAGAAAAGAAGTTTTTCAGAACGCTTCTGTATAGTTTTTATGGTACGATAATTCCTTTTCCACTATAGGCCTCAACGCGCTCCAAATATCCATTTGCAGGTACTACAAAAGCCTGTTTCCAAACTGTTCAATCAAAAGAACGTTTCAACTCTGTGAGTTGAATGCTCAATCACAAAGTACTTTCTGAGAATGCTTCTGTCTTGTATTTATGTGAAGATATTTCCTTTTCCAACATAGGACTGAAAGCGCTCCAAATATCCATTTGCAGATACTACAAAAAGAGGGTTTCCAAACTGGTCAATCTAAAGAAAGGTTCAACTCTGTTAGTTGAAAGCTCACATCATGAAGAAGTTTCTCAGAATGCTTCTCTCTATTTTTAATATGAAGATATTTCCTTTTCCACTCTAGGCCACAAAGTGCTCCAAATATCCACTTGCAGAACCTTAAAAAATAGTGTTTCAAACTTCTCTATCAAAAGAAAGTTTCAGCTCTGTGAGATGAATGCACACATCACAAAAAAGTTTCTGAGAATGTTTCTGTCTCGTTTTTACGTGAAGATATATCCTTTTCCACTATAGACCACAAAGCTCTCCTTATATCCACTTGCAGATTCTACAAAAAGAGGATTTCAAAACTACTTAATCAAAAGAAAGCTTCACTTCTTTGAGATGAATGCAGACATCACTAAGAAGTTTCTCATAATGCTTCTGTCTAGTTTTATGTGAAGATATTTCCTTTTTCACTAAAGGTATCAAGGCGCTCCAAATATACATTTGCAGATGCTCCAAAAAGAATGCTTACAGTGACTTTGCAGAAGTTGCTTATGAGCTTAAGGAGATTTGGGGCTGAGACAATGGGGTTTTCTAGATATACAATCATGTCATCTGCAAACAGGGACAATTTGACTTCCTATTTACCTAATTGAATACTCTTTATTTCCTTCTCCTGCCAAATTGCTCAGTCCAGAACTTCCAACACTATGTTGAATAGGAGTGGTGAGAGAGGGCATCCCTGTCTTGTGCCAGTTTTCAAAGCAAATGCTTCCAGTTTTTGTCCATTCAGTATGATATTGGCTGTGGGTTTGTCATAGATAGCTCTTATTATTTTGAGATACGTCCCATCAATACCTAATTTATTGAGAGTTTTTAGGATGAAGGGTTGTTGAATTTTGTCAAAGGCCTTTTCTGCATCTATTGAGATAATCATGTGGTTTTTGTCTTTGGTTCTGTTTATACGCGGGATTACATTTATTACTTTGCATATATTGAACCAGCCTTGCACCCCAGGGATGAAGCCCACTTGATCATGGTGGATAAGCTTTTTGATGTGCTGCTGGATTTGGTTTGCCAGTATTTTATTGAGGATTTTTGCATCAATGTTCTAAAGGATATTGGTGTAAAATTCTCTTTTTTGGTTGTGTCTCTGCCAGGCTTTGGTATCAGGAAGATGCTGGCCTCATAAAATGAGTTAGGGAGGATTCCCTCTTTTTATATTGATTGGAATAGTTTCATAAAGAAAGGTATCAGTTCCTCCTTGTACCTCTGGTAGAATTCGGCTGTGAATCCATCTGGTCCTGGACTCTTTTTGGTTCATAAGCTTTTGATTATTGCCACAATTTCAGGGCCTCTTATTGACCTATTCATTGATTCAACTTCTTCATAGTTTAGTCTTGGGAGGGTGTATGTGTCGAGGAATTTATCCATTTCTTCTAGACTTTCTAGTTTATTTGTGTAGAGGTGTTTGTAGTATTCTCTGATGGTAGTTTGTATTTCTGTTGGATTGGTGTTGATATCCCCTTTATCATTTTTTATTGCATCTATTTGATTCTTCTCTCTTTTCTTCTTTATTAGTCTTACTAGTGGTGTATCAATTTTGTTGATCCTTTCAAAAAACCAGCTCCTGGATTCATTAATTTTTTGTAGGGTTTTTTGTATCTCTATTTCCTTCAGTTCTGCTCTGATTTTAGTTATTTCTTGCCTTCTGCTAGCTTTTGAATGTGTTTGCTCTTGTTTTTCTAGCTCTTTTAATTGTGATGTTAGGGTGTCAATTTTGGATCTTTCCTGCTTTCTCTTGTGGGCATTTAGTGCTATAAATTTCCCTCTACACACTGCTTTGAATGTGTCCCAGAGATTCTGGTATGTTGTGGATACAAAATCAACGTACAAAAATCACAAGAATTCTTATACACCAATAACAGACAAACAGAGATCCAAATCATGAGTGAACTCTCATTCATAATTGCTTCAAAGAGAATAAAATACCTAGGAATCCAACTTACAAGGGACGTGAAGGACCTCTTCAAGGAGAACTGCAAACCATTGCACAAGGAAATAAAAGAGGATACAAAGAAATGGAAGAAAATTCCATGCTCATGGATAGGAAGAATCAATAATGTGAAAATGGCCATACTGACCAAGGTAATTTATAGATTCAATGCCATTCCCATCAAGCTACCAATGACTTTCTTCACAGAATTGGAAAAAAACTACTTTAAAATTCATATGGAACCAATAAGGAGCCCACATTACCAAGTCAATCCTAATCCAAAAGAATAAACCTGGAAGCATCATGCTACCTGACTTGAAACTATACTACAAGGCTACAGTAACCAAAACTGCATGGTACTGGTAACAAACCAGAGATATAGATCAATGGAACAGAAGAGAGCCCTCAGAAATAATGCTGTGTATCTACAACTATCTGATCTTTGACAAACCTCAGAAAAACAAGCAATGGGGAAAGGATTCCCTATTTAATAAATGGTGCTGAGAAAACTGGCTAGCCATATGTAGAAACCTGAAACTGGATTCCTTCCTTATACCTTATACAAAAATTAATTTAAGATGGATTAAAGACTTAAATGTTAGACCCAAAACCATAAAAACCCTAGAAGAAAACCTAGGCATTACCATTCAGGACATAGGCATGGGCAAGGACTTCATGTCTAAAACACCAAAAGCAATGGCAACAAAAGACAAAATTGACAAATGGGATCAAATTAAATTAAAGAGCTTCTGCACAGCAAAAGAGACTACCATCAGAGTGAACAGGCAACCTACAAAATGGGAGAAAATTTTCACTACCTACTCATCGGACAAAGGGATAATATCCAGAATCTACAATGAGCTCAAACAAATTTACAGGAAAAAAATCAAACAACCCCATCAAAAAGTGGGCAAAGGACATGAACAGACACTTCTCAAAAGAAGACATTTATGCAGCCAAAAAACACATGAACAAATGCTCACCATCACTGGCCATCAGGGAAACGTAAATCAAAACCACAATGAGATACCATCTCACACCAGTTAGAATAGCAATCATTAAAAAGTCAGGAAACAACAGGTGATGGAGAGGATGTGGAGAAATAGGAACACTTTTACACTGTTGGTGGGACTGTAAACTAGCTCAACCCTTGTGGAAGTCAGTGTGGCGATTCCTTAAGGATCTAGAACTAGAAGTACCATTTGACCCAGCCATCCCATTACTGGGTATATACCTAAAGGAGTATAAATCATGCTGCTATAAAGACACATGTACATGTAAGTTTATTGCAGCACTATTCACAATAGCAAAGACATGGAACCAACCCAAATGACCAACAATTATATACTGGATTAAGAAAATGTGGCACATATACCCCTTGGTATACTATGCAGCCATAAAAAATGATGAGTTCATGTCCTTTGTAGGGACACGGATTAATTCAGAAATCATCATTCTCAGTAAACGATCTCAAGGACAAAAAAACCAAACAATGCATGTTCTCAGTCATAGGTAGGAATTGAACAATGAGAACACATGGACACAGAAAGGGGAACATCACACTCTGGGGACTGTTATGGGGTGGGGGAAGTGGGGAGATAGCACTAGGAGATATGCCTAATGCTAAATGATGAATTAATGGGTGCAGCACACCAGCATGGCACATGTATACATATGTAACTAACATGCACATTGTGCACAAGTACCCTAAAACGTAAAGTAAATTAAAAATAAATACAAAAGAATGCTTACAAATTGCTCAATCCAAAGTAAGGTTCCACTCCTTGAGTTGTATGTGCACATCACAAAGGAGTTTCTCAGAACGCTTATTGCTAGTTTTTATGTGAGGATATTTCCTTTTATACCATAGGCCTCAAAGCTCTCCAAATATCCATTTGCAGATTCTACATAAAGAATGTTTCCAAACTGCTCAAGCAAAAGAAAGGTTCCACTCTGTGAGTTGAATGCACACATCACAAAGAAGTTTCTCAGAATGCTTCTGTACAGTTTTTAGGTGAAGATATTTCCTTTTCCACCATAGGCCTCAAATCGCTCAAAATATCCACTTGCAGATTCTACAAAAAGAGTGTTTCAAAACTTCCCAATGAAAAGAGATGTTCAACTGTGTGAGATGAATGCACACATCACAAAGGAGTTTCTCAGAATGATTCTGTCTTGTTTTTACGTGAAGATATTTTCTTTTTCACCATAGGCAGCCAAGCGCTCCAAATATCCACTTGCAGATTCTACAAAAAGAGTGTTTCAAAACTGCTCAATCAAAATAAAGGTTCAACTCTGTGAGATGAGTGCACACATCACAAAGAAGTTTCTCAGAATACCTCTGTCTAGTTTTTATTTGAAGATATTTCCTTTTCCAATATAAGCCACAAAGCGCTCCAAATATCCACTTGCAGATTCTAAAAAAAAAGTGTTTCAGAACTGTCAATCAAAAGAAAGCTTCAACACTGTGAGACGAATGAACACATCACAAAGAAGATTCTCAGAATGCTTCTGTCTAGTTCTTATATGAAGATAACTCCTTTTCCTCTATAGGCCACAAAGCGCTCAAAATATCCATTTGCAGATAGTACATAAAGACTGTTTCCAAACTGCTCAATCAAAAGAAATTTGCAACACTGTGAGGTGAATACACACATGACAAAGAACTTTCTCAGAATGCTTCTGTCTAGTTTTTATGTGAAGATATTTCCTTTTCCACAATAGGCCTCATAGCACTCCAAATATCCAATTGCAGATTCTGTAAAAAGAGTGTTTCAAAACTGCACAATCAAAAGAAAGTTTCAACTCTGTGAGATGAATGCACATATCACAAAGAAGTTTCCCAGAATGCTTCTGTCTAGTTTTTATTTGAAGGTATTTTCTTTTACACTATAGGCCGCAAAGCACTCAAATCTCCAATTGCAGATTTGTAAAAAAGAGTGTTTTAAAAATGCTCAATGAAAAGAAAGGTTTAACTCTGTGAGATGAATGCACACATCACAAGGAAGTTTCTCAGAGTTCTTCTGTCTAGCTTTCATGTAAAGATATTTCCTTTTCCACCGTAGGACTGTAAGCTCTCCAAATATCCATTTGCAGATACTATAAAAAGACTGTCTCCAAACTCCCCAATCAAAAGAAAAGTTCAACTCTGTGAGTTGAAAGTGCACATCACAAGGTAATTTCTCAGAATGTTTTTGTCTAGTTTCTATGTGAAGAGATATCGTTTTCCACTATATGCCTGAATGGGTTCCAAATATCCACTCACAGATTCTACAAGAAGAGTGTTTCAAAATTGCTGAATCAAAGGAAAGTTTTAACACTGCGAGATGAATGCACACATCACAAAAAAGTTTCTCAGAGTGCTTCTGTCTATTTTTAATGTGAAGATATTTCCTTTTTCACCATATGCCTCAAAGCGCACCAAATATCCAATTGCAGATTCTAGAAAAACAGTGTTTCAAAACTGCTCAGTCAAAAAAAAATGTTCATCTCGTGAGATGAATGAACACATCAAAAAGAATTTTCTCAGAATGCTACTGTCTAGTTTTTCTGTGAAGATATTTCCTTTTCCACTATAGGCCCCAAAGCTCTCCAAATATCCAATTGCAGATACTACATACAGAATAATTCTTAACTGCTCAATCAAAAGAAAGATCCAACTCTGTGAGTTGAAGGCAAACATCACAAAGCAATTTATCAGAATGCTTCTGTCTGGTTTTTATGTGAAGATATTTCCTTTTCCAACATAGGCCTCAAGAGCTCCAAATATCCAACTGCAGATTCTACAAAAAGAGTGTTTCCAAACTGCTCAATCAAAAGATATGTTCATCTCGTGAGATGAATGGATACATCACAAAGAAGTTTCTCAGAAAGCTTCAGTCTAGTTTTAATGTGAAGATATTTCCTTTTCCACTATAGGCCACAATGTGCTCCAAATATCCACTTGCAGATACTTAAAAAAGAGTGGTTCAAAAATGCTCAATAAAAAGAAAGATTAATCTATCTGAGATGAATGAACACATCACAGAGAAGTTTCTCAGAATGTTTCAGTCTAGCTTTTATGTGAAGATATTTCCTTTTCCACCATAGACAGAAAAGCTCTCCTAATATACACTTGCAGATTCTACAAAATAAGGGTTTCAAAACTGCTCAACGAAAAGAAAGTTTCAACTCTGTGAGATGAATGCACATATCACAAAGACGTTTCTGAGAATTCTTCTGTCTGGTTTTTATGTGAAGATATGTCCTTTTCCACCATAAGCCTCAAAGCACTCAAAATATCAATTTGCAGATACTACAAAAAGAGTGTTTCCAAACTGCTCAATCAAAAGAAAGGTTCATCTCTGTAAGTTGAATGCACACTTCAGGAAGATGTTTCTCAGAATGCTTCTCTCTAGGTTTTATGTGAAGATATTTCCTTTTCCAATATACGCCAAAAATCGCTGCAAATATCCCCTTGCAGATTCTACAAAAAGAGTGTTTCAAAACTGCTCAATCAAAAGAAAGGTTAAACTCTTTGAAATGAATGCACACATCACAAAGTAGTTTCTCAGAATGCTTCCATCTAGTTTTTATGTGAAGATATTTCCTTTTCCACTGTAGGCCTTAAGGCACTCTAAATATACATTTGCAGATGCTACAAAAAGAATGCTTACAAACTGCTCAATCAAAAGAAAGGTTCAACTCTTTGAGTTGCATGCACACACCAAAAAGAAGTTTCTCAGAATGCTTCTTGCTAGTTTTTGTGTGAAGATATTTAATTTTCTACCGTAGGCCACAAAGTGCTCCAAATATCCACTTGCAGACTCTACAAAAAGAGTGTTTCAAAATAGCTAAATCAAAACAAAGGTTCAAATCTGTGAGATCACTGCACACTTCACAAAGAAGTTTCTCAGAATGTTTCTGTCTAGTTTTATGTAAAGATATTTGCTTTCCACCATAGGCCTCATAGCGCTCCAAATATTCCCTTGCAGATACTGCAAAGAGAGTGTTTCAAAACTACTGAATCAAAAGATTGGTTCAACCCTGTGAGATGAATGAACACATCACAAAGATGTTTCTGAGAGTGCTTTTGTCTAGTTTTTATGTGAAAATATTTTCTTTCCCTCTTTAGACCGTGAAACGATCCAAATATCCACTTGCCGATACTACAAAAGAGTGTTTCCAAACTCTTCAATCAAAAGAAAGTTTCAACACTGTGAGTTGAAGGCACACATCACAAACAAGTTTCTCGGAATTTTTATGTCTAGTTTTTATATGAAGACATTTCCATTTCCATGATATGCCTAAAAGTGCTCCAAATATCCACTTGCACAAAAAAAAGAGTGTTTCAAAATTGCTCAATCAAAGGAAAATTTCAAATCTGTGTGGAGAATGAACACATCACAAGGAAGTTTCTCAGACTTCTTCTGTCTAGATTTTATGTGAAGATATTTCCTTTTTCACTATAGGCAGCAAAGCACTCCAAATATCCACATGCAGATTCTACAAAAAGACTTTTTCAAAGCTGCTGAATTAAAAGAAAGGTTCAACACTGTGAGATGAAGGCACACATCACAAAGAAGTTTATCAGAATTCTTCTGTCTAGTTTTTCCTGAAGATATTTCCTTTTCCACTATAAGTCTCAATCGCTTGAGATATCCACTGGCTGATATTACAAAAAGAATGTTTCCAAACTGATCAATCAAAGGATAAGTTCAAATCTGTGAGTTGAATGCACAGATCACAAAAAAATTTCTCAGAATGCTTTTGTCCAGTTTTAATGAGAAAATATTTCCTTTTCCACTATAGGCCCAAAGCTCTCCATATATCCACATGCAGACTTTACAAAAAGACTGTTTCAAAACTGCTCAATCAGAAGAAAGCTTCAACTCTGTGAGATGCATGCATGCATCACAAAGAAGTTTCTCAGAATGCTTCTGTCTTGTTTTTATGTGATGATATTTGCTTTTCCACTATAGGCCGCAAATGGCTACAAATATCCACTTGCAGATTCTACAAAAAGAGTATTTCAAAACTGCACAATCAAAACAAAAGTTTAAATCTCTGAGATGAATGCACACAGCACAATGAAGTTTCTCAGAATGCTTCTGTCTATCTATTTTGTGAAGATATTTCCTTTTCCACTATAGGCCTTTAAGCGCCCCAAATATCCATTTGCAGATACTACAAAAAGACTGTTTCCAAAGTACTCAATCGAAAGAAACTTTCACAATGTGAGATCAATGCACACATCACAAAGAAGTTTCTCAGAATGCTACTGTCTAGTTTTTATGTGAAGATATTTCCTTGTCCACTATAGACTGAAAATGCGCCAAATATCCACATGCAGATCCTACAAATAGAGTGTTTCAAAACTGCTCAATGAAAAGTAAGGTTCAACTCTGTGAGATGAATGCACACTTCACAAAGAAGTTTCTCATAATGATTCTGTCTAGTTTTTATATGTAGATATTACCTTCTCCACTATAGGCCTCAAAGTGCTCCAAATTTCCATTTACAGATACTACAAAAAGACTGTTTACCAACTGCTTTATCAAAAGAAAGGTTCAAATATGTGAGTTGAATGCACAAATCACAAAGAATTTTCTCAGAAATCTTCTGTGTAGTTTTTATGTGAAGATATTTCCTTTTCCACTACAGGCCTCAAAGCGCTCAAAATATCAACTTTCACATTCTACAAAAAGAGTGTTTCAAAACTGTTCAATCAAAAAAAAGTTTCAACTCTGTGAGATGAATGCACTCATAGCAAATAAGTTTCTCAGAATGTTTCTGTGTAGTTTTTATGTGAAGATATTTTGTTTTCCACCATGGGCATCAAGGTGCTCCAAATATCTACTTGCACATCCTGCAAATAGAGTGTTTCCAAACTACTCAATCAAAAGAAAGGTTCAACTACATCAGATGAATGCACGCATCACAAAGAAGTGACTCAGAATGCTTCTGCAGAGTTTTTATGTAAAGAAATTTCCTTTTCCGCCACAGGCCTCAAAACGCCCCAAATACACCCTTGCAGATTCTACAAAAAGAGTGTTTCAAAACTGCTCAATCAAAAGAAAAGTTCTATTCTCTGAGATGAATGCACACATTGCAAAGGAGTTTCTCAGAATGCTTTTGTCTTGTTTTTATGTGAAGATATTTCCTTTCCCACTATAGGTGGCAAAATTCTCCAAATATCCACTTGCAGATTCTATAAAAAGAGTGTTGCAAAACCGCTCAAATAAAAAAACAGTTCAGCACTCTGAGATGAATGCACACATAACAAAATAGTTTCTCAGAATGCTTCTGTCTAGTTTTTATGTGAAGGTATTCCTTTCTCCACTATAGGTCGCAAAGCATTCGAAATATCCACTTGCTGATTCTACAAAAAGAGTGTTTCAAAACTGCTCAATCAAAAGAAAGGTTCAACTCTGTGAGATGAATGTACACATCACAAAGAAAATTCTGAGAATGCTTCTGTCTACTTTTAAGTGAAGATATTTCCTTTTCCACTATAGGAAACAAAGGGCTCCAAATATCCACTTGCAGATTCTACAAAAAGAGTGTTTCAAAACTGCTCAAAAAAAGAAATGTTCAACTCTGTGAGATGAATGCACACATTACAAAGAAGTTTCCAAGAAATCTTCTGTCTAGTTTTTATGTGAAGATATTTCATTTTCCACCGTAGGTGTCAAAGATCTCCAATTATCCATTTGCAGATATTACAAAACTCTGTT
Organism: Homo sapiens; assembly: GCF_000001405.40. NCBI lineage: Eukaryota > Metazoa > Chordata > Mammalia > Primates > Hominidae > Homo > Homo sapiens. Next base: position 27,288,304 of record NC_000019.10, on the reverse strand, counting down.
TCCAAACTGCTCAAACAATAGAAAGTTTCAACTCAGTGGGTTGAATGTGCACATCACAAAGAAGTTTCTCAGAATCCTTCTGTCTAGTTTTTAAGTGAAGATATTCCCGTTTCCACCGAAGGCCTCAAAGCAGTCCAAATATCCACTGGCAGATTCTACAAAAAGAGTGTTTCAAAGCTGCTCTATCAAAAGGAAGGTTCAACTCTATGAGTTGAGTGCATATATCACAAAGAAGTTTCTGAGAACGCTTCTGTCTAGTTTTTATATGAAGCTATTTCCTTTTCTACCATAGGCCTCAAAGCGCTCCAAATATCCACTTGCAGATTCTACAAAAAGAGTGTTTCCAAACTGCTCTATTGAAAGTAACGTTCAACTCTCTGAGTTTAATGCACGCATCACAAAGTAGTTTCTGAGAATGTTTCTGTCAACTTTTTATGTGAAGATATTCCCATTTCCACCATAGGCCTCAAAGCGCTCTGAATATCCACTTACAGATTCTACAAAAAGATTTTCAAAATTGCTCTATCAAAAGGAAGGTTCAAAACTGTTAGTTGAATGCAAGCATCACAAAGCATTTCTGAGAATGCTTGTGTTTAGTTTTACGTAAAGATATTTGCTATTTTACCATAGGCCTCAAGGTGCTTCAAATATCCACTTGCAGATTCTACAAAAAGACTGTTTCAAAACTGCTCTATCAAAAGAAAGGTTCAACTCTGTGAGTTGAATCCACACATCACAAAGAAGTTTCTGAGAATGCTTCTGTCTAGTTTTTATGTGAAGATATTTCCTTTTCCGCAGTAGGCCTCAAAGCATTTCAAATATTCACTTGCAGATACTACAAAAACAGTGTTTCAAAACTGTTCTATCAAAAGGAAGGTTCAACTCTGTGAGTTGAATGCATACATCACAAAGAAGTTTCTGATAATGCTTCTCTCTAGTTTTTATATGAAGATACTTCCTTTTCAACCACAGGCCTCAAAACTCTCCAAATGTCCACTTGCAGATTCTACAAAAAGAGTGTTTCAAAACTGCTCTATCAAAAGGAAGGTACAACACTGTGAGTTCAATGCAAGCATCACAAAGAAGATTCTCAGAATGCTTCTGTCTAGTTTTTGTGTGAAGATAATTCCTTTTCCACCATAGGCCTCAAAGTGCTCCAAATATCCACCTGCAGATTTTACAAAAAGAGTGTTTCAAAACTACTCTACCAAAAGCAACGTTCAACTCTCTGCATTCAATGAACACATCACAAAGACGTTTTTTATAATGCTTCTGCTGTTTTTTATGTGAAGATATTCCCATTCCCACTGAAGGCCTCAAAGCACTCCAAACATCCGCTTTCAGATTCTACAAAAAGAGTGTTTCAAAACTGTTATATCAAAAGGAAGGTAAAACTCTGTGAGTTGAATGCACACGTCACAAAGAAGTTTGTGAGAATACTTCTGTCTAGTTTTATGTGAAGATGTTCCCATTTCCAACGAAGTCCTCAAAGGAGTCCAAATATCCACTTGCAGAAACTACAAAAAGAGTGTTTCAAAACTGCTCTATCAAAAAGGTTCAACTCTGTGAGCTGAATGCAAACATCACATAGTAGTGTCTGAGCATGCTTCTGTCTGGTTTTTATCTGAAGATATTCCCATTTCCACCAAAGGCCTCAAAGCGCTCCAAATAACCAATGGCAGATTCTAAAAAAAAGAGTGTTTCAAAACTGCTCTATCAAAAGAAAGGTTCACCTCTGTGAGTTGAATGTAAGCATCACAAAGGTGTTTTGGAGAATGCTTCTGTCTATTTTTTATGTGAAGTTATTTCCCTTTGCATGATAGGACTCAAAGCTCTCCAAATATCCACTTGCAGATTCTACAAAAAGGGTGTTTCAAAACTGCTCTCTCATGGGTGCGTGCACCGTGCATGAGCCAAAGCAGGGCAAGGCATTGCCTCCCTTGGGAAGTGCAAGGGGTCAGGGAGTTCCCTTTCCTAGTCAAAGAAAATGGTGAAAGAGGGTACCTGGAAAATTGGGTCACTCCCACCCGAATGCTGCACTTTTCCAATGGGCTTAAAAAATGGTGCACCAGGAGATTATATCCCACACATGCCTCCGAGGGTCCTACGCCCAGGGAGTCTCCCTGATTGCTAACACAGCAGTCTGAGATCAAACTGCAAGGGGGCAAGGACGCTGTGGGAGGGGCACCCGCCATTGCCCAGGCTTGCTGAGGTAAACAAAGCAGCCAGGAAGCTCAAACTGGGTGAAGCCCACCACAGCTCAAGGAGGCCTGCCTGCCTCTGTAGGCTCCACGTCTGGGGGCAAGACACAGACAAACAAAAAGACAGCAGTAACCTCTGCAGACTTAAATGTCCCTGTCTGACAGCTTTGAAGAGAGCAGTGGTTCTCCCAGCATGCAGCTGGAGGTCTGAGAACAGGCAGACTGCCTCTTCAAGTGGGTCCTTGACCCCTGACCCGAGAGCAGCCTAACTGAGAGGTCCCCACCAGCAGGGGCATACTGACACCTCACAAGGCTGGGTACTCCAACAGACATGCAGCTGAGGATCCTGTCTGTTAGGAGGAAAACTAACAAACAGAAAGGACATCCACACCAAAAGCCCATCTGTACATCACCATCATCAAAGACCAAAAGTAGATAAAACCACAAAGATGGGAAAAAAAACAGAGCAGAAAAACTGGAAACTCTAAAAAGCAGAGGGCTTCTCCTCCTCCAAAGGAATGCAGTTCCTCACCAGCAATGGAACAAAGCTGGACATAGAAGGACTTTGACGAGCTGAGAGAAGAAGGCTTCAGATGATCAAATTACTCCGAGCTATGGGAGGACATTCAGACCAAAGGCAAAGAAGTTGAAAACTTTGAAAAAAATTTAGAAGAATGTGTAACTAGGATAACAAATACAGAGAACTGCTTAAAGGAACTGAAAACCAAGTCTCAAGAACTACGTGAAGAATGCAGAAGCCTCAGGAGCCGATGCAATCAACTGGAACAAAGGGAATCAGTGATAGAAGATGAAATAAATGAAATGAAGTGAGAAGGGAAGTTTAGAGAAAAAAGAATAAATAGAAAAAAACAAAGCCTCCAAGAAATATGGGACTATGTGAAAAGACCAAATCTACATCTGATTGGTATACCTGAAAGTGATGGGGAGAAAGGAACCAAGTTGGAAAACACTCTGCAGGATATTATCCAGGAGAACTTCCCCAATCTAGCAAGGCAGGCCAACATTCAGATTCAGGAAATACAGAGAACGCCACAAATATACTCCTCGAGAAGAACAACTCCAAGACACATAATTGTCAGATTCAGCAAAGTTGAAATGAAGGAAAAAATGTTAAGGGCAGCCAGAGAGAAAGGTTGGGTTACCCTCAAAGGGAAGCCCATCAGACTAATAGCAGATCTCTTGGCAGAAACTGTACAAGCCAGAAGAGAGTGGGGGCCAATATTCAACATTCTTAAAGAAAAGAATTTTCAACCCAGAATTTCACATACAGCCAAACTAAGCTTCATAAGTGAAGGAGAAATAAAATCCTTTAGACAAGCAACTGCTGAGAGATTTTTGTCACCACCAGGCCAGCCCTAAAAGAGCTCCTGAAGGAAGCGTTAAACATAGAAAGGAACAACCAGTACCAGCTGCTGCAAAATCATGCAAAAATGTAAAGACCATCGAGACTAGGAAAAAACTACATCAATTAACGAGCAAAATAAACAGCTAACATCATGACAGGATCAAATTCACACATAACAATATTAACTTTAAATGTGAATGGGCAAAACGTTCCAATTAAAAGACACAGACTGGCAAATTGGATAAAGAGTCAAGACCCATCATTGTGCTGTATTCAGGAAACCCATCTCACGGGCATAGACACACATAGGCTCAAAATGAAAAGGACGGAGGAAGAGCTACCAAGCAAATGGAAAACAAAGAAGGCAGGGGTTGCAATCCTAGTCTCTGATAAAACAGACTTTAAACCAACAAAGATCAAAAGAGACAAAGAAGGCCATTACTCAATGATAAAGGGATCGATTCAAAAAGAAGATCTAACTATCCTAAATATATATGCACCCAATACAGGAGCACCCAGATTCATAAAGCAAGTCATGAGTGACCTACAAAGAAACTTAGACTCCCACACATTAATAATGGGAGACTTTAACACCCCACTGTCAACATTAGACAGATCAATGAGACAGAAAGTCAGCAAGGATACCAAGGAATTGAACTCAGCTCTGCATCAAGCGGACCTAATAGTCATATACAGAACTCTCCACCCCAAATCAAGAGAATATACATTTTTTTCAACACCACACCACACCTATTCCAAAATTGACCACATACTTGGAAGTAAAGCTCTCCTCAGCAAGTGTAAAAGAACAGAAATTATAACAAACTGTCTCTCAAACAACAGTGCAATCAAACTCAGGATTAAGAATCTCACTCAAAACCGCTCAACTACATGGAAACTGAACAACCTGCTCCTGAATGACTACTGGGTACATAATGAAATGAAGCCAGAAATAAAGATATTCTTGGAAATCAATGATAACAAAGACACAACATGCCAGAATCTCTGGGTTGCATTCAAAGCAGTGTGTAGAGGGAAATATATAGCACTAAATGCCCACAAGAGAAAGCAGGAAAGATCCAAAATTGACACCCTAACATCACAATTAAAAGAACTAGAAAAGCAAGAGCAAACACATTCAAAAACTAGCAGAAGGCAAGAAATAACTAAAATCAGAGCAGAACTGAAGGAAGCAGAGACACATAAAACCTTCAAAAAATTAAGGAATACAGGAACTGGTTTTTTGAAAGGATCAACAAAATTCATAGACCGCTAGCAAGACTAACAAAGAAAAAAAGAGAGAAGAATCAAATAGATGCAATAAAAAATGATAAAGGGGATATCACCACCGATCCCACAGAAATACAAACTACCATCAGAGAATACTACAAACACCTCTATGCAAATAAACTAGAAAATCTAGAAGAAATGGATAAATTCCTCGACACATAGACTCTCCCAAGACTAAACCAGGAAGAAGTTGAATCTCTGAATAGACCAATAACAGGAACTGAAATTGTCACAATAATCAATAGTTTACCAACCAAAAAGAAACCAGGACCAGATGGATTCACAGCCGAATTCTACAAGAGGTACAAGGAGGAACTGGTACCATTCCTTCTGAAACTATTCCAATCAATAGAAAAGAGGGAATCCTCCCTAACTCATTTTATGAGGCAAGCATCATTCTGATACCAAAGCCAGGCAGAGACATAACCAAAAAAGAGAATTTTAGACCAATATCCTTGATGAACATTGATGCAAAAATCCTCAATAAAATACTGGCAAACCAAATCCAGCAGCACATCAAAAAGCTTATCCACCATGATCAAGTGGGCTTCATCCCTGGGGTGCAAGGCTGGTTCAATATACGCAAATCAATAAATGTAATCCAGCATATAAGCAGAACAAAGACAAAAACCACATGATTATCTCTATAGATGCACAAAAAGCCTTTGACAAAATTCAACAACCCTTCATGTTAAAAACTCTCAATAAATTAGGTATTGATGGGACATATCTCAAAATAATAAGAGCTATCTATGACAAACCCACAGCCAATATCATACTGAATGGGCAAAAACTGGAAGCATTCCCTTTGAAAACTGGCACAAGACAGGGATGCCCTCTCTCACCACTCCTATTCAACATAGTGTTGGAAGTTCTGGCCAGGGGAATTAGGCAGAAGAAGGAAATAACGGGTATTCAATTAGGAAAAGAGGAAGTCAAATTATCCCTGTTTGCAGACGACATGATTGTATATCTAGAAAACCCCATTGTATCAGCCCAAAGTCTCCTTAATCTGATAAGCAACTTCAGCAAAGGCTCACGATACATAATCAATGTACAAAAATCACAGCATTCTTATACACCAACATACAAACAGAGAGCCAAATCATGAGTGAACTCCCATTCATAATTGATTCAAAGAGAATAAAATACCTAGGAATCCAACTTACAAAAGATGTGAAGGACCTCTTCAAGGAGAACTACAAACCACTGCACAAAGAAATAAAAGAGGATACAAACAAATGGAAGAACATTCCATGCTCATGGGTAGGAAGAATCAATATCGTGAAAATAGCCATATTGCCCAAGGTAATTTACAGATTCAATGCCATCCCCCTCAAGCTACCAATGACTTTCTTCACAGAACTGGAAAAAACGACTTTAAAGTTCATATGGAACCAAAAAAGAGCCCGCATCACCAAGTCAATCCTAAGCCAAAAGAACAAAGCTGGAGGCATCACACTACCTGACTTCAAACTATACTACAAGGCTACAGTAACCAAAACAGAATGGTACTGATATCAAAACAGAGATATAGATCAATGGAACAGAAGAGAGCCCTCAGAAATAACGCCGCATGTCTACAACTATCTGACCTTTGACAAACCTCAGAAAAACAAGCAATGGGGAAAGGATTCCCTATTTAATAAATGGTGCTGAGAAAACTGGCTAGCCATATGTAGAAACCTGAAACTGGATTCCTTCCTTACACCTTATACAAAAATTAATTTAAGATGGATTACAGACTTAAATGTTAGACCTAAAACCATAAAAACCCTGGAAGAAAACCTAGGCATTACCATTCAGGACATAGGCATGGGCAAGGATTTCATGTCTAAAACACCAAAAGCAATGACAACAAAAGACAAAATTGACAAATGGGATCTAATTAAACTAAAGAGCTTCTGCACAGCAAAACAAACTAGCATCAGAGTGAACAGGCAACCTACAAAGTGGGAGAAAATTTTCACAACCTACTTATCTGACAAAGGACTAATATCCAGAATCTACAATGAACACTAACAAATTTACAAGAAAAAAACAAACAACCCCATCAAAAAGTGGGCAAAGGACATGAACAGACACTTCTCAAAAGAAGACATTTATGCAGCCAAAAAACACATGAACAAATGCTCACCATCACTGGCCATCAGAGAAATGCAAATCAAAACCACAATGAGATACCATTTCATGCCAGTTAGAATGGCAATCAATAAAAAGTCAGGAAACAACAGGTGCTGGAGAGGATGTGGAGAAATAGGAACACTTTTACACTGTTGGTGGGACTGTAAACTAGTTCGGCAATTGTGGAAGTCAGTGTGGCCATTCCTTAGGGATCTAGACCTAGAAATACCATTTGACACAGCCATACCATTACTGGGTATATACCCAAAGGACTATAAATCATGCTGCTATAAAGACATATGCACATGTATGTTTATTGCAGCACTATTCACAATAGCAAAGACTTGGAACCAACCCAAATGTCCAACAATGATAGACTGGATTAAGAAAATGTGGCACATATACACCATGGAATACTATGCAGCCATAAAAAATGATGAGTTCATTTCCTTTGTAGGGACATGGATGAAATTGGAAATCATCATTCTCAGTAAACTATCATAAGAACAAAAAACCAAACACCGCATATTCTCACTCAGAGGTGGGAATTGAACAATGAGATCACATGGACACAGGAAGGGGAACATCACATTGTGTGGACAGTTGTGGGGTGCGGGAAAGGGGGAGGGATAGCATTGGGAGATATACCTAATGCTAGATGACTAGTTAGTGGGTGCAGCGCACCAGCATGGCACATGTATACATACGTTACTAACCTGCACATTGCTCACATGTAACCTAAAACATAAAGTATAATCATAATAAATAAAGAAAAGAAGAAAAAACTGCTCTATCAAAAGGAAGGTTCAATTCTGTGAGTTGAATGCACACATCACAAAGAAGTTTCTGAGAATGCCTCTGTCTAGTTTTTATGTGAAGATATTCCTGTTTCCAACAAAGGCCTCAAAGCAGTCCAAATATCCACTTGCCAACACTAAAAAAATAGTGTTTCAAAACTGTCCTATGAAAAGAAAGGTTCAACTCTGTAAGTTGAATGCACACATCAAAAAGTAATTTCTGAGAATGCTTCTGTCTAGTTTTTATATGAACATATTTCCTTTTCTACCATAGGCCTCAAAGCACTCCAAATATCCACTTGCAGATTCTACAAAAAGAGCGTTTCAAAACTGCTCCATCAAAAGTAGGGTTCAACTCTGTGAGTTGAATGCGCACATCCCAAAGAAGTTTCTAAGAATGCTTCTGTCTAGTATTTATGTGAAGATATTCCCGTTTCCAACAATGCTTAAAATTACTCCAATTATCCACTTGCAGATTCCACAAAAAGAGTGTTTCAAAACTGCTTTATCAAAAGGAAGGTTCAGCTCTGTGAGTTGAAGGCACACATCACAAGGAAGTTTCTGAGAATGCTTATGTATATTTTTTATGTGAATATATTCCCATTTCCAATGAAGGCTTCAAAGCACTCCATATATCCACTTGCAGATACTATAAAAAGAGTGTTTCAAAACTGCTCTATCAAAAGGAAGGTTTAACTCTGTGAGTTGAATGCACACATCACAAAGTAGTTTCTGAGAATGCTTCTGTCTAGTTTTTATGTGAAGATATTACCGTTTCCAACAACGCTTCAAAGTACTCCAATTATCCACTTGCAGATTCTACAAAAAGAGTGTTTCAAAACTGCTCTATCAAAGGAAATGTTCAACACTCTGAGTTGAATTCAAACATCACAAAGAAGTTTCTGAGAATGCTTCTGTCTAGTTTTTATGTGAAGATATCTCCTTTTCCACTCTAGCACTCAAAGTGTTCCTAATGTCCACTTGCAGATTCTACAAAAAGAGCGTTTCAAAACTGCTCTATCAAAAGAAATGTTCCAATCTGTGAGTTGAATGCAAACATCACAGAAGTTTCTGAGATTGCTTCTGTCTAGTTTTTATGTGAAGATATTTCCTTTTCCACCAAAGCCCTCAAAGTGCTACAAATGTCCACTTGCTGATTCCACAAAAGGAGTGTTTCAAAACTGCTCTATCAAAAATAGGTTAAACTCTGTGAGTTGAATGCACACATCACAAAGTAATTTTTGAGAATGCTTCTGACTAGTTTTTATGTGAAGATATTCACGTTTCCGACAAACTCTTCAAAGCACCCCAAATATCCACTTGCAGAATCTACAAAAAGAGTGTTTCAAAACTGCTCTATCAAAAGGAGGCTTCAACTCTGTAGGTTGAATGCACACATCAAGAAGAAGTTTCTGAGAATGTTTCCATCTAGTTCTTATGTGATGTTATTCCCGTCTCCAATGAAGTCTTCAAAGCACTCCAAATATACAGTTGCAGATTCTACAAAAAGAGTGTTTAAAAACTGCTGTATCAAAAGAAAGGTTCAAATCTGTGAGTTGTATACACACATCACAAAGAAGTTTCTGAGAATGCTTCTATCTAGTTTTTATGTGAAGATATTTCCGTTTCTAATGAAGGCTTCAAAGCACTCCAAATATCCAATTGCATATTCTACAAAAAGAGTGTTTCAAAACTTTTCAATTAAAAGGAAGGTTCAATTCTGTGAATTGAATGCAAACATCAAAAAGAAGTTTCTGAGAATGCTTCTATCTAGTTTTTATGTGAAAATATTCCCGTTTCCAATGAAGGCCTCAAAGTGGTCTAAATATTCACTTGCAGATTCTCCAAAAATAGTGTTTCAAAACTCCTCTATCAACAGAAAGTTTCAACTCCCTGTGTTGAAAGCAAACATCACAAAGAAGTTTCTGAGAATGTTCCTGTCTAGTTTTTATGTGAAGATATATCCTTTTCACCATCGACCACAAAGTACTCCAAATGTCCACCAGCAGATTCTAGAAAAAGGGTGTTTCAAAACTGTTCTATCAAAAGAAAGGTTCAACTCTCTGAGATGAATGCAAACATCACAAAGTAGTTTCTGAAATGATTCTGTCTAGTTTTTATGTGAAGATATTCCTGTTTCTAACGAAGGCTTCAAAGCAGTCGAAATATCCACTTGCAGATTCTACAAAAAGAGTGTTTCAAAACTGCTCTATCAAAACAAAGGTTCAACTCTGTGAGTTGAATGCACACATCACAAACTAGTTTCTGAGAATGCTTCTGTCTAGTTTTTATGTGAAGATATTCCCTTTTCTACCATAGACCTCAATGTGCTCCAAATATCCACTTCCAGATTCTACAAAAAGAGAGATTCAATACTGCCCTATCAAAAGGAGGGTTCAACTCTGTGAGTTGAATGCGCACATCACATAAATGTTTCTCAGAATGCTTAGGTCTAGTTTTTATGTGAAGATATTCCCGTTTGCAACGGAGGCTTCAAAGCACTCCAATTATCAACTTCCAGGTTCTACAAGAAGTGTTTCAAAACGGCTCTATCAAAAGAATGGTTAAAATCTGTGAGTTGAATGCACATATCACAAAGAAGTTTCTGAGAATGCTTCTGTCTAGTTTTTATGTGAAGCTATTCCCATTTCCAACGAAGGCGACAAAGCAGTCCAAATATCCACTTGCAGATTCTACAAAAGGAGTGTTTCAAAACTATTCTATCAAAGGAAATGTTCAACTCTCTGAGTTGAATGCATACATCAGAAAGAAATTACTGAGAATGCTTCTGTCTAATTTTTATGTGAAGATATTTCCTTTTCCACCATAGGCCTCAAAGTACTCTAAATGTCCACTTGCAGATTCTACAAAAAGAGTTTTTGAAAACTGCTCTATCAAAAGAAATGTTCAACTCTATGAATTGAATGCAAACATCACAAAGAACTTTCTGAGAATGCTTCTATCTAGTTTTTATGTGAAGATATTTCCTTTTCCACTATAGCCCTCAAAGTGCTCCAACTGTGCACTTGTAGATTCTACAAAAAAAGTGTTTCAAAACTGCTCTACTAAAAGATAGGTTACACTCTGTGAGTTGAATGTAAGCATTACAAATTTTTATTTAAAGATATTCCCGTTTGCAACGAAGGCTTCAAAGCAATCCAATTATCCACTTGCAGATTCTACAAAAAGAGTGTTTCAAAACTGCCCTATCAAAAGAAAGATTAAATTCCGTGAGCTGCAAGCACACATCACAAAGCAGTTTCTGAGAATGCTTCTGTCTAGTTTTTATGTGAAGATATTCCCGTTTCCAATGAAGGCTTCAAAGCACTCCAATTATCCACTTGCAGATTCTACAAAAAGAGTGTTTCAAAACTGCTCTATCAAAAGAAAGTTTAAATTCTGTGAGTTGAATGCACACATCACAAAGTACTTTCTGAGAATGCTTCTTTCTAGTTTTTATATGAAGATATTTCCTTTTCTACAGTAGGACTCAAAATGCTCCAAATATCCACCTGCAGATTCTACAAATAGAGGGTTTCAAAACTTCTCTATCAAAAGGATGGTTCAAATCTGTGAGCTGAATGCACATATCACAAAGAAGGTTCTGAGAATGCTTCTGTCTAGTATTTATATGAAGATATTCCCGTTTCCAACTAAGGCTTCAAAGCACTCCAAATATCCACTTGCAGATTCTACAAAAATATTGTTTCAAAACTGCTCTATCAAAAGGAAGGTTCAACTCTGTGAGTTGAATGCACACATCACAAAGAAGTTTCTGAGAAAGCTTCTGTCTAGTTTTTATGTGAAGATATTCCCTTTTCCAACGAAGGCCTCAAAGCAGTCAAAATATCCACCTGCAGATTCTACAAAAAGAGTGTTTCAAAGCTGCTGTATCAAAAGAAAGTTTCAACTCTGTGAGTTGAATCCGAACGTCACAAAGAAGTTTCAGAGAAGGCTCCTGTCTAGTTTTTATGTGAAGATATATCTTTTTCCACCATAGACCTCAAAGTGCTCCAAATGTCAACTTGCAGATTCTACAAAAAGTGTGTTTAAAAACTGCTCTATCAAAAGAAAGTTTCAACTCTGTGAGTTGAATGCACACATCACAAAGAAGTTTCTGAGAATGCTTCTGTCTGGTTTTCATGTGAAGATATTTCGTTTTCCACCAGAGCCCTCAAAGTGCTCCAAATGTCTACTTGCAGATTCTTCAAAAAGAGTGTTTCAAAGCTGATCTATCAAAAGAAAAGTTAATCTCTGTGAGTTGAATGCACACATCACAAAGTAGATTTTGAGAATGCTTTTGTCTAGTTTATATATGAAGATATTCCCGTTTCCAACAAAGGCTTCAAAGGACTCCAATTATCCACTTGCAGATAGTGCAAAAAGAGTGTTTCAAAACTGCTCTATCAAAAGAAAGTTTAAACTCTGTGAGATGAAAGCACACATCACAAATTAGTTTCAGAGAATACTTCTGTCTAGTTTTTATATGAAAATATTTCCTTTTTCTACAATAGGGCTCAAATCGCTCCAAATATCCAATTGCTGATTCTACAAAAAGAGTGTTTCAAAGCTGCACCATTCAACGGAAGGTTCAAAACTGTAAGATGAATGCACACATCACAAAGAAGTTTCTGAGAATGCTTCTGTATAGTTTTTATGTGAAGATATTCCCTTTTTCAATGAAGGCCTAAAACCAGTCCAAATATACACTTACAGATTCTACAGGAAGAGTTTTTCAAAACGGCCCTATCAAAAGGAAAGTTGAACTCTGTGAGTTGAATGCACACATAACAAAGAAGTTTCTGATAATGCTTCTGTCTAGTTTTCATGTGAAGCTATTCCCGTTTCCAACGAAGGGGTCAAAGCAGTACAAATATCGTCTTCCAGATTCTACAAAAAAAATTGTTTCAAAACTGCTAAATGAAAAGAAAGTTTCAAATCTGTGAGTTGAATGCAAACATCACAAAGACTTTTCTGCGAATGCTTCTGTCTAGTTTTTATGTGAAGATATTTCCTTTTCCATGGTAGCACTGAAATTTCTCCAAATGTCCACTTGCAGATTTGACAAAAAGAGTGTTTCAAAACTGCTCTATCAAAAGAAACGTTCAATTCTGTGATATGAATGCACGCATCACAAAATAGTTTCTGAGAATGCTTCTTTCTAGTTTTTCTATGAAGATATTTCCTTTTCTACAAAAGGCCTCAAAGGGCTCCAAATATCCACTTGCAGATTCTACAAAAAGAGTGTTTTGAAACTTCTCTATCAGAAGGAGGGTTCAACTCTGTGGTTTGAATGCACACATCACAAAGAAGTTTCCGAGCATGCTTCTGTCTAGTTTTTATATGAAGATTTTCCCGTTTCCAACGAAGGCTTCAAAGCAGTCCAAATATCCAAATGCAGATTCTACAAAAAGAGTGTTTCAAAAGTGTTCTTTCCAAAGGAAAGTTAAGCTCTGTGCGTTGAATGCACACATCACAAAGAAGTTTCGGAGAATGCTTCTATCTAGTTCTTATGTGAAGATATTACCTTTTCCACCATAGCCCTCAAAGTGCTCCAAATGTCCACTTGTAGATTCTACAAAAAGAGTGTTTCAAAACTGCTCTGTCAAAAGAAAGGTTAATCTCTGTGAGTTGAATGCAAACATCACAAACAAGTTTCTGAGAATGCTTCTGTCTAGTACATGTGTGAAGATATTCTAGTTTCCAACAAAGGCTTCAAAGCACTCCAATTATCCACTAGCAGATTCTACAAAAAGACTGTTTCAAAACTCCTCTATCAAAAGAAAGGTTAAATTCTGTGAGTCGTAAGCACACATCACAAAGTAGTTTCTGAGAACACTTCTTGCTAGTTTTTCTATGAAGATATTTCCTTTTCAACCATAAGCCTCAAAGTGTTCCAAATATCCACTTACAGATTCTACAAAAAGAGTGCTACAAAACTGCTCAATCAAAAGGAGGGTTCAACTCTGTGAGTTGAATGCACACATCACAAAGAAGTTTCTGAGAATGCTTTCATCTAGTTTTCATGTGAAGATATTCCCGTTTCCAACGAAGGCTTCAGAACACTCCAAATATCCATTTGCATATTCTACAAAAAGAGTGATTCAAAACTTCTCCATCAAAAGCAAGGTTCAACTAGGGGAGTTCAATGGACACATCACAAAGTAGTTTCTGAGAATGCTTTTGTCTAGTTTTTATGTGAAGATATTTCCGTTTCCAATGAAGGCCTCAAAGCAGTCCAAATATCCACTTGCAGCTTCTACAAAAAGTGTGTTTCAAAGCTGCCCTATCAAAAGAAATGTTCGACTCTGTGAGTTGAATGGTCACATCACAAAGTAGTTTCTGAGAAGGCTTCTGTCTAGTTTTTAGACGAAGATATTCCCGTTTCCAACGAAGGCCTCAAATCAGTCCAAATATCCACTTGCAGATTCTACAAAAAGAGTGCTTCAAAACTGCTCAATCAAAAGGAAATTTCAACTCTGTGAGTTTAATGCACACATCACAAAGAAGTTTCTGAGAATGCTTTCGTCTAGTTCTCATGTGAAGATATTCCCGTTTCCAATGAAGACTTCAAAACACTCCGAATATACACTTGCATATTATAGAAAAAGATTGACTCAAAACTTCTCCATCAACAGCAAGGTTCAACTAGGGGGTTCAATGCACACATCACAAAGTAGTTTCTGAGAATGCTTCTGTCTAGTGTTTATGTGAAGATATTCCCGTTTCCAATGAAGGCCTCCAAGCAGTCCAAATATCCACTTGTAGATTCTACAAAAAGTGTGTTTCAAAGCTGCTCTGTAAAAATAAAGGTTCAACACTGTGAGTTGAATGGACACATCACAAAGTAGTTTCTGAGAATGCTTCCGTCTAGTGTTTAGATGAAGATATTCCCGTTTCCAACGAAGGCCTCAAATCAGTCCAAATATCCACTTGCAGATTCTACAAAAGAGTGTTTCAAAACTGCTCAATCAAAAGGAAGGTTAAACTCTGTGAGTTGAATGCACACATCACAAAGAAGCTTCTGAGAATGCTTCTGTCTACTTTTCATGTGAAGATATTTATTTATTCACTATAGTCCAGAAAGTACTCCAAATGTCCACTAGTAGAGTCTACAAAAAGTGTATGTCAAAATGGCTCTTTCAATAGAAAGGATCAACTCTGTGTGTTGAATGCACACATCCCAAAGAAGTTTCTGAGAAACTTTCTGTCTAGTTTTTATGTGAAGATATTCCCGTTTCCAATGAAGGCCTCAAAGCAATCCAAATATCCACTTGCAGATTCTACAAAAAGAGTGTTTCAAAACTGCTTTATGAAAAGAAAAATTCATTTTTTTTATGATTATACTTTAAATTTTAGGGTACATGTGCACATTGTGCAGGTTAGTTACATATGTATACATGTGCCATGCTGGTGCGCGGCACCCACTAACTAGTCATCTAGCATTAGGTATATCTCCCAATGCTATCCTTCCCCCCTCCTCGCACCCCACAACAGTTCCCAGAGTGTGATATTCCCCTTCCTGTGTCCATGTGATCTCATTGTTCAATTCCCACCTCTGAGTGAGAATATGCGGTGTTTGGTTTTTTGTTCTTGCAATAGTTTAATGAGAATGATGATTTCCAATTTCATCCATGTCCCTACAAAGGAAATGAACTCATCATTTTTTATGGCTGCATAGTATTCCATGGTGTATATGTGCCACATTTTCTTAATCCAGTCTATCATTGTTGGACATTTGGGTTGGTTCCAAGTCTTTGCTATTGTGAATAATGTCACAATAAATATATGTGTGCATGTGTCTTTATAGCAGCATGATTTATAGTCCTTTGGGTATATACCCAGTAATGGGATGACTGGGTCAAATGGCATTTCTAGGTCTAGATCCTTGAGGAATCACCACACTGACTTCCACAATGGTTCATATCTGTGAGGTGAATGTGAACATCGCAAAGAAGTTTCTGAGAATGTTTCTGTCTAGTTTTTATGTGAAAATATTTCCTTTTCCAACATAGCCCTCAAAGTGCTCCAAATGTCCACTTGCAGATTCTACAAAAAGAGTGTTTCAAAACTGCTCTAGCAAAAGAGAGGTTAAAAATCTCTGAGCTGAATGCACACATCACTAGCTGGTTTCTGAGACTGCTTCTTTCTAGTTATTAGATAAAGAAATTGCCTTTTCTACCAGAGGCCTGAAATGGCTTCAAATATCCACTTGCAGATTCTACAAAAAGAGTGTTTCAAATCTGCAGTAGCAAAAGGAGGGTTCAACTGTGTGAGTTGAATGCACACATCACAAAGTAGTTTCTGAGAATCCTTCTGTCTAGTTTTTAATGTGAAGATATTCACATTTCCAACGAAGGCTTCAAAGCACTCCAAATATAAACTAGCATATTCTACAAACAGAGTGTCTCAAAACTGCTCTATCAAAAGGAAGGTTCAACTCTGTGCATTGAATACACACATCACAGGAAAGTTTCTGAGAATGCTTCTGTCTAGTTTTTATGTGAATATATTCCCGTTTCCAACGAAGGCTTCAAAACACTCCAAATATCCACTTGCAGATACTATAAAAAAAGAGTGTTTCAAAACTGCTCTATCAAAAGGAAGGTTCAATTCTGTGAGTTGAATGCACAATTCACAAATAACTTTCTGAGAATGCTTATTTATAGTTTTTATGTGAAGATATTCCCATTTCCAATGAAGGCCTCAAAGTAGTCCTAATAACCACTTGCAGATTCTACAAAGAGAATGTTTCAAAACTGCTCAATCAAAAGGAAGGTTAAACTCTGTGAGTTGAATGCACACATCACAAAGAAGCTTCTGAGAATGCTTCTGTCTACTTTTCATGTGAAGATATTTCTTTTTGCACTATAGCCCAGAAAGTACTCTAAATGTCCAATTGTAGAATCTACAAAAAGTGTGTGTCAAAATGGCTCTTTCAAAAGAAAGGATCAACTCTCTGTGTTGAGTGCACATATCACAAAGAAGTTTCTGAGAATCTTTCTGTCTAGTTTTTATGTGAAGATATTCCCGTTTCCAACGAAAGCCTCAAAGCAATCCAAATATCCACTTGCAGATTCTACAAAAAGAGTGATTCAAAACTGCTTTATGAAAAGAAAAATTCATTTTTTTATGATTATACTTTAAGTTTTAGGGTACATGTGCACAATGTGCAGGTTAGTTACATACGTATACATGTGCCATGCTGGTGTGCTGCACCCACTAACTAGTCATCTAGCATTAGGTATATCTCCCAATGCTATCCCTCCCCCTTTCCCGCACCCCACAACTGTCCACACAATGTGATGTTCCCCTTCCTGTGTCCATGTGATCTCATTGTTCAATTCCCACCTCTGAGTGAGAATATGCGGTGTTTGGTTTTTTGTTCTTATGATAGTTTACTGAGAATGATGATTTCCAATTTCATCCATGTCCCTACAAAGGAAATGAACTCATCATTTTTTATGGCTGCATAGTATTCCATGGTGTATATGTGCCACATTTTCTTAATCCAGTCTATCATTGTTGGACATTTGGGTTGGTTCCAAGTCTTTGCTATTGTGAATAATGCCACAATAAACATATGTGTGCATGTGTCTTTATAGCAGCATGATTTATAGTCCTTTGGGTATATACCCAGTAATGGGATGGCTGGGTCAAATGGCATTTCTAGGTCTAGATCCATGAGGAATCACCACACTGACTTCCACAATGGTTCATATCTGTGAGGTGAATGTGAACATCACAAAGAAGTTTCTGAGAATGTTTCTGTCTAGTTTTTATGTGAAGGTATTTCCTTTTCCAACATAGCCCTTAAAGTGCTCCAAATGTCCACTTGCAGATTCTACAAAAAGAGTGTTTCAAAACTGCTCTAGCAAAAGAGAGGTTAAAAATCTCTGAGCTGAATGCACACATCACTAGCTGGTTTCTGAGACTGCTTCTTTCTAGTTTTTAGATAAAGAAATTACCTTTTCTACCAGAGGCCTGAAATGGCTTCAAATATCCACTTGCAGATTCTACAAAAAGAGTGTTTCAAATCTGCAGTAGCAAAAGGAGGGTTCAACTGTGTGAGTTGAATGCACACATCACAAAGAAGTTTTTGAGAATACTTCTGTCTAGTTTTTATGTGAAGATATTACCGTTTCCAAAGAAGGCTTTAAAGCACTCCAAATATCCACCTGCAGATTCTACAAAAAGAGTGTTTCAAATCTGCTCTATCAAAGGAAGGCTCAACTCTGTGAGGTGAATGCACACATTGCAAAGAAGTTTCTGAGAATGCTTCTGTCTAGTTTTTATGTGAAAATATTCCCGTTTCCAATGAAGACTACAAAGAACTCCAATTATCCATTTTCATATTCTACAAAAAGAGGGTTTCAAAACTGCTCTATCAAAAGGAAGGTTCAACTCTGTGAGTTGAATGCACACATCACAAGGAAATTCTCAGAATGCATCTGTCTAGTTTTTACGTGAAGAAATTCCCGTTTCCAACGAAGGCTTCCAAGTAGTCAAATTATCCACGTGCATATTCTCAAAAAGAGTGTTTCAAAACTCTTGTATCAAAAGGAAGGTTCAGTTTTGTGAGTTGAATACACACATCACAAGGAAGTTTTTGAGAATGCTTTTGTCTAGTTTTTATGTGAATATATTCGCGCTCCCAGCGAAGGCTTCAAAGCACTCCAAATATCCAAGAGGGTTTCAAAACTGCTCTATGAAAAAGAACGTTCAACTCTGTGAGTTGAATGCACATATCACAAAGAAGTTTCTGACAATGCTTCTGTCTAGTTTTTATGTGAAGATACACCGTTATCAACGAAGGCCTCAAAACCGTCCAAATATCGACTTGCAGATTCTGCAAAAACAGTGTTTCAAAACTGCTCTATCAAAAGAAATGTTTAACTCTCTGAGTTGAATGCAAACATCACAGAGAAGTTTCTGAGAATGCTTCAGTCTAGTTTTTATATGAAGATATTTCCTTTTCCACTGTATCCTTCAAAGTACTCCAAATGTACTCTTGCAGATTCTACAACAAGAGTGTTTCAAAACTGCTCTATGAAAAGAAAGTTTCAACGCTGTGACTTGAATGCAAACATCGTGAAGAAGTTTCTGAGAATGCTTCTGTCTAGTTTTTTTGTGAAGGTGTTTCCGTTTGCACCATAGCCCTCAAAGTGCTCCAAATTTCCACTTGCAGATTCTACAAAAAGTGTGTTTCAAAACTGCTCTATTAAAAAAAAGGCTTAACTCTGTGAGTTGAATGCACGCATCACAAAGAATTCTCTGAGAATGTTTCCGTCTAGTTTATATGTGAAGATATACCTGTTTCCAATGAAGCCTTCAAAGCACTCCAATTCTCCACTAGCAGATTCTACAAAAAGAGGTTTTGAAAAGTGCTCTATCAAGAGAAGGGTGAAACTCTGTGAGTTGAAGGCACACATCACAAAGTAGTTTCTGAGAATGCTTCTATCTAGTTTTTATATGAAGATATTTCATTTTCTACCACTGGCCTCAAAGCGCTCCAAACATAAATTTGCAGACTGTACAAAAAGAGTGTTTCAAAACTGCTTTATCAAAAGGAAGCTCCAAATCGGTAAGTTGAATGCACACATCCACAAAGAAGTTCCTGAGAATGCAACGGTCTAGTTTTTATGTGAATATATAGCCATTTCCAAAGAAGATTTCAAAGTACTCCAATTATCCGCTTGCAGGTTCTACAAAGAAAGTGTTTCAAAACTACTCTATCAAAAGGAAGTTTCATCTCTGTGAGTTGAATGCACACATCACAAGGAAGTTTCTGAGAATGTTTCTGTCTAGTTTTTATGTGAAGATATTCCCGTTTCCAACAAAGACCTCAAGGCAGTCCAAATATCCAGTTGCAGATTCTACAAAAAGAGTGTTTCAAAACTGCTCTGTCAAAAGAACGGTTAAATTCTGTGAGTTGTAAGCACCCATCACAAAGTAGTTTCTGAGAATGCTTCTGTCTAGTTTTTGTATGAAGATATTTGCTTTTCTACCATAGGGCTCAGAGCGCTCCAAATATCCAATTGCAGATTCTAAAAAAAGTGTGTTTCAAAATTGCTCTATTGAAAGAAAGCTTCAACTCTGTGAGTAGAATGAACACATCACAAAGAAGTTTCTGAGAATGCTTCTGTCTAGTTTTTATGTGAAGATATTCCCGTTTCAAACGAAGGCTTCAAGGCAGTCCAAATATCCACTTGCAGAATCTGAAAAAGAGTGTATCAAATCTGCTCTATGAAAAGAAAGTTTCAACTATGTGAGTTGAATGCAAACATCACAAAGAAGTTTCGGAGTATGCTTCTGTCTAGTTTTTATGTGGAGATACTCCCGTTTCCAACGAAGGCTTCAAGCCACTCCAAATATCCACTTACAGATCCTACAAAAAGACTGTTTCAAAACTGCTTTATCAGAAGAAAGCTTCAACTCTGTGAGTTAAATGCACACATCACAAAGAAGTTTCTGAGAATGCATCTGTCTAGCTTTAATGTGAAGATACAACCGTTTCCAACGAAGACCTCAAAATACTCCATTTATCCACTTGCAGATTCTACAAAAACAGTGTTTCAAAACTGCTCTATCAAAAGAAAGGTTGAACTCTATGAGTTTAATGCACACATCACAAGGAAGTTTCTGACAATGCTTCTGTCTAGTTTTTATGTGAACATATTCCCGTTTCCAACAAAGGGTTCAAAGCACTCCAAATATCGAACTGCAGATACTACAAAAAGAGTGTTTCAAAACTGCTCTATCAAAAGGAAGGTTCAACTCAGTGGGTTGAATGCACATATCACAAAGAAGTTTCTGAGAATTCTTCTATCTAGTTTTTATGTGAGGATATTCCCGTTTCTAACGAAGGCCTCAAAGTGGTGCAAATATCCACTTGCAGCTTCTACAAACTGAGTGTTTCAAAACTGCTCTATCAAAAGAAATGTTCGACTCTCTGAGTTGAATGCAAACATCTCAAAGAAGTTTCTGAGAATGCTTCTGTCTAATTTTTATGTGAAGATTTTTTTCTTTTTTTCACCACAGCCCTCAAAGTGCTCCAAAAGTCCACTTGCTGATTCTACAAAAAGAGTGTTTCAAACTGCTCTGTCAAAAGATATGTTAAACTCTGGGAGTTGAATGCCCACCTCACAAAGTAGTTTTTGAGAATGCTTCTGTCTAGTTTTTGTGAAGATATTCCCATTTCCAACGAATGCTTCAAATCACTACAATTATCCACTTGCAGATTCTACATAAAGGGTGTTTCAAAACTGCTCTATCAAAAGAAAGGTTAAATTCTGTGAGTTTTAGGTACGCAGCACTAAGTAGTTTCTGAGAATGCTTCTGTGTAATTTTTATATGAAGATATCTCCTCTTCTACCATAAGCCTTAAAGCGCTCCAAATATCCAATTGCAGATTCTACAAAAATAGTGTTTCCAAACTGCTTTATCAAAAGAAAAGTTCAATTCTGTGAGTTGAATTCACGCTTCAGAAAGAAGTTTCTGAGAATGCTTCTGTCTAGTTATGTGAAGATATTAGCGTTTCCGAAGAAGGTCTCAAAGCAGTCTAAATATCCACTTGCAGATTCTACAAAAACAGTGTTTCAAAACTGTTCTATGAAAAGAAAGTATCAACTCCATGACTTGAATGCAAACATCCTGACGAAGTTTCTGAGAATGCTTCTGTCAAGTTTTCTTGTGAAGGTGTTTTCTTTTAAACCGTAGCCCTCAAAGTGCTCCAAATGCCCACGTGCATATTCTATAAAACGAGTGCTTCAAAACTGCTCTATCAAAACGAAGGTTCAACTCTGTGAGTTGAACGCACACATCAAAAGGAAGTTTCTGAGAATGCTTCTGTCTAGTTCTTAAGTGAGGATATTCCCGTTTCCAAAGAAGGCTTCAAAGCACTCCAAATATCCACATGCATATTCTACAAAAAGAGTGTTTCAAATCTGCTCTAACAAAAGGAATGTTCAACTTGGTGAGTTGAATGCACACATCACAAAGTAGCTTCTGAGAATGCTTCTGTTTAATTTTTATGTGAAGATATTCCCGTTTCCAACGAAGGCCTCAACGCGGTCCAAATGTCCACTTGCAGGTTCTACAAAAAGAGAGTTTCAAAACTGCTATATCAAAACAAATGTTCAACTCTCTGAGTTGAATGCAACATCACAAAGAAGTTTCTGAGAATGCTTCTCTCTAGTTTTTATGTGAAAATATTACCTTTTCCAACATAGCCCAAAAAGTGCTCCAAATGTCCACTTGCAGATCCTACAAAAAGAGTGTTTAAAAATTGCTCTATCAAAAGAAAGGTTCAACTCTGTGAGTTGAATGCAGACATCACAAAGAAGTTTCTGAAAATGGATCTGTCTAGTTTTTATGTGAAGATATTTCTTTTTCCACCAGAGCCCTCAAAGTGCTCCAAATGTCCACTTGCAGATTCTACAAAAAGTTTGTTTCAAAACTGCTCTATCAAAAAAAGGTTTAACTCTGTGAGTTGAATGCACGCATCACAAAGAAGTTTCTGAGAATATTTCTGTCTAGTTTTTATGTGAAGATATACACCTTTCCAACGAAAGCTTCAAAGCACTCCAATTTTCCACTTGCAGATTGTACAAAAAAAGGGTTTCAAAACTGCTCTATCAAGAGAAAGGTGAAACTCTGTGAGTTGAAGTCACACATCTCAAAGAAGTTTCTGAGAATGCTTCTGTCTAGTTTTTATGTGGAGTTATTCCCGTTTCCAACAAAGGCTTCAAAGCACTCCAAATATCCACTCACAAATTCTACAAAAAGAGTGTTTCAAAACAGCTCTATCAGAAGAAATGTTCAACTCTGTGAGTTGAATGCACACATCCCAAAGAAGTTTCTGAGAATGCTTCTGTCTGGTTTTTATGTTAAGATATTCCCGTTTTCAACGAAGGCTTCAAAGCACTCCAAATATCCACTTTCAGATTCTATCAAAAGGAAGGTTCAACTCTGGGAGTTGAATGCACACATCACAAAGACGTTTCTGAGAATGCTTCTGTCTAGTTTTTATGTGAAGATTTTTCCGTTTCCTATGAAGGCCTCAAAGGAGTCCAAATATCCACTTGCAGATTCTACAAAAAGAGGGTTTCAAAACCGCTCTATCATAAGGTAAGTTCAACTCTGTGAGTTGAATGCACACATCACAAAGAAGTTTCTGAGAATGCTTCTGTCTAGTTTTTATGTGAAGATATTCCCGTTTCCTACGAAGGCCTCAAAGCGGTCCAAATATCCACTTTCAGATTCCACAAAAAGAGTGTTTCAAAACTGTTCTATGAAAAGAAAGTTTCAACTCAGTGAGTTGAAAGCAAACATCACAAAGAAGTTTCTGAAAATGCTTCTGTCTAGTTTTTTTGTGAAGATATTATTTTTTCCACCATAGCTCTCAAAGTGATCAAATTGTCCACTTACAGTTTCTACAAAAAGAGTGTTTCAAAACTGCTCTGTCAAAAGATATGTTAATCTCTGCGAGTTGAATGCACACAGGACAATGTAGTTTTTGAGAATGCTTCTGTCTAGTTTTTATGTGAAGATATTCCCGTTTCCAATGAAGGCCTCAAAGCAGAACAAATATCGACTTGCAGATTCTCCAAAAAAAGTGTTTCAAAATTGCTCTATCAAAAGAAATATTCAACTCTCTGTGTTGAATGCAAACATCGCAGAGAAGTTTTTGAGAATGCTTCAGTCTGATTTTATGTGAAGATATTCCTTTTCCACCATAGCCCAAAAAGTGCTCAAAATGTCCACTTGCGGATTCTACAAAAACAGTGTTTGAAAACTGTTCTGTCAAAAGATAGGTTAAACTCTGTGAGTTGAATGCATACACCAGAAAGTAGTTTTTGAGAATGCTTCTGTCTAGTTTTTATGTGAAGATATTCCCTCTTCCAACAAAGCTTCAAAGCACTCTAATTATCCACTTGCAGATTCTACCAAAACAGTGTTTCAAAACTCCTCTATCAAAAGAAAGGTTAAATTCTGTGAGTTGTAAGCACACATTACGAAGTAGTTTCTGAGAATGCTTCTGTCTAGTTTTTATATGAAGATATTTCCTTTTCTACCATAGGCCTCAAACCTCTCCAAGTATCCAATTGCAGATTCTACAAAAAGAATATTTCAAAACTGCTCTATGAAAAGAAAGGTTTTACTCTGTGAGTTGAATGCAAATATCACAAAGAAGTTTCTGAGAATGCTTCTGTCTAGTTTTTATATGAAGTTTTTCTCGTTTCCAATGAATTCCTCAAAGCAGTCAAAATATCCACTTGCAGATTCTACAGAAAGAGTGTTTCAAAACTGTTCTATCAAAAGAAAAGTTAAACTCTGTGAGTTAAAAGCACACATCACAAACTAGTTTCTGAGAATGCTTTGTTCTAATTTTCATATAAAGAAATTGCCTTTTCTACCAGAGGCCTCAGAGGGCTACAAATACCCACTTGGAGATTCTACAAAAACAGTGTTTCAAATCTACTCTACCAAAAGGAGGGTTCAAATCTGTGAGTTGAATGCACACATAAAGTAGTTTCTGAGAATCCTTCTGTCTAGTTTTTATGTGAAGATATTCCCTTTTCCAATGAAGGCGTCAAATGTTTCTAAATATCCACTTGCAGATTCTACAAAAAGAGTGTTTCAAAACTGCTCTATCAAAAGGAAGGTTCAACTCTGTGAGTTGAATGCACACATCACAAAGATGTTTCTGAGAATGCTTCTGTCTGGTTTTTATGTGGAGATATTCCCATTTCCAAGGAAGGCTTCAAACCACTCCAAATAACTACTTGCAGATTTTACAAAAAGAGTGTTTCAAAACTGCTCTATAAAAAGAAAGGTTCAACGCTGTGAGTTGAATGTACGCGTGCCAGAGAAGTTTCTGAGAATGCATCTGTGTAGTTTTTATGTGAAGATAAATCCGTTTCCAATGAAGACTTCAATGTACTCCAATTATCCACTTGCAGATTCTACAAAAAGAATGTTTCAAAACTGCTCTATCAAAAGGAAGGTTCAACTCTTTGAGTTGAATGAACGTATTACAAAAAAGTTTCTGAGAATGCTTCTATCTAGTTTTTATGGGAAGATATTACCGTTTCCAACCAAGGCTTCAAAGCTGTCCAAATATCCACTTGCAGATTCTAAAAAAAAAATGTTTCAAAGCTGCTCTATCAAAAGAAATGTTCGACTCTCTGAGTTGAATGCAAACATCTCAAAGCAGTTTCTGAGAATACTTCTGTCTAGTTTTTATGTGAAGATATTTCCATCTCCACCATAGCCCTCAAAGTGCCCCAAATGTCCACTTGCAGATTCTACAAAAAGAGTGTTTCAAATCTGCTCTGTCAAATGACAGGTTAAATTCGGTGAGTTGAATGCACACATCACAAAGTAGTTTTTGAGAATGCTTCTCTCTGTTTGTATATTCCCATTTCCTACGAAGCTCTCAAAGAAGTCCAAATATCCACTTGCAGATTCTACAAAACGAGAGTTACAAAACTACTCTATCAAAAGAAAGGTTCAACTCTGTGAGTTGAATGCAAACATCACAAAGAAGTTTCTGAGAATGCTCCTGTCTAGTTTTTTTGTGAAGATATTACTTTTTCCACCATAGCCCTCAAAGTGCTTCAAATGTCCACTGCAGATTCTACAAAAAGAGTGGTTCAAACTGCTCTATAAAAAGAATGGTTAAACTCTGTGTGTTGAATGCACACATCACAAAGAAGTTTCTGAGAATGCTTCTGTCTAGTTTTTATGTGAAGATATTCCCGTTTCCAATGAAGGCCCCTAATCAGCCCAAATATCCCCTTGCATATTCTACAAAAAGAGTACTTCAAAAATGCTCTGTGAAAAGAAATTTTCAACTCTCTGGGTTCAATACAAACATCACAAAGAAGTTTCTGAGAATGCTTCTGTCTAGTTTTTATGTGAAGATATTTACTTTTCCACCATAGCCCTCAAAGTGCTCCAAATGTCGACTTGCAGATTCTACAAAAGAGTGTTTCAAAACTGCTCTGTCAAAAGATAGGTTAAACTCCGTGAGTTGAATGCGCACACCACAATGTAGTTTTTGAGAATGCTTCTGTCTAGTTTTTATGTGAAGATCTTCTCGTTTCCAAAGAAGGCTTCAAAGAACTCCAATTATCCAGTTGCAGATTCTACAAAAAGAGTGTTTCAAAAATGCTATATCAAAAAAAAAAAAAAACGTTTTATATTGTGAATTGTAAGCACACATCACAAAGTTGTTTCTGAGAATGCTTCGGTCTAGTTTTTATATGAAGATATTTCCTTCTCTAACTTAGGCCTCAAAGCGCTCCAAATATCCAATTTCAAATTCTACAAAAAGAGTGTTTCAAAACTGCCCTATCAAAAGAAAGGTGCAATTCTGTGAGTTGAATGCACACATCTCAAAGAAGTTTCTGAGAATGCTTCTGTCTAGTTTTTATGTGTAGATATTCCCGTTTCCAATGAAGGCCTCAAAAAAGTCCAAATATCCACTTGCAGATACTACAAAAAGAGTGCTTCAAAACTGCTCTATGAAAAGAAAAGTTCAACACTGTGAGCTGAATGTAAACATCACAAAGAAGTTTGTGAGAATGCTTTTGTCTAGTTTTTATGTGAAGATATTCCCGTTTCTAACGAATTCCTCAAAGCTGTAAAAATATCCACTTGCAGATTCTACAAAAAGAGTGTTTCAAAACTGCTCTATCAAAAGAAAGGTTAAAATCTGTGAGTTGAATGCACACATCAAAAACTAGCTTCTGAGATTTCTTTCTTCTAGTTTTTATATAAAGTAATTTCCTTTCCTACCAGAGGCCTCAACAGGCTGAAAATATCCTATTGCAGATTCTACAAAAAGAGTGTTTAAAATCTGCTGCACAAAAAGGAATGTTCAACTCTCTGAGTTGAACACACCCATCACAAAGTAGCCTCTGAGAATCCTTCTGTCTAGTTTTTATGTGAAGCTGTTCCCTTTTCCAACGAAGTATTCTAAGCACTCAAACTATCCATGTGCTGATTCTACTAAAAGAGTGTTTCAAAACTGCTCTATCAAAAGAAAGGTTCAAATCTCTGAGTTGAATGCAAACGACCGAAAGAAGTTTCTGAGAATGCTTCTGTCTAGTTTTTATGTGAAGATATTTCTTTCTTCAACATAGCCCTCAAAGTGCCCCAAATGTCCACTTGCAGATTCAACAAAAAGAGTGTGTCAGAAGTACTCTATTGAAAGAAAGGTTCAACTCTGAGTGTTGAATGCACATATCACAAAGAAGTTTCTGAGAATGCTTCTGTCTATTTTATGTTAAGATATTTCCTTTTCCACCATAGTGCTCAAAGTGCTCCAAATGTCCACTTGTAGATTTTACAAAAAGCATGTGTCAAAACTGCTCTATCAAAAGATAAGTTAAACTCTGTGAGTTGACTACACACATCCCAAAGAGTTTCTAAGAATGCTTCTGTCTGGTTTTTATGTGAAGATATTCCCATTTCCAACGAAGGCTTCAAAGCACTCCAATTATCCACTTGCAGATTTTTCAAAAAGAGTGTTTCAAAACATCTCTATCAAAAGGAAGGTTCAACTCTGTGAGTTCAAAATCACATGACAAAGTAGTTTCTGAGAATGCTTCTGTCTTTTTTTTATGTGAAGATATTCCCGTTCCCACTGAAGGCTTCAAAGCACTCCAATTACCCACTTGCAGATTCTACAAAAAGAGTTTTTCATAACTGCTCTATCAAAGGAAAGTTTAAATTCTGTGAGTTGTAAGCACACATCATGAAGTAGTTTCTGAGAATGCTTCTGTCTTGTTTTTACATGAAGCTATTTCCTTTTCTATGATAGGCCTCAAAGTGCTCCAAATATCCAATGGCAGATTCTACAAAAAGAGTGTTTCAAAACTGCTCTAACAAAAGAAAGTTTCAACTCAGTGAGTTGAATGCACACATCAAAAAGAAGTTTCTGAGAATGCTTCTGTCTAGTTTTTATGTGAAGATAATCCCGTTTCTAACAAAGGCCTCAATGAAGTCCAAATATCCACATGCAGATACTACCAAAAGAGTGTTTCAAAACTGCTCTATGAAAAGAAAGGTTCAAATCTGTGAGGTGAATGCAAACATCACAAAGAAGTTTCTGAGAATGCTTCTGTCTAGTTTTTTTGTGAAGATATACCTGTTTCTAGGGAATGCCTACAAGCAGTCAGAATATCCACTTGCAGATTCTACAAAAAAAGTGTTTCAAAACTGCTCTATCAAAAGAAAGTTAAAATCTGTGAGTTGAATGCACACATCACAAGGAAGTTTCTGGCAATGCTTCTGTCTACTTTTTATGTTATTATATTCCAGTTTCCAAAGAAGGCTTCCAAGCACTGAAATATCCACTTGCGGATACTATAAAAAGAGTGTTTCAAAACTGCTCTATGAAAAGGAGGACTCAGCTCTGTGTGTTGAATGCACATACCACAAAGAAGTTTCTGAGAATGCTTCTGTGTAGTTTTTATGTGAAGATATTCCCCTTTCCAATGAAGGCCTCACAGTGGTCCAACTATCAACTTGCAAATTCTACAAAAACAGTGTTTCAAAACTTCCCTATCAAAAGAATGGTTAAACTCTGTGAGATGAATGCCCACATCACAATGTAGTTTTTGAGAATACTTCTGTCTAATTTTTATGTGAAGATAATCCCGTTTGCAAGGAAGGCTTCAAAGCACTCAAATTATCCCCTTGCAGATTCTTCAAAAAGAGTGTTTCAAAACTGCATATCAAAAGAAAGGTTAAATTCTGCGAGTTGTAAGCACACATCACAAAGTAGTTTCTGAGAATGCTTCTGTCTAGTTTTTATATGAAGGTATTTCCTTTTCTAACATAGGCCTCAAAGCACTCCAAATATCCAATTGCAGATTCTGCAAAAACAGTTTCAAAACTGTTTTATCAAAAGAAAGTTTCAACTATGTGAGGTGAATGTACACATCACAAAGAATTTCCTCAGAATTCTTCAGTCTAGTTTTTATGTGAAGATATTTCCGTTCCCAATGAAGGACTCAAAGCAGTCCAAATATCCACTTGCAGATTATACAAAAAGTGTGTTTCACAACAGCTCTATGAAAAGAAAGGTTCAACACTGTGAGTTGAATGCAAACATCACAAAGAAGTTTCTGAGAATGCTTCTGTCTAGTTTTTATGTGAAGGTATTTCCTTTTCCACAGTAACCCTCAAAGTGCTCCAAATGTCCACTTACAGATTCTACAAAAAGAGTTTTTCAAAACTGCTCTATCAAAAGAAAGGTTAAACTCTGTGACTTGAATGCACACATCACAAAGTAGTTTCTGAGAATGTTTTTTTTCTAGTTTTTATATGAAGATATTGCCCTTTCTACCGTAGGCCTCAAAGGGTTCCAAATATCCAACTGCAGATTCTACAAAAAGAATGTTTCAAAACTGTTCTTTCAAAAGGAGGGATCAAATCTGTAAGTGGAATGCACACAGCACAAGGAAGTTTCTGAGAATCCTTCTGTCTAGTTTTTATGTGAAGATATTCCCCTTTCCAATGAAGGCTTCAAAGCACTCCAAATATCCACTTTCATATTCTACAAAAGAGTGTTTCAAAACTTCTCTATGAAAAGGAAGTTTAAACGCTGTGAGTTCAACACACACATCACAAAGCAGTTTCTGAGAATGCTTCTGTCTAGTTTTTGTTTGAAGATATTCCCGTTTCCAACGAATTCCTCAGAGCAGACAAAATATCCACTTGCATATTCTACAAAAAGAGTGTTTCAAAACTGCTCCATCAAAAGAAAGTTTCAACTCTGTGAGTTGAATGCAAACAACTCAAAGAAGATTCTGAGAATGCTTTTGTCTAGTTTTTATGTGGAGAAATTCCCGTTTCCAACGAAGACTTCAGAGCACTCCCAATATCCAATTGCAGAATCTACAAAAAGAGTGTTTCAAAACTGTTCTATCAAAAGGAAGGTTCAAATCTGTGAGTTGAATGCACACATCACAAAGTAGTTTTTGAGAATGCTTCTATTTTTTATGTGAAGATATACCCATTTCCAATGAAGACATCAAAGTACTCCAGTTATCCACGTGCAGATGCTACAAAAAGAGAGTTTCAGAACTGCTCTATCAAATGGAAGGTTCAATTCTGTGAGTTGAATGCACACATCACAAGGAAGTTTCTGAGAATGCTTCTGTCTAGTTTTTATTTGGAGATATTCCCTTTTCCAACCAAGGCTTCAAACCAATACAAATATCCACTTGCAGACACTACAAAAAGACTCTTTCAAAACTGCTCTATCAAAAGGAAGGTTCAGCTCTGTGAGTTGAATGGACACACCACAAAGAAGTTTCTGAGAAGGCATCTGTCTAGTTTTTATGTGAAGATATTCCCGTTTCCAACGAAGACTACAAATTACTCCAATTGTCCACGTGCAGATGCTACAAAAAGAGTGTTTCAGAACTGCTCTATCAAAAGGAAGGTTCAACTCTGTGAGTTGAATGCACACATCACAAGGAAGTTTCTGAGAATGCTTCTGTCTAGTTTTCATTTGGAGATATTCCCTTTTCCAACGAAGGCTTCAAACCACTACAAATATCCACTTACAGATACTACAAAAAGACTCTTTCTTTTTTTTTTTTAGTCATGACAGTAGGTATTTATTTGGAGTGAAAAAACAAACACAATGAATTATAAACTTAAAAATGCTTTAAATTTTTGAAATATACCACTCAGTTGATAAAAATAACATTTACAAATTATAGAATTGCATGACCCATCTTTGTAATAGTTTTTTGCTGCATACTCATTAATTGTCTTTATGTATGATAATTTTATAATTTTATTTTCTCTAGATCCTAAAAAGATATTTAGCTTTACTTGCTCTAGCATAGCTGGCTGATTAAGATGATTTTATTATCCTTACTTCTTTTAATTATTTAGGTATTATTCACATAACATACAAGTCACCATTTTCAAGTTTACAGGTTAATGTTTTTTTAGTATAGTCACAGTGTTATGTTAATCATCATGACCTAATTCTGGAACATTTCCATCACCACAAAAAGAAATCTCATAACTGACAGCAGTCACCTCCAATTCCCCAATCCTCTAACCCTTGGCACCTCAAATTTGCTATCTGTTTCTATGATTTTGCCTATTCTGGACATTTCATATAACTTGAATCATACAATATGTGGCCTTTTGTATTTGGTTTCTTTTATTTAGCATAATGTTTACAACGTTCATCCATGTTATAGCATGCAATAGCACTTCCTTTTTGTGGAAAATGACATTCCATATGTATATACCACATTTTGTTTAACCATTTATCAATAGATGAACATTTGGTTTCTTTCCACTTTTAGACTATTATAATTGTCACTGTGAACATTTAGTTTACCGGATTTTTTTTTAATTTTTCTTGTATTATTATACTTTAAGTTTTAGGGTACACGTGCTCATTGTGCAGGATAGTTACATATGTATACATGTGCCATGCTGGTGCACTGCACCCACTAACTAGTCATCTAGCATTAGGTATATCTCCCAATGCTATCCCTCCCCGCTCCCCGCACCCCACAACAGTCCCCAGAGTGTGATGTTCCCTTTCCTGTGCCCATGTGATCTCATTGTTCAATTCCCACCTATGAGTGAGATTATGCGGTGTTTGGTTTTGTGTTCTTGTGATAGTTTACTGAGAATGATGATTTCCAGTTTCATCCATGTCCCTATAAAGGACATGAACTCATCATTTTTTATGGCTGCATAGTATTCCATGGTGTATAAGTGCCACATTTTCTTAATCCAGTCTATCATTGTTGGACATTTGGGTTGGTTCCAAGTCTTTGCTATTGTGAATAGTGCCGCAATAAACATATGTGTGCATGTGTCTTTATAGCAGCATGATTTATAGTCCTTTGGGTATATACCCAGGAATGGGATGGCTGGGTCAAATGGTATTTCTAGTTCTAGATCCCTGAGGAATCGCCACACTGACTTCCACAAAGGTTGAACTAGTTTACAGTCCCACCAACAGTGTAAAAGTGTTGCTATTTCTCCACATCCTCTCCAGCACCTGTTGTTTCCTGACATTTTAATGATTGCCATTCTAACTGGTGTGAGGTAGTATCTCATTGTGGTTTTGATTTGCATTTCTCTGACGGCCAGTGATGATGAGCATTTTTTCATGTGTTTTTTGGCTGCATAAATGTCTTCTTTTGAGAAGTGTCTGTTCAAGTCCTTGGCCCATTTTTTGATGGGGTTGTTTGTTTTTTTTCTTGTAAATTTGTCTGAGTTCATTGTAGATTCTGGATATTAGCCCTTTGTCAGATGAGTAGGTTGCAAAAGTTTTCTCCCATTTTGTAGGTTGCCTGTTCACTCTGATGGTAGTTTCTTTTGCTGTACAGAAGCTCTTTTGTTTAATTAGATCCCGTTTGTCAATTTTATCTTTTGTTGCCATTGCTTTTGGTGTTTTCGACATGAAGTCCCTGCCCATGTCTATGTCCTGAATGGTATTGCCTAGGTTTTCTTCTAGGGTTTTTATGGTTTTAGGTCTAACATTTAACTCTTTAATCCATCTTGAATTGATTTTTGTATAAGGTGTAAGGAACGGATCCAGTTTCAGCTTTCTACATATGGCTAGCCAGTTTTCCCAGCACCATTTATTAAATATGGAATCCTTTCCCCATTGCTTGTTTTTCTCAGGTTTGTCAAAGATCAGATAGTTGTAGATATGTGGCATTATTTCTGAGGGCTCTGTTCTGTTCCATTGATCTATATCTCTGTTTTGGTACCAGTACCATGCTGTTTTGGTTACTGTAGCCTTGTAGTATAGTTTGAAGTCAGGTAGTGTGATGCCTCCACCTTTGTTCTTTTGTCTTAGGATTGACTTGGCGATGTGGGTTCTTTTTTGGTTCCATATGCACTTTAAAGTAGTTTTTTCCAATTCTGTGAAGAAAGTCATTGGTAGCTTGATGGGGATGGCATTGAATCTGTAAATTACCTTGGACAGTATGGCCATTTTCACGATATTGATTCTTCCTAACCATGAGCATGGAATGTTCTTCCATTTGTTTGTATCATCTTTTATTTCCTTGAGCAGTGGTTTGTAGTTCTCCTTGAAGAGGTCCTTCACATCCCTTGTAAGTTAAAACTGCTCTATCAAAAGGAAGGATCAGCTCTGTGAGTTGAATGGACACATCACAAAGAAGTTTCTGAGAATGCATCTGTCTAGTTTTTATGTGAAGATATACCCGTTTTCATCGAAGACTTCAAAGTACACCAATGATGCACTTGCAGATTCTACAAAAAGAGTGTTTCAAAACTGCTCTATCAAAAGGAAGATTCAACTCTGTGCATTGAATGAACACATCACAAGGAAGTTTCTGAGAATGCTTCTGTCTAGTTTTTATGTGAATATATTCCCGTTTCCAATGAAGGCTTAAAGCACTCCAAATATCCACTTGCAGACACTACAAAAATACTCTTTCAAAACTGCTCTATCAAAAGGAAGGTTCAGCTCTGTGAGTTGAATGGACACATCACAAAGAAGTTTCTGAGAAGGCATCTGTCTAGTTTTTATGTGAATATATTCCCGTTTCCAACGAAGACTGCAAATTACTCCAATTATCCACGTGCAGATGCTACAAAAAGAGTGTTTCAGAACTGCTCTATCAAAAGGAAGGTTCAACTCTGTGAGTTGAATGCACACATCAGAAGGAAGTTACTGAGAATGCTTCTGTCTAGTTTTTATTTTGAGCTATTCACTTTTCCAACAAAGGCTTCAAACCACTAAAAATACCCACTTGCAGATACTACAAAAAGACTCTTTCAAAATTGCTCTATCTAAAGGAAGGTTCAGCTCTGTGAGTTGAATGGACACATCACAAAGAAGTTTCTGAGAATGCATCTTTCTAGTTTTTATGTGAAGATATACCCGTTTTCATCGAAGACTTCAAAGCACTCCAATTATCCACATGCAGATTTTACAAAAAGAGTGTTTCAAAACGGCTCTATCAAAAGGAAGATTCAACTCTGTGAGTTGAATGCACACATCACAAGGAAGTTTTTGAGAATGCTTCTCTCTAGTTTTTATGTGAATATATTCCCGTTTCCGATGAAGGCTTAAAGCACTCCAAATATCCACTTGCAGATACTACAAAAAGAGCGTTTCAAAACTGCTCTATCAAAAGGAAGGTTCAACTCTATGAGGTAAATGCACATATCTAAAAGAAGTTTCTGAGAATACTTCTGTCTAGTTTTCATGTGAGGATATACACGTGTCCAACGAAGACTTCAAAGTACCCCAATGATCAACTTGCAGATTCTACAAAAAGAGTGTTTCAAAACTGCTCTAATAAAAGGCAGGTTCAACTCTGTGAGTTGAATGCACACATCACAAGGAAGTTCCTGAGAATGCTTCTGTCTTTTTTTTATTTGGAGATATTCCCGTTTCCATTGAAGGCTTGAAACCACTACAAGTATCCACTTGCAGATACTACAAAAAGACTCTTTCAAAACTGCTCTATGAAAAGGAAGGTGCAGCTCTGTGACTTGAATGGACACATCACAATGAAGTTTGTGAGAATGCATCTTCTAGTTTTTATGTGAAGATATACCCGTTTCCAATGAAGACTTCAAAGTACTCCAATAATCCACTTGCAGATACTACAAAAGGAGTGTTTCAAAACTGATCTTTCAAAAAGAACGTTCAACTCTGTGAGTTGAATACACACATCACAAGGAAGTTTCTGAGAATGCTTCTGTCTAGTTTTTTGTGAATATATTCCCGTTTCCAAGAAAGGCTTCAAAGCGTCCCAAATATCCAATGGCAGATACTACAAAAAGAGTGTTTCAAAACTGTTCTGTAAAAAGATAAGTTTAACTCTGTGAGATGAATGCCCACATCACAATGCAGTTTTTGAGAATGCTTCTGTCTATTTTTCTTGTGACGATATTCCCGTTTCCAACAAAGCCTTCAAAGCACTCCAATTATCCACTAGCACATTCTGCAAGAAGAGTGTTTCAAAACTGCTCTTTCAAAAGAAAGGTTAAATTCTGTGAGTTGTAAGCACACATCACTAAGTAGTTTCTGAGAATGTTTCTTTCTAGTTTTTATATGAAGACATTTCCTTTTCCACCATAGGCTTCTGAAGATTCCAAATATCCACTTGCAGATTCTACAAAAAGAGTGTTTCAAAACTGCTCTATCCAAAGTGGGGTTGAACTCTGTGAGTTGAATGCACACATCTCAATGAAGTTTCTGAGAATGCTTCTGCCTAGTTTTTATGTGAAGATATTCCCATTTCCAAAGAAGGCTTCAAAGCAGTCCAAATATCCAACTGCAGATTCTACAAAAAGTGTGTTTCAAAACTGCACTATCATAAGGAAAGTTCAACTCTGTGAGTTGAATACACACTTCACAAAGTATTTTCTGAGAATGCCTCTGTCTAGTTTTTATGTAAAGATATTCCCGTTTCCGACGAAGGTCTCAAAGTAGTCCAAATATCCACTTGCAGATTCTATAAAAAGAGTGTTTCAAAACTGCTGTATCAAAAGAAAGCTTAAAATTTGTGAGTTGAATGTACACATCAAAAACTAATTTCTGAGAATTCTTCTTTCCAGTTTTTGTATAAAGAAATTTCCTTTTCTACCATAGGCTTTAAAGGGCTCCAAATATCCTCTTGCAGATTCTCCAAAAAGAGTGTTTCAAATCTGCTCTACCAATGCACACATCACAAAGAAGTTTTGGAGAATGCTTCCATCTAGTTTTTATGTGAAGATATTCCTGTTTCCAATGAAGGCTTCAAAACACTCCAAATATACACTTGCATGTCCTTCAAAAAAAGTATTTCAAAACTGCTCTATCAAAAGGAAGGTTCAACTCTGAGAGTTGAATGGACACATCACAAAGAAGTTTCTGATAATGCTTCTGTCTGGTTTTTATGTGAAGATATTCTCGTTTCAAACGAAGGCCTCAACACGCTCCAAATATCCACTTGCAGATACCACAAAAAGAGTTTTTCAAAACTGCTGTATCAAAAGAAGGTTCAACACTTTGAGGTGAATGCCCACATCACAAAGAAGTTTCTGAGAATGCTTCTGTCTAGTTTTTATGTGAAGATATTCCCATTTACAATGAAGGCCTCAAAGCAGTCCAAATATCCACTTGCGGATTCTACAAAAAGAGTGTTTCAAAACTGCTCAATGAAAAGAAAGTTTCAACTCTGTGAGTTGAATGCAAACAACACAAAGAAGTTTCTGAGAACACTTCTGACTCGTTTTTATGTGAAGATATTTCCTTTTCCACGGTATCCGTCAAAGTGCTCCAAATGTCCCTTTGCAGATTCTATAAAAAGAGTGTTTCAAAGTTCCTCTATCAAAAGAAAGGTTAAAGTCTCTGTGTTGAATGCACACATCATGAAGTAGTTTCTGAGAATACGTCTGTCTATTTTTTTTATGAAGATATTTCCTTTTCTACCACAGGCCTCAAAGCGCTCCAAATATCCACTTGCAGATTCTACAAAAAGAGCCTTTCAAAACAGATCTATCAAAAGGAGGTTTCAACTCTCTGAGTTGAATGCTACCATCACAAAGTAGTTTCTGAAAATGCATCTGTCTAATTTTTATGTGAAGATATTCCCGTTTCCAAAGAAGGCTTCTAAGTACTCGAATTATCCACTTTCAGATTGTACAAAAAGATTGTTTCAAAACTGCAAAATGGGAGAAAATTTTCGCAACCTACTCATCTGACAAAGGGCTAATATACAGAATCTACAATGAACTCAGACAAATGTACAAGAAAAAAACAAACAACCCCATCAAAAAGTGGGTGAAGGACATGAAAAGACACTTCTCAAAAGAAGACATTTATGCATCCAAAAAACACATGAAAAAATGCTCATCATCACTGGCCAACAGAGAAATGCAAATCAAAACCACAATAAGATACCATCTCACACCAGTTAGAATGGCAATCATTAAAAAGTCAGGAAACAACAGGTGCTGGAGAGGATGTGGAGAAATAGGAACACTTTTACACTGTTGGTGGGACTGTAAACTAGTTCAACCATTGTGGAAGTCAGTGTGGCGATTCCTCAGGGATCTAGAACTAGAAATACCATTTGACCCAGCCATCCCATTACTGGGTATATACCCAAATGACTATAAATCATGCTGCTATAAAGACACATGCACACGTATGTTTATTGCGGCATTATTCACAATAGCAAAGACTTGGAACCAACCCAAATGTCCAACAATTATAGACTGGATGAAGAAAATGTGGCACATATACACCATGGAATACTATGCAGCCATAAAAAATGATGAGTTCATGTCCTTTGTAGGGACATGGATGAAATTGGAAATCATCATTCTCAGTAAACTATAGCAAGAACAAAAAAATCAAACACTGCATATTCTCACTCATAGGTGGGAATTGAACAATGAGATCACATGGACATAGGAAGGGGAATATCACACTCTGGGGACTGTGGTGGGGTTGGGGGAGGGGAGAGGGATAGCATTGGGAGACATACCTAATGCTAGATAACTAGTTAGTGGGTGCAGTGCACCAGCATGGCACATGTATACATATGTAACTAACCTGCACAATGTGCACATGTACCCTAAAACTTAAAGTATAATAAAAAACAAACAAACAAAATAGGTTTATAATAAATAAATATTTTTCATTTAAAAAAATAAAAATAAAAATAAAACAAAGGCCTCAAAGCTGTCCAAATATCCACTTGCAGATTCTGCAAAAAGAGTGTTTCAAAACTGCTCTATCAAAAGAAATTTTTAACTCTGTGAGTTGAATGCAAACATCAGAAAGAGGTTTTTGAGAATTTTTCTGTCTAGTTTTTATGTGAAGATATTTCCTTTTCTACCATAGGCCACAATGCACTCCAAATATCCAATTACAGATTCATCAAAAAGAGTGTTTCAAAACTGCTCTATCAAAGGAAAGGTTCAACTCTGTGAATTGAATGCACATATCACAAAGAAGTTTCTGAAAGCTTCTGTCTAGTTATTATGTGAAGGTATTTCCTTTTCCACCATACCCACAAATTGCTCCAAATATCCACTTGCAGATTCTACAAAAAGTGGGTTTCAAAACTGCTCTGTTAAGAGATATGTAAAATTCTGTGAGTTGAATGTACACGTCACAAAGGAGTTTTTGACAATGCTTCTGTCTAGATTTTATTGGAAAATATTTCCATTTCCACCAAGGCTTCAAGGTAATCCAATTATCCACTTGCAAATACTACAAGAAGAGTGTTTCAAAACTGCTCTGTCAAAAAAAAAGTTTAAATTCTGGGATTTGTAAGCACACATCACAAAGAAGTTTCTGAGAATGCTTCTGTCTAGTTTTTATGTGTAGATATTTCCTTTTCTACCATAGGCTTCAAAGAGCTACAAATATCCAACTGCAGATTCTACAAAAAGAGTGTTTCAAAACTTCTACACCAAAGCAAAGGTTCAACTCTGTGAGTTGAACGCACACATCACAAGGAAGTTTCTGAGAATGCTTCTGTCTAGTTTTAATGAGAATATATTCCCGTTTCCAATGAAGGCTTCAAAGCACTCCAAATATCCACTTCCAGATACAACAAAAGAGCGTTTCAAAACTGCTCTATCAAAAGGCAGGTTCAACTCTGTGAGTTGAGTGCACATATCAAAAAGAAGCTTCTGAGAATGCTTCTGTCTAGTTTTTATGTGAATATATTACCTTTTAAAACGAAGGCTCCAAAGCACTCCAAATATCCACTTGCATATTCAATAAAAAGAGTAAAAACAGCTCTATCAAAAGGAAGATTCAACTCTGCTCTGTCTAAAGGAAAGTTCACCACTGTGAGTTGAATACACACAACAAAATGAAGTTACTGAGAATTCTTCTCTCTAGCATTATATGAAGAAATCTTGTTTCCAAAGAAGGGCTCTACTAGGTCCAAATATCCACTTGCAGACTTTACAAACAAAGTGTTTCCAAACTGCTCAATGAAAAGAAAGGTTAAACTATGTGAGGTGAACACACACATCACAACGAAGTTTCTGGGAGTGATTCTGTCTAGCTTTTATACGAACATATTTCCTTTTCTACAGTTGGCCTCAAAGCGGCTGAAAGCTCCACTTCCAAATTCCACAAAAAGAGTGTATCAAATCTGCTCTGTCTAAAGGAGGGTTCAACTCTGTGAGTTGAATACACACAACACAAGGAAGTTACTGAGAATTCTTCTGTCTAGCCTTATATGAAGAAATCCCGTTTCCAACGAACGCCTCAAGGAGGTCCAAATATCCACTTGCAGAATTTTCAAACAGAGTGTTTCCAAACTGCTGAATGAAAAGAAAGGTTAAACTCTGTGAGTTAAATGCACACATCACAACGCAGTTTCTGGGAATGATTCTGTCTAGTTTTTATACGAAGATATTTCCTTTTCTAACACTGGCCTCCAAGCTCTTGAAATTTCCACTTGCAGATTCCACAAAAAGAGTGTCTCAAATCTGCTCTGTCTAAAGGAAGGTTCAACTCTGTGAGTTGAATGCACACACCAAAAGGAAGTCACTGAGAATTCCTCTGTCTAGCATTATATAAAGAAATCCCGTTTCCAACGAAGGTCTCAAGGAGGTAAAAATATCCACTTGAAGACTTTACAAACAGAGTGTTTCCCAACTGCTCTATGAAAACAAACGTAAAACTGTGAGTTGACGCACACACCACCATGCAGTTTTGGGGAATGATTCTTTCTAGTTTTATATGAAGATATTTCCTTTTCTACCATTGGCCTCAAATCGCTTGAAATCTCCACTTACAAATTCCACAAAAAGAGTGTTTCAAATCTGCTCTGTATAAAGGAAGGTTCAACTCGGTGAGTTGCATAAACACAACACAAAGAAGGTACTAAGAATTCTTTCGTCTACCACTATATGAAGAAATCCCGTTTCCAACGAAGGCCTCAAAGAGGTCCGAATATCCACTTGCAGACTTTACAAACAGAGTGTTGCCTAACTGCTCTATGAAAAGAAAGATTAAAGTCTGTGAGTTGAACGCACACATCACCAAGCAGATTCTGATAATCATTCTGTCTAGTTTTTCTACGAAGATATTTCCTTTTCTAACATTGTCTTCAAAGCGGCTGAATTCTCCACTTGCAAATTCCACAAAAAGAGTGTTTCAAATCTGCTCTGTCTAAAGGAACGTTCAAAACTGTGATATGAATACACACAACACAAGGAAGTTATTGAGAATTCTTCTGTCTAGCATTATATGAGGAAATCCCGTTTCCAGCGAGGGCCAAAAAGAGGACCGAATATCCACATGCAGACTTGACAAACAGAGTGTTTCCAAATGGCTCTATGAAAAGAAAGGTTAAACAAAGTGAGTTCAACGCACACATCATAACGCAGTTTGTGGGAATGATCCTGTCTAGTTTTTAAACGAAGATATTCCCTTTTCTGCCATTGACCTTAAATCGCTTGAAATCTCCACTTGCAAATTCCACAAAAAGCGTGTTTCAAATCTGCTCTGTCTAAAGGAACGTTCAACTCTGTGAGTTGAATACACACAACACAAGGAAGTTACTGAGAATTCTTCTGTCGTGCCTTATATGAAGAAATCCCGTTTCCAACGAACGCCTCAAGGAGGTCAAAATATCCACTTGCAGATTTTTCAAACAGAGTGTTACCAAACTGCAGAATGAAAAGAAAGGTTAAACTCTGTGAGTTAAACACACACATCACTACGCAGTTTCCGGGAATGATTCTGTCTAGTTTTGAAACGAAGATATTTCCTTTTCTGCCATTGACCTTAAATCGCTTGAAATCTCCACTTGCAAATTCCACAAAAACAGTGTTTCAAATCTGCTCTGTCTAAAGAAACGTTCAACTCTGTGAGTTGAACACACACAACACAAGGAAGTTACTAAGAATTCTTCTGTCTAGCCTTACATGAAAAAAACCCGTTTCCAACGAAGGCCTCAAAGAGGTCAAAATATCCACTTGCAGACTTTACAAACAGAGTGTTTCCTAACTGCTCTATGAAAAGAATAGTTAAACTCTGTGAGTTGAACGCTCACATAACAACGCACTATGTGGGAATGATTCTGTCTATTTTTTCAACGAAGATATTCCTTTTACTGCCATTGAGCTTAAAGCGCTTGAAATCTCCACTTGCAAATTCCACAAAATGAGTGTCTGAAATCTGCTCTGTCTAAAGGACCGTTCAACTCTGCGAGTTGAATACACACAACACAAGGAAGTTACTGAGAATTCTTCTGTCTAGCGTTACATGAACAAAATACGTTTCCAACGAAGGCCTCTACTAGATCCAAATATCCACTTGCAGACTTTACAAACAGAGTGTTTCCAAACTGCTCAATGAAAAGAAAAGTTAAACTCTGTGACTTGAACGCACACATCACAACGCAGTTTCTGGGAATCATTCTGTCTAGCTTTTATACGAAGATATTTCCTTTTCTACAATTGGCCTCAAAGCGCTTGAAATCTCCACTTGCAAATTCCACAAAAAGTGTGTTTGAAATCTGCTCTGTCTAAAGGAATGTTCATCTCTGTGGGTTGAATCCACAAAACAAAAGGAGGTTACTGACAATTCTTCTGTTTAGCATTATATGAAGAAATCACGTTACCAACGAAGGCGTCTAATAGGTCCAAATATCCACTTGCAGAGTTTACAAACAGAGTGTTTCCAAACTGCTCTATGAAAAGAAAGGTTAAGGTCCGTGAGGTGAACGCACACATCACAACGCAGTTTGTGGGAATGATTCTGTCTAGTTTTGAAACGAAGATATTTCCTTTTCTACCGTTGGCCTCAAAGCGCTTGAAATCCCACTTGCAAATTCCGCAATGAGAGTGTTTCAAATCTCCTCTGTCTAAAGGAACGTTCAAATCTGTGAGTTGAATACACACAACACAAGGAAGTTACTGAGAATTCTTCTGTCTAGCCTTACATGAAAAAAACCCGTTTAAAACGAAGGCCTCAAAGAGGTCAAAATATCCACTTACAGACTTTATAAACAGAGTGTTTCCAAACTGCTGAATGAAAAGAAAGGTTAAACTCTGTGAGTTCAACTCACACATGACAAAGAAGTTTCTGAGAATCATTCTGTATAGTTTTTATATGAAGACATTTCGTTTTCTACCATTGACCTCACAGCGGCTGAAATCTCCACTTGCAAATTCCACAAAAAGAGTGTTTCAAATCTGTCTGTCTAAAGGAACGTTCACCTCTGTGAGTTGAATACACACAACAAAAGGAAATTACAGAGAATTCTTCTGTCTAACCCTATATGAAGAAATCCCGTTTCCAACGAACGCCTCAAGGAGGTCCAAATATCCACTTGAAGACTTTTCAAACAGAGTGTTTCCAAACTGTTGAATGAAAAGAAAGGTTAAACTCTGTGAATTGAACGCACACAGCACAACGCAGTTTCTGCGAATGATTCTGTGTAGTTTTTAAACGAATTTATTACCTTTTTTACCGTTGGCCTCAAAGCGCTTGAAATCTCCACTTGCAAATTCCACAAATAGAGTGTTTCAAATCTGCTGTGTCTAAAGGAACGTTCAAATCTGAGAGTTGAATACACACAACATGAAGAACTTACTGAGAAATCTTCTGTCTAGCATTATATGAAGAAATCCCATTTCCAACGAAGGCATCTAAGAGGTCCAAATATCCACTTGCAGACTTTACAAACAGAGTGTTTCCAGAATGCGGTATGAAAAGAAAGGTTAAACTCTGGGAGATAAACACACACATCACTACGCAGTTTCTGGGAATGATTTTGTCTAGTTTTTATGCGAAGATATTTCCTTTTCTACCATTGGCAACAAAGCTCTTGAAATCTCCACTTGCAAATTCCACAAAAAGAGAGTTTCAAGTCTGCTCTCTCTAAAGGAACGTTCAACTCCGTGAGTTGAATACACACAACACAAGGAAGTTACTGAGAATTCTTCTGTCTAGCCTTACAAGAAAAAAACCCGTTTCCAACGAAGGCCTCAAAGAGGTCAAAATATCCACTTGCAGACTTTACAAACAGAGTGTTTCCAAACTGCGGAATGAAAAGAAAAGTTAAACTCTCTGAGTTGAACACACACATCACAGAGCAGTTTCTGAAAATGATTCTGTCTAGTTTTTATACGA
Organism: Homo sapiens; assembly: GCF_000001405.40. Classification (NCBI taxonomy): domain Eukaryota; kingdom Metazoa; phylum Chordata; class Mammalia; order Primates; family Hominidae; genus Homo; species Homo sapiens. The sequence goes on along the minus strand of NC_000019.10, from coordinate 27,245,380 downwards.
AGATATTTCCTTTTCTGCCATTGGCCTCAAAGCGCTTGAAATCTCTACTTGCAAATTCCACAAAAAGAGTGTTTTAAATCTCCTCTGTCTAAAGGAAGGTTCAAATCTGTCAGTTGAATACACACAACACGAAGAAGTTACTAAGAATTCTTCTCTCCAGCATTATATGAAGAAATCCCGTTTCCAAAGGAGGCATACAAGTGGTCCAAATATCCACTTCCAGACTTTACAAACAGAGTGTTTCCAAAAAGCTGTATGAAAAGAAAGGTTAAACTCTGTGAGTAAAACACCCACATCACTACGGAGTTTCTGAGAATGATTTTGTCTTGTTTTTATACGAAGATATTTCCTTTTCTACCATTGGCCTCTAAGCGCTTGAAACTTCCAGTTGCCAATTCCAAAAAAAGAGTATTTCAAATCTGCTCTGTCTAAAAGAAGGTTGAACTCTGTGAGTTGCACACACACAACACAAAGAAGTTAGTGAGAATTCTTTTGTCTAGCATAATATAAAGAAATCCCGTTTCTAACGAAGGCCTCAAAGAGGTCCGAATATCCACATGCAGACTTCAAAAACAGAGTGTTTCCAAACGGCTCTATGAAAAGAAAGGTTAAACTTTTTGAGTTGAACGCACACATCACAACGCAGTTTCTGGGAATGATTTTGTCTAGTTTTTAAACGAAGATGTTTCCTTTTCTGCCATTGACCTTAAAGCGCTTGAAATCGCCACTTGCAAATTCCACAGAAGGAGGGTTTCAAATCTGCTCTGTCTAAAGGAAGGTTTAACTCTGTCAGTTGAATACACACAACACAAAGAAGTGACTTAGAATTGTTTTGTTTAGCAGTATATGAAGAAATCCCGTTTCGAACGAAGGCCTCAAAGAGGTCCAAATATCCACTTGCAGAATTTACAAACAGAGTGTTTCCAAAATGCTGTATGAAAAGAAAGGTTAAACTCTGTGAGTTAAACACACACATCACTATGCAGTTTCTGGGAATGATTTTGTCTAGTTTTTATGCGAAGATATTCCCTTTTCTACTATTGGAATCAAAGCGCTTGAAATCTCCACTTGCAAATTGCACAAAAAGAGTGTTTTAAATCTGCTGTGTCTAGAAGAAAATTCAATTCTGAGAGTTGAATACACACAACACAAGGAAGTTAATAAGAATTCTTCTGTATAGCCTTACCTGAAAAAAATCCGTTTCCAATGAAGGCCTCAAAGAGGTCAAAATATCCACTTGCAGACGTTACAAACAGAGCATTTCCAAACTGCTGAATGAAAAGAAAACTTAAACACTGTGAGTTGAACGCACACAGCACAGAGCAGTCTCTGAGAATGATTCTGCCTAGTTTTTATACGAAGATATTTCCTTTTCTGCGTTTGGCCTCAAAGGACTTGAAATCTGCATTTGCAAATTCCACAAAAAGAGTGTTTGAAATCTGCTCTGTCTAAATGATGGTTCAACTCTGACAGTTGAATACACACAACACGAAGAAGTTACTAAGAATTCTTCCCTCTAGCATTATATGAAGAAATCCCGTTTCCAACGAAGGCCTCAAAGAGGTCAAAATATCCACTTGCAGACGTTACAAACAGAGCGTTTCCAAACTGCTGAATGAAAAGAAAACTTAAACTCTGTGAGTTGAACGCACACAGCACAGAGCAGTTTCTGAGAATGATTCAGTCTAGTTTTTATACGAAGATATTTGCTTTTCTGCGTTTGGCCTCAAAGGGCTTGAAATCTGCATTTGCAAATTCCACAAAAAGAGTGTTTCAAATCTGCTCTGTCTAAATGAAGGTTCAAATCTGACAGTTGAATACACACAACACAAAGAAGTTACTAAGAATTCTTCCCTGTAGCATTATATGAAGAAATCCCGTTTCCAACGAAGGCATCTAAGAGATCCAAATATCCACTTGCAGACTTTACAAACAGAGTGTTTCCAAAATGCTGTATGAAACGAAAGGTTAAACTCTGTGAGTTAAACACACACCTCACTACGCAGTTTCTGGGAATGATTTTGTCTTGTTTTTATACGAAGATATTTCCTTTTCTACAATTGGCCTCCAAGCGCTTGAAATCTGCACTTGCAAATTCCACAAAAAGAGTGTTTCAAATCTGCTCTGTGTAAAGGATCTTTCAAATCTGTGAGTTGAATACACACAACAGAAGGAAGTTACTGAGAATTCTTCTGTCTAGCATTATATGAAGAAATCCCGTTTCAACGAAGGCCACAAAGAGGTGAGAATATCCACTTGCAGCCTTGACAAACAGAGTGTTTCCAAACGGCTCTATGAAAAGAAAGGTTAAACTCTGTGAGTTGAACGCACACATCACAGCGCAGTTTCTGAGAATCATTCTGTCTAGTTTTTATACGAAGATATTTCCTTTTCTGCCATTGACCTCAAAGCGGCTGAAATCTCCACTTACAAATTCCACAAAAAGAGTGTTTCAAATCTGCTCTGTGTAAAGGATCTTTCAAATCTGTGAGTTGAATGCACACAAGACAAGCAAGTTACTGATAATTCTTCTGTGTAGTATTTTATGAAGAAATCCCGTTTCCAACTAAGGCCACAAAAAGGTCGGAATATCCACTTGCAGACTTGACAATCAGAGCGTTTACAATCGGTTATATGAAAACAAAGGTTAAACTCTGTGAGTTGAACGCACACATCACAATGCACTTTTTGGAATGATTCTGTCTAGTTTTGAAATGAAGATATATATCTTTTTCTGCCATTGACCTTAAAGCGCTTGAAATCTCCACCTGCAAATTGCACAAAAAGATTGTTTCCGATCTGCTCTGTCTAAAAGAACGTTCAACTCTGTGAGTTGAATGCACACAACACAAGGAAGTTATTGGGAATTCTTCTGTCTAGCCTTACATGAAAAAAAACCCGTTTCCAACGAAGGACCCTAAGAGGTCAATATATCCACTTGCAGACTTTACAAACAGAGTGTTTCCAAACTGCTGAATGAAAAGAAAAGTTAAACTCTCTGAGTTGAAAGCACACATCACACAGCAGTTTCTGAGAATGATTCTGTCTAGTTTTTATACGAAGATATTTCCTTTTCTGCCTTTGGCCTCAAAGCGCTTTAAATCTCCACTTGCAAACCCCACAAAAAGAGTGTTTCAAATCTGCTCTGTCTAAGGGAAGGTTCAACTCTGTCAGTTGAATACACACAACAAAAGGAAGTTACTGAGAATTCTTCTGTCTAGTGTAATATGAAGAAATCCCGTTTCCAACGAAGGCCTCAAAGAGGTCCGAATATCCACTTGCAGACTTGACAAACAGAGTGTTTCCAAACTGCTGAATGAAAAGACAAGTTAAGCTCAGTGAGTTGAACGCACACATCACAGAACCGGTTCTGAGAATGATTCTGTCTAGTTTTTTGCGAAAATATTTCCTTTTGTGCCTTTGGAATCAAAGCGCTTGAAATCTCCACTTGCAAATCCCTCAGAAAGAGTGTTTCCGATGTGCTCTGTCTAAAGGAAGGTTGAACTCTGTGAGTTGCATACACACAACACAAAGAAGTTACTGAGAATTCTTCTTTCTAGCATAATATGAAGAAATCCCGTTTCCAACGAAGGCCTCAAAGAGGTCCGAATATCCACTTGCAGACATTACAAACAGAGTGTTTCCTAACTGCTCTATGAAAAGAAAGGTTAAACTCTGTGAATTGAACGCACACATCACAAAGGAGTTTCTGTCTTGTTTTTATACGAAGGTATTTCCTTTTCTACCATTGACCACAAAGCGTCTGTAATCTCCACTTGCAAATTCCACAAAAAGTGTGTTTAAAATCTGCCCTGTTTAAAGGATCGTTCAACTCTGTGAGTTGAATACACACAACACAAGAAAGTTACTGAGAATTCTTCTGTGTAGCATAACATAAAGAAATCCCGTTTGCAACGAAGGCCTCAAAGAGGTCTGAATATCCAATTGCAGATTTTACAAACAGAGTGTTTCCTAACTGCTCTATGAAAAGGAAGGTTAAACTCTGTGAGTTGAACGCACACATCACAAAGCAGTTTCTGAGAATCATTCTGTCTAGTTTTTATACGAAGATATTTCCTTTTCTACCACTGACCTCAAAGCGGCTGAAATCTCCACTTACAAATTCCACAAAAAGAGTGTCTCAAATCTGCTCTGTGTAAAGAACCGTTCAACTCTGTGAGTTGAATACACACAACACAAGGAAGTTACTGAGAATTCTTCTGTCTAGCATAATATAAAGAAATCCCGTTTCCAACGAAGGCCTCAAAGAGGTCTGAATATCCACTTGTAGACTTTACAAACAGAGTGTTTCCTAACTGCTCTATGAAAAGAAAGTTGAAACTCTGTGAGTTGAACGCACACATCACAAAGCAGTTTCTGAAAATCATTCTGTCTTGTTTTTATACGAAGATATCTCCTTTTCTACGATTGACTTCAAATCGGCTGAAATCTCCACTTGGAAATTCCACAAAAAGAGTGTTTCAAATCTGTTCTGTGTAAAGGATC